>NC_000002.12:217489618-218114618 GCF_000001405.40 Homo sapiens
CTCAGACCGCAGGCCTCTCTGAGAGTTGTTGATGCCTCAGAGCGGCTGACTTGCAGATTGTATCCGTATTCCCCCAGCTCAGACCTCCCACCACCACTCAGCGGACAACTTAGGGATGCCCTCAAAGCTGCGTGCCTGCTGCAGAGCTGTAATTTAAATCAACTTGGGAGCTGTGACGAGGCAAAGAGCAACCTCAGAGGGTGGTGGGAACCGCTGGGACTCCTGCTCTGTGGCTCGTGTACAAGGAGGAGAGGGTGGTGGACTGTTAGAGACTGTGACTCACTTGCAATCTCATACGGGGAAAGAGTTCCAAGCCTTTCTCCTCTCCTTTCCCTAGCATGTGAAGATGGGGAGACCCATTGTTTATCTTCGTGTGATACAAATTGAACAAACAAAATGGACTGTTCCTTTAACAGGTTGACTGTAAGCTAATCATGATTTAAAAAAAAACTAACTGACTGTTTTCCTACCCCAAGATGGGTAGCAGAGGCAAACTCCATGGTCATAATAGCAATGACAGCAAACACTTTTACACCATTTACCATTTGCAGGCACTGTTCTAACTAACCACTTTACACATTTTAACACATTTAATCTTGACAACTTCATGGGTTAGTGTCTTTACTCGCCATATTTTCAGGTGAGGAAACTGAGGCACAGGGAGTTTAAGCAACTTACTAATAAATGAGGAGGTTTTCTGGCCCCAGACTCTGCTTTTAACCACTCCCCTATATGCTTTGCACATGGCAAACATGATGCTGAGTGCTTTATAAAATCATCTGACTCACTCCCATTTGACAGATGAGAAAACTAAGGCTGAGAGTTGCAAAGTAACTCGAAAAGATTACACAAATAGTAAGTAGCACAACCAGGATCTGGAGCTAATTGGACTGACTGCACATCTATCCCATCTACCCCATCTACCCCTTTCATTTCCAATGACCTGCTAGGTGTGGAAGCCCCAGCAGATGAGGAATACACAAGGCAGAGTAGTCATGAGCCACAGCTGATAGCATGGTAAAGCTGTATTCCAACCAGTAGCCCTTTAGCAGGTGCTCCCAGCAGGCTCCGGGGCTTCCTCATCTGCCTCCAGTTCAGACTAAGATCTGGTCTTTTTCCAATGACTCCATCTTCTTCTGAAGTTCCAATTCCATTGTTAAACACGGTAGTGGAACTGGCATTTAAAAAATCCATTCACTTTTTAAAAAAAATTTTTTAATCTCTACTCATTAAAGTCAACTGTTAAAGAGTAAATGCTCCAGGGAAAAGGTAACATTTTAAACTCATGTGGACAAACTTTTGGGGGAATGAACTGAGGGGTAACTGACAAGGACCCCTGGGTATGGATGCACAATAGGGACTTGAAGAGTCAAAGAGGAAATGAGGAATAAAGCTTCACTAACTCACTCACTGCCCAGTTGTCCCAGGGACAAGTCTGGGCTCCTGTCCGTCCTTTGTCTTCTGGTTTCTTCCCTCTAAAACACCACAGACTCAAAGGTGGCAGATCAGAGCAACTCTAGAGACCCTTGCAGATATGTCAGAGTGTCAAGGGCTCAAGGGCCAGTTCAATCCTTTCATTTTATAGACCAAAAAACAGAGACCTCAATTGCTACATGATTTGTCTATGGTTATACAGTTAAACGGTATGAAAACCAATAATAAAACTCAGAAATAATGGTCTTGAGAAAAATAAGCAGCCCTAAGCCACTGTAGGAATTTTCATATGTCCAGTCCTCTGATTTTCTCTCTTCCTGAAAAGCTCATTATTCTTTAGTAGCACGACAGAAATGTCCTTTACACAAAAGAGTAGAAGTGTCATGTGGTTGAGAAACAGGGTTTGGACTCATACACTCCACATTCCAGCTCCAGCTCTGACATTCATAGCCTGTGTTATCTTGGGGAAGTCACAAGTTTCAGACGCTCAACTTCCTCAACTGTCAAACAGAAAAATCATAAAACCTTTCTTATAGACTTGTTTCAATCATGAGTTAAATTATCATATTTGACAGCACCTAATACAGCTTCTGGTACATTTTTGGGGCTTAATGAATGCTTTGTCATTGCACTTTGATCAGACGAGGAATATTTGGGATGTTTGAGGAACTTAGTTTGATTTTCTATCCCAATGGACCACCAAGCCCTTGCCTTATTTTTTTTTAATCCCAAACATTTTTATAATTGAGTCATCTATTCCTGTTACCTTTTCCTTTTTCCAGCCTTTCAGTTTGGCATCATTTCCCAGCCTAACAAATTTATTGCCTATTTTATCATTCAGAATGGAGGTGATGGTAGCAATCACTTTTCACCTCTGAGTTTTACGGACACTCACCTATCACACTCCAGCTTTGGCCTCTCCCAGATGGACACCTATTCATTGGAAAGCAACATGTGGAATGAGCTGTGCGGACACTGGTATGTCTACCAAAGACCTCTGGGATTCTATTTCTCTCATGCTATTCGTCACAGTACCTGATGCCCTGGTGCTCACCTCCTTCTTGAAAGTTATGCCATCCTAACCTCCACCATTCGTCTTTTCCAATTATCCTCTCTTTTCACTAATGTCCTCTGACTTCTTCAGTTCTTGTTCTTTCCTCACCCCTTAGCCACAGCATCACTTGAGTTTAATACATATCCATCTGCATTAATTTCTGTGACTAGAACAGTGGCAATCCCACCCCCTTTTCCCCTATTTGGAGAGAGACATGGGAAGAAAACAGCTTCTCATTAAGGAACTTAATCAGGTCTTATTTAAGTAGTCGTCTTAAAGCTATGGCTGAGCCTTTGGCCTACAAAGTAAAGCTTAGACCTTAATATTAACAGCAAAGAGATATCCTCAAATACCCTCTATATGTAGAAGATTTTATGAAAATCTGAGGGAGAAGCAGGCCTCGTATAAATGTTTTGTCATTAAATTTTAAAAGAAGCATACTTTTTTATTAAAATTTTTTAAAGAAGCATACTTCATGTTTCAGTGAATAGATGGAAGTTAAAGGAAATCACAAGAAACAGAAGGGAGTAACATTCCAAGGGAGGCAGAAACATAGAGATAAAGGTAGCCATAAAAATGTAATTTTCTGAGATTTTATCTACACTACCCTAATTATAGCAAGAGAGTTGTACTATTCTTAAAAAGCAAAATATAGATTTAGGCTACTTCATCTATTTATATGACTTAAATTACAACAATTTTTAAAACTAGTACCAATATTTATACAACTCCAAAATAAATCTGTGGAGTTGATAGTATTCTTCAAGACATCCTCTTTGTCTATCATAATCTCACCCCCTTTCTCCATCTCCTGCAATGACACCTCAATTTGCCCAGTTGCCAGCATCAACTTGAAAGCATCTTCTCCCTCCTTTAGTCCCATATTCTTCATAGCTAAACTCTGCCAACACCACAGGGAGTGGGCAAGAATGACCACAGTAGATTCAGATGTAATCAGTTTGTTGCTTGGGATACACCATACTTAGCCTGTCAATCCACCTGAAAAAGGAACAATAAATTCCCGTCCTTACTTTTCCTCACCCAAATTAGCCCAAACAAATTAGATTGGTAGAACCATTTGTTCCCATCTGGTTTCCACAGGACATGTAGACTCAGAAAAGTTTTCTTTTTTTGTTGTTGTTGTTTGTTTGTTTTTGTTTTTAACTTTTATTTTAGGTTCGGGGGTATATGTACAGGTTTATTACATAGGTAAACTTATGTCATAGGGGTTTGTTGTACAGATTATTTCATCACCCCAGTATAAAACCTAGTACCCATTAGTTATTTTTCCTGATCCTCTCCCTCCTCCCACCCTCCATTCACCCTCAATCCGACAAGGTGGGAACCATTGGATGCCCATAAGCCTTCTGAACCTTGTATAATAAACTACTTGGGGCTGTCTTTTCTTTAGATCTCAGAAACCACAATGAGGAACTATTATCAGTGACTTTAGTCAGGGGAGCAAGATGGGAGTTTGATAGATCCCAATATGTGTTGTTCCTCTGTCTATGTGTTCTTCTTATCATTTAGTTCTCACTTATAAGTGAGAACATGTGGTATTTGGTTTTCTGTTGCTGCATTAATTTGCTAAGGATAATGGCTTCCAGCTCCATCCATGTCCCTGCAAAGGACATGATCTGGTTCTTTTCTATGGCTGCATAGTATTCCATGGTGTATTAATATATGTACCACAATTTCTTCATCCAGTTTATCATTAATGGGCATTTAGGTTGATTCCATGTTGCAAAGGTTCCTTAAGATTCCATCTTTCCTTTAGTTTCATAGCCTATTTTGCCCATTTCTCCCATTCCTCCTTTCTTCCATTTCTTTACCCCCAGATGTCCAAAGCAGCCTCCTGACTTATATTCTTGTTCCCCTTTCTTCCCCTCTCTTTAGCCTAATTCATTTAGATTCCAGAGAAACTGAGCCACATTTTCACCATTTGTTGGTCTCGACTAAAATCAAAAATTTGTCATTAATATGCTACCACATGTAAACAGGCAACAAAGTAAATGATTTTGACCTAAATATTTGAGACATTGGCTCTTGGTAAATACAAAATCTCCTTCATGTCATGAGGACATGTATTTGACCAGACATTGGGTAAGGGGTTGAGGAAGCTTTGTGTCATATTTTTGGGGAAAGACCACTATACCTCCATCGCTACATCATCTGAGAATTTAGAATAATCTGTATCAGAGACTAGATGGTCAAAAACTTAAATTGCAGAAGATATAACATCACTTTCTGTGCACCTATCAGTGTGCATATGTAGACAATCACTTCCAGAAAGAGGGGAGACTGGGCAGCTGGCTGGATGTACTGGGACATATTGAACCATTTTTTGAATGTTTGGGGCTTGGCAAATAAATGCATTGTGCCCGAAGCACCTTTTTCCCTTCACTTAAAACCCATGTGTATTGGAAAGGAAATTTAATTCTTATGTTTCTGATTTGCCCACATTTAACCCATCAAAATCCAACTTGGTGGGAACCATTGGATGCCCATAAGCCTTCTGAACCTTGTGTAATAAACCACTTGGAGCTGTCTTTTCTTTGGATCTCAGAAACCACAATGAGGAACTATTTTCAGTGGCTTTAGTCAGGGGAACAAGATGGGAGCTTGATTTTGCCCTCAGATTTCACCACAGCCAACAAATTCTAACTTTGTTCAGATGCATTGTCACGCCTTGTATTTACTTCTTGCCAATAACCTGAGGTCTAGTAACCACTGTTTTTGTGAAAGTCAAACAATATGGACTGATATTCAACTCCAAAACGGGCTGAGCACTGTGCGGGTCTCTCTCACTGGGTCTCAATGTCCTCACCGGTGTTAGGCAACTCACTTACCTGAACCTTTGAGTAACTCTTCTTCCCTCTGCACAGTCTAATTATACAGGAGATACTGTTCACTCATAAAGGATAATGGATTAGGATGAAAATATTAAAAAAAAAAAAAAGGAAATAAGATCCTGTAAATGGGCTGAATGTGGTGGCTCATGCCTGTAATCTCAGCACTTTGGGAGGCTGAGGTGGGCAGATCACTTGAGTCTAGGAGTTTGAGACTAGCCTGGGCAACATAGTAAGACCCCCCCATCTCTAAATAAATGAATAAAATTTTCAGCTGAAAATAAATTTGCAATAAATAAATAAATAAAGAAATATAAAAGGTCCTATAAATGCAAAAAGATCATTATAACCTATACACTGACAACATGGATTATGGGAACATTTGCAGAATATGACTGAAGTTCACATAATCTCTATACCCACCCAGATGTGTGTCTTTAGACTACTTCAAACCTAATGTGGAAATTGAGATTGTGTTTGGCCAACTTAATCACCTACATCAGTCAGAGGAAGATGAAAGAAAAGTCATAACTAATATGCAAGCAATTATTATCCAAATTTGGCTTTTTATTTCTAAGAACCATAGAATTAAATTCAAACATTTAATCCCTCTCTGCTTGGGCCTGTTTCACCAACATGTGGGACAAAGAGGCAGAAAACAATTTATTTCTAGGCCACCTGCCGCTGTTTTCTTGCTGAACTGGATACGTGGTAGGAGAAGAAGCCAGGTGGTCTGACCTGTTCACAAGTAATCAGGAGCTAGCTGTTCTTCCTGCAGCAGAAGCCAGAGCTCAGAATTTCCTGACCCATGCCCACTACATTCTCAATGTGGTGTTTCCTTAAGATCTGAGTGCTCATACACATCATTCCCGGAGCTCACATGCCTCCCTTTCAAGGCACATTGTGTCTTTCTTCCTGAGTCCCACAACAACATATGAAGGGGAAAATATGGGTATAAAAGTCTTTTCCCACCTTTCCATTGAGACCATGGTGATATTTATGCCCCTTCATTTCATCCAGAACCCAGCTCTGGGACATGTGGCTATGAAACCTTCCATCATTTTAAGACTTTTGAAAGTACAATTTCCAGCAGAACAGTGGTTTTTATTGTTTCTCTCTCGTTTCTGAGCAATTTAGGCCATCTAAAGAGAAAGACCTGAAGTTTCTCTTGTCAGTTCAGCCCAAAAATGAGGGGAAATGATCATTTGAAATCCAGAAAGAGAAAAAAAAATTAAAGAAAGAAATTCTTGACTTGGAAGAGATTACATATCTGACTAGAAATAAAATGGGATACAGTGAAGTTAAAAACATGAATTCCTACCACATTATCACTAACATGAGCTGTTCATCCTGAATTGCCTCCAGCTAGGGAGCTGTGGTAGGAAGGGTACTTAAGGCTTTGAAATCAGGTCTACCCAGGTTCAAATCACAGCTCTGCCTTTTCCTGCCTCTATCCCCTCATCCTTATAAGTGTCAGCTGAAGAATGATGAAGTCATAATTTTGGAAAGGAGATCTTTATTTCTCATAAACGGTTGTAGCCTGCAAGGTAGCCATTCTGACAGGCTGGGAAGTGTAGCCTCCAGCCAGAAGCTGGAAAATGGCACTTTGGTGGTGGTCGGGGTAGGCATAAGACAGGAATTTATGCTGAACAGCTTGGCTAAGCATACATATTCAATAAACTATAGGAGAAATCATGAATATTTATGAAAGGAGTAATATGCACAGGCACAATTGAGCTCCATGCCTCTTCATGGGTGGCATGTTCAAAAAATGATGGCATTACTATTTAAAATAGTAAGGACTTGGAACTAACCCAAATGCCCATCAATGATAGACTTGATAAAGAAAACGTGTCACATGTACACCATGCAATACTATGCAGCTATAAAAAAGAATGATTTCATGTCTTTTGCAGGGACATGGATGAAGCTGGAAGCCATCATTCTTAGAAAACTAACACAGGAACATAAAACCAAACACTGAATATTCTCACTCATAAGTGGGAGTTGAACAATGAGAACATATGGACACAGGGAGGGGAACATCACACACCGGGGCCTGTTGGGGGGTGAGGGGCAAGGGGAGGGAGAGCATTAGGACAAATACCTAATGCATGCTGAGATTAAAACCTAGATGATGGGTCGATAGATACAGCAAACCACCATGGCACATGTATACCTATGTAATAAACCTACATGTTCTGCATTATGTATCCCAGAACTTAAAGTAAAATTTTAAAAAAAAAAAGATGGCATTAGAATGATCCAAAGGTGCAGTTTTTGACTTTCTAATATCAAAAGGTAAAGCACAGAACATGTAAACCCTCACTGTGCACCCTCTGTTGATGCCAGAACCACTCCATGGTTGGTGGTCTCTTATTAGGAAGGAATACATTGTAAAACTGGTGAGTTATCATGTCAAAACTGCAAAGAGAGGGAGAGAGTCCTGTCACGGCCTCAGATAATTGGCTAAAGGTAATAAAGGAAGGAGTCATCCCTTTCTTGTTTTCTAGAGCTGATTTCTGCTTACTCTAGGAAAGAATTCTGGTTAAAGGTTAATAACGAAGGGGCATACTGGGATGTGTCTGACCTCCCATCTTGTCATGGCTAGGAGCTCAGTTTTTAAGGTTTATCTGGGGTCCCCTTGGCCAAGAGGGAGTCTATTCAGTTTTTTGAAGGACTTAGGATTTTATTTTTATTTCTCATGAGCAACAAGGCTTATGATCTATAAAAACAGGGAAAATAATACCTTCTTCATAGGGTTGTCATGAAGATTGAATGGACTATGAATTTAAAGTATCTGTTACAGAGTTGAAAGGTCACAAATGATAGCTATAAAGTATCTAGCCCACAAACCTTGCTGTTTTTCCTGGAATTTTCATTGGTTACACCTTCAAGTTAAAGATTGAAAGTTACTATTAAAAGTCAAATATGTGACCTAGAAGAAATAACAGCAATCTCTTTCAGTGATTATCATCTTGGTATATGTTAGCACCTAGCCTAGTTATCTGATATGATAGGGGAATAAGATAGAGAGATTTTAATGGCTAGAAGGAAAGGGAAAAAAGCTTAGAACATGGTATGCTGAGACAGCAAATTCAAGTGGGCAAGAATCGTTGACACTCCAGGAAGTGGGATGCCAAATGAGGGTGGGAAGCCAGAGGAGAGGAGAAGAGACTTTCTGCATGAGAAGACATTTCATAATTTTGCCTAGGAGCCCAGGAAATGTGATTGCCACCACCAATTTATGCTTGCCTCACTAATATACCACCTCCCCCAGGCAAGTAACTTTGCCTTCATCTGCAAGTCTGCCTGGAGCCTCATTTCTTCATGAAGCTCCTCACAACAATGTACATGGTAGTGAGGCAGGAGAATAGAGTCTGGAGGCAGAGAACCTAAGGCTGTTTCACGTCGACTTCCTAGAACTAAATAGGAAGGAAAACCCTAACTTTCCATGCCTAAGTAACAAAAGGACCAGAGGTTACTACTCCCTTTGGCCTTTTCTGCCCGGCAGATGGGAAACTGGCTGTCCGCAGCAAATCATACTGAGTGTGGGTAGAGTCTTTGTTTGCAGCTTTGTAACTTCACTCCAGTCTCTGAGTGGTTGCTGTCCACAACCAGTCAGACTGATTGCAGGTGGAGTCTTCATTTGTGTAGAAGTATATAACTTTGTAACTTCACCCTAGCCTCTGATTGGCTGCTCTTTGCAACCAATCAGATGTTTGGACAGGAGTGTGACCTTCGTAACTTCATTTCAGTCCCTGGTTGGCTGCTTTCTGCAACCAAACAGACTGATCGCTGGCTACCACTTCATTTACATAAGGTGAGCATAAAGTGGTCAATGGGAAACTTCTAGCGGGTGTTTGGACCCAAGAAGATTCTGTCTCCGGGCCCTTGAACAGCTGCTTGGGTCCGCTCCCACACTGTGGAGTGTACTTTCATTTTCAATAAATCCCTGCTTTCATTCTTTTTTTACTTCGTTCTTTCTTTCCTTTGCTGGGCATGTTGTCCAATTCTTTGTTCAAAACGCCAAGAACCTGGACAACTTGCAGTCACAACCCTCTACCGGTGACAGTAGGAGTAGAATGAATGAGGTCGGATGATCCAGGAACTCAGTGGGAGTTCTAGACATCCATGCCCAACAGACATCATTCTTAGCCCTCATGAACCAGAGTCTTTGTATTACTCTTTTGTGACAAATACAGAGCAATCGAGTTTCACTCAGAAACCTTAGACCAGTCACAAAATATAAAATGACTGGTTAAACCTCACTGCCTAAATGACGAACATTGTCATTGCACCTGCTTCAGCAGGACGGGGAGAGGAGGCAACGGGATTCTAGCAGCACAGGGAGATTAACGGGCTGGGATAAGTGATAACTTAGTGATTGTTTTCTGGAAACTGATAAATTTGCAGACCACATGGAAGTTTCACCTGCCTCAAAACTTGCACCAGTGCTCAATGCCTCTGAGGGTGGGAGCACTCGTTAAAGACATTTACCTGCAGGTGTTTTAATACAGACACTGCCTTAAGTGATGTATAAAAGTTGATAAAAACAATAGACTAACCAAAAAGCTTAAAAGGAAAAGCTAGACAATGAGATGTCTGCAGGGCTTGGAAAACTCTAACTTATTCTTGGAAGTCTAGAAGGCCACACCTATGCATAGGGCTGTCCCTATGCTCAGGAAAGATCTGAGAAGACCCTAGTTGACCTTGAGGCTCTGTGCAAGCAAGAAATAAATGGAATCAATACCAATATCTATCAGTTGATGGGCAAACAAATTTGTAGTATACCCACACAATGGAATAATATTCATCCTTAAAAGTAATGAAGTACTGACACATACTACAGCATGGATACACTTGAAAACATTATGCTAATTAAAAGGAGAAAGAGGCCACACACACACTGTGTGATCCACTTATATGAACTGTTCAGAATAGGCAAATCCATAGAGACAGAAAGTATATTAGTTTATGGGGCTATGGAAAAGGGACAATTAGCAGTGACTGCTAAAAGGTATGGGGTTCCTTTTGGGGATGATGAAAATGTTCTGGAATTGGATGATGGTGTTGGTTGTACAATTTTGTAAGTAGACTAAAAGGCCCCGAATTGTATACTTTAAAATGGTGGGTTTTGTATTATGGGAAATTTTATGTTATATAAATTACATCTCGAGTTTGAGTTTCTGTAAAAAAAAAAACAAAAAAAAACAAAACAAAAAACAAAAAACAACGCCAGACGTGGTGGCTCATGCCTGTAATCCCAGTACTTTGGGAGGCCGAGGTGGGTGGATCTCCTGAGGCCAGGAGTTCAAAACCAGCCTGGCCAACATGGTGAAACCCCATCTCTACTAAAAAATACAAAAATTAGCTGAGCGCAATGGCAGGCACCTGTAATCCCAACTACTTGGGAGGCTGAGACAGGAGAATCACTTGAACCCGGGAGGCAGAGGTTGCAGTGAGGCGAGATTGCGCCACTGCATTCCAGCCTGGGAGACAGAGCAAGACTTCGTCTTAAAAAAAAAAAAAAGGCGGGGGTGGTGGTGGGGAGTAATGGAGGTTGGAGTATTTCTTCTCCTGCCTCTTCCTTTCCATTTTAGCCCACTCTGGCAGCAGGCATATATTTTTTTCTAAATGTCCCACTAGGCAATTTCTTCTTCATAGCTTCCATTTTCACTAGACTCCAGTAACATTGTTTCCTCTCCTTGCTGCTTGGTCTAGAAGTGGCAAGGTTTTCCACCATTGTTATTCTCTGGTGGCCTCAACTTCTTTCTTTCCTTAACCCTTTTGACACCACTGGGAATAATGTGACTTCATTAAAGTCACAAACTATTCAGTGAATTGTTTCTTGATGGGCCTCTGACTGCTACACAAGTGTTCCCAGCTGTTAGTGAAGCCATGTTCTTTGAGGCTCTGATGCTCTGGAATGAGAGCTCCTATGCAGGATGACAATATGGCAATAGAATTTTTGAGGAATACTGGTGTTTTCTAATATACTACTCTCAACCCCATTGTCATCTCATTCTCTATTCTCTTGGGAAATTGCTTCTCCCACAATGGCTTCAGCTATCACCTGTGTACCTATGACTATTGAACTTGAGGTTTTTGTCTCTATGTGGATTAATAAGTTCTAGACACACCTTTTCAATGTGTGCTTAAGTTTTCCCCATGAGTGGCTAATTTCAACTCAGCAGGAATACTTTTCTCTGTTTTAGTGAATAGCACTATCATCCAACCCTTCACTCAAATTAGACACCTCAACATTATCTTTAAGTCCACTCCTCTCTCATTGTCCAAATGGGCTTCAAATCTCACACTTCAGAGATATTTATAAGGAGTATCAATTCCCCTGCTCCTTTCATTGTATATCCTTCGCACCTCTAAATGTCCTCACTACTACTAGTTTCTTCTTTGTTCAAGACATTCCTTCTTCTTCTGTCATCTTTTTAAGAAATCAATTTAATCATATTGCTCCCCTGCACAAACCTTTCCTTGACTCCTCACTGCCTACAGAATAAATTCCAGACTCTTTAATAAGTTACCCAAAGCCTTCCCAAGCTGACTGCAGCTCATCTTTCTAGCTCTTCATTGAACTTCACACACCATACGTACAATTCTTCATTTCCTAAACATTTCCTGCTTTTCCATGCCTTTGTGCATTTGTACATCTCATTGCTTCTGAGTACAAAAGCTCCAATGTTGTTGATTAATCTGATAAAATATTCTTTCCACAGGTCTAAAACAATTCATTTACTCATTCAACAAATCATTATTGATAGTACAATATATGCTGAGTACTATGTTGGGTGTATAGTGGGGAACAAGATTGTTCCTCGCTATAGTCCTGTGGGTCTCTTCTCCCGTAGTACCCAATGTCTACTGGGGACATAAATGTTAACTTGGTAGTCTCTGAACTCACTCCATAATCATAATCACGAATAAGTGCCATGAAGGAAAATTATAGGGTGCTATATCAGGTCTTTTCTGAAGCCCCCAGGCTAAAGTTACTCGTTCTCCTCTGAGTTCCCATAGTGGTATATTTAACTGCTGTTTGATCATGTCTGCCCCAATAAGATTTGAAGTAGAAATTGGGTCATGTTTTAATCTACAGTGGCAGGCAACATTTTTGGCCTGAAGTGTATGCATAGGGGATGACTAAGTGAATAAATAAATTAAATAAACAGTTTTAAGCAAAAGATTGACTTTGAAATTGTCCTGAAAATAATGAGAGCAATAGTCCTAAGAGTGTTTATGGATCCCAAAGCTTCCCTTACTAGCAGACAAATCTTCAAAGTTTTCTAAGGAAATATATCTTACAAGAAAGTATGCTGATGAATTCAATGTTTCATTGACTCACTAATTTAGGACATTCTCCTTTGAAAAACTCTCTCAGGATTTTCATTTTCATCTGGAATGAAATGCGGACACCCATGAATCTGGACAAGGCTACTGTATTTGTGGGGTACTTGTCTGTTGATTGCTACCATCACAGGCATTGGCCACCCCACATCTGGTTTATTGACTAAACCTTTATACCTCTCTTATTCATCCATTTTTAACATTTCACCCTTTGTGTGCTTGGGTTAATTTTTCATCTGAACCATTGAAATGAAAGTTTTAGACATTACGACACTTCATCTGTAAATATTTCATTTTGTATCTCCTAAGAACAAGGATATTTTCCTACACACCCACAACATCATTATCACTCTCAAGAAATTTAGCATTGATGTGACAATATTATCTAGTATATAGTAAATATTCATATTTTCCCAATTATCATAATAGTGTCTTTTATGGCTGTTTTTCTAAATCAAAGATCGAATCTAGTATCATAGGTTACAGTTATTTGTTGTATCCCTTTATTCTTCATTAACAATTCCCTCACTTATTTTTTTTTTTTTACCTTTTGTAAGAGTGAGATTTTTGCAGCACTCAGGCCAACTTTTTTGTAGCCAGCTCTACAAATTTGGATTTTTCTGATTGTTTCCTCATATTTATTTATTTTTTAAATTGACAAATGAAAACTGTGTATGTTTATTATGTACACTTGTTGAAGTATGTATACATTGTGGAATGTCTAAACTGAGATAATTAACATATGAATTATCTCACGTACTTATCACTTTTGTGGTGAGAACCCTTAAAATCTACTCTCTTAGCCATTTTCAAGAATACAATACATTATTATGAACTATAGTCACCGTGTTGTACAATAGATCTCCTGAACTTAGTCCTCCTATCTGGCTGAAATGTTGTATCCTTTGACCAACATCTCCCAACTCCTCAGCCCCAGCCCCTGGTAACCACCAATCTACTCTCTATTTCTATTCATTCAACTTTTTTAGATACTACATGTAAGTGAGATCATGAAGTTTGTCTCTTCCTATGCCTGGCTTATTTCACTTAACATAATGTTGTCTAGGTTCATCTATGTCGTTACACGTGACAGGATTTCATTCATATTTAAGGCTATTCCTTTGTGCATCTATACATATTTTCTTTATCCAATCACCTGTCGATGGGCACTTAGGTTGGTTCCATAACTTGGCTATTGTGAACAGTGTTGCAATGAACATTGGAGTGCAGATATCTCTTCAAATAATGATCTTGTGTCCTTTGGATGTATACTCAGTAGTGAGATTGCTGGATCATATGATAGTTCTATTTTTAAGTTTTTGAGGAAGTTCTACACTGTTTTCCATAATAACTGTATTGTTTTCTCATATTTAAATTCTAATTACGCATATTGGCAAGAATATGACAAGTTTTGTTGTGTCTTTCTCAGTGCATCACATCAGGAAACAGATAGATTATCCCAATCTATCTGATGACTGCTTAAAAAGGTGTTTACTAGATTATTCTAATGTAAATATAGCTTTCTCTTTTGCAATCAGTAAGTCACTTGTGAGGTTAAACTTTATATGACTATCTTGTGACCCAACAACCTTTCACCAGATAATTTTTAAACTCCGTCATCTGCAACATTCGGCTAGCATTCTCTGTAAAGAACTCTTCTTCACCCTCCCACCTAGTCTTGTTTTGCTTGTCAGTTTGTTTTTGAAATCATTAGTTTTTAATTCGGTGCATTAAAAGGCATTACGATCATTATTCTTTTTGATTCTCAATTTGTCCCTAATTTGACTAGTGAGAATTTCTTCAAGCTGGCTCCTGTGTTTACTTGATATGTTCTCGTTAGTTATTGAACATTTTCTTGGGACAATAAAATATTCTCCCAAAATTGCACTTTTCCTTCCTCAGAGACCTGGAATATCTTTTATGGAATGAACTAAGAAACTTAAGTGTTTAAACCACGAGTTTATTCTGAAACCTTCAAATTGAATACAGCGAACTCTTCATCTCCTTCCCTTCCATATTCACAATTCCCTTCCCTCATGGCGGTTAACAACATCTAATATTGACTTAATTCTCTTTCCTATAATTTGCAAAAAGTAGTGTGGGAATTACTACACCAGTACCATAACCAACAACAAACATATAGAGTAAAATTTAAATTTCTTTTCAGTTCTTTTTTGCACTAGGCTATATCCCACGAAACATATTCGGTCAGGGTATTGCGTTGAAAATCAGTTTCTGTGTGGGCTGTGTTGTCGGTTGTATAGTTGGGTTCATTTGTTTCTCTTTGTGTTCAGATTAGAGTATTTTGTCCTTTTTAGTTTTTTTTTTTAATATGTATGACTTTACCATGGCTTAAAAGTCAAAACTATATAAAAAGTTATATAAAAGTTCACTCCTTTCTCATCCCCTCTACCCTATTCTCATTCCTATCCTATATCCATTGTGCAGACAATCACTTTATTAGTTTCTGGTTTATTCTTCCCATGGTTCTTTTTGTAAATATAAGTGTGTGTGGGGGGGGGGGGCGTTCTTTCTTGTTTTCTTTCTCTTTTTTTTACATAAAAGCCTATTATATGTACTCTTTTGCACTTTGCATTTTTTTTACTTAAAACATATCAGTGTAAGTAACCCTAAGCAGTTAAGCAATTAATAAAAATCTTTATCATTGAGACAGAGTCTTGCTCTGTCGCCAGGCTGAAGTGCAGTGGCGTGATCTTGGCTCACTGCAACCGCCGTCTCCCAGGTTCAAGCAGTTCTCCCGCCTCAGCCCCCCGAGTAGCTGGGACTACAGGCGTGCACTACCATGCCCAGCTAATTTTTGTATTTTTAGTAGAGACAGGGTTTCACCATATTGGCCAGAATGGTCTCGATCTCTTGACCTCATGATCTGCCCACCTCGGCCTCCCAAAGTGCTGGGATTACAGGCGTGAGCCACCACGCCCAGCCCTTCATCATTCTTTTCTATAGTTAAATAATTGCCCCAATGTGTGGATGTGCCAGGGTTTATTCAACCAATATTTTATATATTGGTATTCAGGTTGTTTGTTATTTTACTCCTACAAATTATGATTTGATGAATAACCCTGTGCATATGTTTCTTTTGTTCACTTTGGTTTTGTTTGTTTGTTTGTTTGTTTTGGAAGTTTTCAGAATAAAGTTATAGGAGTCAGTTGCAGAGTCAGCAGATAAATGTTACTCTGCCGTATCTCCCTCCAAGCTGATTACACCACTTGAACTTCCAAAGGCAATGTATGTGACTGTGTTATGAGCCAAATTATGTCCTCTGAAAATTCATCTGTTCAAGCCCTAACCCCCAGTGCCTCAGAATGTGACTGTATTTGGAGAGAGGACCTTTAAGGAGATAAGTTGTTCTTGGCCTCCCAGCCTCCAGAACTGTGAGAAAATAAATGCGTGTTGTTTAAGCCCCTCAGTCTATGGTATCCTGTTATGGCAGCTGAGGCGCACTAATGCAGCCTATTTTCCCACAGCTTCAGCAGGAGAATGAGTTGTTAAACTTGTGAATTTTTGCCAACTCAATCGGTTATAAAAGTATAGTTTTGGTCTGTGTAACCGTTTTAAGAGTGCAGCTGAGCATCTTTTCATGTGTTTAAGGGTCAAGTTCCTATAATTTTTGTGGAAATTCACGATTTTTGCTTTTTTCTCAATTTTTAAAAATGTTTTATACATTAAGGAGAGGGCATTTATCTCTGATGCATGTTGCAAATATTTTTGCTTTTTTAGCCACACAATTCTTTATTAATTTTATGTAGTACAACTCCTCAATCTTTTCTTTCATTGTATATGGATCTTTAGTCACATTTAGAAAGCCTGTCCTATATTCAAGTTACAAAATATTCATTCATGTTTTCTTCTAGTATTTGTATGGATTGTTTATTATGTATTTTTCCATTTAGATTTCTCGTGCCTTCAGAGTTTATTATGGTATATGGTGTAAGGTGTGGATCCAGTTCTGTCTTTATCCAAATAGTTGTCCAACTGTCCCAATACCATTTATTCAGAAGTCCATACTTGCCCAATGATTTGAAATGCCATCTATATCAAATAATACATTTTTATGCTAGCTTAAATCTATTTCTGGACTTTCTATCTTGTTCCTCTGATCTCTCCATTCATGTGCCACTACCATACTGTGTTAACCACCAAGCAGTTACAGTACGTTTTAGTATCCAAGAAGACCAATCTCCCCTTATTGCTTCCCTCATCCCCCCTGTGTAGGGTCTCCCAGCCATTCTTGCATGTTCACTTTTCTATATAATTTTAGAATCAACTTGTTTAGGTCCAGAAAACAAAACAAAACAAAAGCTTGTTGACATTTTTCTTGCATTTAAGTTAAATTCACATGTTAACTTGAGAAGAGCTGACATCTGTATGATGTTGAGTAGTTTCTCTCCAAGAAGAACAGATGCCTTTTTACTTGCTCAAGTCTACTTGAATGTCTTTCTGAAGTGTTTTAGAATTTTCCTCATTTAGATTTTGCATATTTCTTTTCAAGTTTCACCTCTTTTTGTTGTAATTATAAATGGATGTTTTCTCTTCCATTACATCTTGTAATTGGTTATTTTTGTATATATGAAAGCTATTGATTTTTATAAGTTAATTTATATCCTACTGTCTCATTGAATTCCTTATTTAATTTCAATTAGTTTAATCATGAATTCTCATGGGTTTTCAAGCTTTACTATCATTTCATCTGCATAGAGAGTTTTTGCTTCTCAAATTTTTACACCTATATCTAATTGTATTGATTAACACCGACAAGACAATGTTAAATAGTAAGGAAGATAGCATCCTTATCTTATTTCTGGCCTTAGCAGGAATGCCTCCCAGGCTTCTCAATTAAATAAGATGCTAAGTTTAGGACAGAGGTACACGGATATGCATAAAGCACATATACACATGTACACATATGTAAACTGCGTGAAGTCTTTCTTTTTGAGTGCATTTTTTCTATTTCTATTTAATTGAGTGCATTTTTCAGGAATGAGTGTTGAATATTACTGAAGGTCATTTCAGCACCTATGGAGATAATTGTTTGATTTTTCTCCTTAAATCTATTAATAAGGTGAATTATATAAATTAATTTCTGCATATTTAAAGTCTGCATTCCTGGAATTTGATATTGATGTTTTATTAATATGGTGTTGGAAACTTTTGGCTAGTTTTTTAATCTAATTTTAGCATCTATATTTATAAAGGTAATTGGCTTGTAGATTCCTACAATAATAATGATCATTGTTATCACCATTAATATTAATCTTTATTAGGATTTGATAGCAACATTATATGGAGAATTTGGAAGTTCTCCATTTTATATACCTTGGAACAATTTATTTGAGATTATGTGATCTTTGAAGATTCATAGAATTCCCTTATGAAACCATATTGGTCCAGTGTTTCCACGTGGAATAATTTTTGACAACTTTCTTCACTTTTTTTCTACTCTGGAGAATGGTCTGCTTAAGCTTTCTATATCAAATGGGACCTGTTTTGGTAAATTACATTTTCATATGGTATAATCAATTTCATAGTTTCCAAATGTATTTACATAGAGTTTTGCAAAGTAGTCAACCTGTGATTTATTTTCCTTTTTATAATGATTATTTCCTTCTAGTCTTTTCTTATTTTGTATATTTGCTCTTTGCCTTTTTTTCTTGATTAGGTTAGTTATCAGTATATTGTTTTTCCTTTTTTCCCCAAAGAACCCATGTGTTAGTCCATTCTCATAGTGCTATAAGGACATACCAGAGACTGGGTAATTTATAAATGAAAAGAGGTTTCATTGACTCACAGTTCCACAGGGCTGGGGAGGCCTCAGGAAATTTACAATCATGATGGAAGGGGAAGCAAACACATCCTTCTTCACATGATGGCAGCAAGGAGAAGTACAGAACGAAGAGGGAGAAAATAGCCACTTATACAACCATCAGATCTCGTGAGAACTCACTCACTACTATGAGAACAGCATAGAGGTAACTGCCCCCATGATTCAATTACCTTCCACCAGGTCCCTCCCACAACACAAGGGGATTATGGGAACTACAATTCAAGATGAGATTTGGGTGGGGACACAGCCAAACCATATCAACCAGCATTTCGAATCATTAATTAGTTCTTTTTTTACTCTTTTGTATTACATTAATTTCCTCTTTTATCCTTATTATTTCCTGCTTTATACTTTCTTTTTATTTACTTTGTAATTTTTCTCGGTTTTTAAGTTGGGAATAAAATTTATTTATTGTAATTATTTTTTATTGATTCAAATATTTAATCCCACAGATTATCCTCAGATCACTGCTTTATTTCTCATTAAATCAGATGTGCATATTTTTATTCTATTATTGTTTTTTGAAATTCTGCAATTTTAGTTTGTATATCCTTTTTCACCCAATAGTCATCTAACAGATGTTAATTTCCAAGTAGAAGAACGTTTTTAAATTTTCTCATTAATTTCTACTTCATGGAACTCACTCAAAAACTTTCTTTGTGACTACAATGGGCTGAATGCTTATGTCCCCCTAAAATTCACATTGAATTGAAATCCTAATTCCCAAGGTGGTGGCATTAGGAGGTGGGGCCTTTGGGAGGTGATCAGGCCATCAGATATCTACCCTTATAAGTGGGATTAGTGCCCTTATAAAAGAGACCCCAGAGAGCTAGCTAGTCCCTGTCACTATGTGAGGACACAGCAAGAAGGTGTTGTCTATGAATGAGGAGGTAGGTCTTCAACAGACACCAAATCTGCTGGCACCTTGATCTTAGACTTCTTAGTCTCTAAAACTGTGAGAAGTAAACTTTTGTTGTTTCTAAGCCACCCAGTCTCTGATATTCTGCTATAGCAGCCTAGAGGAAGACAGTTACTCAACATGAGGTCAATTTCTGTGAACATTCTATTTGTGCTTAAGAAGAGAGTATATTCCCAATATTAGCAAGAGTGGAGGTTTCATATATATCTATAATGTCTACCTTATGAATTATGTTGATTAGATTTGAGTGTCTTTATTTTACGGTTTCCATTTGTCTGGAATACCTCTTTATTCTTAGTCTTTCTGAATCACTTTATTGTAGGTGTGTCTCAAATGTATCTCACAGAATTGAGTTTTGCTGTATGAGTCAATTTGAAAATATTTTTAATTGGGGATTTATGTAATTTATTAATAAGCTTATCAATAAATTATAATATAATAAATATAATTTAGTAATATGACTGATGTACATGGTCTCAACTTGTATTCTGTGTAAAATTATGTATATAATTTTTCTTTCTCAGTGTGGTTTATTTCATGTGATATTTATTTTTTGATATCTAGGAAGATTAATATCTTTGTTGCAGTGCTTACCTTTTTGCCACTACCTATTATAATGCCCTTAGTCTCTTTTCTCACATTTACTCTGCTACTTAGTGTTTTATTTGCTTCAAATTATATTCTTCATTCCCACCTATTGTCTATGCAACAATAGGTCACTTCAGTTTTGTCACCACATATAACAGTTGAACTGTTCTTCCCCCCATGACTCTGTCCTTGTTTAAGTTACAGATTTACATTGAAATATATTCAATGCTCACACAGTCCATTTTCCAGAGTTCTTCAGGTCCAGGTCCTATCTTGGTTAAATGATGTTTTTTCTATAGTAGGACCATTAAAGTTGGATAGTGATTGCAGTGTTCTCTGGGGTTCTGCACATAGAAAATCGCTTGATACTTGAAGCTTAGCTCATCTACATAAAAGCTATTCCACAGTTCCTTTAGTTTCCTGAAGATGTGACTGTGTTATTCTTTTACTTTAGATGAGAAGTCCGATTTTCTTTCCTATGTAAGTGATTTGATACTTTTGCCTGGAGATCTAGAAAAATTTTTTCTTTATCTTTAAATTACAATATTTTCCTAGTATATGTCTTGGACTTCACCATTCCAGGTTTATTTTCCCAGGGATACTGAGGAGCCTTTAAAGATGCAGATTCAAGTTTTCTTTTAATTTCAGACATTTCTCTTAGTCTGTGGTTTTAAATACTAGTGGTTTTCTATTGTAATGGCCTTCTTCTATCAATTATTTTCTCTCTGATCTCTTTTGCTTTGTTCCTTATTTTATTTTTATTCCCTTTTTTCATGGCTTTCCTCACTGTTTCATATTTTCAGTCAAATCTCTTTTTCCATGGGTACTTTATAACTTGGCCTTTATTTTTAAGATGATTTTGTCTTTTCCTTCCATATCTTTCCTGAGTTCACTCAATTCTTATTTCGCATTTTCCTGAAAAATAGGGTTTTTCACAAAATAATAGGGTTTTTTGGTCGTATTTCTTTTATAAAGCTTAAAACTTCTGATTTAAGGTTTTTGTTTTCTATCTTCACATGCTTGTTTTAGGATATTCAATTCAGTGTGGGTGTTCTGTTACAGTTTTCTTCCACCTCATATTTGATTTCGGTAGAAGCATTTTCATCTGCTGGAATGTTTTAATTCCTGTTTTTTTTTTTTAAGTTATTGGCCTTGTATGAGTGTCGTCTGCCATTTTCTATTCATTTTTAGATGTTTAAATATACAGTTGTAGATAGGCGCAGTCATGGCGTTTGATGACTGACCATGTTTCTTAGTTCAAGAGCACCCTCTTCTGTTGGCATGGGAAAGTGTAGTTTCTTCACTGACAGCAGCTTTTGTGGGGGAGGGGTTGGTGTGCCTTCTGAGCTTTGAGATCCACTTTTGCTTGGTAGGACACTCTTTCTTCGTTCTTCCCCTCCACTCAGACGCCTCTGAAGCCCTGCTGCCAAGCGGCCCCCTCTCCTCCAGAAATAGTGCCCTTTCCACAGGCCAGCCCAGCCCCATGGGCAGTCAAACCCTCCCTTTCATTCGCATCCTGAAGCAGCGCCCTCAGGCTACCTGGCCTGTGAGTTGTTCAAGCTATTTCTCAGTCAGGTGCGAAGTTCTCTTTCTGGAGGTTATTTTGTCTGTGGTTTTGGACACTAATGCCCCCAGGCACCGTTCTCCTTTTCCAAACAATCTTCAGGCTGAGTCTTTGCTCCAGCACTTGCTCTGGAGACCACCTTGAGCCTGGGAGTTTACTCCCTTATCTGTAGGTAATTTGAAGTTTGGAGTATTCTATCTCAGTTATATTGTGTGTGTATATTGTATGTTTTATTGTATGTGTGTATATGTATTTGTGTGTGTGCATATATGTATATATAGACAGAGAGAGGGAGAATCTGGAATCTGGAAGTTAAGTTATAGACTCAGGAAATTCTTAAAGCTGTTTTGAATATAAGATAAACTACAGTTTAGGATTACCAATAAAGCTTCACTAGACTCAGGTCTCCCAGCTTCCAGGCCAGTTTTCCTACTAACACCCCATACGCTCTTGGACAAGTCGTTTAACTTCTCTGGATGCCAGTTTTCTCTCTTGATGGAAAGCTATCTGTAAGTGTCTTTCCAGTAATATTCCATGTGTTTTAGACTGTTCCTCTAGCATTATGACTCTCTTCTCCATAGAATACACACAAAAGAAATTAACCTGCATCTTACAACTCAGGCCTCAGCATCACAAAGAAATTAAGTTCTGTGTTAACTGAGTCTTGGTGTCATGTAAATAAATATAAACTTGTTTCTCTCGCTGTTTCAAAGAGAACTGGGGTCTCTGTTCATTCGATTGGTAGCCCTCTAAGGGATGGGCGCTTAGTTGGGAGCTGCCACATGTCTGTGTTGGGTTTTATTTTTTCACAAGGCCAAAATGTTCCCTCTAGAACACACAGTCCTCACCAAGTTCAGAAAGAAGCCAACTGCCCTTACCTCCTCCCCTCTTCTCCATGCTCCTCTGGGCTCAGGGTCCTGCCTCTAGACCACTCCCCACAACATAAAACATCTCCATTCCTAGAGAAGACCATAATTTTAAATAAATAAAAATAGGGAAGGAACAGGGAAATTGCAAGGGTAAATGTGAAAATATTCAAGGTCACCATAACCACTCTTGTTCAATAATGTGAATTTATGTAGCATTCTCAGTTTTCATGTGCCTAAAATAATGATACATACTCCCCATCCATAGTGGCTGAAGAGGCAATATCACAGATGATTCATCCCAAAAGGGCCCTCCAAAGGTCATCCTGGCAATGCCCTTGCCTTGCTTTGAAATGACTCTTGCCTGTTATAAATAGATGCAAATATTGAGTGGGTAGGGAGATTCTCCTATTCTTAAAGCTGTCAAGGTCAGGAGATGAATCTGCCCCCTCAGTCACCTGCTCACAGGTTCCCACGACTCTGACATTCAGGAAGCCAAGAAGAGATAAACTTCCTTTATCAGGATCCAATCTTCAACACTAGTCATTTGAAAACTATATCCAACTGTCACTTGTAGATCCTCTATCTCTCTGCATCTGCATCCGGAATACTGGCAGCAATGACGACAACAATAGCAGATCAGCATAAAACCAAAAACACATTCATAAACACACACACATACACACTACACACACACATACATACATACACACATATACACACAAACACACACATGCACACATGCATACATACATGTACACACACATGCATACACACATACACATGCATACGCCATACAAATGCATACACATACACATGCATACACACACATATACAAACATCCATGTATACACACACATACACACATGCATATACATATACACATACACACTACACACATACACACATACGTGCATACACACATACATGCATGCATACACATACACGCATACACACATCCATACATACACACAAACACACATGCATATACACACGCACACACACACAATTAGGCAGAGTCTCAGAGGAAAGAGGAAGATCTGTTGAACTGAAAAGTATCCTTAGAGAAAGAATTGGGAAACCAGAGGCAGAAAAGAATAGACTTTCATAGCCCCTGAGCACTCCAAAATATTGCAGAGTTTCCTCATCTACTTTCATTTTCTCCACCAGCCCAGCTTCACCCCTAGAGGTCAAGAAGGCTCTTTTTGATTCTGTCAAAGTCTCCCTGGCCAACCTCTTTGTATAAGAAAACAGAAAAACATTCAGACACGAACCTGACCCTTTATTCTCCTGCTTAGACTCCTTCACTGGCATCCCCTATCTAAGCCCAGCTAAGCTAAGTCACATAGATAAATAGCTACTTTACCAAGTGGAATGTATCAAGTGTGATAAGAAATGCAGGGAGGAACTCAGTGAAAGAAGAAATTAATTCCAACTGGAGAGATCCAGTTCCACTGAGAAGGTGGTATTATACAGAGCCCCAGAGCAGGCATAGAGGTAGAAAGACTCCAAAGTGCAATGTTCTAAGAAACAGTGAGTGTGCTGGGCTGTAATGAAGAATGCATATCGTGAGGTGGCAGGATATATTGTCATCAGAGAGTAGGCTGGGGCCATGTCAGGGAACACCTGAAATGTAAAATTTCCTGTATCCTTGAATCACTTTTTTGGCTTCACTTTTCTTTTTCTTTTTTTTTTTTTTTTTGAGACGGAGTCTTGCTTTGTCGCCCAGGCTGGAGTACAGTGGCACGATCTCAGCTCACTGCAACCTCCGCCTCTCAGGTTCAAGCAATTCTCCTGTCTCAGCCTCCTGAGTAGCTGGGGATTACAGGCGCACACCACCACGCCTGGCTAATTTTTGTATTTTTTTAGTAGAGACAGGGTTTCACCAGGTTGGCCAGGCTGGTTCCGAACTCATGACCTCGTGATCTGCCTGCCTCGGCCTCCCAAAGTGCTGAGATTACAGGCGTGAGCCACCATGCTCAGCCTTGGCTTCACTTTTCTAATGTCTCCACATTTGGGATCCAGAATGGTTATCATATACCACAAGCCTGGTCATGTTTGATGCATCAAGATTTATAGCTTTTAAAGTGCTTTGAATTATAGACTAATAGATTAATAGATATTAATTAATAGATAAAAATAACAAAAATAGTCCACCTTTGGAAGTAATATGCTTAATGTGCTCTATGTAACCTTGGAGTGAACTGTTTCTGATAACTTCTTGTGGCCCAAAATGTTATCCTGCCCTAAAGAAATACTAACTGGCTCAGTTGAAGATGGGCATGGTAGTTTCCATGTGAGGATTAGAACAGCAGGAAGGTCCTTGCAGAAAGAGAGATAATATAGCCATTGCAAAACATTGTATCCAGTCTGCAAATGATCATCTTAGAGAAGTCCTTAAGCCCATTTATGACCTTAGAGCTAATTTTAACTCAAGTAGGAGAGCTAGTACAACATAATCATCAAATCAAGTACCAGGCAAAGAAATGGCAGAAATAAGACTCAAATCCAGGTTTAACTTGGGTGCAACCTGGGCAGTTAGAGCACTTCTCCAAGTGTCCTTGTCTGTAAATTAGAGATACAAAGAGTAGCTACACCTTAGAGTGACTTTGAGGATGAAATGTGGTAATAGACATTGAGCTTTTAGCACCATCCCTAGCACATAAAAGATGCTCAATAAATATTCAGTGATTACTGTTGAGTGAATAAATTAATAAATATAATTCAATACATGTTAATAATTCAACAATGAATTACTAACCATTAATAATGAATAATTCAGTAAATGTTATTAAAGGAAAAGGGGAAAATATAGATATTACTGTTCCCCATGGCTCATTATCACCCTCATGGATAAAGATAGCTGTTTAGAAGAGGGAAAAAAAGTGAAAACTGCAAAAGCAATTAAACATCCCCAGCAAACACAGGTTTGGTAGAACTAGAGAGAATGACAGGAGTCTCTGAAATGGCTCGGGACTAGGAGGAAAGACTTCTGGATCATGGTCCCGACCCTGACACTAATTGATGTGTAGTTTTAGGCAAGTCACATCACTTCTCCAGTCCTCAGGGTTTCTAACTTCAGAATGACCACATTGGGCTGACTGATCTCCAAGTTCCTTTGGCTCTCTGACTTAATCTGAGGTTATGAGATACCCGCCTGCAAAGTCTAAAGACCCTTGAAACCCAATGGCTCTTGAGGAGAAGTTTCTTAACAGTATTGCAGTTTAGTCAGGAGACTGAACTAGAGAACCCAGGTGGACATTCTTTCCAGCCAAAGACTCAATACTTCTGGAAAGATTAAGGTCACATTTGTTTCAAGAGTGTCCAGTACAACAAAGACCTTCCACAGGGAGTAGTAACTATTCCTGATAGGGAACCTCCAAACTGCAATAGGCTTTACCCTTTTTTATCTTTCCTCTTTCTTCGTGCCTCAAGTCAGATCATAGCAAGAAGAAACCTTGGAAAATCCCCTCTTCTCCTCCACACCTCCCAGAGATGCCCAAAAAGCAGTTTAATGCTTTTTCGTAGACTTAGAAAACAGTTCTGTTCTTCCCTGGGCTCAGAGAAGCCTCCCATTTTGGAGCTCTTATCTTCAAAACCTTGCCAGGGACAGGCACTGGTGATTCACAATGGTACTTAATGTGATTTAGACTTATAAATCAAGAGACCGCCTAAGAGTAAATTCCAGGGAGCCTTAGGCCAGACTCAGGGTCCCTGTGTGTAAACAATCAAGTCTAACCCCCTTGGCTGGCAGGCTCTCCTGTCTCAGGGGACAGGAGGTAGGACCGCCTCTTGTACAAGTCTTAACATCGTCCATGACCTCAGTCTGCTTCTAGTGGGACTTTGGGAGACCATCCTCTCAAACTTGAGCCATTTCAACCCAATTTCTCCTCCGTGATCCAAGGAGAAATAAGGCCTGCCATCTCTGCTGGGGGATCTTTCTGGCACCAGCTAGATGGATCCCTGGCACTTTGACTCACAATTCCTCCCCTTACACAAGACAGCAGTTCCTGAGGCCTGCATATTCCAGGCATGAAATTGACAAGAGCAATTCAGCTTTCATATGGGAGCATATGAGGTCAGCTCAGCTTTTGGCCTCTGCAAGGAGGGATGTAGAAAGTCTCCCCACAGGAATATCTGGTGGCATCCTGACACCAAGCCTCCTTTTATGTTTTCAAAATTTTTTAAAGTTTTATTTTGTTTTTAATTGACATATAATAGTCATATATATTTATGGGGTACAGTATGTTTTGATACATGTATACATTGTGTAATGATAAAATCAGAGTAATTAGCATATCTGTCACCTCAAAGACTTATCAAAGTTTCAGGATACAAAGTCAACACACAAAAATCAACAGTGTTTCTAAACCCCAACAGCAAACTATCCAAAAAAAAAATTAAGAAAACAATCTTATTTGCAACAGCTACCAAAAAAAAGAGTAGGAATAAATTTAACCCAGGAAGTGAAAGACCTCTACAATGAAACTATAAAATATTGATGAAAAAAAAGGACACGGCCAGGCACGGTGGCTCACGCCTGTAATCCCAGCACTTTGGGAGGCCGAGGCGGGCGGATCATGAGGTCAGGAGATCAAGATCATCCTGGCTAACACAGTGAAAACCTGTATCTACTAAAAATACAAAAAAATTAGCCAGGCGTGATGGCAGGCACCTGCAGTCCCAGCTACTCAGGAGGCTGAGGCAGGAGAATGGCATGAACCCGGGAGGTGGAGCTTGCAGTGAGCTGAGATTGCGCCACTGCACTCCAGCCTGGGCGACAGAGCGAGGCTCCATCTCCAAAAAAAAAAAAAAAGAAAAAGAAAAAAAGGACACAAATAAATAGAAAGATATCCTGTGTTCATGCATTGGAAAAATTAATAGGGTTAAAATGTCTGTACTACTCAAAGCGAGCTACAAATTCAATTCACTCCCTATCAAAATACCAATGATTTCTTCATAGAAATAGAAAAAAAAATCCTAAGATTAGTGTGGAACCACAAAAGACCCTGGATAGCCAATGTAACCTTAAGCAAAAAGAATAAAGCTGGAGGCATCACACCACTTGACTTCAATATCTACTAAAAAACTATAGAAACCAAACCAGCATGGTACTGGCATAAAAACAGATACAAAGACCAATGGAATAGAATACAGAACCCAGAAATATATCCAGGCATTTACAGCCAACTGATTTTTGACAAAGGCACCAAGAACAAACATTGGGGAAAGAATCATCTCTTTTATTCTAGTAAAACTGAATATCTACATGTAGAAGAATGAAACGAGACCCCTATCTCTCACCACATACAAAAATCAACTCAAAATGGGTTAAAGACTTAAATGTAAGACCCAGTGCTTTTTTAAAACTACTCAGCAAACGCTGGCTGTTCTGAGGGTTCAGGTGGCTTCTTAAATCTCTGTGTTCAAGGGCTCATGACTCATTTATACTTCCTGGAAAGTGTCAGGAACTATTTCCAAATGGGCAACTGGTGAGAGTGAGATGTCAAGGGCAGTGTGGCCTCAGTCTCCTAGCCTGCCCCTCATGGGGCGCCAGATTAGGGTGTCATTGCAGAAACGTATGTTCTTGGAGTTTGGTTTCTTTTTAGCATCCAGCCTCTCTGCAGTGATTGCTGCAACCTCTGAAGGAGCAGTTCTTTCTAGCAAGGACTTTTTAGGAGTTCCGTCTCCCCCATCGAGGTGTTAACCTTAAAATCTCATTTCTTCCCAGCTCCACGCTAACTCAGCGATCAATCTCCTCTTAAATTGAAAAGTGTTGTCTCTGAACTGAAAAGGAATCGAGGTTTATGGAGCCTGGTCTGCTGAGAAGAAATGAGGATGGGATAGCTGCCTTCAATGGCTGAATTCAAAGCTGTCAGGAGATCCAAAGAGCACACAGTCTGCATGGCACTCAGGTGTTAGACAAAGGAGGAAAAGTTAAAGATGGGGGATTTGGGATCAATATAATGAATACAGTTATCAAGCACAACAAAAGGCCAGACATTTTATACACATGGCTATTTTGTTCTCCTGAAACATCTATGAAATGGGGATTAGACTATATCAGGAAACAGGCTGGAAAGGAGGAGGTGCATTGTCAGGCCCCTGCAGCAGTCAGAGCACATATGGTGGATAAGCTAAAGGAAAATTCTGGATTGGATGGGAGAGTGGGTCAGTGATTCTCAACCAGGGGTGGTTTTGTGTCCCAGGGACATATGGCAACATCTGGAGACATGTTTGATTGTTATGAATTGGGGAGTGATACTGTATCTAGTGGGTACAGCCAGGGGTGCAGCTAAACACCCTCACAATGCACAAGACAGCCCCTCACAATAAAAAGTCCAACAGGCCCAAAATGTCAACAGTACTGAGGTTGAGAAACCATGCATTAAATGATCTTAAGATATCTTCAAACTCCAGAACTAAATTAGGGGCCTTAATTTTTCCTCTGCATAGATGGGATTCCATTTAGCCATCCAGTGTTTCTCAAAGTAGAGCAGGGAGAGGACAAGGATGTCAAAACTATCTCACTGGGACCCTTTTAAAACACTTAGTCTCTAGCCAAAGAAGACCCAAAAAGCTATAAAAGAAGCCCAAAAAGCAAACAAGTCCCCAAAAGCCTTTGGCCTCAAAGAAATGACATAAATTTTTCCTCTATTTCCTAAAGACTTCGCCATTAAATGTTCTGAATATAAATCTGCACCCCTGGGGAAACCAAGTTAGCTAAAGATTCACAAGGACTTGGTGGGAATATAGGAGATTCCAGAGAACTCAAAAGGAGAGGATGAAATGGATGAAATCTGCCAATTCAGTGAAAATCATTTTGATGAATGCCCAATTGGTACAAAAGCTAATTCCCTGAAAAGTCAATTTACTGAAAGCTAATGCCCAGGGAGTCAGTTCTTAGAAAGATCAATTTGCCAAATGACCAGTACACTCACATTACCAAATTCATATGTCATAATGTTTAATGAAAATATTTATCCACTTGATGCTCTGCATTGAATGAAAATCTTTTTGGAGCATTCTAATTTTTTACTGGAAATTTTCTTCTACCTAATTCTGATTTCTATCTTGAGTCTAGAATTAAATTTTAACTTATATTTAAAATTAATGTTATTTACAATTCTGCTTTATTTGAGTGCTTTTAAAGTTAATTTATTTTAGTTTCAAAGTTTATTGAAAATTTACTTTGCAGAAATTTGCTTTCTTCAGTTTATAGAAAGGATTGAAAAGAAAAGATAAAACCAAGGCCGGGAAGGGGTGTGAGGATGCCCAGAAAAGATTTCCCACACTAGTCCTGGTCCACTATAGTCAAGGAAGAATCAACTTAGAAACAGCAGGAGCAACCATATCACTTTTTTTTTTTTCCAAGACAGAGTCTCACTCTGTCGCCAGGCTGGAGTGCAGTGGCACGATCTCAGCTCACTGCAACCTCTGCCTCCTGGGTTCAAGCAATTCTCATGCCTCAGCCTCCCAAGTAGCTGGGATTACAAGCACACACCACCACACTCAGCTAATTTTTGTATTTTTAGTAGAGACTGGGTTTCACCATGTTGGCCAGGATGGTCTCGATCTCCTGACTTCATGATCCACCCACCTCAGCCTCCCAAAGTGCTGGGATTAAAGGCATGAGCCACAGTGCCCGGCCCCATATCACATTTTTAAATGTGGCTATCAATGACTAGAAATAATAAACCAAGGTAGATTGACTATATGAGAAATTGACAGCAGAATGCTAGAAATGCAAAGAAAAAAATGGCAGAAAAACACAAAATTGAGTTTTTTAAAAGGATCTCTAGTTGCTTAGCTGATTTACCAAAAAGGAATAATTTCACCTTTGTTGCAAACTATGACTTATTTCTGATAATATCAATAAAGTCTGCAGATTCCAATCACTACATATAAATGCTATGTATCAACACATTTCTGCAGGTGTATTTTGCAGGTAACCGAGTTTTTTTTTAAGCTACTTCTGCTTTTTATTGTATTTAAATGTTATTGCCCATTTTTTAAACCATTAAGCCCTTTTTAGTAGTGTACATCAACTCCTTATACAGGTTATCTTCCTTAATTATGTATTTCTGACAATTCAACATTTAAATATAATTTTATATTTAAATCCAAAATCATTGGAAGCATATTAGAATTTTAAATTAAATCTAAATTTAAAGTAATTATTTAAATATACAGAAAATCAAAAGTTTACATTTAAATTTGAAAACTAAATAAATCAGTTTTAAATTAAATTATATTAAAATCAGTATTTCAAAACCTACAAAGAAAATCAGAAATAGCCATCAGCCAAAACAGTTCCTCATACATATTGTCATAATATGAAAAATTACCATGTGAAATGTTGAAATGTTGTTAATAATGATAAAATATGTTTCTTTGTGTCACATTATTAGAAACAAAAATAAGACATTCCTGTTAAATTCGTCAAAAGATTCCTGGCAAAATGACTAAGCACTCTAGTCAAATCTTATAAAGGATTCAATTTGGTCAACTTGCACATTAGTAAATAGGTAAATTGATCATTTGGCAAATTTGCTTTCTAATACTTGCTTTTCAGGGAATTGACTCAGTCCCAAGGGTATTGAAATCTGGAAAAAGGGAGTAAATTCTAGAAGGAGGGTTTGAGGGGAGCTGGGTAAGCTGTTGTTTTTCCTGTAACATCCTTCTTAGAGGCTGCAGTCTGCCCTAGGGGCAAAGGCAAGAAGACTGAGTCAACGAGGTAACCAGCGGCTCTTCAGTTTGTCACCATATGTGGACCATATTCTCAGTGGCTGTGTGGAGATACAGAGGCACAAGTTCCTGACTCCAAGCCCCTTCCTTGTGAAGAAAATCAAACGCTTCAATTAACCAAAACTACTAAGCTTTATCAATGGAATCTATCCTTTTGGTGTGTATGCGTGCATACATCCATGTGTGCGTGTGTGGGCACAAATGATCAATGCAGATTACAAATGCTGGAAAGCTCAACAGACCTCCATACAGATGAGTAACTACAAGGTCATGCCATTGGATCTCCTGGTGAGAGTCAGTTAAGATCTCATTTCACTTCTAGGTTGAATGAACTGGCTTTCTGCTCATATGGGGACTAAGTAAAATATCCACTAACTGGTAGATTTTTTATGGTGTTTAATCTGGCATATCCAGATTAGTTGATGAATTGGTTCAGCTGGGAACTCAGGAAGCCCTGAGTGGCAACAGTGATTGGAGGCTCAGGTACAGAGGCTGACTTGCCTCTGCAGGCCAACATGAGGTTTTGGTTCACCACTCCACAAGGAAAGGGGACAGAAGGAGGCAGCCATATGCTCAGCCCCTCAGAAATGTGGAGCCCCTCAGAGGTGTGCTGTGCCTCACCCTTTGCAAACGTTATCTCCTGTACTCTTGAACAACTCTATGAGTAGACAACTTACAAATGTATAGCCCCCAGTCTAGACTCTTCTATGTCTGTTGCTTTCCAACATTGTTTTAGTCTGTTTTCTGTGGCTTGTAACAGAATACCTAAAACTGGGTTACACATAAAGAAAAGGAATGTATTTCTTACAGTTATGAAGGCTGAAAAGTACAAAGTCAAGGGTTCATATCTGGTGAGAGCCTTCTTGATGGTGGGGACTCTATACAGAGTCCCAGGGTGGCACAGGGCATCATGTGGTGAGGGGGGGCTGAGCTCAGATCTCTGTCCTGCTTATAAAGCCACCAGTCCCATTCTCATGATAAACCTCTAATCCATTAACCCATGAATGGGTTAATCTATTCTTAGGAGCAGAGCTCTCATGACCCAATCACTTCTTAAAAGCTCCACCTCTCAATATTGCCACACTGGGGATTATGTTTCAACATCAGTTTTGGAGGAAACGAATATTCAAACCATAGCAAACGTCCAGTTGGCAAATGAGAGTTGATTCCTGTGCAATGTCTTTTCCCAAAGGTAGCTTTCTCTGGCCTTCCAGTTACAGGATCCTGCAGCATCACAGATGCTCTGCTTCATGTAATGTTTGATTTAGCACATAGCAGATTATACAAATCATAAAACCATGGACAACTTTTACTTGCCATTGTATCTTAAGTACCTACCATAAAATATGTAAAAAGAGAGCTCAAATAACATTTGTTGACGCAAAATTAATGAATAATTTAACTTTCTACAGTATTGTTGTCTTTCTTTTGAAGCTAATAAAACTGAAGCAAAGAGAGATTAAATGACGACTCCAAGGACACACAGCTAGTAAGTGCTAGATCCAGGATTTAAACCCCAACCACTGACGATGGCTCCACTGTGCCATCTTAACATTAATTGACACCCCTCTTAGGCACTGTACTGGTTGCCTCTTAACATTTAACCCATTTTATTCTCTCAAGGGTCTTATGAAAGTGTTCATGTCATACAATTTAGAGATGAGAAATCAGGCCCAGAGAAAACCAAAAACAGAGCTAGAAACTGCTGGAAATGCAGTTTGAACCCAAATTGTCTGACTCCAATTTTCTTTTCAATATATAGAGGCAGTATTATATAATGTATATTAATTAATATATAATGTTAGTAATAATATCATTACTATATAACATATGTCTATACAGTCCACAAATTATTTTAAAACTTATCACCACACCTCACACCCACCAAAAACTCTGTTAGACAGGAAGAGTTACTTTTTTTCATCAGTAGGAAAGCTAAAGTTCTGAGAAATTAAATGCCCTGTTCAAATTCACAGGGCTGGTCAGTGGCAAATCTTAGAGATTTTTTATCCCATGCTGTCCTACATGTTAACCACCTGCCACACACTAAAATTTTAATGAATTAAAATTAAATAAAATGTAAGAGTCAGTTCCTGTTGATTCAACAGTTGCATTTCAAATGCTCAATAGCCACTGTGGCTAGTGGGTACCATATTGGAGAGTATAGGACATTTCTGTCACTGCAGAAAGTTCTATAGAACAGCACTGAATTCTTGCTACTACAGGGCAACAGCAGAAGCATCACCTGGGAGCTTATTAGAAATGCAGAATCTTTGGCCCCACCCCAGACCCATGGAATCACAACCTGCACTTTAGCCAGATCCATGGAAGATTTGTGTGCATATTAAAGCACTGACTTAACCACTCCACCTTAATTTTGCAGATGAGAAACTAAAATCCAAAGAGATGAACCAACTCAGCTAAAGTCACATCCAGGGTTAGGGGTGAAGCTGGGGCCAGAAGTCGGGACTCCGGCCTCTGCTACTCCGCCTGTGAGGAGGCACCAAGCCAGAGGGGCCTTGGTGGCGCCTGGCAATGGAACAGGGAGAGTGCTGATGGCTCCCTCCCTGCAGAAGCAGATAAGAGAGCAGTGGTGCTTGCCCAAAGAGGAGGATGATGCCGGTGTCCGGCAAGTCTAAGAGGCCTGGGAAGGGAGGGAAGCTGGCTTTGGTCCCTCCCACCTCCCATCCAAGCTGAGAAGCAACAATAGAGAGCTGCCAGGCTAAGGGGGACAGGGTCCACTGACAGGCCAGGACTGTAGCCAAGAGAGTGTTGATTACGAAGTTCTCTCTGCCACAATGAGGGTGAGGGAGACTTCAGTCTGAATCCCTTTGGTGGGCTGCGTCCAGCTGCTCTTCTGTCCTGGGCTGCTACCCAATCTTCCCACTGCATCACCATGAAGAGGATGCCTTCAGCCAAATGAGAACCCAAACTGTCTCCATTTCAATGCTTTCAATTTAGTTAATTTAAAAAGAAGAAAGAAACAATACGCCCTTAGCATATATCAGGATCTGAAATTCTCAATCCACTTGCTACTGACACAGAATTTTAACTCATATAATGGTTTTAAAACATTCCCACAAATTCTTTGACAGTCCTCTATTGAGAGGTAGGGTCCACCTCCCCACCCCTTAAATAGGAGCAGGCTTATAATATTTTGTTCAATAGTGCATAGCAGAATGAGGCTAGGCGATGACTAAAGCTAGGTTCTAAAGAGCTTTGCAATTCCACCTTGTTCACTGGGACACTCACTCCTGGAGCAGCAGGTATCCATGTAAGAATTCCCAGTATGCCATGACCATGATGCCAAAGAGGCTGCAAGTACATGCTCCAGATGACACCATCCTAACCATGGCACCAGATATATGAGTAAAGAAATCGGCCGGGTGCGGTGGCTCACACCTGTAATCCCAGCACTTTGGGAGGCCGAGGAGGGTGGATCACAAGGACAGGAGATCAAGACCATCCTGACTAACACGGTGAAACGCTGTCTCTACTAAAAAAAAAATACAAAAAAATTAGCTGGGCGTGGTGGTGGGTGCCTGTAGTCCCAGCTACTTGGGAGGCTGAGGCAGGAGAATGGGGTGAACCCAGGAGGTGGAGCTTGCAGTGAGCAGAGATTGAGCCACTGCACTCCAGCCTGGGCGACTGAGTGAGACTGTGTCTCACAAAAAAAAAAAAAAGAGAAATCACTGCATGTTCTCACTCATAAGTGGGAGTTGAACAATGAGAACACATGGATACAGGGAGGGGAACAACACACACCAGGGCCTGTCGGGGGTTGGGGGCAGGGGGAGGGAGAGCATTAGGACAAATACCTAATGCATGCAGGGTTTAAAACCTAGATGACAGGTTGATAGGTGCAGCAAACCACCATGGCACATGTATACCTATGTAACAAATCTGCACATTCTGCACATGTATCCCAGAACTTAAAGTAAAATTTAAAAAAAGATTTTTTTATAAATGTTAACATAGAAATTATAAAAGACAAAGCCCAATTTTCTGATTAAATTCTTCCAGAAAAAAAAAAAAAAAAGAAGTCACCTTGGAAGTGGATCCTCCAGCTCCAGCGATTCCAACTTCCCACGCTTTGAGTCATCGAAGCTGAGGACCAGCACATTGTGGAGCAGAGAATGACTCCACTGAGCCCATTCTGAATTTCTAACCCTCAGAATTTGAAGGTCATGATAAAAATGGTTGGCATTCTACACCACTATGTTTTGGGGTGATTTTGCAGCAATAAATAAGAAGACAGGATATAAGAGAGGTATATTGCGCTACGAAATGGGTGGGTTCTCAAGAGAAAGGTCTCTCTCCAACCGTCAGGTTAAAAGCAAGTTTCTTAGAGCTGGTATGCTCAGATTTGCATTCCAGATCTGCTTCTCAGTGATTCTCCGCACTTGGGTGGGTTGCTTAACCTCTCTAGCTGCTTCTGCAAAATGGGATTCTTGTGGTGATGATTAAATGGGAGAATGCTCCCTTCAGGGAGTGGATCACAATGAAAAACAGTACCTGTATGTGCCATCGGCTTTGCAGTTCTCAATGCATGGCCATGAACACAGAGTGTTTATAAAAATGTGTTTTGATGAAATAATGGCTAAGTGGTCTGGATTTTGGAGATTAGAAATGATGTAAATTTAGGGGGCTAGAAAAGTATTTTAGCCAGTAGCTCTGCTCAGGAAGTAGCCATGTAGTATATCAATTTGCCTCCATGGTCTGGGAGTTGTGACATGTCATCTATTTAGATGACATTGACAATATTGTAATCAAAAAGGAAGAAATGCCAAATCTAGAATGTACTATGCTTCAGATGATGCCTTTGAGGTCTGGAGTCCTGGCTGTGGTCCTGTACCTTGTTTGACTTCACAATGGGCCACCTGGTCTAGAAACTGACTTCTGTGATCTTGCATTGTCTTCTTGTGACCTTATGATCTAGTTCTCTCCCGAACTAAGACCTCTATTAGAAATGACCCTCCATCACATCACTAACACTAGCATGTCATACCTCCCAGGCTGGAAGTTCTTCTTGGGGTCTAACTTTAGTGATCTCTCTCTCTCAATCTCTCCACTCCCACGTTTTCTTCCCTCACTCCCTCTTACACACACACATACATATCTCACATTTCTCATTCCAGTTCAGTCCTCACAGAAGCTGGAATAGAGATAATCAACTTCTTAGAATTAAAGCATCCTCTTTTTGTTCAGTACTGGCTCTTTAGTTACTGTTTCTCTTGTCACAGTCCAGGCGAGAAAATGTCAAGAATGTCGGATAGAGAGAGAGAGACAGAGGAGACAGAGTAAGAGGTGTTTTCCAGAACTGAGCACCACAAGTGTGGCTGCTGGGGTGTCCTGCAGAGAACACAGAAGCAGCATCCACAGCCCTGCCATCCTGAAGTCTCCTTCCTCTCTTCCAAAGACTGACGCCAGCAGGCTCCGTCAGAAAGGAGAGCCAATGGTGGAGAAAGGGAAGGAACTTTATCTTTGGAATTCTGTCTTCTCAGTGGTCCAGAAAATTCAAACAGGGCCAGGCACTCCATGTATCTTCCCAGATGGGCATCAGGTACCTGACACAACCTGGCACCCCACATTCTTTCTCCGATTTCCCTGTCATCAGGGGCTTGACAACTCTAGCAGCCAGGGAGAGGCTCTGGGTGGGGCAGTGGCAGGGAGGTTGGAGGAATGTGTTCCAGCCCTGGAGCAGGGAGGAGAGCAGGTGTCTCTTCTAGCAGCAGCTGGAGGGTTGGAGGTGATGGAAAGGTGATATTGCAATCAAGAATGCAGGCTGGGATTGAGAAGGTCAGACCTGCCATTTTGCCATTTCTGATCTCTCAAGATAGACACAATTTCAGGGTTAGAATGAAAGAGGAGTAGAGTGAGACAGAAAGAAAGCACAGAGATAAACAGTCTGGCTTCATTCTTTTCCTGGCTTTGGACATGCTCTTCCCTTATTTTTCTACCTAAGAAGAGGTCTTGCAGTGTGGACAGAATCCTCTGGATTCCGCTGCCATTGGGTTTTGCTTCATTTCTCTTAAGTTAACTTTTTGGAGCTTCATTTTCTCCATCTGTAAAATGAATTGCACAACCTCAGAGCTGTAGTAAGGATTAAATAAGATAACACAGATGAAATACCCTAGCAAAATACTTGACCAACTCAACATTCTCTAAGTGTTAGTTCCCTCCCCTCCCCTTCTCACTGTGCACCTTCAAGAGAGAAAACAACCTCTCTGTCAAAAATTGGCCAGAGAACAAGGTGCGGGCAGAGGTTCTGAGACATTAAATGGCAAGTTGCCGCAACTCTGATTCAAAGCATGTAATCATTGTGAAGTCAACCTTCATAGCTGATATTTTGCACCTGTTCTTAAAGAGCTCTATGCCTTTCAATTGGATGAGCTTAGTCATCTTCATGAACTGAAGATGCTCTGGGTGAAGTCAAGAGCAAAAGTACCTTTTATGCCCAACTCAGGTTGGAGAGTTGCAACCTAGGAAGTGAAATGCTTTTCCCAATGCTCGTCAGGAAGGACAGAGACAGAAGGGAGACTGGCATATTATGGATTATTCTTCAATAACTTCTCTATTATTGAAGAATAATCCATAATATGCTGGTTGCATAATATGCCAGTTGCATATAAGTCTCAGGTTGCAGAGATCTTAGCAATCCAGAGATATTCTTTTATGATTGGTTAATACTCAGGGCTTCCACAAAAGAACCTTGCAAAAAATTGTGGAGGCTTTACAAGACTAGATAGAGACAGAATTCTCACAGTGTTCTGTCTCCTGAGAAGGAACTGGGTGGTGTCCACTGGTTCTCACTCCCTTAGACAATCCTGCATGTGTGGATTCAGGATTCCACAGGCCCCGCTGAGACACCTAGCTTCCAAAGCTCCATACAGCTGATGAGTCACGGAATCTTGAGGAGAATGTGCCCTAAGTCAGAAGCTCTCCAGGGATGCAATTTTCATCCACCCAAAAACCACTTCCCTCCAGCCTAAATATTAGGTAACAGCATGCATCTGGAATGCCCAAGTGCCTATAAAAGATTATTACTAAGTAAGAGTAGATGATGATAATTAATTACCCTCCATTAAAGACAAAGTCCCTAGAGCAAATGCATCAAAGGCAATATTTTACTGAGTTGGCGATTTCTTTGGCTCTGCAACAAGGTGACTCGTTAGCCTGCATCTTGAGTCCATTTCTCTCTCTTGCATTCTGGCTTGTGGAATATTCCTTTTGACTTTGGACAATTTCATTTAATTTCCACCTTTCACCCCATCTCCCATCCAGTAATCATTATTACTAAAACTTCACACTAGGCCACAGATCTATTTTATAGCACCCCTTTGATGGATTAATTTATGGTAACTCTCCTTCATTACTAAAGCCCAAATCAAAGAAAATGCTCTTAGAATGGTGACCTGCCATTTTGCCATTTCTGATCTCTCAAGATGGACACAATTTCAGGGTTAGATGAAAGAGGAGTAGAGTGAGGCAGAAAGAAAGTATAGGGATAAACGGTCTGGCATCATTCTTTTCCTGGCTTTGGACATGCTCTTCCCCTTATTTTTTTTTTTTTTTTTTTTTTTTTTGAGACGGAGTCTCGCTCTGTCACCCAGGCTGGAGTGCAGTGGTGCGATCTCAGCTCCCTGCAAGCTCCACCTCCTGGGTTCACGCCATTCTCCTGCCTCAGCCTCCCAAGTAGCTGGGACTACAGGCACCTGCCACCACACCCGGCTAAATTTTGTATTTTTTTTTTAGTAGAGACAGGGTTTCACCATGTTAGCCAGGATGATCTTGATCTCCTGACCTTGTGATCCGCCCGCCTCAGCCTCCCAAAGTGCTGGGATTACAGGCGTGAGCCACCACACCCAGCCCCCTTATTTTCTACCTAAGAAGAGGTCTTGCAGTGTGGACAGAGCCTTCTGGATTCCACTGGCATTGGGTTTCTGCTTAACTTCTCTTAAGTTAACTTTTTGGAACTGCCAAAAAGTTAACAAGAGAAGTTAAGTTAAACAAAATCTACCTGCCAGCCAACACAAGAAAGACTACAGAAAATAGACATCCAAAGAGATCATAGGATTGATCTCCTCCTCAACAAATCCACTTAATGGGTAAAAGTGGTCAGAACAAAGTGTGCTATGATTCCAGAAGAAGTCAACGGACTGGGCCAGATTTCCTCCAATCTACGACAGAATCTATGAGTAGCACGTTACTCTGTGATTCTTAGGAAACATCTTCTCTTGTCCTATAGTTCTTAATCAGCAGACCTGTGACCACTGGGAGAGGTCTGTGATTACTGAGCAAAGTTGACCACAGAAAGAATATCCATATTCTCAGAACCTCATCATGACTAATCTGGGAAGCAATCTTGGAATATCCATGTTTCCTGAAAAGAGTACAGAAGCCGTGGAATCAGGACCTGAGAAGGCTGTGTAGTTCCTGGCTTTGTGACCAGGAGACTCTCTGGAAGTCAGTCTCCTTATCTGTAAGAAAAGACAAGGAAATAATTCTTATCTAATGAGTTCTTGGGAAATTGGGAGGAGATAATTGATATGTGTCAGCATGTTGCTCAGCTCCTGGGTATGGTGCCTTCCATCACGTCAGATAATCACCATCTTGCAAGAACAAGGGCAGGGCCATGAAGCAGGCCAAATGCCAGAAGACTGTCTGGACCTTTGCAGGTACCAAACACATCCTTGTTGAATGAATCAATGCAATCATATCTATGGTTTGTGGCTAGGGCAGCCAGAAGATTGGTAGACTGGCATCAGTAAGAGCTATCTGGACATATAGGAAGTGCTTTCCAATTGTTGAGTCGCAGAGATCTTAACAATCCAGAGATATTCTTTTGGGATTGGATAATACTCACAGCTTCCACAAAAGAACCTTGCAAAAAGTTGTGGAGGCTTTACAAGACTAGATGGAGCCAGGCCTCCATCAGCCAATTCTGGAGAAACACTTGTATGCTGGAAAACTGTCCCTGGGACAAAAAAAAAAAAAAAAAAACAACAACAACAACAACAACAACAAAACAGCATGACACTGATACCAACATTTTAATCACGATAATTATTGTTAGTGCTTGGCACAGGCAAACTCCTAATCTCTGTAACCTGGTAAGGGTTCTTTTCTAACCAAGGACTCAAGGATCAAGTTGTCTCTTCATCTCAGCATATGCCTTTCATGGTTGCCCCAGCAAGGTAAAGAAAGATCGAGGTAGCACAATGCCTCTTTACTGCTTTGGCCCCAGTATGGCACAGATCATTGCTGATCACAGCTATCGGCCAGAACTAATCAAATGGGCCTAATCCAACTGCAAAGGGAGCACCTGAATAATAAGTGAGCGCTAAATGTCTCTACCACTGCTGAGGACTCAACAGAGGGGCAGTCTGATGTCTCACCATGCTGATAGCCAGGAAGCTCTGGATTTCCTCCCTCTATGTTTTAATGACTTAACCAGGGGTGGTAAAGGAGGCCTTTAGAAAAGATTCTCAAACACAGGGGCCCAGGGATCCCTGGGAATCATTTCTTACTTTGCCATCATCTTTTCTCCCTTTTTTTTTTTCTAATAGATAGCTCTCAGAGGGGATTACCAAAGCAATTTTATGGTCTTTATAGCTGGTTCTCTCCCCAGTAATTCAGCTGAGAGTCAAAGATCACAGAAAACCTGGCACCTCCCTCATCTCACTATCTCTCTGGAGAATGTGGGCCCTCCTCCCTCTCTGGAATACATGGAGGCCGCCAATTACAACATAGATTCTCCTGCCAGCTTCAGTGCTGTCTGCCAGGAGTAGGGCTACTCCCAAGAGGTTGACAACCTAAAAGGCCTTCATCACTATTCAGAGAGCCATAGCCCTGGTCCCCACAAGACTTTAAAAATGGCTCCCTTTGGGTAATTTCTAGTGCTGCTTTGCTGAAGCTCCTTGCATACCAAAGTTTATAGCAAGAACCAAAGCACCTGCCATGCCCCACTCCCACCCACCCCCTTCATACCCTTCTCCCTTGCTCTACCATCCTTCACCTGGGCTTCTGACTCAGCCTGCAGATAGCCTACAGGTCAAAGTCCACTTCCACCTGACCAGCCTGTGACTCTCTGAAAAACAGACCAAAGCTAGCCTGAGGCTTTTAGGGGAAGGAAACATAGGCAGTTTGAAGTCCTAGGGGCTGAAAACTTAGGCCTACGTTTCTGGCTATACTTTGCCAAGTTTTTTCCATGAGCATGAGACTGTGGCAATTCTGAATTGTCCAATCCCTGGCTGTGGTTCAAGCCACACTTCTAGTCACCTTCGCAATACACCCCTTACCATCTCCAGCTCCCCGACTGCCCTCCATCTCCTGGACCTCTCAGAGCCCCAGAATTTTCCTGCAGCCAACATATTGAGAGTCTTGTAAAAGCTGAATACAAGAAGAAGAAAAAGAGAGGCCAAGCTTATTAAACTCCTCTTCAGCTGGCTGCATGGATTCTTTTAAGTCCACTGTTGGATTTCTTTGAGGTCTCAGTACGTGCTGACTTGCATGGCTGGTTTGGGGGATAGGGAAAGGAGGTAAGAAAAGCTTTGCACTGGATAAATAAAAATCCCTTTGTTAATTAAGGAGACATTAACAAGACCATGGCCTATATCAGGCAGCCTACACAGAAGGTTTGATTCTTCAGGAATTAAAAACAAGGAAATAGAGAAACTCCCCCACCACACTGCATAACTTTGTTCTAGGGCTGCTAAGTTATTCCCTGCTACTACATCAGCTGTGAGAGCCCTGTGAAATATGCTGTGGTTAAAATAAACTCAAGCACCTAAGCATATTTTTTTAGATGTGTTAGGTTATCTAAAACAGTTCATCTCCTCTATCTTCTCTTTGAAAAAAAGCCTAAATTATTAATTTTCTATCCAGTCATTTTATGTTTTCCTGCCCTGTCTGTCCTCTTCATAGCAGCCCAATCTGAATGAGAGACATGAACAAAGTGATTTAAGAATTGTTGACTGGAAAAGGAGTAAGGTGATACACCAATAGCCCTGGTCCACACAAAACCTTACAAATGGCTTCCTTTGGGTGATTTCTAGTGCTGCTTTGCAAAAGCTCTTTGCATGCCAAAGCTTATAGCAAGGACCAAAGTGCCTGCCATGCCTCCTGCTCCCCACCCCCTTCATAGCCTTCTCCCTTGCTGTACTAGCCTCACCTGGGCTTCTGAATCAGACAGGTTAGGATCAGAGGTCCAGGTCTTCCTCTCTCATGGACAGGTTGCATAGCCTGTTTGAGATTGGATTTCTTCATTTATTCAGTGTGAGCAGACTATGAAATGTTGGAGATTATATGTGATTGTTTATAATGTTCCTAATACACTCTAGGTGTTCAATCAATTACACATTGAAGAATGGCATTATGAAATCACATTGTTATTATTAACACCACCTTCCACTCTTTCTTTACTTCCCTTGAACAGATCCAGTCTACCCCAAAAGGACCTTAGCCATTTCCACATAACCTAATCAGTAAACTGGGCTCATTAAACTTTTCTAAAAGATGTGAATAGGGCAGACAGAAATTGATATGGTTTGGCTGTGTCCCCACCCAAGTCTCTTCTTGAACTGTAGCTCCCACAGTTCTCAAATGTCATGGGAGGGACCTGGTGGAAGGTAATTGAACCATGGGGGCAGGTCTTTCCTGTGCTGTTCTCATGACAGTGAATAAGTCTCAGGAGGTCTGATGGTTTCATAAGGGGGAGTTTCCCTGCACAAGCTCTCATTCTGTCTTTGCCTGCTGCCATGTAAGACATGCCTTTTGCCCTCTGCCATGATTGTGAGGCCTCCCCAGCCTCACATGGAACTGTGAGTTCAATAAACCTCTTTTTCTTTATAAATTACCCAGTCTTGGGTATGTCTTTATCAGCAGCATGAAAATGGACTAATACAGGAATACAACAGCCTCAGGTCACTACAAGCTCAAATTAATGCCCTGCCTTCTGAAAAATTTACACATCTCCCTCCTCTTTCCACTTATTGAACACTTTTATATGGCTGACCCTTTGCTAAGCTCTTTGCGTGCATGGTTTCAACTGGACATCACAACTCTGCTGTTTACAGGAACCCTGGGATCCTGGCTGCTGAGTTGCTTAGAGTCTCTCCAAATTTAACCACCAGCCTGCTATAAAAACCTCTTGTAGCATCCCCAAACCCCAAACAGATCATAGAAACTCTTAACTTTGGGCAGACATCATGCTTTTTATGTCACAGAAGCCAGTCTCATGAGTTTCTGGGTAACAGTCACTGGTATGTAATCCTCCCAAAATCCTCTCCCATAGGACATTACTTGATTGCTCCCTCTGGGTATGAGGTGTCCTAGAACGAGCCCGGCAAGGACACCAAAATTGTTTTCACAAAACCCTTGTATTACTGCTTCCTCTTCCTATATCTGGTAGTTCCCCAGTGGCTATTCTAAAGTTAACCTTGTAGTCCTCCTTTCCCATATTGCATCTGTAGGGAAATGAGACACAGATACACAAGCAGCTGGGAATTCTTGTGAGGCTGAAAAGATGAGAGTTGAAGGTTCATGGATTTTGAGCAATCACTAGCGAGTAAATCACATCCGATCTTTCTAGTGCAAGGAGCAATATGCTCATTATCTCATAACTACAGAAGAGTATGCCAAGGCCAAGATGCCAGACTGTCTGGTCTCCTGCTTTGGGCATTTGGATGTCTAAAGCAATCAGGACATATGTCCCTGTGTCCTCTCATTGAGTATCTTGAAGGGGGAGACACTCTGACATTACTTCCCCTGACACTGGCCCAGGAAACTTGATCACTGAGTAAGCCCAATATAAGCTGGAGGACTCAAGTTGTAGACTTTTGTTTCTGTTCTGACTGGTCCACCTCCAAACTGCTTTCAAGATTCAGGTCTACTGGCTCCTAAGAACTTCAGTCTTAGTATTATCAAGTAAGGCAGAGAGAAAAGGGAAGGTTTAGGAGTCAGACAAATTTTGGTTTGAATCCTAATTCAGCTACAGCCATGCATTGTTTAATGATGGATAAACGTTCTGAGAAGTGTGTTGTCGGGTGATTTTGTTATAGTGTGAACATCATAGAGTGTACTCACACAAACCTAGACGGTATAGCTTAGGACACACCTAGGCTATATGGTATAGTCTATTGCTCTGAGGCTACAAACCTGTACAGCATGGTACTATAGCAAACACTGTAGACAGCTATAACACAATGGTAACAATTTGTATATCTAAGCAGTAAAAATACAGTATTATAATCTTATAAGACCACCATCTTATATGCAGTCTGTCATTGACCAAAACAGCGTTATGTGGCACATGACCATACTTATTAGTGATGATTTGCCACTAATCTTTATCTATACAGTTCCTACAACTAGAAACTGGAAACAATGTCACAGTGTATCTAAATACTACCTAACAGCAGAAAGCAGTAACAGCTGTATTTATTTAGGGTCACTGCTCACTACCATTCAATTTTCACCTTTACCTTTTTAATGGTCAAAAATATTCTCTTGAGTTTATAGCTCCCCATTTTCCTATGAAGAAGTCAAAATTCAAAGAGATTATTGAACTTTCCCAATTCACACTAAGTGGCACATCTTGGATTGAAACACAAATCAACCTGACTTCAGTGTCCGTGCTCTCTCCCCAAATCCTTGCCCTCTCAGAGACTCCTGTTCTCATGTGTGGCTTCCAACAGTTTGGACTTTGGTCTGCAAGGCCCTCCACAGCCCAGCCTCTGGCTCTCTCCCATCCTATCTCCTACCAATCCCATCTCTGACAGTATTCCTGGTCCATTGTCCTCCTGGCTTTTCCTTGAATACACCAAGAACTCAGGGCCTTTTCCCTTGTTCCCTCTGGCACTCTCCAGTTGTAAGAGGATATTATTCCATTCCTAGCTTCTTCAGAGACTGGGCTGCCTATCATTCTTTGTGGTGGGGGGTTTGTTTGTTGTACTTTTTCTATTTTCTTTGAATGAATTTACATGAGTGTTTCTATCTTGGTCTAAAAGTTCTTAAGCAGCAGGGATTGTGACTAAGAAGATTTGTTTGTGGGAACTTGATATTCACTTTAAGGAGATAATAATAATGATGACTTACTTGTCATTACTGTAGCCTTGGTGCCTAGGACAGTGCCTGGGACATAGTATGCACTCAATAAATCATTGTGAGATGATTGAATTTGGAAGTTACAAGAACACAAATACAAATTATGAAGCCTCCATCTTCATTTGCTCTCCTCACTGTAATTTCTTCATATCTACATCTATTTCCTTTTAGAGTTAATTATTTGAGAGTAAACATAAATAGTGCCAATACCTTGCCATCGACTAACAGTCCTAACTGTATTGATTGGAATAAAACACTACCTAGTTAAAAAAAAAAAAAAAAAGCATGGCTGTCCCACCAGCCTGCACCCTTCCAGATAAGTTCTGCCTTTGAATTTTATGGTCCTGATGATGCTTTGGTTCCAAGAGAGGTCATCTCCTATCTAGTGGCTTGACGCCAGCTTATGGATATTTTATAAAAAGCTGCATCCGGAGGGCTCTCCAAAATGTCTGGCAAAAAATTTCTTTCACTAAAGGTAAGGAAATGAATAGCAGTATTCAAATCTCAGAGGAGTAATTACATGCAGAGAGGAGGCCAGCTGTTCTCTGTCTTTTCTGAAGATGTAACGTTAGGAAAAACGCTGAAATCACAGCAGGCAAGATGGAAGTTGGACAGGTAAGCATGCCTAGGATAAAGGAGTGGGAGGTAACAGAAGAAAAAAAGTAGAAGTATTTCTTTCGTCTGGAAAATCTGAAGTTGCACAAGGCTATGCATCAGTCTGGGTTGATTCAGCCATAGACCACTTTAAGAATAGAACATATACTAAAGGACAAATCCTTTGCACATGAAAGGATGTCCATCAAAACATAAGCATCATTTTGCACATGAAGACAAATTTTATCTTTTTTTGCAATACAGTATACATTTTGCTTCAGGAAGAGAAGTCTAAGAGATGCAGGGATTGAAACTCAATGTTTGTGGTAATCTTGGATTCAAAACTTGATTTTTCTTATACAAGTGATACCCATAAGCAACAACAAAAGAAATCCTTGAATGAAAAAACTCAGACTTGTGCCGAAATTTGATTTTCCAAATATTAAAGATCTTTTACAGCTGTCCTTGTAAATGGGTCAATAGTTTCACAACCTAACTGTGTATTGCTCCCTAAAGAATGGGAGTTTTAGAGGAATATTCTTTTAGTCAATTTTGTAGCAATGTCAGACAGACCCATAATGATGTGAGGAAATAAACCTTGGCCTCAGAGTCGAGAGACCCATGGTGACTCTAGCATTGGCAAGTAACTTCACTTTTCTGTACTTATTTTTTTTAATTAGGCAAGTTCCTTATCCTTTCTCAGTCTCTGTTTCTTTTCCTGTAATTGTAAAATCTGGAGGTTACTGTCTTCCTCTAGATGTGTTAGATGATTAAATACAGTAACAGTCCAAGTCCTGGTATATTGTAAATTTTCAACGTCAATATTTTTTCCTAAGGAAGCAGTCAAAAAAAGAAATTATTTTCCCTCCTCTCTAATTCCAAACAAATGCCCAAAACCTTAATATTTCTTCCCTCAGTGACGTATACAACAGATAAAAGAAGTTGGCTCTCAGTTTCAGCTTAACTTCAAACAAAGCCTAAACTATTCAAACAGACGGTTCTGGCATCCACCATGAGGAATGGCCCATGTCCTGCTTTTTGGAAGCAGTGTTTGGGGTACTATGAAACAACTCAGAGGGGATAGCTGGGTGTGCACACCAGGGGGATTTACAGCACATGCAATGGGTGCCGATTCTCCTCTAAAGTTCCCATGTTCTTAGTGCAGCACAAATAAGCAGAGTCACCGAACTTGAAGAAATGACATGAAAGAATGACTGGCAGCCCTACCAGAGTGGGTCATTTTTCATGATCGGAAGGGTCGCCCCAAAGTTCTGGTGTTCATAAGAACTTGGGACCCTGAAATCTGGGGAGCACCCAGATGTTAGCCTGAATTTCCCAACAACTTGAAGGGATGAAGAATCAGAGTTGTATTTCTAGTTATTTAAGGAAAATAGATGCAATATTTCTTGTACACTGAGGTTTGTGGGCTAAGAGCCGTATCTATAATCAATAGCATATCTAGGAGCACAGGGTCAGCCCTATACACAAAAGGCCTGAGAATTTCCTGAGATGATTTGAATAGGAAAAGTTATTTCTGGAAGTCTGCAAAGGCTCTAGGGAGACAGAATTCTGAGAGGCATCTGATCAGAGAAGAGAGAAACAGTTCAGAACAGAACACAGAGGGAATGGTGCAAGAGGTAGGTCTTAGACAAAATAAACTAAGCAGGAGGCACCTAGATAGTCCCTAGATACTTCAACTCTTTGCCTGTAGACATGAAGCAGTGGCTTGTGAGAAAGTCTCAGGCAGAGCCTGTCACTGTCACTCAGCCGAGCACTGGAAATGGGGTCTTTTGCTTTCCCCCACCACTCACGACTCTCACCTTGTGTTTTATGCTGCTGTGGCCTCACCATTTCTGTCAAGGATCAATGCAGCTGATGTAATTCTCATTAAGGTGTTAAATCATGTGATACTTTTAAACAAATTAAGAAATGGATGGATAAATCTCTCTGCAATAATATTTCATACACTAGAATATCAGTAAAAAATAAATGTGACCACTTTGGACTAGACCAGTTCTCAAAGTGGTTTGAAGATCCCCTCCATTAGAATAACTTGGGGCATTTTTAAAAATGCAGATCCTTGGTTCCCCCCTAAAACTACTGAATCAGAATCTCTAAACCTGAATCCCACGGATCAACGCTTCAAACAAACTTCCCAGGTAATCTTTATGCACGATAAAATTTGAAGACCCTTACCTGCCTGGATGGTGAACACGGACTCTTTTCCAACCTTTAGCATCTTGACTATATCTCTATTTAGCATATATTTCACTGCATGATATTTGCTTACATATCTGCCTCATCCATGTAAACTTTGTTATAATAAAGAGACTGAGAAAGGAAACAGATGGGAAAACTAGAAGGCCTTGAGAAGAAGACATAATAGTATCAATAATGCTGATTAATTATCAATAATCTGATGATTGTGAGAATTTAATTACATTTAAATACTGATGATTGTGAGAGTTTATTATATCCTACAAAGCACTCAACACAAGTGTTAGCATTCTTCCCCCTTTATTCCTTTACACTTTCTATGAGTAAACTAGAATGTGAGTTCTTTTTTTTTGAGACTGAGTCTCACTTTATCGCCCAGACTGGAGAGCAGTGGCGTGATCTCAGCTCACTACAACCTCCGCCTCCCAGGTTCAAGCGATTCTCTTGCCTCAGCCTCCTGAGTAGCTGAGATTACAGGTTCCCACCACCACACTCAGCTAATTTTTGTATTTTTAGTTGAGGTGATATTTCACCATGTTGGCCAGGCTGGTCTCGAACTCCTGACCTCAAGCAATCTGCTCACCTCGGCCTCCCAAAGTGCTGGGATTACAGGCATGAGCCAAGATGCCCAGCCTAAAATGTGAGTTCTTAAGGGGAAGGATTTTGTCCTGTCCTGTGTATCCTTTCCATCCTGGAACACAGAATAGAGATTAGCCCACAACTGATGTTCAGTCAGTGCTTGTTAAGCAGTTGAATTCATTCAAGAGTTTATGGTAGTGGCCTCATGGCCACAATACTGGCTATCTAGAGAAGCTAGTTGCCCTGAAAATGGCTTTTGAATGAACAAGTGATTTATTTAGGATTATCTGGGCATGATACATGCTTCTCCGGTTTGTCAATGAAAAACAAGTGTAGATAGATTGGTATGCATACATAGAAATGTATATGTTTTTTAAAATACTCATAATGGTTGTTTTAATGGGTCACTCATCAGCTGTAACTACCTCTTTGATGTGAGTCAAAGCAAATCAAGGAATGTGAACACATAGCTCACACATAAGTTGAAATTTATGAGCCACAAGAGGTCAGAAAAAGCATTTGAACCTCACTTGAGATTCAATGGGCTGTCTGGGAGAGGTCCAAAGGATATAAACTGCTCAGGTAAATGACCCAGAAATTCCATTCCACCATATCCAGTTCCACGGTTTACCCAAGATCAACAGAATGGAGCAGGAGAGCTCTCAAAGCTAAGGCAGGTGGCTGCCCCAGGAGCGGAAGAGGGCCTATTTTTTTTTTTCTGTTTGAGTCCAAATGCTGTCAATTGTGGAAAAAAGGTAGCTGTTGAGGAAAGAATGCTGGATGCCTTGAAAAACCCAACATACACATGTGTATGAAGAAAGAGACTGTGCCTAAATAAACTTGGATTGGATATAGCCCACATGGCAGGAGGATGGAAGGCTGAAGTTGCAGAGCTGTGGGGAACGAGGGAGGAAATGGAAATGGATGTGGGAAGGCTGTCAGGCAGGAGGTTATGCCTCCATGGAATGAATGGAACCATTCAGAAGCCCAGATTGCCCTGGTTGTTCCCCTTCTGCTCTGTACACGTACAGCCACTAAGGACATCCAGTGGGGGATAGTCAATGCCAAATGCACTGTTCATTCAGTTCATACAGGCTAGTGAAAAAGTCAACTCACTAAGGAATCTCAGCCCAAGTAGTTATATGAATTCAAGTAGGCAATACCACCACATGATGAACTATGGTTTCTATTTTCTTATAAGATCTGAAAGATATAGCTGGAACAGAAGCTGGTTATCTTGGAGAACTTGCCCATAGTCCAGTTCAGAGAAAGCCCGGCCATGAAACATCTTGCTGTAAAGTAGTGAGATAGAGAGGTATCAAATAGTAGGAGGCTTTATATATCAGATTGAATAACTCCTTCTATTTTTTTTCTCTGCTTGACTTTACTTCTCTGGAAACACACTGAGAGTTCTGACCCAGTCAAAAAAACTATCCACTACTTTCTTTGTTTTTTTTTGGTTTTTTTTTGTTTGTTTGTTTGTTTTTGGTTTTTTTTGAGATGAACTCTTACTCTGTCACCCAGGCTGGAGTACAGCGGCACGATCTTGGCTCACTGCAACCTCTGCCTCCCAGGTTCAAGTGATTCTCCTGCCTCAGCCTCCCAAGTAGCTGGGACTACAAGTGTGAGCCACCACGCCTGGCTAATTTTTGTATTTTTAGTAGAGATGGGGTTTCACCATGTTAGCCAGGCTGGTCTCAAACTCCTGACCTTGTGATCCACCCGCCTCGGCCTCCCAAAGTGCTGGGATTACAGGCGTGAGCCACTTCGCCCGGCCCATCCATTACTTTCAATTGCATGTGTGCAGATTGCAGAGCAGTTGATCCGTTGTGCTGGGCAAGATAAATCCTCTTTCTCTATCTCCTGCTTTCAAATTTCACTACCACCTACACTTCCCAAAAAGCACAGTGAAGTCCAGTTGTCTTCATAGCTGTGTGTCAACATGCAACAGAGAAAGGATTATATTCAGCCTGTGGAAGTTGTTGAGATAAAAGCACAAGAGTCAGTCTTGAGAATTTGAAGCAAAAGTCATAGTAAAAAGAGAAAAATGGAGTCTATGTTCACTTATGTGTGTAAGTAAAATCTGGACAGCCAAATCATTTTCTTAGCATCATTCATTTTCAAGGTCCTGTCTCTCATGGCAATCTACTTCAGAGATGTTGAGTGGGTGAGCCACATTGTCTGGTGTATAAAGTGTCTAAGATGTCCTACAGAAAGTGTGGGCTCTTTGAATGTTGTACAAGGCACTCAAAGATCAACCAACATAGGGTGTATCTAAAGGGACACAGGAGTCAACACGGAAAAGCTCTCAATGGCCAAAACTGGAATAAAATAGATAATTATAGCATTGGATTAAAACATAAAGAATAAAATAAATATCCATGAGTTCCTACTGATATAAATAAATTATTGAACAAATAAATGAGGGAGAGGGGACAATTTTTCTAATAAAAAATTCCAAATATTAACTGTAGAAGAAATCAGAGAAATAGAAATTCACCACTAGAAAACCACAGTAGTGGGTGCTGCAGGCAACCATAGGTGAATGGCAAAATTAGTAGAGAAAGTTTAAGGAGAAACTATGATATTTACATAGCTTCAAATTATATCCTCCAAATTATTTGTAAATTGTTGTTGTGGTTTAACATATGTGTAGAGTTCTTTGCTACTTCTCTCTCTAGGAGGTAGAATTTAATTCCCTTCCCCATGGGTGTTCATAGACTCAGTGATTTATTTATTTCTAACAAATAGGCTATGATAAAGGAAAAAAAGTAACCTGACAGATACTACCCTAACCAATTAATTAAGGTGAATATCACCAGTAACAAGTCATTTTGATACCATGTAGATGCTAATGTGATGTGATGAAGAAGACACCTAATCTCTGTGGTATTCTTCCCCCAAATTCATAGCCCCTAATGATGAGGAAACACTAGACAAACCCAAATCGAAGAACACTTTACCAAGATACCTGATCAATCCTCTTCAAAGTGTCAGTCATACAAAACAAGGAAAGACTAAGAAACTGTCACAGATTAGAAGAGATTAAAGAGACATAATGACTAAATGCAATTTGGTATCCTGTATTGGATCATGAAACAGATAAAGGGCATTAGTGAAAAAAAATGATGAAATTCAAATAAAGTCTGTGGTCTAGCTAATATTGTTATGCCAATATTAATTTCTTAGTTTTAATAACTGTACCATGGTTATGTGAAACGTTAACATTAAGAGAAGCTGAGAGAAGAGTATACGATAACTCTCTGTGCTATCTTTATACCTTTATTTCCAAATAAAAATGTAGAAGATACTAATAATAAATTGACATGCAGAAACATAATATCTTGCCAGTGAGGGGGAATTCTAAGGCTTTGCTCTCCCCTGTAGCAAAAAAGATTAACCTGAAGCAAAAAGGAAAATGAAAAAGGTAAACCCTAAACCACCAATCTAAGTCATCCACACTGAGTTTCATAAGCTATATAACTTTGTGAAGAGGAACTTTGATTTTTTGAAATGTCTTAATAAAGTATATCCTGTCTATAAGACAAATGTGTTTCTATATAGTAATAGCACTTAATTTTCAATGTTCAAATATTCATTTAATTCACCATGATACGTGAAGATACAGAGGTAAACAAACCAATTTGAACTTTGCCCTCATGAATCTTAGTCTGACAAAGAAGACAGATAAAACACAAAAAATTATTAAAGCAATGCCAGATTGGAAATATACGAAAATGCAATTTAACAAAACCATGTTCATGCATCATCTAACATCTACGAACTCCCTCTGTAACCCTACAAAGCAGCAAGCATTAGAAATCTCATCTAAAAGATGAAAAAAACACAGTCTAGTGATGATCAAGTGACTTGCTCAAACTCACATAGCTGGTCTGTGGATAAGTGACACCTAGGACTCAGGATTATTAACCCTATAACCTTTAAAACATTCACTATAACATAAGACACATTAAAATATCTTCTTAAGTTGAGAAACAAATTTCATAAAATTCACCCTTTACTAATGTACTTTGTTATTCTGTTTTCACACTGCTACAAAGAACTACCTGAGATTGGGTAATTTATAAAGGAAAGAGGTTTAATTGACTCACAGTTCTACATGACTGGAGAGGCCTCAGGAAACTTACAATCATGGCAGAAGGTGAAGGGGAAGTAAGGTACCTCTTACATGGCAGCCGGAGAAAGAGAGAGAGAGAGAGAGAAACTTCCAAATACTTTTAAACCATCAGATCTCACGAGAACTCACTCACTATCACAAGAACAGTATGGGGGAAACTACCCCCATGATCCAGTCATCTCTCACCAGCTCCCTCCCTCAACACATTGGGATTACAATTCGAGATGAGATTTGGGTGGGGACACAGAGCCAAACTATATCATTTCACTCCTGGCCTCTCCCAAATCTCATGTCCTTTTCACATTTCAAAATGAATCATGCCTTCCCAACAGTCCTCCAAAGTCTTTTCTTTTTCTTTTTTTTTTTTGAGATGAAGTCTCGCTCTGATGCCCAGGATGGAGTGCAGTGGTGCAACCTCAGCTCACTGCAACCTTCACCTCCCAGGTTCAAGCAATTCTCCTGCCTCAGCCTTCAGAGTAGCTGAGACTACAGGTGTGCACCCACCATGCCCTGCTAATTTTTGTATTTTTAGTAGAGATGGAGTTTCACCATGTTGATCAGGCTGGTCTTGAACTCCTGACCTCAGAAGATCTACCTGTCTTACCCAAAATCTTAACTCATTCTAGCATTAACTCAAAAGTCTAAGTCCAAAATCTCATCTGAGACAAGTCCCTTCAATCTATGAGCCTGTAAAATCAAAAAGAAGCTAGTTACTTTCAAGATACAATGACGGTGCAGACATTGCAAATTTTCCAAACTTTTATGCTCTGCTTCCCTTTTATACATAAGTTCCAATTTCAAACAATCTCTTTGTGAATGTATATGACTGTATGCTTTTAGAAAAAGCCAAGTCACATCTTGAATGCTTTGCTTCTTAGAAATTTCTTCAGCCAAATACCCTAAATCTTCTCTCTCAAGTTCAAAGTTCCACAGATATCTAGGGCAGGAGCAAAATCCCACCAGTCTCTTTGCTAAAGCATAGCAAGAGTCACATTTACTCCAGTTCCCAACAAGTTCCTCATCTCCATCTGAGACCACTTCAGCCAGGACTTCATTGTCCATGTCACTATCAGCATTTTGGTCACAGCCATTCAACAAATATCTAGGAAGTTTCAAGCTTTCCCTCATCTCCCTGTCTTCTTCTGGTCCCTCCAAACTGTTTCAACCTCCGTCAGTTACCCAGTTACAAAGTCGCTTCTATATTCTCTGGTATCTTTACAGCAATGCCCCACTACCTCGATACCAATTTTCTGTATTAGTCCATTTTCACACTGCTATAAAGAACTACCTGAGACTGGGTAATTTACAAAGAAAAGAGGTTTAATTGACTCACAGTGCTGCATGGCTAGTGAGGTCTCTGGAAACTTACAATCATGGCAGAAGGTGAAGGGGAAGCAAGGCATGTCTTACATGGCGGCAGTAGAGACAACGAGGGGAGAACTGCCAAACACTTTTAAACCATCAGATCTCATGAGAACTCACTATCACAAGAGCAGCATGGGGGTGGGACCAACCCCATGATCCAATCACCTCCCGCCAGATCCCTCCCTTGACATGTGGGGATTACAATTTGAGATGAGATTTGGGTGGGGACACAGAGCCAAATCATATCATGTACCATTCTATGAGTATTGACAAATGTGTGCAGTCATGAAAACCATGACAGTCAAGATACAGAATAGTCAGATGTCTGCTTCTGACTAAGGGGAAGTAACAATTCATGGATTTAGTGTCTTATCTGAAATAACCAAAAAATAGTGACAAAACATGTGAAACAACAGTTGTCAAGACACTGGACACTGGGCAAAAATGTTAGTGACCTCTGAGAGATGGGAACAAATGAAGTGAACTCTGATTGCCCCAGCTTACTGACTTAGGGTCTGTAGGTCTTGGCACAGGGCAGAAAAGCACAGGTAGTGCCCATAAGACTTCCTGACTTGAGGAGATGCATCTGAGAGTCCAGGTAGACCAAGGTCGTGAGAGTTCATATGGGAGAGTACAAGGGAAGAGAGGCTGGCAAACAGAGACAATCCAGGAGATCAACAGAGAGTCCCTTCTAATATACTGCAGAGTCAGGATCAGTGCCTGTTATGTGAGGGAACTAATCAAAGCCAGTTAAAGAATCACCTGAAAGGATTAGAAAGAACAGTGTCTGAGGTTTGCACAGTGCTGGGAATAGTGCCTATTCTTATTAGCCAGACTGGAAACCTCATAATTCACATTGAGTAGAGTATTAGGAGGATCTTGCCCCAGGAGTGAGGCATAATCAGACCTAGAATAAATGCAAATCTGATTCTAACAAATCTTAACAGAAGAATTCAAACATAACAAACTGTTGACAAATAATTTAATGGTATGCCAGAACAATATTCAAGAATATTTATAAGATTACCAAAATATTCAGCACCTAATAAGATGAAATTCAAAATCTCTGGCAGCCAAAGATTACATATATGCCAAGAAACAAAAAATTATGACTCATAATGCAAGGAAAAGGTCAATAAATTGACACCAACCCCGAATTGACACATATATTAGAAGTAGCAAACAAGGTTATTGAAATAGTTATAATTTTATTTCATATTTCAAAATTTAAGTAGGGACATGGATGATAAATACACTCAAATAAAACTTGTGAATATAAAAAGCATATCTGAGATGAAAAAATTACTGGATGAGATAAATGGGTGATGGGATACTAAAAAAGATAAGATTAATTAATTTGAAGGTACCGTGTTAAACATCATCCAAAATGAAATATACAGAGAAAAAGAATTTTTAAAAAATGGAAAGAGCATCAGTGAGCTGTGTGATAAAGTTAAGTGGCCTAACATATGGGTAATATAATTGGAGTGCCCAAAAAAGAGAAGGAAGACAGAAAAAAACCTGAAAAAAAATAATATTCAAAATTTTCACAAATTGATGAAAAATCTAAACCCACATAAAATTGATGAAAAATCTAAACCCACATAGCCAAGAATCTCAACCAACACCAAACATGAGAAACAAAAAGGAAACTACAGCAAGGCCCCACATAACCAAGTTGCTCAAAACTAGTAATGAAGAAAAAAATATTTTAAAAAGACAGAGAGAAAAGATGCTTTATATGGGGGAATGAAGGTTGACAGCAGACTTCTTATCAGAAACAATGCAAATGAGAAGAAAGCAGAGCAACATCTTTAAAGAAGTACTGAAAAAAAAACTAAAATTGTATACCTAGTGAAAACATCTTTCAAAAACACAACTGAAATGAAGATTATTTTTTTTACAAAATGTAAATGCTGAAAGAATTTATTTCAAGCAGACCCATATTACACAAAATATGAAGACCTTCAAGCAAAAGGGAAAGTGTACCAGATGGAAATATAGATCTACATAAAGATGAAAAGCATCAAAAATGGTAACTGCATAATTATGTATATAAGATTTTTAAATTAATGCTTAATTCTACATAAAGGATAACTGACTTTAAACAAAAATAATAAAAAATGTAGCATGGGCTTATAATATTGTAAAAGTAAAATGTATGACAATAGCAAAAAACTTATGAAGGGGAAATGAGAATATACTATAGTAAAGGTTTTACACTGAGTCAGGATTTCTCAACATAACATTACTGACATTTGGGATGAAGGATTCTTTGTTCTGTGGGAATAGTCCTGTGGTTTGTAGGCTGTTGGAACCATCCCTGACCCCTGCCCCCTGCCCCCAATAGATGCCAGTAACAACACCCAAGATGCAGCAACCAAAAATTTCTCCAGACATTACCAACCAAACGTCTCCCTGAGGCAAAGTATTTTACCCTTGGCAACTACTACTATAAGTGAATGGGAATTATATCACTTGAATGTAGACTGTGATAAGTTAAAGACATATATTATAAGTCATATCGCAACCACTAAAATAAAGGAACAAAGAGTTATATGTATAAGCCAACAAAAGAAGTAAGACAGAATCATAAAATCTACTCCATTGACCCAAAAGAAGACAGGAAAAAAGGTAAAGGAAAGGACAAAAATAATGGTAATACAAGATAATTAATCTAACCATCTCAATTATCATATTAAACGTAAATGGCTGAAATACCCCAATTAAAGCCAGATATTTCCAAATTGTATAGAAAAGCAAGACTAAACTATTTGCTGCCAACAAGAAACACATTATGTATAAAGATGCAAATGGATTAAAAGTAAAAGTGGGAAGAGTTATGTCACACTAACACTTGTCATAAGAAAGCTGGAGGGGTTATTTTAATATCTTAGAGAAATTTTAACATCCTAATCTCAATAATTAATAGAACAAGAACATAAAAAATCATCAAGGATATAAGAGGCTTGAACAACACTGTCAAACTGACCTGACATTTATAGAACACTCCACCAAAGAACAGCAGAACACACATTCTTTTAAAATGCACATAGATCATTTACAAAATAGCCATATTCTGGGCTACAAAACAAATCACAATAAATTTAAAAGGAAGCAAGTCATAAAAAGTATGTTACCTAAACACAATAGAATTAAATAAATCATCAAACAATCCAAAAATTTGCCAAATATTTGAAAACTAAATAAAACACTTCTAAATAATCTACAGATCAAAGAATAAACCAAAAGAGAAATCAGAAAGTGTCTTGAACTGAATGAAAATTAAAACACATGTCAAAATTTGTGAGGTTTAGAGCACTAAAAGCCCATATTGAGGGGGGAAAAGGTAAAAAATCAATGACCTCAGATTTCACATTAGGAAACTAAAAAAAAAAGAAAAAGAGAGAGCAGATAAAGCCCAAAATAACTAAAGAAAAGAAATGACAAATAACAGAAGAAAAAACAATATAATACAAAATAGAAAAACAGCAGGAGAAAAAAGGAACCAAAAGCTGTTTTTTGTGAACCATCAATAAAATATATAAACATCTAGCCAGATTGATCTAGAATCAAAGATGTACACAATTATCTATATCAAGAATAGGGTGAGGAAGGTAACATTATTTGGGATTCTAAGGACAATGGAAGGAAAATAAAGGGAAAACTTTAGTCCTATGATTTTGACAAGTTAGATAAAATAGATAAATTCCCTGAAAGACAAAAACTATCAAAATTCACTAAAGAAGAAATAGATAACTTGAATGGCTCCATATCAAAAAGAAAATGTATTTGTGATTAAAAGCTTCCCATAAAGAAAATTCCAAGCACAGCTTCACTAGTGAAATTTACCAAACATTGAAGCAAGGAACAATATAAATTCTACTTAATCTCTTGGCAAAAATTTGGAGAAGAGAGAATATTTTGAAATTTATTTTATGAGGCTAGTATCACCCTAATATCAACACCAGATTACAATATTACTTAATGGTGAAAGAATGAAACTTTGCCCCTCAGATCAGAAACAAAATTAAATGTCTGCTCTCAGTATTTCAACATTTTACTGAAGGTTCTAGCCAGCGTGGTAAAGTAAGAGAAAAAAATTAAAAGCATCTAAATTGTATCTGTATTGTAAATGAAGCAAAAAGAAACTGTCTTTATTTACAGATAAAGTGATTATCTGTGTAGAGAATCCCTTGGAATCTACAAAAAAAAGGTAGTAGACTAATAAGTGACCTTAATAAGGCTGCAGTATACAAGTTCAATATGCAAAATTGTACTTCTATATACCAGGAATGTACAATCAAAAGTGAAATTAAGATACAATACCATTTACAATAGCATCCAAATATAAAATACTTAAGAATAAATCTGACAAAATATGTGTCATACCTACACACTGAAAACTACAAAACATTACAGAAAGAAATTAAAGAAAACCTAAATAAATGAAACTATGCACCTTGTCCAAGGGATGGAAAACTGAATACTCTTAAGATATTGTGATGGTTAATTTTATGTCAACTCAACTAGGTGCCCAGATATTTGGTAAAATATTATTCTGGGTGTATCTGTGAGGATGTTTTTGGATAAGATGAACACTTGAATTGGGAGACTGAGTAAAACAGATTGTCCTCCCTAATATGGGAGCCCCTTGTCAAGTCAGTTGAAGGCCTGAATAAAACAAAAAGACCAACCTTCCAGTAAGAGGGAACTCCTGCCTGACTGCTTGAATGGGACATTGGCCTGCTCTCACTTTCAGACTGAAACTCACACAATTGGCTCTCCTGATTCTCAGGCCTCTGGATTTAGATCTTAGACTTGTCAGCCTCCAGAATCACACAAGCCAACTCCTCATAATATATCTATCTATCTATCTATCTATCTATCTATCTATCTATCTATCTATCTATCTATCTATCCATCTACCCATATTATATATAATATATACACACATATATACACACACATTATATATATACACATGATATATATTATATATACATATATATGTTCAGATATGTATATATAATATATAATGTGTATATATATAATGTGTGTATATATAATGTGTATATATATAATGTGTGTATATATGTGTATATATATAATGTGTGTATATACGCACACACACACACACAGACATCCTATTGGTTCCGTTCTCTGGAGAACCCTGATTAAAACAGATTTCAATTCTCCCCAAAATTAGCTTATAGATTCAATGCACTCCCAATCAAAAATCCCAGCAGGCTTTTTTGTAGAAATTGGCAAGATTATTCTAAACTTCAAATGGAAATGCAAAAAAAATGTTTTGGCTATTTTAGAAAAATATAAAAACAAAAAGTTGGAGGTCTAACACTACCTGACTTCAAAACTCATGAAGTTACAATAATCAACACGCTATGGTGTTGGCATAAAGATAAGACACATAGATCAATGAAACATTAAGAGAGATTCTAGAAATAGACCCACACCTATACGTACAAGTGATTTTTGCCAAGGTACAAAGGCAATTTGGAAGGGAAAATACAATCTTTCAATAAATGCTGCTGAAACAAATGGATATCCACATGCAAAAAAAAGGAGCTTTCATTTATACCTCATGCCATGTACAAAAATTAACTGAAAGTGGTTCACGGACGTAAAGTAAAATGATAAGACTTTCAGAAGAAAATAAATGGTAAAATCTTTGTGAGTTACACAAAGGTTTCTTAGGTACAACACCAAAACAATCATCCATAAAAGAAAACAATAGACTTCAGCAAAATTAAAAACTGCCACACTTTAAAAGACACTGTTAAGGTAATGACAAAGGCAAGCCATAGTCTGGGAGGAAATATTTTCAAATCACATATCTGATAAAATAACTTTATATAGTCTATATTTAGAACTCTCGAAACCCATAATAAAAAAGGCAAATAAAAATTTAAAATGACAAAAGATACGAGACACACTTCATCAAAGAAGCTATACTGATGGCAAATAGGTACATGATAAGATGTTCAACATCAATAGTCATTAGGGAAGGCAAATTATAACCACAATGAGACACTACTACACATCCATTGGAATGTTTAAAATTAAAGGCAGTCCATACAACGTGTTGTCACGGATGTAGAGCAACCGGAATTCTCACACACTGCTAGTGGGAATGTAAAATGGCACAATCGCTTTGGAAAGCAGATTGGCAGTTTCTTAAGAAACTAAACATGTGATCCAGCCATTCCACTTTTAGATATTTACCAAAGATAAATTAAAGCATATATCCATGTATTTGTACTCAGATGTTCATAGCTGCTTTATTTGTAGTAGTCAAAAACTGGAAACAATCTAAATGTCCATCTGCAGATGAATAAATAAACAAATCATGTTTTACCATACAATGGACTACTGCTTAACCACAGAAAGGAATCAGTTATTGATATACACAGTACTATGAATGAATCTAAAAAAAATGCTAAGTAGAAGAAGCCAGATAACAGAGCACATACTATAAGATTCCATTTATCGACTGGCAGTAGTGGCTCACACCTGTAATCTCAACACTTTGGGAAGCTGAGATGGGTGGATCACCTGAGGTCGGGAGTTCAAGACCAGCCTGGTCAACGTGGTGAAACCCTGTCTCTACTAAAAAATACAAAAATTAGCCGGGCGTGGCGGCAGGCGCCTGTAGTCCCAGCTACTCAGGAGGCTGAGGAGGCGAATGGTGTGAATCCGGGAGGAGGAGCTTGCAGTGAGCAGAGATCACGCCACTGCACTCCAGCCTGGGTGACAGAGAGAGACTCCGTCTCAAAAAAAAAAAAAATAAATAAATTAGCCGGGCATGGTGGTGCGTGCCTGTAGTCCCAGCTATTCGGGACGCGGAGGCAGGAGAATCGCTTGAACCCGGGAAGTGGAGGTTGCAGTGAGCCGAGATCACGCCACTGCACTCCAGCCTGGGCAACAGAGTGAGACTCCATCTCAAAAAAAAAAAAAAAAAAAAGATTCCATTTATACAAAATTCTAGGAAATGCAAATTTATCTACAGTGACAGAAAGCAGCTCATGGCTGCCTGAGAACGGGGTGGCCTTGGGAGCAGGGGGCTGGGGCTACAAGGGCAAATGAGAAAACGTGAGGGTAAAGGATGTGTTAATTATCTTGATTGTGGTGATGGTTTCGTGAATAAATACACATGTGAAATTTACCAATGTGTAACTTTAAATGTGTGATTTGTTGTATGTCAATTATACCTCGATTTTAAGAGGAAGAAAAGAATATATAGAACAGTCACTATGCCCGTTTTCATAAGGCTCAGAAGTAGTTAGCAACACAAAGATTTATTATGCATAGTTTATGGTGAAATAGCACTAACACACACATTAAGCATATGATGATAACAGAGAGATCTTTTAGAATTTCTCAGATGTTCTGCCTCCCATTTTTGGATGGTCTTTACTGCAGACAGGGGTCATATCTGCTCTTCCACTGATATTTCCCTGACCCCTATTGGTCCTGTCCTACTCACTATAGGCAGCAATGCTCATAGCTCACCACCCAGTACCTGCCCTAATGTGAAGTATCTGCAGTGAGATGGAAAGTACTGAAGGGGGTGATCCCCTGAGCATTATAGATTATTCCAGAAGGATGACGTTGCTCATATGGCATGTCAACTGCTAGCTGTCTGCTGTAAGTTAGTAAGAGGATTAACACCATCCTGGAAGTATGGCCCTGAGAATATACTATAAAATAGCTATTGGAACATGTACTATGACCTAGCCATGATAAGAGGTCAGCAAATTCTGGCCAATATACCACAGCATCTGCCATTTGATAAACTTAGCATGACAAGGGCAGTGCTGACTCATGTTGGTATTCTAGCCCATAAAAACATCCTAGGAATCTGGGCAGAGCTGTCTGTAGATTTAAACCCTGATGTTTCGGAATGTGAGAGGAATGAAGGGGCCCACACAGGCTTATGATCTACAGCCAGGAAGCCTTGCTGATTTACAGTGGCCGCCACATCTCTGAACCTTCAGCATTCATCCTCTATTCCAGTGGTCACACAATGCACCAGGTATTGCGTGGTGCCTGGTATTGAGGTCTAACGTGATAACCTGGCTCTTGCAGTGAAACTCAACCTTTCATATTCATTCATTCATATAATAAATATCCATTAGGTACCTGCAATGGCAGAGTACTTTGTTGTATACTGGGGTTACCAGGATGACTAAGACAAGCACTACCCTCTTGGAGGTGAAGTTCACGAAGGGGAGATGGACATTAAATAACTGGTTACATGGTAAGTGATCTGGTGATAATAGTGGTGAGAGCTAAATGTATAGTTGGAAACAAGAGCCTGGAACAGAACAACGTGTGTGGTCTGGAGGATTGGGGAAGACTTTCTGGAGAAAAGGACATCAGAGATGACACCTGAGGGATGAATAAGAGTTCTTCAGGGTAATCAGAGGTGGGAATTTCAGGCTCAGGGAAAGGAGAGAAGAGCACTTCTTGAGGAATGAGAAGCATGCAGCGGAGAGAGGGAAGCAGGACAGAAGACAGATAACAAGGCTCTGCAGACTGTGTTAAAGGTTTGGGGAGAATGGAAAGCCATTAAGGAAGTCGCATTTTACCATCTTTATTACACTGTAAATTCCCTAGAGCACAGGGATTATGTCAAACTAAAAGAAAATAGCCTATCACCCACAAAATTCTACCTGCAAGTAATAATTCTAAAACTTTGCCCAAGGTTCTCTAGGATGCCTAACTGGGGTTCTCTATTTATAAATCTTTTCTAAAATGCCTGATCTCACTTTGCAATTTTGTTCAGGACAATAGATCAAATTCCACCAAACCTCTTATTTGCAGATGAAGTAGCTTACAGAGGAATGCTGTGTCAGTTAGGGTCTAGAAGTTAGAGAGAGGGAATAGCAGAGCTGGAGGGGAGAGGAGAGATCATCCAGGCCCACACATTAGAAGAAGCTTTCCCGGGGCAAAGGAGAGGGCCTGGGGCAGACCCAGGCATCCCAAGCCCTAACCCAAGTTCTTTTGACTCTAGGATGTTCCTTAAAGATTGTCATCTGGTTTTGCTTTTTCCTTATCACCCTCCTAAAAGTCAAACACAAAAAAACACAGTAACTAGAGGGTTCAAGATTGTTGGATTTCAGCTAATCCAGGTTGTTTTTTGAGGTAGAAGAGCTGAAGTGGAATTGGAAGCAAGTGAAGCATTAAGGCAATGGAAATTTCCTGGACACCTGCTTGGGCCAAGCATAATGCCAAACACTCAGGACCCCCAGTGTTGCTCTCAATAGCCCTGTGAGACCAGCATTATTAGCCCCATCTTACAGATGAGGAAACTTGGCCTTGTTATACCTTGCCCAAGACCTACAAAGATAGTAAGTGGTTATAAGAAAGAAATCTGGAATTTCAATGTAGGTCAGTCTGGCTCAAAAGCCATGTTTTTCCTAGTCAGCTCCACGGCTGATTAGGTTGGGTCCCCACACAATGATGAAATCACCTTATCTTTTGGAGAATTTGCCTGCTTGCTGCTTGTTACTCTCAAATGCGGGACTCTGAAAAGTTTGCCACGTTCCCAGGAGATACTGATCTCCACGTTCCCAGGAGATACTAAGACCTTCCTCCCCAGGGAATTTAGCACCTGGAGTAAAATGGCCTACAGTGGGTTAGGCCCAAAGCATGACAAGACAAAGACACAAGAAATCCCCAAACCAATCTTTTCCTCTTATTTCATTGGAGCCTTTTACCATGTTGGAAAATTATCTCTACCCTGTCCAAAGAGCCACTAAAAGTGAATTCTCTACACTGGCCTCCTGTGTCCTCAGGCAATGAGGGACATGCTCTCTCTCTCTCTCTTTCTCTCTCTCTGTCTCTCTCGCTCCCGCTCTCTCTCTCTCTCCCTCCCTCCCTCCTTCCTTCCTTCTCTCTGTCATCTTCAGTTTCCCCAGAGGGAGCAGCAATCCTGCTGCCCAGCAATACCCAGAACTTTGATGTTGTTTCTTGAGAAGAAAGAAGGAGGAACCAGACATGTGTCATTCCCAGAGAGAAAATGAATCACAACTCCTGTAGTTACTTGGAAATCTCTGAGGTGCTACCCTCACCCCATCTCCTCACCCATTCCAAGAGAAAGGGTTCCAGTTCATTGTTCCTTGGGGGCTCAGAAAGAAACAAAATGTCTTTTTTCTCCTTTATCCAGAAAATATTTCTCAACATTCACTCCATCCAGCAGATAAGGCTATTTTAACACTGTTTGCTTTCCAGATGTGTAAGGCAGCCCAGGACTCATACCCGTGGTATCTCATATCAGAAATGAAACTTGGCTTTGGAACTAAGCTCCAAAGGTGATGATCAAGACTCTCATCCTTCAATTTCTCCTATTCTCTCCCACTTCAGGATTGGGACGCAGGTAGAAGCTGAAGAAGGCTAAGACAGAAGTTTGAGCAAAAACCAATGATTAGAATTCATATTCCTGAAAGCAAAAGGAAAAGAGAAGAAATGTGCTCTTATAAAAAGAGCATTGATTAGGGAGTAACAGTTGCAGATTTTATTTGTAGCTTTGGCATCTACTACCTGGATTAAGTAGGCAAGACACTCCACCCTGCCGACCTCGGATTCTTCTCCTGTGACATGAGAGTCTCTGGCTTCACCTTGAAAGTAACTCTGATACAGGCTGAATATCCCTTGTCTCAAATGCTCCAGATCAGAAGTGTTTCAGGCTTTAGATTCTTTCAGATTTAGGAATATCTGCATATACATAATATGCAAAGATAGGACCCAAGTATAAATACAAAATTTACTTAGGTTTTATATACACCCTATACACATAGCATGAAGGCAATGTCAAACAATGTTTTTAATAATTTTGTGCATGAAAAAAAGTTTGTGTTAAAGCCCTTATGTGTGGAATTTTCTACTTATGGTACCGTACTGGCACTCAAAAATTTTGAATTTTGGAGCATTTTGGATTTTAGATTTTCAGATTGGGAATGCCCAACCTCCAATAACATTCTACTATTCCTGTAGTCTTGTGAGATGGAGAGATTGTAAGGAAGGGAAGAGATGGGCAGGAAGAACATAGGGACAGAGGTGGGGCTTCAGAATAAATAGAGTAATTGACAGACAGCACAAAGAACACTTGAAAAAGAGAGACCAAAAGAGCATCCAAAGGATAAAATAGTTCAGAATCAGAGAAATAGTTTGTGTTAGTTGAACTTGCATCTAGATAAGACCAGAGCCAACCTCAAAGAGAGCCCAGTGCTGGCAGAAGAAGAGAGAGTAGAAAGAGAAGACAGGGCTGCTTGTCTGTCCTCCCACCTGCTCTGGGCCCCAGAACTCCTCCCATCTCTCTGCAAGGCAGGCAGGCAGGCAGGCTGAGACTCCGGCTAGTTGTGGAGGAAGGATCTACCCAAGTCTCGTGGCTTTCTAAGAAGACAAGCTTTGATCTATAAAAAGTTAAGTACTATGATTTGAATGAGCATGCGCCAAGCCTTCTGAATCAGTGACTAGAAAGAGCTTGCATTTAATGTAAATTTAGAATAACAAAGCAGGGTGGAATGCTGGGTGGGGTGGGGACAGGCAGAGAGAGAATGAATATAAATTATCTCTGGAGGTAGGAGTTGATTGTGGGAAAGCTGAGACTCTAAGTTCAGAGGGCAGGAAGGACGAGGAGACAGAAACTCCCAAGGGTGCAGAGTGGCCTCCTGATGTCCGTGGGCTGGACCGTCAGTGATCCTGCCTGCCCCAGGCCTGGCAGGACTGGCTATGACTTGCTGCTGGAGGGAAGCTTGGTAGGATTTATGAGATGAGCTAGTGAGATGTTCTTGGCAAGCCGAAACTATAAATGTACAATACTTTATCTCCTGCAGGAATGTTTTATGAAAAGGAAAGATGGGAAATGTCTACATAAAATAGAGCTCCAGCCACTGGTCAAGGAGAGTGGCCTCTCTCTGGAGCCACATCAAAGGCACAGCTCTGTCTGCACCCTGTGGCCTCTGCAGAGCCTTCTCTGGGAGCTCAGAAGTTTACTGAGAGCCAAGCAGAGAAGGGAGCACACCCACTGCCAGTGCTCTTCTAGGATTGTCAAGAGGAAGAGGAGCAGGGTCTGCTGGGGAAACTGCTGTTGCCCCTTCCAGCTCCCTGGAAACTTCTTCACCATCCAGAGTGCTTCAGTGGGGCTGAAGCCTGATAGAGCTTTGTAGTAGGAGCTCTAAACAAGAAGTCAGGCAATTGACCTAGAGTCTGTAACTAGATAGCCACAGGGCTTGGAGAATGTCACTTTCCTCCCCAAGTTCATTTTCTTAGAAAATGAGACAATTAAAGATGAATGAATGGTATTCTAACAGTCTTCTCCAGGAACCATGAAAAGGCAGAACTGGCTTTTGAATTTCAAGGGAAGAAAAAGTAATCTCTTGAGCAGGAGGATAATATTTAGAATTAGATGCAAGTCCCATCCCTACTAAGTTACCCCTAACTGCCTACACTCCAGTGAATAAGACCAGCCAAGATGAAATAAGAAACATAAGCAAAACACTTTGGGGCTGATAGAGGAGGTTTGTTTCACGTGAACTTCAATGTCATCTTCTTGGAGTCTCTGAGAAGCTGCAACCTAATCTTAACTTTCCTGAAGATGCTGCAACTTCATCCCAGGCATTTTGGTTTTTCTTTCTGCTTCTTCCTTGGGGACACTTCACTGAAAATAAAGTGCCCACAGCAGGGCTGATGAGCTCATGCAGAGACTTTGCGTAAATTAGAAAAAAGGTAACCCCATGCCAGGGCAAACAGCTTCGGCAGTGTTGTGCAGAACGGATTTCAGCCCTCATTTGATTTATTTAGCTAGATGCTCCCATACAACCTGCACGAACTACACATCTGTAGCTGAAGTGCAAGGGGGCATAGGGTAGTTGCTCAAAATCTACATGTCAATAATAATAGTGCGTTACTACATGCCATACATCAGTTTTCCGGGGAAGCAGACTCAGAGTTGAACATGTGAATTGACAGGAACACTCCCAACCTCAACACCTACAGGAGAGGAAAAGAAGCAACACTGAACAGAGGGAGAAGCTGAACCACAATGCAGCTGCAGCAAAGACCTCAACCCACCCTGTAGGGAGCTCTACAAGCGAGATGGTCCTTCTGAGTTGTTTAGAATTTGATAAGGCTGGGCTTTTATACGTCCTGTGTAGACCAGTTGCAGATACGGACCGTAGTTAATTCTTACCATTTTATGTTGCCTTGGCATACATTTTGAATATAGGTTTGACTTTCTCATACCAGCAACAGGGCTTTGTCACCCTTGACTCGGTTTCTACTTCTCCGCCTCCTCTCAGTTCATTCTTCAGTGTAATCGAACCAGATATCTGCCTTATACGACTGCCTCCTGGTGACCACTGCCCCATAGGACAGCTAGATACAACCTACTTGACTCACCCCCATATTGCATATGGAATGTGCAGATATGCCACAGTGACCTTCTCTCAGTCACAGTGTGAATCTACAGAACTCATGCCTGCTTGCTATAAACTCACCAATTAGAGCTTCCCCCCGGAAACCTACTTGGGTAACACCCTGCACCCCAGTGAAAGCTTTGGCCTACAGGTCCTTTTGTCCCTCTTGCTCCCCACTGACTGGTTAAGTGCAGGTGTCCTGGATGCCTCCAACATCCTGTTGGCTTTGCAGCATGCTGTCTTCTCTCTGGGGTCTGTGAGTAATTAACTGCTTCTGCTATGCCATGGGTTTTGTTGTGCTGCCTCCTCTGTGTCTCACCTGGACCTAACTCTCCTCCTGGGCAAGGCTCTCCTAGAGAGGGGCTGTCTTGGTAGAAATAAACTGGACATAGGTCAGACAAGAGCCACAAGGGCATCTGCCAGTATAAACAAGTTTCCTGGGAGAGGAAACTTCAGGGTTAGACACTTAGGCATTAGGCTGTCATCCAGGATGAAAAAGTATTCCATGAAAGGCACATTGTCAACATCCACAGCCACCTCCTTTGGAGCTCCATCAAAGCAGGGCTAGAATTTACAGTCACTCTCTAGAGAGAGACCTCAAGTCCAAAATAAGGAAAATAAAACATGGGCTATCCTTGGGAGGGAGGCATGGCTTTGGGGGAAAAAAGGCCTAAAAGGCAAGGGCAAGTGCTGAAGAGTAGTCAGCAAACATTTGTAGCATCTAGGGGAACACAAGCTTTGATTAAGGTGGCTCTGATGCATCCACTGCACTGTGTTAATTCCTTCGCAGTTTAACAGGCATGATCTGTGCAGATATCTTCTCATTTGCCCTTCCAGATAGACTCTCTACCTTTCTCCACTCTGCTTCCTTCTCTGGGAGGCTGACTTGTGTGGATTACATCAGCAGGCTCTCATGCCCTTCAATTCCCTCTTGTGTTTGGTCAATAGAGCCCTGGGAGAAGATGAGAGGGAGAGAAGAAGAGTGAGGGTCAGGGTGCTTAATTCCTTCACTCCCTCTCTGCAAAGTCACCTTGGTTTGGATGCCTCCTCCAGTTGAAGGTCAAGGGCTTTTACCCAAAATTCTCTCTGCAGACCACTGAATCTCTTCTTCCAAGTGCTGGTGACTGCTCCCTCTCCTCACCCTTCTAGCCTCAGCGCTGTAACAGGCCTCCCTCGCCTCCACCCCTCCATGTTACTAATACTGGGCTGCTGCTTTATCTGTGTGATTTCTCCAAACTCTGCCCACACCTTTGTAAAGAGTCCTTTAGTAAGCCCTCTTCGAGTTATCCTAATTTGGTTTCTCTGAGTACCCAGATAAATACTTTCAGACGTACTTTGTCTCATGTTTTCCTCTCTACCACCCTGAGAATCAGATATTCTTATCCCCACTTTAGAGATAAAGAAACAGGCTCAGAGATGTTATGTGACTTGCCCAAGGTCCTTGTTAGGGAGATGGTCCTCGTCAGCTGACTTAGGTCTATCGTCTACCTCACTGTAACACCCGAGTGTTTCCCTGAGATTATTCCCTTTTCCCACCACAGCTCAGAGAGGGGCCAGCAGAAGAAGGGACCATTGTGGTATTTGAGACCACAGAACATTCTAAAATTTCACATGAGGATGAAAGTGGTACATAGAACACCGAGGAGTGTGTATTTCATTTCAGTCCTGGAGCTGGGAGAAAAGGATGGGAGAGTCCACTTTCTGATTCATACCCTATTCAGCCTTCTGGAAAACTTAAGTTTCTTTTCCAAATTCCCTTTCTCAATTAGAAAATTAAGCTATTTCAGAATCCAGGTCTGTCCCAATCTGCTGCCTGACCCTAAGGAGGTCACATGACCTTTAGGTCTTTGGTTTCTTAGTCTGCACAAAGTAAGACGAATTAACCATATGAACCCCAAGCCTCCTTCCATCCTGTGTGTCTATAAGCTCCTTGTTCTCTTTGCTTCCTTTATCCTAAAGACAGACAACAGTCATGTGGTTAAACCCTCATACCAACGATTGTTAGTCTCATCTCTGGGAAAAAGAGGAAGGAGCTCAGATGATGCTGTACACAAAGACTCACTTGTTAGCTGTAAAGAGCCCTTCTCAAGGTCTTTTTCAGCCCTTGCTTTTAACCAGGGTAGCAGTTAAGTCCAATGAGAAAGTAAAGGTCAGGCTTTAATACCTAGGTGAAGAGTTGCTAAGTGATGGGTTTATAGGCGCAGCAAGCCACCATGGTACACGTTTACCTATGTAACAAACCTGCACATCCTGCACATGGACCCTAGAACTTTAAAATAAAATAAAATAATAATAATTTCTAAAAACAGAAAGTAAAGATACTGGTTTAGTTTGCACTGCTCCTGAAGCCCCTATGTATGGCAAATTCCTTGACTCTCAATCCCATTTGGGGTGGAGTCTCTCTATCTTCTTGGTCAAATGCAGATAGATCCTCCTTGTATGAAATATCTTTTGTCCTGGTTTACTTACATTTCCCTACATTATTGACAAATCATGGGGCCCAGGAACCAGCTAAGAATGAGACATTCCACTCTGGTGCTGCCACCAATCCAAAGAGCTTTCACTCAGGGAAGCGCCTGCACAAGACAGGAAGAAGAAAATGCTTCTGCATCCCTTTCTACGCTCCTACTCCTCAACTTTGGATTAAGAATTAGGGACCCTGAATTCTAGTCCTAATACACCCATTAACTTTGGGCAAGTCACTTCCATTCTCTAGACCTCTTTTCATTATCCATTAAAACGAGTAATTGAATAGCATTATCCTTTCTAGTTCTAACTTCCTATGAACCTATAAGGATGAGTATGTTTGGGGTAGATTGATTTGGATAGATGGCATCTTTACATGGGTTCCCCAGAAAACAGGATCTGAGGAGAGACTTAAGTGTTAACAGTTTACTTATAGGTGCAATCCTAGGGCAGCAAGAGAAGGGATAAAGGACATAGGACAAGAAAGATTGAGAAGCCGCAGTGGTGTCTTATCAAAGAAGCCCAAAGTGTCACTCAATCCCACTGGACATCTTTGCACAAGTTGTACAGAAAAAAAAAAAAATACCATTGGAGAGAAGAAAAATCAGGAATTTATCTGCAGACACCTTCCCATTTCCTCTCTCCCATTGGTCAAAGTTTGATCATTGGGGAGTTATTTTTTCTGTTGTTCTGGGCTGTGTCATCTGAACCCTTCAAAAGTAACTGGGAAAGTGAGATCCTTCAACCAGAAATGTAAGGCTATGTAAACCAAAAATAAAATTCTAAGGCCCCCCAACCAACTGAATGGACTTCCTCATCAGCCAGGGCACCCTTAAAATTTAACCTGAAAGACAGGTGCAGGTCATGATGGGAAGAGGGTGCCAGACATGTCTCCTTATACCTCTCCAGCGTAATATCAACACAGATTTTAAGTCTGATAAGAAACATTTACAAGCTGTTCTCTCTGAAGCCTGCTACCTGAAGGCTTCCTCTGCACAATAAGAACCTTGGTCTCCACAATCTTTTATCTTAACCCAGACATTTCCTTTCTATTGATCCCAAGTCTTCAGATAAACTTTACCAATTGTCAATCAGAACATTTTAAAATCTACCTATAACCTGAAAGCACCTCCCCCACCCCCCCACCCCCCACCCTCTCACCACGCTTCAAGTTGTCCTGCCTTTCTGGACCAAACCAATGTATTTCTTAAATGTATTTTGTTGTGGGAAGTCAGGGACCCTGAACGGAGGGACCAGCTGGAGCCGAGGGAGAAGAACATAAATTGTGAAGATTTCATGGACATTTATCAGTTCCCAAAATTAATACTTTTATAATTTCTTACGCCTGTCTTTACTGCAGTCTCTGAACATAAATTGTGAAGATTTCATGGACATTTATCACTTCCCCAATTAATACTCTTATAATTTCTTATGCCTGTCTTTACTTTAATCTCTTAATCCTGTTATCTTCGTAAACTGAGAATGTACGTCACCTCAGGACCACTATTGTAAAAACTGATTGTAAAATAAAAGTGACTGTAAAACTGATTGTAAACTGATTGTGTGTTTGAACAATATGAAATCAGTGCACCCTGAAAAAGAACAGAGTAACAGCGATTTTCAGGGAATGAGAGAAGATAACCATAAGGTCTGACTGCCTGCAGGGTCAGGCACAATACAGCCATATTTTTCTTCTTGCAGGGAGCCTATAAACAGACATGCGAGTAGGAGAAATATTGCTGAATTCTTTTCCCAGCAAGGAATATTAATAATTGAGACCCTGGGGAAGGAATGCATTCCTGGGGGTAGGTCTATAGACAGCCACTCTGGGAGTGTCTGTCTTATGCAGTTGAGGTAAGGACTGAAATACGCCCTGGTCTCCTGCAGTACCCTCAGGCTTACTAGAATTGGGAAATTCCAGCCTGGTAAATTCTAGTCACACCAGTTGTCTGCTCTCAAATCCTGTTTCCTGTTAAGATGTTTATCAAGACAACACATGCACAGCGGGACACAGACCCTCATCAGTAATTCTAATTTTGCCTTGTCTTGTGATCTTTATTGCCCTTTGAAGCATGTGATTTTTGTGACTTACTCCCTGTTTGTACACCCCCTCCCCTTTTAAAATCCCTAATAAAAACTTGCTGGTTTTGCAGCTTGGGGTCACCATCATGGTCCTACCAATATGTGATGACACCCCTGGAGGCCCAGCTGTAAAATTTCTCTCTTTGTACTCCTTCTCTTTATTTCTCAGACTGGCCGACACTTAGGGAAAATAGAAAGAACCTATGTTGAAATATTGGGGGCTGGTTCCCCCAATAGTATTTGATTGAACTCTCATGTCTTCCTAAACTGTATAAAACCAAGCTGCACCCCAACCACCTTGGGTACATGTTCTCAGGATCTCCTGAGGCTGTGGCTGTGTCACGGGCCATGGTCACTCATATTTGGCTCAGAATAAATCTCTTCAAATATTTTACAGAGTTTGACTCTTTTTGTCAAAAGCTACATCCAACCTGGAAGAGGTGGGAAGAGCCAGGGAGCTCAGCAATCGATTGATCTGCCTCCTAGAGTGGAATTGTGCCAAATCACCCAGAGCCTGTCCTCCTAGCAGAGGGAGGCCGCTAAGTGTTGGGGAGATGCTGAAGCTGAACAAAGCTAAGGAGACACAGACATTGTGCATGGCTAGACCTGGATAGAATGGAAAGGTGTACCAGAGGACAGCTCAGGCTCCTTCATTCAACAAATGTCTCCTGAGAAATTTGGATACAGAGATCCAACAACTTTTCCTGCCCTCAGGCAGCACACCCTCTACTAGGGAGACAGGCTTAGAAAAAGGCAATTACAGCAAGATAACCATGACACAGATCATTGTGGATGATTCTACTTAGCTCCCTGATTTACTTATAGGAAAATGAAACTCAGACTTGACCAGTTTCATTCAGGAGATCTATGGGGAACAAGACCTAGAAAGCCCAGGCTGTTAATTTGCAAGTCAAGGCTTCCTTTACTGCCCCTCTTCTAAAGGCACAAAAGTGCTTTAGAGCCAGCTGTTCTAAAACAAGAGTAGATTTAAAAGATCCAACAGCATCAGGCCACATTGCTCAACTCTGCATACATTTGCCTGCAGATCAAAATGATGTGACATTAACTGGAAGGGTAGGGTGGTGGTGGGGGTGGTTAAGATGGAGAGAGTGGTATCAGGGAACTCTTTTTGAAGACAACCTATTTGCTAAATGGAGCCAAGAAGGATCAGTTTAATTGAAGTTAAAGATATTTCAAGGAAGGTAAGAGCCTACCGGGGGGTTCAGCCAAGGGGCTTCCTTCTGCCTTTGAAAATGAGAAGAGTTGAACAAGATCTGTATGGATGAGCTGATAAAAAGCCCTTTGAAGTGGACAGGGATCTTTTTATAGCCTCAGAATAACTTAGCCCTGGGTGAGGGAAGAGAGCTGCTCTCATTTACAGGCATGAAGGGTGGTGAGCTGTCTCCCTCCAATTGGATTTCTTCTGGCTTGGCCGCGAAGAAAGTGAGATTGGCCTGGTGTCCTGGTCTATCAGAGAGAAGATAAATCTGGCAGTCCTTCACACAAGAAATGACCCAAGGGAAGGCCCTAGAATGCTGGTTAACAGACATTAGGAAGAAAGGCACAGAACGTAGACTCACAGCTCCCCCACACCACCCCCAGCTCATGTGCCATCAAGCCCACTAAATAAGTCATGGGTTAATCCTTAAAAAAAAAAATTAAGGAGAGTTCTTGCAGACTTGTTGTCAAGAAACAAGTGCAATAAAAATTATTCTTGTAGATTGTTTACTGTATGTGTCAGATGCTGTGCAGGCAATAGTTCATTTATTCCTCTTAACAACCCTAGGACGTAGGTATTATTTTTATTTTCATTCTACATTCCAGAAGACTGCAGTTTATTTATGTGTGAGCAAGTTGAAGCAACTTGTTCAAGCTGAGTACATCACAGGCCAGAAGCTAGATAGATAAAACTGTTAGATAAATGCTGAGGTAGCATGAAGTTACCTTCGATTACAAACCTCATGAAGTAAAGTCCCACTCCCACATTGTCAGTGCTCACTTCTTTTGGCTGAACGACTGAAAAACATGTTCTAACCTTCCACTCACCAAACAGTTAAGCATCTCCTTTTGGACATGGGAACACTTGGCCATAGTTTAAGACTCAGCTTTCCTCAGACTCTTGTACAAGAGCTCTGTGCAAGACCCTGAATTGCCTTACATTTGAAGAGAAAGGGAAAACTTAAAGAAAAGGAACTGGCTGGACACAGTGGCTCACGCCTGTATTCCCAGCACTCTGGGAGGCTGAGGCAGGTGGATCGCCTGAGGTCAGGAGTTTGAGACCAGCCTGACCAACAAGGTGAAACCCCTGCTCTACTAAAAATACAAAAATTAGCTGGGCGTGGTGTCAGGCACCTGTAATCCCAGCTACTCGGGAGGCTGACACAGGAGAATTGCTTGAACCTGGGAGGCGGAGGTTGCAGTGAGCTGAGATCATGCCACTGCACTCAAGCCTAGGTGACAGAGCAAGACTCTGTCCCAAAAAACAAAACAAAACAAAACAAAACCAAACCGTATGCCCCTGAAGAAGAGATGCCTCGGGTTGTAGCCTAACTGAGAAGTTACTCACCACCACTCTTCATTTCTGTAGAAGATATAAATAGGGAATTTGGACCCAAATTATGGTAGAATTTAAATTTGCCTTTAATTTAAGTGCTTTTTCATGATCACAGGCTTTATAACTTCCCAAACCTGCACATATTTCTGTGAATATATCAAAATCTTGATATCCAAAGCTACGAAAAAGAAAAGGCAAAAAATTCAGGATACTTTGAGTTTAATATCAATTCAATTCAATTCCACCAAAATCTACCTGTATAACCTTTTACAGGTACTCTACCTACTCTCTGAACTTCAGTTTTTCCATCCATAAAATTAAAGGGTTAGACACAGCTGATCTCTAACATGTCTTCTGTTACTCTCATTCTAAGTCTTTGATGACAATCCTTGCCTTACATTCCTCATAGAAGTTTCAGTGAAAAAAAAAAACAAAAAACAAAAAAAAATTGGTAAAAGAATAAGAAAAGAAATGGACAAGAAGTACGGGCACTAAAATCATCTCTGAAAGGGAAAATCAATGAAGTTTTGTGCTATACACACACAAGAAACTGTGTCATCAGTAAGCTATTCTTCCTAGCATCCTTGAGACATCATAAAGGCAAATGAAACACTAAAATTCCATGATAAAGAAACTTCTTCCATTCTCTTTGTGGATGGAGGCTTGACTCTCAGGGCCTACAAAGATTTCCTCCTGTCTGCTAGACAGACAAGAGTTCAAAGCACCCTAGACCTCCAAGCTTCTGCCTGCAGGGTCTCTACCTCTGATCCCTCCCACCTGACCCCTTTCCCTACTATGGAAACCCCAAACAAAGAGCATTGGAAGAAAAAACCTTGGTAATAGAATTTCAGGACACATTAGAGCTGAACAAGACTTTAGAGATCTTTTTTACAAATAAAGTTCTGGGCATAGGGCATGTAGTAATTGGCCTGGCTCTAGCTAGGAAATAAATTGCTATCATCATTTTATTCTCTGAAGGAGACAATCCCAGGTTAGTATTTCAAAGAAGAAAGAAGTCACTGGAGAGGTTTAAAAGTACAAGCTAATTATTTCTTTCAAGAAAAACCTTAACTCTAGGAGAAAGAAGTTATATGCAGCATCATTAAGATGAAAGGGCCGAGTTACCTGGGCAGCCTCAGGAAGCCCAGGAATAACAAGAGTGCCCCTTGTCTTGCTGAGCAGATATCCCTACCGAGGCTCTTCCACAGATGTTATCTCACTGACCCTGAATCCCTTTCTTCCTACCTTGCCACAATGTGAGGAGGAGGCCAAGAGAAGATGGTGTATTAGTCCATTCTAGCATTGCCGTAAAGAAATATCTGAGATTGGCTGGGCGCGGTGGCTCACACCTGTAATCCCATCACTTTGGGAGGCCGAGGCCGGCAGATCACGAGGTCAAGAGATGGAGAACATCCTGGCCAACATGGTGAAACCCTGTCTCTACTAAAAAAAAAAAAAAATACACAAATTAGCTGGGCATGGTGGCACGTACCTATAGTCCCAGCTACTCGGGAGGCTGAGGTAGGAGAATAGCTTGAACCCAGGAAGCGGAGGGTGCAGTGAGTCTAGATCGCTCCACTGCACTCCAGCCTGGTGACACAGCGAGATTCTGTCTCAAAAATAATAATAATAATAATAATAATAATAATAATAATAAAAGAGATATCTGAGATTGGGTAATTTATAAAGAAAAGGGGAGAAAGAGGTTTAATTGGCTCACAGTTCTGCAGGTTGTACAGGAAGCATGATGACGGCATCTGCTTGGCTTCGGGGAGGCCTTGGGAAACTTTCAATCATAGCGGAAGGTGAAGGGGAAGCAGGCACATCTTGCATGGCTGGAGCAGGAAGAAGTGGGGGGAGGGGCTATACACTTTTACACAACCAGATCTCAGGAGAACTCACTCATTAGACAGAACAAAGAGGGGATGAGTACTAAACCATCCATGAGAACTTCACCCCTATGATCCAATCACCTCCCACCAAGTCCTACTTCCAACATTGGAGATTACAATTCAACATAAGATTTAGGTGGGGACACAGATCCAAACCATATCAATAAGTCAATGTTAAGAAGAGATGTGGGTCTTTTCGTTTTGAGTCAACATTTGGAGAGCTGCTTAGAATCCTAGAATCAGAGCTGTCCAAGCTGGGAGCTATCGGCCACCTTCTCCAGTCTCTGTGTTTGTAAGTTTGGGGTGGGGTTAAAAACTTTCCTGTGTGTTTCATGATGAAGAAGAGAATGAAAAAGGAGGAGGAAGAGATGGAGGAAAGAGAAGGAAGAAACAAGAGGAAGAGTTGATAGAGGAGGTGGAGGAGGAGGTATGAGGATAAAGGGGAAAAGGAGGAGGAACAGGAGAAAGAAAAGAGAAGTTTTCAGATTTCTGAAAGTCACCCAAAACAGGTTTTGTTTTTGAAGGTCCAGGTTAACTGAAACATTTCCAGACTATCTGTGGAAGACGAGGAGATGGGATCAGCTGTCCAGGAGGAAGAGAACACTGGCCCAGTTACAGAGAGGAAACAATGGGATTTTCCATAACTGGGATGAAAAATTAGGGGCAAGTTCTAGGAGGGCATGAACCTGTGCCTTTACTCAAAGGCTGCATCCCAAATGAACCTCAGATAGGGCTCCTGCATGATTGGCCAGGGACTAAGTATTACATACTGCGTCTTTGAGAGCTGGGACAAGGTCCTACAGCCAAATTTGGTATCTGAAAAATTAAATTTAAATTTGTCATGTAGACCTGTCTAGGGGGTATCTTCAGAATAATTCCTAAAAGATGGTTGATCAGAGAACTTTCCCATATTTTCTGGCATAATGTAAGAGAAAATGCAACCTTTAAAATAAAAGGGAAGACAGGCACAATAAAATGGACTTTATCTATCCTGGGAGATGGGATGTGGATTTTGTTGGAGGTACAAGAATGTTATTATAAGAATAAATTTAGCAAAAGAATAAAGGCAATTCCCACTCCATACCTCAAGTACTGTAGAGCAACTCACACCTGTTATATCAGCATCCTCTGTCTCAGGCACCTCCTCCACTCCAAGTTCAGTCCCTTTTCTTTGAGCTCATCTGTCCTCCTTCTAGGTTTGCATCCACTGTCTTCTCTTCTAGGTCTTACTTTCTCCCAAATATTTTGCTTCCTGACAAAGGACACCACTGGATAGAAAGGTGGTTCATTGGCAGTGGTACTTCTTCAGCATCAGTGCTGAGCACTTGCTGGGTGGTAGATTATTTTCACTGGGAGCTTGCCATCTTGAGGATGCCTCACCCCCACTTTAATGACCACTGGCTTCTCAGCTGATTGGTAAGGCTAGCTTAGACTGTTTGGCCACTTTTATTTCCATGATTCTGGTCTCTTCAACAAAACCATGAGTTCCCCTGGGACACAGGCTGTGCCTTTGGCTTGTTTTGCCCCTGAAGGAGCTTAGGCAGGTGAAGCCAACTGGCCCAAGGACGCCGTGACCCTGGATGCTGCCCAAACCCAAAGGAGGAGCAGCTTTCTTCCTAGGGTCCCCTCGTTCCTTTCCATGTGTAAGAACACAGGCTACTAGTGAATCCATGAGTAGTCCAGAATATCTGAATGGGAACCAATGGTTTAAATTTTCTGCTAAAGGGCTAATGTCCTAAAAGCTTGACCTTGCATATGGTTCTCTTACACTTATTTCCCATCATTTTATCCTTGTCTGGTTATACCCCTGGGGGTGGGGGGGAAACACCATGCCAGGGTTGGAATGCCTGTATTCTAACTCTGCTGATTAACTGGATGTATGGCCCTGAGTAGGCCTCTTCACCAGGGAGGACCTCCCTTTCCTCCCCTCTAAGCCAAAGAAACTGGACCCAAGCTATCTACACATCACCTAACTCTTCTGGGATGTTCTGAGGCCCTCGCCCGTGTGCACAGGAATCAGAAGAGTCCAGATGCACACAGCCATCAATCGGCCCTGGAGGGGCACAAAAGGAGAAGCCAAAAGAAACAAGTGGGACTTTCAGCTGAGCTTCAAATAGGAAGACTGTCGGCTCACCCAGGCTGAGGATGAAAAGCATTCCACGGAGCTGAGGCAGTGCAGGGACAGGGTTCACACTCCCCAAGGGCTCTGAGCAATGAGGAAGAGGGACTGAGAAGACAGAGAGACCTCCATTCCAGGTCAGGCCCAAAATCTGGCCTGGTAGGAGCTGGAGACAAATGGGAGGAGGGAGTGCTTCCCCTTGAAGAACATGACCAGGAGGGCAAGCCACCCAGGCCTCCTCCTATCAGGAGAGAGAATGAATGCAGGATGTGGTGAGGAACAAGGCTGACCTCTTCAATAAATCTTGAGATGCCTAGAAACTGAAATCCCACCCTGACTTCTATGGTTACTAAAGTCTGAGAGTAATCAAGGTCTGCATAGCAACAGCAAGCAGTTCTCTCATCAACACACTTTCCCTCTAGCACACACACTGCCACCACCTCCACCACCACAGCTAACTCTACAAATGTTTTGACTCCCTCCTGCTTGCAAACTCAGCTGAGAAATTTGGAGTAGAAAGCAAGAAAACAGATGTGGCATCCAAGCTGAGTTTCTCATGAGTAAATAGATTCCATATGGTAGAGGAATGTCAAGGAGAAAGAAATTTTTATGAGGACCAAAAAGAAAGGAATAGGTGTGGAGTGCCTCTCATCTTACCAAGATGGAGTATTCTGGTTCTGAAGTGGAGCTCCATACCTGGTCCTGAGGAAGTGAAAAATCCCAGGTCATGGCTAAAGTGACCACAGCCCTCCACAAAGAGCAAGGAGTCCCAGTCTTGGTCCTGCCAGTGTGGCTGCCTCACTGTGGAAAAGTCTTTCCTTTGACTCTGAGTCTCAACATTTTCATCTGTAAGGTGGAAATAAGAATTCTCTGATGAAAATTAGATTCAATAAAAAAATAGATGCTGTATTTGAAGGTGTTTTATAGATCTGGGAAGGCAGGAATTATAATGTCTGGACCAAGGTCAGAGATATGGGAGTCTTCAGTGTGGAGATGCAAATGGAAGCCATGGGAGTCAACAGAAAAGCAAGAAGAGCAAGTCATGGGAACACCAATGGTCCAGTGGTGGGCAGAGAATGAGGTGCTGGAAATGAAGGCCAAGAAGAAAGGACTGAGAAATGGGAGAGCGGTCAAAAACTGAAGAAAGATGATTTGAGAAAGTAATCATTGTGTCAAGTAGATTTCTTAAGAAGTCAAGGTGTAGTCTTCTTGCTTCCTATGTCTCCCCAAAAGCAGAGTGAGGATCAGGCAGAGGAGAGAAAATGACCATTCAAGGAGGGAAGATGTATGATTTGGAAAATCAATGTTTATTTTTTGACATTTGCTGTGAGTCTGGAGCGAACCAAGGGGCTTATTCATTCCTCCCTGTTGATGAGCTTTGTGATACTAGGCATCTTGTACAACTTCTCTGTGCTATCAGCCAATATTCAACCAAGTCCTTAGTGGCTTCAGTTCAGCAGGTGTGGACTGTGGATCTAGTTAGTCTTGGGCAACTGACTCCAGAAGGGAATATGAGCCTGATGTAGGGGTGGCACACACCACAGTTAACTAGAGATAGGATCTCTTTTTCTCAAAGCCTGGCCTGCCTTGGAACCAGATGAGGATCTAGAAGTTCTTTTTAAAAGAACCACACCTGCCACCCAAAAATCTTTCAGTCCAATGACACCCAACACAAATGCACTTCAACAGCAAACATTTGTAGAAAATTATATGTGTGTACATTACTGGGCTGAGCCCTGAGTGAATGAGGAGGATAAGGACTCAAAGACAACTAAGGCACTGAGACATGGAACCCTGCTCTCCACCTTGTAGAGATGACAAAGTCTTACATAGTAACCACCAGCCAGACTGTGCTAAGTGTCACAACAGAAATATAAACAAAACACAATAAGAACCCAGGTGGAAGTCATTAATCCTGCACCTAGGTGATCAGGAAAGTTTTACAGAGAAGGCGTCATCTGAATTGGGTCCTGACCGCTAAGAAGGATTTGATATTCTGAGGAGGGGAAAATGTATTCCAAGCTCTGTGAACAGCACGAGCAAAGTTTTGGCACCAGGAAAATGGCATTTCGTTCAGAGATGAAATTGATGGTTTGGGCCTCCAGTCTGTATACCATGCAGAGTCAAGAAATGTTTTTGAGAAAGGGAGCAGTACAATTGGTTCTTCTCTTTAGATAGAGCTTTCTAGCCAGGACATGGAGGAACTGGGGGAGGAGATTTCTTGGAAAACTATTATCCAAGTCCAGAAGAGAAATCCCCAGGGTCCTAAAGAGTAAGGAAGCATTGAGATTGAAAAGATCCAAAGATGACTTTGAGGTTTTTCAGAATGTGCCAATAAAGGACACAGAAAGCACAGGATTGGGAGAGTAACATGAAGATAAAATTATTTTTAGACAAGTTGAGTATGTCACAGCTGGTGTAAGGGTCTGGAGCCTAGAAGAAAAGACTCACCAAGGAAGAGTCAGGAATCCATGTTGATTGGTGCAGCATGACTCGTCCTGGGCTTAGGCTCCAAAGGCAGTGCCTAGGGTCAATGTTAAGCAGAGTCAAAGTGATCCCTGGAAGTCTCTTCAAGAGGGGCCATATTTGAAACAGAGAACCTGTTCCACCATAAGTTCAGTAGGGCCTATGATTCCTGCAGAGATAGAGGGGCCACCTGAGCACCAAAAGAAGTAGTAGTCTTGTGTTTGGGGCCTGTTGTAAGAATAACACTAGAAGTCCATTTCCCATTACCTGTTCACTGGGTAGGATGGTGGCCAGAACCACTTGCATCATCTAAATTGTGTTTCTCTCTCTGAGTATCTCTCTGTCTGTCTCTGTCTCTTTATCTCTCTGCCTCTCTTTCACACACACAAACATACACACACACATATACACTAATTAACCTGTTAAACATGCAGTCAATACTGCATAGAGTTGGGCACCATGGGTCTATCTGTGCAGTCACCCTTGCTTCAGGTGCTGGGTGTGAAATACCCACAGAAAGAGAAGGAATTAAGAAGTGCACAATGCTAAGAGCAGTGCCCTGGGATGCTCCAAGAGCTGACTGGAGGAATTCGGTCAAAGGAGAAGAAGCCAACAAAGAATCAAAGAATGAGAAAGGGGAAGTATTAAGAGTCATGTAAGTTGAAGAATGACAAGGAAAGGGAGAACATCAATAAAGGAAAAACTTCAACAATGCCCAATTCTCTAAGTGGAGAGAGGCCTGAGGAAAGGCCTCTGATGAATTTGAGACTGGAATGTTATCAAATATGTTAAAATATGAAGCCTTCATCAATGATAAAAATGGGAGCCCAGTTATAAAGGTAAGGATTTGGGGATAAGAAAATGAAGTCATTGAGGTTCACACTGTCAAAAGTGTTGTCATGGAGAGGAGGAGGAAAAATGAGGGACAGTCTTAGGCAGAAACAGAGATAAGGAAATACTTTTAAGGGCACAGACTTGTTTATAGAGTAAGAAAAGTTATTCAGTAATTCTAATTATAGTTAACATTTACTGAGCATTTATTGTGTGCACTATGTAGTTAAGATTAGTTAACCTTTAAGATAAATACTATTATCATTCAAAAGAAACTGAGGCTTAGAGAGATCAAGTAAATATCCCCAAATCCCACTGCTGTTAAGCGGCAGAGATATTATTGGAAAATAATCAATCTGACTACAGGGCCCCACTCTCCTGTGTAGAGGAAGATTCCAGATGTCACATGTCAGAGAAGAGAGAGAGCATTGGTCTTGGTTCAGAGCCTTCCTATAGCCTGCCCCCCTTTTATTCCCCAGGAGTTCACACATTGCACCCACATAAAATATTATGTAGATGAACTCTGCATAGTGAATGACTCATAAATCAACATCCCCATACCCTTCTGCCCAGCCACCACTGGATTTCAGAGACTCTTCTAGGATATCCAAGCTATTATACCCTGACTTCTTCCAATTACACTAAATACTAGAAACTGCATGTGCAAGACAACTCCCAGGCATCTGAACACATAGCAGGTAGAAGGCCAAGAAGCAGAATGAGGAGGAGGAGAAAGCATCTCCCCTCAAGTATGCCTGAGATGAGCTAAGGGTCTGGAGGGCACAGGGGAGGCAGTTAGAGATGACTACCAAAGAACTTCCCTGTCTACAGCAGGGTGGAAAATTGCCTGTCAGAATAGGAAAATCATTTGATAAAGAGCCTGTGCCAAATCATGTGGAAGAAGTCAGAGCCCTATAGGTTTGTGATTGCATTCCAAACAACACATTTTTATTGGGCAGTGCTATACATCTAGCGTGGTGCTAGGCAATTGGACCACATAGTTCTGTTGGAGAGATAATGCTAATATGTGATCAGTAGAAGACAACAGCATGGAACAGGGGTTGCATTCCAGAGGAGAGGGATTCTTTAAGGATTGAAATGGTCATGGTTATGTTCAAGGTGAGAATGTGGGCTCTGAAACAAGAGTAGGGTTGTTCTAGGGGAAAGCCAAGGGGGCAGAGCTTTCCAAGGGAGAGGGTAGAGGAACATCCTAGTGGGGTTGGTAAAAGGACAGATTCCTTGGGGTGGCGTGGGGTATAACTGAGTTCTGGGGAGAAGTAGCTGATGAGATGGAATTAAGAAGGAGATGAAGCTAGGGGATTAGTCCTAAAAACAGATATAATTCTAAAGGTTGTGGTAGAGGAAGGGTGTGGGAGTGACTTGTACCATGAGCAGTGAATAAAGAAGACCACTCAGAGCAATTACATAGGAACAAGCACAGAACATGTGAGAGAAGGTAGAACAATATTATCTACTATCTAATTTCCAGTCTAACCAATTCTATAACATGTTGGCCTAACAGCTCATAGTTTACAAAATGCTTTCATAGTCACTTTATCATTTAATTTTTTGCACAAATCCTTTGAACTCCATTTTTTTGAGAAAAAGAAAAAATCAAAAAGGATGTATGACTTTCCCAAGATCCTTGATCCAGGTGAATGGCTAACCTGTCTGCCAAGCCCAAGTTTTCTCCCAAATGTACTATGGTAGCCATCTTGACCTTTGGAAAGTAAGATCACAATGCCCTCTCACACCTGTGAAGTATCAGCTGTTTATAGTTTTTCCTTCACCTCTCCCACATTCAAAAGCACAATGCAGCATATAGAGGAGAGGTAATTCTCCAATTCATATAGGCAAAAATAAGGTCCTCTTACTTCACATTTGGATTGCATAGGTGAAAGTGATTTGAAGAGAACCTGAAATTACTCAGATAGCTGCTGAGTCTCCATATGGTTTTCTTTGTAGACATAAACTTTCACCACTAGGAAATGAATTGGCAGACAGTTTCAAGGTTTCCCAGGACCTAGTAACTGTTCCCTCCTCTGGGTGACTCAGCCATGAGATAGGGTCTAGCCGGAGCATCTAATTACACAGGCCAGGTCAGGCTCTGGAATCAAAGCTCCGCTCACTGCCAAGCAGGCTACTGCACTCAGAGGTGTCAGAGAAGACAGCTGCAGGCAAGGGGCTGGAGACCCATGTTGGAACCTCCTTCAGCAGTCCTTGATTGAAGGCAAGTCTGCTCCACAGATGGGTAACGTAATAGAAGTTTTTAATGGAGGTTTTATTATGGGCTGGGAGGATGATCCTTGGTTATCCAATTGGCAATCTTTTCTGAGAAACAACCAGCTTTCTTTCATGTGGCAACTCCAACATGCTTAGATCATGCCGAAGGTGGGGGAGAGCTGACTTACTTGCAACTCAGCACAGCCTTTGTTGGAGATGTCCAGGCAGCTCAAAGCTGGAGCCGCTGAGGCAAGCCTGCAGAAGGGCTAGGCTGGTGATGAGGAGCAAGGCGTGGTTGAGTCCTCAGGCCAGCCTAGGGAGAAGCTCATACTTCTCCTCATCATCCAGATGGGACAATCAGCACTGCTGGCGGGTCCCAGAGGACCACTGCACCTGCCATGATGCTTGAAATGCAGCTGCAGATCCCAGATCCCAGGATCTCCCAGTTGCATATTTTATTTTCTTAAAAGAAAAACTCCATTAGGATAGTCAGTGGCTGCCAATCCCCTGGAAAATCTGTTAAAACTACAGATTCTTCGTTCATACTACAAAGATTTTGACTTTGATAATCAGCCAGGTTTAGAAATGAATTCATTGGGATATCTGCAGGAAGATGAAACAATACTTTTTGTTGTGATAAAATATTGATAATATGAAATTTGCCACTTTAATTTTTTAAGTATATCATTTATGTCATTAAGTATATTCACATTAAAACACTATTGTTTAGAAAAAGCAATCAGAAGTCTAACATTGGGTGAAACAGTTCTTAGGGGAGAAAAAAATCTTTTTGGTGGATTAAAGACCTAACTATAAAACTACTAGAAGAAAACATAGGGGGAATACTTCAGGACATTGGTCTGGGAAAGATTTTATGAATAAGGAAGTCAGGGGTGGAGGCCAAGTTGGGCCGATTTTCCTGCTGCTGCTAAAAGGAAACCGATCAATGGGAGTGACTTGTACCATGAGCAGTGAATAAGGAAGACCACTCAGAGCAATTACATAGGAACAAGCACAGAACATGCAAGAGAAGGTAGAACAATATTATGCTCAAATGCATAAGCAACAAAAGCAAAAATAAACAAGTAGGATTATATCAAACTAAAAAGCTTCTGCATAGCCAAGAAAACAATCAACAGAGTGAAAAAACAATCTACAGGATGAGACAAAATATTTGCAAGCTATTCATCCAACAGGGGATTAATATCCGGACTGTACAAGGAACTTAAACATCTCAACAGCAAATAAAAAATCTAATTAAATATATATGGCTGATAAATATATTTTAAAATGCTCAACATCACTACTCATCAGGAAAATGCAAATCAAACCACAATGAAGTACCATCTCATTGCAGTTAGGATGGCTATTATCCAAAAGATAAAAAATAATGTAGGTTTGGTGAGAATGTGGAGAAAAGGGAACTCTTACACACTTTTGGTGGGAATGTAAACTAGTACAGCCACCATGAAGAACAGTATGAAGGCTCCTCAAAAAAACTAAAAATAGGAGTAGTATATGATCCCACTACTGGGTATTTATCCAAAGGAAAGGAAATCAATGTACAAAGAGATGTCCACACCTGCATGCTTACTGCAACACTACTCACAATAGCCAAGATATGGAATCAAAGTAAGTGTCCAATAGCAGATGAATAAAGAAAATGTGGTATATATTCACAATGGAGTACTATTCAGCCATAAAAAAAGGATAAAATCTTGTCATTCACAACAACATGGATAAAACTGGAGGATACTGAGTGAAGAAAAATAAGCCAGGAAAAGAAACTACATGGTGTCACTCATATGTGGAAGCTAAAACAAAGTTCTCATGTAAGTAAAAAGTAAAACAGAAGATACTATAGGCTAGGAAGGGGAGGGGGAAGGGAGGGACACAGAGAGATTTGCTAAAGGACAGAAAATTACAGCTAGATAGGAGGAATAATTTCTAGTGTTCTATGGCACTGTAGGATGATTATAGTTAACAATAATATATTATATAGTTTTAAATAGCTAGAAGGAGGATATTGAATGTTCCCAAAACATAGAAATGATAAATGTTTGAGATGATAGATATGTTAATTACCATGATGTGATCACTGTATATGTATTGCAATATCACTATATATCCCATCAATATGTAAAATTATTGTCTATTCATTTTCTTAATTAAAAAATTATAAAACATTAAAAAACTTGTTGACATTAAAATATATAGTATGTATACTAAAAATGTACATAAGCACTGTATTATACTCTAGGTGGTAAACTTGTTTCTCATGGCAGTATGGGTTAAGAATTTTGAAATTGTGTACACTGAGATTGAACAAGTAAGTAAATGGTTGGAGGGTGGTGGAGCCAGGTTTCTCCCCATTACAGATAAGGAATGGGATAAAGCTAAAATGAACCATATGGTACTTGGATTAGAGTCAGAGATTATCAATGGGAAGTTAAGTTTTGCTTAATATAGACATTGATGGCTATATATGAAAATAATCATAGATATGTTTATATATATGAGCTAGTATATACATGTATATTTCCTTGCTCGCAGCACTGAAAAGGCCTAGAAGACACTCTAGGAGCAAAAAGCACACCCAGCACCCAGACCTTGATTTCTAATACCATTATCCAACAAAAGAAACCAGGGCCCCTTGGAGAAATAGCTGATTCCGGGGATGGGGCAGGGCAAATACAAGATAAGCTTGGAGCATGTAATACAAGAAAATAAGGAAGTTCCCAAAACACAAAACAGTAGAGATAATGTCCAAACAAAAACAAACAACAACAACAAAAAACAAGGGAGCCAACAGAACTCCCAATAGCCCAAAGTGGAACAATGTAAGCAACAAAATAAATAGCATAGTATTGGATTATATAGCCCAAAGTATAAAATAAATATCGATGAATTTATACCGATTCAAATGAATTACTGAATAAATAAATAAATGGAAGAGAGTAGATAAATCTCCCACGCGGAAGAATGCCAAATAATTTATGTATTAATAGATACTCCCCCCTCAAATAGTGGCACATAACTCCCCACTCCTTAAGTGTGGCTGTGCTAAGTGACTTGTTTTACAAAGATTACAACATGGAAAAGGGGAAATTTTAAAACTAACTTTTCAGTGGAAAAGCCTGGAAAACACTACCTGAGCCAGATGAGGTGAGCAAGGTCAACATTATCTGTGATAAGTCAAGTTGGTAGCACACGTTCTTTACACGTTTTGAGAATGGCACTTCTCTGTAGTCCTCTCAAAAACCCATAACTCTAGTCTAACCATGACAAAAACAAAAGCCAAACTCCTAGCCACTATTCCTTAGTATTGTCAAGGTCATCGAAACCAAGCAGGGACAAAGGCTGAGAAACTGGCACATCCAAGGGGAGCCTAAGGAGACATAATGACTGAGTGTAATATGGCACAGATGGGATTAGAACAGAAAAAAGACACTAGGGAAAAAACTGATAAAATCTCAATTAAGTGTGGAGTTTAATTAATAAAAATGTATCAATATTGATTCATTAGTGGGGACAGATTGACAGATGTACCATAGTACTATGTATGCTGTCAACAATAGAGGAAACTGGGAGATACACAGGAACTATCTGTACTATCGGCTACTTCTTCTGTACATCTAAAACAATATTAAAATCAGTTTATTTTAAAATGCATATAATGCATTAATTAATTGATTTTATTTCTTTAGCCATCAAATATGAGCCAGAGACCATTCCAGGTTTCATAAAGCACACTCCAGTAGGAAAAACAAGGTATCTCCAAATAGTAGCATAAAAGGCAAAGGAGGATGAATACATAGCAGAGATACAAAGCAGATGCTCTGCTGGTTCAAGACAATTATTACATTCTGCTGAGAAAGAACTAGTGTCAAGTTTATTTCTTCTGTGTGCCCCAGTACCTCAACCATGCCCAAACCTCTAAGGGCAAAGAATCCCTTCATTACCTCTGTCCCCGGGCCTATGTTCGAATAAATTTGATGGCATCTATAGGGCATATGGTGGTATCAGTAATCCCCCATCCCAGATTACCGATACACACAGGTGCTTCTCTGCAGGCCTATGGGACAGTGAGGGCATCTACAGGGTCCCTGCTTCTTACACTTGTCACAGCCAAATATAGGTACCTGGGGTCATCTTTCTGAGCCTGGGCCTGGGTCCTGATTAGTTCAGCAGAACAGGGTCCAGGACCCTGGACACCCCATTTAAAGACCTGAGTCCCTGGATGAGCCACTTAGTTTCATTCCACTCTCCAATTTATTTAAGTAAATACTGAACCTCTGCACAATTGCCAGTTCTGCGCTAGGCTCTCTAGCATAGCAGCTTGAGCTCAAGCTCTCTACTCAAAGTTCCTGAGTTCAAATCTGGCCCTACCACCTACCAGGTACACAATCTAGAGTAGGTAACAACCCATGTAAGCCTCAGGCTCCTCACCTAAATGGTGGAATTAAACATTGAACATACCTTACAGAGTTGTGGAGGGGATTAAGTAAAATAACACATATGAAGTGTTTAGCAAGGGACCCAGCATATACTATGTACTCAGTAAAAATTAGCTGTTATCATTATCAGACGGTGGGGATACAGAAAGCAACAAAGCAGACATACTTGCTTGCCTCACTGGAAAATAAAATCTAGTGAATTCCATCTGTTAACCACAAATCATTCTCCTAGCCCCATAGACAATGGGAGATTGGAAGAGAAAATCCAATCTGACTACGGAATAACATTGTTGATGAACAATTTTGATGATATGTCGAGTGTATCATTATATAGTATGTTCTTTGGCCATCTTCTCCCACCAAAATCAAACTTAAGATGTGAAATGACAAAGGACTTGATGTAACATATTTTCATTATAATGCTTAAGTAAAACATGCAGTCAGTTACATTTAACAAGATAACAATTTCTTCACTAGCTTGACAATTTAGAGGTATTCAGGATAGAATACTGAAAATTAGTCCTGTTATAAAAAATTTCAACATGCATTTCTACTTTATACAGGTGTTATTTTTAAAAAATACTATTTTTTATAGGTAGTTAAAAGGCCTTTTCAGTTTGGCTCCCAAATGAAAGATTGTCCTTTGATTTCCAGTTCTAGCTAGTAAACCCACAGTCTCCTGATACTCCACCCCAACCCACCCAACACTGGCCCTGGTGAGATTAGGGAGCAGGGGACTTTGCTAATGGAGTAGCCTTCATGGAGTAGCCTAGGCTCCTAGAGTTGGATTCTCCCCACTGCTAGAGGCTGGGCTTCCATGAGCCCAGCTCCACTGTGTATCCTGAGAATGCTCCCCACTTCTGGCTGGCAACAATTTATCACCTGGTTAGGAAGTAGCTTCTTGTTAATTAGACTAGGTTCTTAGAGAAAAAACTGCAAATGTCTTTAGTCCTATAACATCTAACTTACATTTTTATAAGGCGGACTCTTCAAAGATACAGTCTATCCCTTCTGTCTCTCTATATAGCACTTTGGAATGTAATAAAGGAGGAAATTGTGTCTGTCTTTTCCTCTGGTATATTACAGTCACTAGGAACAGTGTCTTGTGCCTAGTAGATGCTTAACAAATATAAATAAAGTGGTTATTTATTTAGAAGATGCAACTCAATTGTATTATTTGGTTGTTGATTTTTATTCCACTAATAATTCTGGGTATTACCATATACCCAGTACCAAGTACCTTCTGGGTACTTACCATGTACCCAGAATTATTTCATGTGCTTTACAAATATTAACTCTTTAAATCCTTATAATAATTCTGTGAGGTACTATTGTTATTTCCATTTTACAGATGAGGAAACAAACACAGAAAAATTTAATAACTTGCTAAAGATCACTTAGTAAGAGGTAGAGCTGGGATTTGAACCCAGGTGATCTAGGTTCAAGTTTGTGCTCCTAACCCTAGGCTGTGCTAACTCTGTCTTACCTACCTTCCTCCTGGCCCCAGGTGTGGGTAATGGCTTGGACACTGTCAATCAAAGGACATCTCTCTGGCCAAAGTGATGGTTCCAGTTGTGGATATGTGACTTAAGTAAGTCAAATGAAATCTACTCTTCCAGCTTCAAATGACAATCTACTTGTCATTTGAAGCTGGAAGAGTTCTTTACCTTTGGAGGAATGGAATAAGAGGGATGTGAATCCTGGAAGAATTGAAGGAGGAGAAACCTTTCTCTTGCAAGAGAGAATAAAGGTCAATCAATGCAAGAAGAGAAGTGGCATTAAGAAATGCATAAAATGAAAGGAGAGATGACAACTTTGCTTCAATCCCCGGATCTAGATGTGGCTGAAACCCCTCCCAACCATAGACTTTGATACCCTCCAGATATGCCCTCATTTTTAAAAACTTTAAACTAGTAGAGTTAGGTTTATGTTTCTTTCTAATAAAACTACCATTCCTTTGTTGAGGGGGGATGAATTAATTAATAAGAAATAAATTAATGATGGCCATGATTAATGCAACTCATTCACTCCTTAAGTAAATTCTATATTAGTCTGTTCTCACAATGCTGAGACTGGGTAATTTATAAAGGAAATTACTGAGACTGGGTAATTTATAAAGGAAAGAGGTTTAATTGACTCACAGTTCAGCATGGCTGGGGAAGCTTCAGTAAACTTACAATCATGGTGGAATGTGAAGAGGAAGCAAGTCACCTTCCTTACAAGGTGGCAGAAAGGAGAAGTGCTGAGCAAAGGGGGAAAAACCCCTTATAAACCCTCAGATCTCATGAGATCTCACTCACTATCATGAGAACAACATGAGGGTAACTGCCCCCATAATTTAATTACCTCCCACCGGGTTCCTCCCACAACATGTGGGGATTATGGGGACTACAATTCAAGATGAGATTTGGTTGGGGACACAGCCAAACCACGTCAAATACTAATTGTGACATGTGCTATGATAAACATGGGAAATATGGCAGTGAGCACAAGACATCCTGTCCTTTGGGGAAGATAGGAGTTTAAAACAATGAATTACAATAGGCAAGCAGAGTCTATCAGGAACTAAAACAATTTTAGAATGGCTGAAACACAGATTGTGAAGTTTGGAGGGGCCTAAGATGAGGCAAGGAAGATAGATAGGGGCCATGTCATGCAGAGCATGGAAGGTCATGTTAGACATTTAAATTGCACCCTAAGGTCATGGCAGGGGTGAGGTCTGGGCATTGAAAGGTTTTAAGTGGGAGCGACATGCTCAGATTTGTGTTTTCAACAATTCTAGCTGCAGTGGGGAGAATGTAAGGCCTTAGTAGTCCAGTAGAAAATAATACCACCCTGACCTAAGGTGATAGAGGGAGGTCTAGCAATATCCAGGAGGTTGAAGTTTAGGTCATAAAACCTTAGGGTACCAACAATGGATGAGAAATTAGGGATTATCTTGAGGCCAGTTCCCTTATTCAACAGATAAGTACACTGAAACTCCAGGGAGGATGTGTCCTTTCAAAGTCACCAGCTAGCTGATGACAGAATGCCAAATGGAACCTGGGTCTTCTAACCCCTGCCCCCAAACAGTTTCCATTCCACCAATCCATATTCTTGCCTCTTTTTCTGCATCATACAACTCTTAGTCGAAGGGAATTGATCCAACCTGGTTCCCTTCTGTTGTGGGTTCAGCTCATAAACAAACATTTATAATGCATAAAATAGCCATGTCATATCTTGGGACATAATTACCTATGACCTAGTCATGTGGTACAAAGCAGACCAGAGGACCAAAAACTGGAAACTAGACTCTTCCATGGATAAGGAAAGGGCCAGCCAGAACTGTGTGTGAATTAAGTCCAATTTGGCAGGAAGAATTTGGTCTGCAATGGACACAGCACCAGAAAAGAGGTGATAGTTCAGGGAGGCATGAAGAATGAAGGCTGAGCACCAATCAGCAGGCTAGGCAATGGAGACCAGGAATTCAGGAGCAGGCAAGATTGAGGCAGGCAGGCTAGTAGGCAGGCTTGCTGGAACCAGTATGCTCTCAGCATCCCTCAAGGCTGGGGATAGAATCAGGACTCTAGACTGTTAAAGAACAGCACAAGCACAACCCTAGAGATACTTGGACACACAAAAAATAGCTAAACTGTGACCAGACACTAGAAACCTGCCTATCAAGAATGGAGTTCAGCATGAGTACTGGCTTACACCGAAGACAAAATCTGTTATCAGAACTAGGGCACAAAATCCAAGTGAGGTAGACAGAACAAGGGACAGTCTTCTGAATTCCAGGCTTGTAGGCTAGATTGAAATCTTCTGTTTCAGCTGGGGATTGGTTCTAAAGCCTGGGATAGGCTTGCAATAGACTAAATGCTTATCTTCCCCCCAAATTCATAGGTTAAAATCCTAACCCCCAAGGTGATTGTATTAGGAGGTGGGGGCTTTGGTGGTGATTAGATCATAACAGCAGAGCCCTCATGAATGGAATCGTGCCCTTATAAAAGAGGCACCATAGAGCTAGCTAGTCCCTTCCACCTGTGAGGACACAGCAAGTAGACGTCGTCTGTGAACTCAAAAGCAGGTCCTCACCGGACACTGAATCTTCTGGTGCCTTGATCTTGGACTTTCCAGCCTCCAGAACTGTGAGGAATAAAATTCTATTGTTTATAAGCCACCCAGTTTATGGTATTTTATTGGAGGGGCCTGAATGAACTAAGACAGGCTAATCCTGTGGGTGGAGTTAGGGATCCCAGACAGGGGAAGAGAAAGGAGCAAAAACTAAAGCCCAGGCCAAACCTAAAATCCCCTTCCTGAAAGAATTAATGGTTTTCTAACCTGTAGACACTGCTCTGAAAACCTTACCAAACAACACACATGACACAGCCACTGTTGCAAGGAAACAATTCATTTTTGTCTACTGCTGAGTTACAAGCACATCATGGTTCCCCAATAAATGTGTTGAGTGAATGTCCATTTGTTTAAAGTTGGTAGGTAGACATTTTATTTTCTAAGATGGTTATTTATATAATTTTGTTCACATGAAAAAAAAATTTAAAAATCAACTAAAATACAGAGAAATTAAAGGCTATATATTTTATGATTCCACTTATACAACATTTTCAAAAAACAAAATTGTAGAGATGCATAACAGATCAGTGGTTTCCAGGAGTTATGGAACAGAAGGGAGGATGTGATAGTGAAGGGTGTGACTAGCATGAGAGAATTCCTTCGAGGTGACAGTAGTCCTGTATCTTGTCTGGGACAGTGGTTATATGAGCTATAAGAGGATAGAACATCATAGAATTATACACAAAGACATACAAGAAAAATGAGTGCATGTAAAAACTGGTAAAATTGGAATAAGTTCTGTAGTCTAATTAATTATATTATGTCAATATCAATTTCTTGGTTTTGATCACATATGATGTCACCATTAGACGAAGAAGGGTGAAGGGTTCACAGGACCTCTCTGTGCTATTATTGCAAGTTTTTATGAGCATATAATTGTTTCACATTTTAAAGTTAGGGATAAAAGCTCTATGCACAATCAATTTCAACGTGTAAACTTAATTGGGCTCTGATTAAAATAAAGAAAATGTATTCATGAGACAATTGAAGATCTGAACACTGAATATTTGACGATATGAAGAACTTAATTTTAGTTTTTATATAATAATAGTATTGAGGGCTTTCTGAGGAGTCCTTAAATGTTTTTAGTTACATATGAAATATTTATGGCTGAAATGATATGATGTCTGAGGTTGATTCAGTTAATATGGGGAGGGAGAAGAAGTGACATACAAGATACAACAGTGGCTATGAATTGGTAACTATGGAAACTAGGTATATGAAAGCTCATTGAACTATTCTTTCTTTTTTTTCTTTTTTCTTGAGATGGAATCTCACCCTGTTGCCCAGGCTGGAGTGCAATGGCATGATCTTGGCTTACTGCTACCTTCGCCTCCAGGGTTCAAACGATTCTCCTGCCTCAGCCTCCCGAGTAGCTGGGATTACAGGTGCCTGCCACCACGCCCAGCTAATTTTTGTATTTTTAGTAGAGATGGTGTTTCACCATGTTGGCCAGGCTGGTCTCAAACTCCTGACCTTGTGATCTTCCCACCTTGGCATCCCAAAATGTTGGGATTACAGGTGTGAGCCACTGCACCCTGCCTGAACTATTCTTTCTACTTCAACATATGTTTGGAAAATTTTAAAGTAAAAAATTTTAAGTAGTAAAACTTTAGTCCAAAAAAATTTAAAAATAGAAAACTCCATTGAGACTCTTATGAGCTGCCTCTCTTGTTTCTTACTAGCAGTTTCCTAACACAGGATTTACTGTGGGTATTGGTATATACCCCTTATTATCATATCACATTTGGGAAAATCTGGGCAACTTCTCCACAATTGTTCATGAAAGAAAAGTCTTTAAGCAAAATGGTTCATTTGAAATAAAAATCCTCTTGGTCACAGTGTTTTTGGAGGTGTAAAAGCCACAGCTAACTTGATTGTCACTCTTCCTCCCTTGCTGCAATGAATGTGGTGCCTGGTTTTCTGTAGCAGATCTTTCATCCATCTTTCTAGTTATTTCTATCCCCTTTCACTTTAGCCTTGACCTCTAATTCACTGTTTTGAAAGAAAAAAAATTAGGAGTGTGAGCTTGTTCCAAAAAGCTTGCTTATTTCCTCCCTTACATTTTCCCATGCCCATCTCCCCAGAGAGATTCTGGCACAGGACCCAATTCCCACATCTTATTGTTTTATAAACACTTATTAAGGACCCTATGTTGCCATTTCTCATTTATTCCTCATAACCACCCAGTGTGGTAATACTATTAGGTCTACTTTACAGATAAGGCATCTGAAATTTAGAGGTTTCCACTGAAGATTGCAAAGCTGGTACTGGATAAAGTGACATAGAAATTTCTTGTTCAGGAATAAATAAATGGACTCAGAACTCACTGTCTTCATTTGGTGGTTCTAAAATTTATTTTGAGAAACCTAAACCATCATTTAAGAAACCCATGGCTGAATGTGGGATTTTTTTACAGACCTGCCATCAGTTTCTCACCCCCATATACATCCTTCCTCTCTTGTAGAAAGTTGCAAGAATAAAGAGGGGATCTTTCTACCCGCTCTTGACACACACCACCAGCTCAACTCACCAAACCCCAGCAGATAATTTGTTTCAGAATATTCTAAACCATTCCCATGGGATTATTACAAAGAGATTTTCCAAATGGAACTAACACTGAAAGGGTTAAACCAATTTTATTTTTCAATTTTATAAATGTTTAAAAGGTAAAAGAGGGTTAGCCGTTTCCATGGGTATTACTATGTTGACAGCCAAACTGCCTACACAGAACCCCAAAATTCTCAATTAGCTATCTATGAGCACCATGATCTAGTTTCCCTCACAAGGAGGCCACCTGTTTGCTTTCCTTCTTGAGGATGGAGAAGTCTTGAAGAGTGCGCCATCCCATCTTTTTCCTTTTTCTCATTCCTGACATCACTTTACTCATTCCCCTGCAACCAAACAGTGCAAACCTCACGAACCACAGAGACTCCCTTCCCTCCATGACCATTCCAGCCCATTGGGCACCAGACCTGGAGGGAGTTGGGCTGTGAGATCGGCAAGCTGAGCTGGCTCTCCCAGGATGAGCTCCGGAGTCACAGGATCCCTGGAGACCTGCCAGAGTGTCTCTCCAGAGAACCTGAGACAGCTGCCAAGGAAGCCTCTCCTTCATCTGCAGCACTACCTTTTGGGGAGATGCTATATTTGGAGGAAATGTCAGGCAAAATCTGGGCTGGGAATTAGACTGCTCAGGGAGTCACCAACTCTCTGGGTGGGTGAGGACTTCTGCAAGGCAGCTCTTCCATGCTTCTGCCTTGGAGTAGAACTGCCCATTGTCTCTAAAATCTCATTTTTTAAGAGCTCCCGTCCTCACGATCAAGCTTGTCTAAATTTAAGAATAAATCCCAAGCTATCTCTTGGAACTGAACTGAACTACATTCTTCTCAAAGAGCCTTGTAGGAAAGCAACTTAGGCATATGAGAAAACTATGCGTAATTCTTAAGTGGGAAAATGAGAACTGGGGGAAGATGGACGGAACCCAATGCTGCAACTCAGTTTCCATAGCCAGATGGGAAGCACAGGAGGGACAGGAGCCTGGTTCTGTTGACCATACAAATAGTCACCTCACCTTCACAGACCAGACCACTCAGCCTTCTCTGCAGAGGCTACCTGCCCAGATTGTTCACAGAAACACCTAAGAGGATTGACTTTCAGCTTCGTGATCTGGCTTGGCAGTCTGAATCAATGCCTCTAAACTAAAAGTTACTGGTTATTTCTCTTTATACCAAGTAGCCATTCTTCCTCTTGTTCTCAGTGCTAGGCAATCCCTGATCACTCTCATCCCATCTCCCAGATTCATTCTCTGCCCTTCTGCCCAGCCCTGTGCTCCGGTCTTTAAGGATGGCATTTCTAGCTGGGCTATGGTTGGGTTCAGCCAGCTGAAAGGCACTGGTAGGAGAAGAGAAAGAGCCGGCTGTGCTCCCCGGCCTGGTTCTAGCAATGGTGGCACCCCTCCCTTGCTGCAGTTCTCACCAAGAAGTCCCTCTTTCCTGACTCAGCTCTCACAGGATGCCCATGGCCCTTTCCCAGAGTCCTTGCCCCCTCAGCCCTGGGAAAGGTGACAGCGTCCTGCTGCCCCTCTCTGAGTGTCTCAACACTCCTTCTTTGTTCCACTGACACCCTGCCCTCACTTTCTGAGGTGGTGCCTTCATTAGAGTCTCTCTTTGAACCCTCTAAGGTAAGTTCCTTGCCTTCTTGGAGCTTGCTATCCTGTCATACTCAGCTCCTTGTAGAGACACAAGCAGTCCAGGCAGGACCCTGCCTCAAGGTCTGGTCTTTCCACATCCTTTTCCATTTCCCTGTAACTCTCATTGCCTTGATTTCTGTCCAGTCTGTCTCTCACTTTCTTCAGTTCTCTGGCCACATGTCACCTAATCACAGATACATCTCCTGACCCCCACCCCATCCTCTTGCTCCTGTCACTCTGTCTCCCATACCCTGCTCTAGTTTTCTTCATTTTTATCATTTGACATATTATCTAGTTATTGATTTGTTTATTGTCTTTCTTCTCTGGCTAGAATGGAACCTCCTTTATAGTTTATTGCTAAACTTCAACAAGGCCAGAAGTATGATAGTACTCCATAACGTTTATTGAATGAGTAAATGTACTGTGTAGACACTCTGGACTCTTTCCTTCATGGCTTCAGGCTTTGAACTCTGTATGAAGCTTTTCCTCATGATGCCCTATAGACCACCTTAGATAGTAATTAGTAAGTATTCAAAGATACTTGGAATTGCACTCAGAGATACTGGATGCATATAAAGATAAATCAAAGCAGAAAAAAAAATCCCCAAATTCCAAATTCTAACCACCATCAAGATTTGGAATCTATACATAAGCCTCCAGAATTGGGAGTAAGGGGTAGGCATGGGTCTAGACATCCAAACTAGGAATGGATGCCTTTAGGAGGCAGATCAGATGCAGGGGAGGCTGGGCTAAAAAGGAAAGGAGGAAAGGCTGAGGCCATAAGAGTTATGAGGTGTGGCCAAGTTTTTGTCCCCAGAGAAGGGAGAAGAAAATTCAAAGCCTCATATTTTTTCAGATTGAGCATCCTCTTTTTGAGAACTTCCAACTTCCCTCATGTCACTTGGGTCATGTCCTAAAGCAAACCCTTCGTCTTCTGAAGCAAGAGTGCCAGGGCCTTGTGTCTTCTCCTTCTCAGGAGTCTAGGGAACGTCTAAAAGAAGAAAGTGGGAATCTCAAAATTGGGCTCTTTCACACTCGAGGAAAATTCAAGATTTCATAGATCGGAGTGTGGCCCACCTCCAGCAAAACCATGGAACAGCTCAGAGGATGTGAGAACTAGAATCTCAGGTCTACCATGACCTGATCACACCCACACCATATTCCCCTGCAACCTCCCTGCACACTTTCCGCCAGGGCCCACGCGAAGCCCTACCTGGGTCAGCTTTCACTAATGTTAGCCATTCTAATAGGAGTATAGTGATATCTAGTGTGGTGTTAATTTGCATTCCCCTAATTACTAATAATGCTGAGCATCTTTTCGTGAGCTTATTTTCCACCTGTTTATCTTCTTTGGTTAAGTGTCTTCTAAAAGTGTTTGTGCATTTTAACTATACTACTATTGATTTTTTAGAGTTCTTTATATATTCTGTACACAAGTCCTTTATTGGATAAGTGGTTTGCAAATATTTTTTTTCTAGCCTGTGGCTTGACTTTTCATTTACTCAATTGTGTCTCTCAAAAAACAGAGACTTTAAATTTTTATGAAGTCTCATTATCCATTTGTTCTTTTATGGAACATGCTTTGGTATTGTATCTAAGAAATCTTCTCATAACCCAAAGTCACAACGGTTTTCTTTTTTCTTCTGTATTTCGGAAATCTTTCTACTATCTAGTTTAATTCCATTATGGTCAGATAACATACTTTGTATAATTTCAATTCTTTTCAATCTGTTAAGGTTTGTTTTATGACCCAAGATATGATCCGTCTTGGTGAACGTTCCATGAGTATTTGAAAAGAATGTGCATTCCACTATTACTGAGTGAAGTGTTCTTTAAATAGCAATATATCCAGTTGGTTGACAGCATTGTTCAATTCTTCTATATCCTGGCTGATTTTCTGTCTACTGGTGCTATCAATTACTGAGAAAGACTTTTAAGTCTCCAACCATAATTGTGGATTTGTCTATTTCTTCTTTCAGTTGTGTCAGATTTTCCTTTATGTATTTTGGAGCTCTGTTCTTAAAGGCAAACTATTTAGATTAATGTTTTCTTTGTGAACTGATTCTTTTATCATTATGTAATATACAATATCCCTCTCTATTCCTAATTTTTTTGGCTGTGGATTCTACTTTGTCTCATATGAATGTAGCCAGTCCAGCATTCCTTTGCATAATGTCTAGTAAGTAATCTTTCATTCTTTTACTCCTATACACTCCTTGTATATGTATTTCATTTGAATTGAATTTTTATAATGCAATTATTGATATGCTTGGATTTAGATTTGCCATTTTATTCTTTGTTTTCTATTTATTTTCTCTGTTTTGTTGTTGTTGTTTTTGTTGTTGTTCCTCTATTTCCCCTCTCCCCTCCTGCCTTCTTCGGGCCTATTTGAACATTTAAAAAATATTCCATTTTATTGTATCTATTGCATTTCTGACTATATCTCTTTGTATAGTTTTTTTGTTTGTGTGTTTGTTTGTTTCTTTACTGGTTGCTCTTGGAATTACCACATATATATATACACTTAACTTTTTCAGTCTACTTTAATTCAATATTTTACCACTTCAAGTGAAAGGTAGAAACCTTGTCACCATATAGGCCCCTTTACCCTCCCCCATATATGTCATGGTTATCTTGTGTATTATGTCTACATACACTGAAAACCCAGACAATGTTACTTTTGTTTTTAACCATCAAATATATTCTAAAGAACTTCATAGGAAAAGAATAGTCTATTACATTTACCCAAATATGTATTATTTCTATTTCTTTCTTCACTCCTGATGTTTCAGTTTTCCTTCCAGTATCATTTTCTTTCTGTCTGAAGACTTCGCTTTAGCCATTCTCTTAGAGCAGGTCTACTGCTAACAAATTCCTTATTATTTCCTTCATCTGAGAATTTTTTTTTCACCTTCGTTCCTACAGAATATTGCCACTGGATATAGAATTCTAGATATACAGTTCTTTTCTTTCAGCACTTGAATAATGTTGTTTCTATTTCTTCTGGCTCCGTGGTTTCTGATGAGAAATCTGAGAAATCCACATTCATAAGAATGACTGTTTCCAATAGGTAATATATCTCTGGCTGTTTTCAAAAAATTTCTGTCTTCAGTTTTCAGCAGTGTGATTATAATATATCTGGGTGTGGATTATCTAGTTTATCTGGTTTGACATTCACTGAGCTTCTTAAATCTGTAGGTTTCTGTCTTTCACCAAATTGGGAAAGTTTTCAGGCAATTTTGTTTGGTTTGGTTTTGTTTTTTAGCCTCGTATTCTCTCATTTCCTCTGGTGCTCTGATTACCCACAGGTCCCTGAAGTCTGTTCTCTTTTTTTAATCTTTTTCTCTCTGCTGTTCAGATTAGATTACTTCTATTGACCTATTTTCACGTTCTAACTCTCTCTCCTGTTGTCTCTATTCTGCTATTAAGGCCATCTAGCAATGTTTTGATTTTGTTTTTGTGTTAGTTTTTTCCCTAAATTTCCATTTCTTAGTTTTTTTGGAGGGAGAGAGAGTTGTATTTTTTCTATCTTTTCTAATTTTTTGCTGATAATTTCTATCTTGTCATTAATTCCAAGACTGCTCTCCCTTATTGGGTGAAGCATTTTTATAAGAGCTGCTTTAAATTTTTTGTCATGTTAGCTAGATATTGAATTCCATTAATTGTCTTTTTCTGGATGGCTTGAGATTTTGTTCATTCTATGTATGCTATGTAATTTTGGACTGTACCCTGGACATTTTCAGTATTATTTTAAAACACTCTGGTTGTATTTAAGTCCTCATTGCTTATTCTATGTTTTTATTTTAATAAGTAAGTAGCCCAGTTGGTTTCAGTCCACATGTTTAAACTAGCTTTATGAGGGTTGTGGTTCTATTATCAGCTCAATTTTCAAAACCTCTGCAGTGATGTTTGGGCCTGTCTCACATGTATACCACCCAGTAGCCAGTTTAGTACTTAGGTATGTGGTATAGCCCATAGTTCAGTTCTCAAAGTCTATATATAATATTTTAGCCAAGTTCACTCATGCACAGTTCATGGGGGTGTAGCCCAGGAGTTCATAAGCCACTTTAAAGGGTCCTCTTCCTAAATGCCTCTCTGTCTATAATCTCCCACATACTTTCTGGTTCCCTTTCTGGCACCTTTTTTTTTTATTTTTTATTTTGTTTTTTGCAGTTGCAAGATTTTATGGAGTGAAAACAGAGCTCCCATACAAAGGGAGGGGACCCAAAGAGGGTTGCCATTGCTGGCTCGAATGCTTGGGTTTATATCCCGATCATTGTCCCTGCAGCTGTTCTCTCAGGCAATAGATGATCGGCTATTTCCTTACCTCCTGTTTTTGCCTAATTAGCATTTTAGTGAGCTCTCTTTACCACCTGATTGGTCAGGTGTGAGCTAAGTTGCAAGCCCCGTGTTTAAAGGTGGATGTGGTCACCTTCCCAGCTAGGCTTAGGGATTCTTAGTCAGCCTAGGAAATCCAGCTAGTCCTGTCTCTCAGTGCCTCCTCTCAACAGGAAAATCCAAGCGCTGTTAGGGAGTTTGGCCGATGACCACTCTAACTGCTTCCTGCTGAATTGGGGCATAGTAGGGGTCGTGCAATTGAGATATCCTCAGGAGGGGTGGCTCCAATGTCGTTAACATCAGAGCATGGGCTAGCAGGCTGATCCAGGGGTCTGCGGTAGATCTTAGTCATGGAATGCATCTGGGGTTCCATTTGAGGAACAATTTGTAGTTTTATAGCTTTGATTCTGGAAGAGACAAACTTAACAAGGAGGTTAAAGATACAGGGATTGAAATGTATGGCCTGTAGTGTAGGGGATTAGTTCTTTGGCATACTTCATAGGCCCTGTCTATCTGCTTGATAGTTTTGAAAAGGCCTGGTCCAGTAAATAATACTTTGACCATCTGATGGGTGCTATCAATGCCTAAGTGAAAGGTTTGGTGAAGGGTTTTAAGTAATTTCCATTGGTTAGCTGCAGGCAAAAGTACTTTTCCTTCTTTGGTGGCTAGCCATCCTGAGGGAAGGAAACTATGTCCTCGTAAGGTTCTCCATTCTATTTCTTATGCTGAGTACTGGGGCTTGGCTTCCTGGAGGGGATTACCCCATACTAGGGGTCCTTCTATAAGCATTTCTAATGGAGGGTCCTGCTTGCAGCTCTTTTTGCTTTAATAACCACTTGGCGGTTTTCTTTTATTTCCCTTTTCTCTCCTTTCTGATGACCCCAGCAGTGTAAGACTGCCACTTCTTTAGGTTTTTGTACCACCAATAATAATCTCCTAATGGCTTCCTGATGTTTGATAGGTGTTCCCTCGGATGTTAGGAATTCCCTTTCTCTCCATATTGTTGCATGGGCATGGAAGACTAGGTAAGCATACTTAGAGTCTGTATATATATTTACCCTTTTTCCTTTTCCTAATTTTAGTGCCTGAGTGACGGCTATTAGTTTTGCCAGCTAAGCGCTAGTTCTTGGAGTGAGGGGATTACTTTCAAGTATTCCATTATCACTGACCACTGCATACCCCGCTTTTCAAAGTCCTTTTTCTACAAAGGAACTTCCATCAGTATACAAGCTGAGGTCAGGATCAGTCAAGGGAAGCTCTAGAAGGTCCCCTCAAGTGGCATACGTTTGAGCAATTACTTGTTGACAGTTATGTTCTATCTTTTCTTCATTGTCTGGAAGAAATGTGTCTGGGTTAAGAGTTGCACAAGTGCGCAGTCGCAGCACTGGCCCTTCAAGTAATAGAGACTGATATTTTTAAGTAAACGGTCGTCTGACAGCCACAAGTCTCCTTTAGCAGTGAGTATGCCGTTCTCATCATGAGATGTTCACACAGTAAGATCTCTTCCCTGTATCATTTTAATTGCTTCAGATACTAAGACTGCTACTGCTGCCACTACCCATAAACAATGAGGCCAACCCTTTGCCACTACATCAATTTTTTACTCTGGTATGCCATAGGTTGCAAGCTCGTCCCTCAGACCTTTGTAAGGACTCCTAGAACTATTACTGGGTTTTTTTGTGACATATAAAGAAAAGTCTTGCCCCATTGGCAAGCTTAACACTGGGGCTGGGGTTAGGGCCTTCTTTAGGGCACACGCCTATAATCCCAGCTACTCAGGAGGCTGAGGCAGGAGAACTGCTTGAGCCCAGGAGGTGGAGGTTGCAGTGAGCCAAGATGGTGCCACTTCACTCCAGCCTGTCCGACACAGCAAGACTCTGTCTCAAAAAAGAAAAAAAAAAAAAGACTTTTGAGGGGTATTTGACAAAATACTGATTCTCTGCCAGCCAATAGATTCTGAATCAGAATGACCTGATGCAAGTGAAACATGGCATACCTTTAAACACCCTGAACTAAAGAAAAGGTATCCATGGGTTACCTTGTTTTGTGCAACACTTAGCTTAACAAGCACTCAGCATAGATGGGCAGATGGTACTTAATGGTGGACATCTTTTTTTTTTTGTCTGAATTAAGAAACAGGTTATCCATGATAATAACAACAATAACTATGACTTACTGGGGGCTTACTCTGAGCCCAGCAACAGTGCTAAGTATGCATATACACTATCTATTTAGTCTGCAAAACTCTTCTCCATAGGTGCTACTCTCCAAATTTTAAAGAGGATGAAATTGAGACATAAAGGTTAAGGCAGGTCATAGCTGTATGGGGCTAGAACTGGATTTCAACACAGGCTTGTGTGACCCCAAAGACAGTGCTCATTCCATACCACCATACTTCCTTACCTCTGAATACTCACACTGGGGAAAAGGAAGCATAATGATTATGTATAAGCTCTGCATGGTATTATACTACTTCCCTTAAAATTAGAAAGAAATATGGTTGGTCATAAAGAGAAACCACTGACAGTGAGCCCAAGGGAAGTTGTGGACTCTTCCATTTGATGTCTTTAAAGCATAAAGAATTCAGTTGTTTAGCTTCATGTTTCCTAAAGGTAGAGAAGTGGAAATGACAACCCCCTCCCTCCATGTCTTTCTCAGGCCAAAAATTCCATTTAACATTGCCCCCAACTAAATACCTGTCTCCCTTCTGAAGGACTTGCTGCAGTCAGCTTTGCCGGCCTATAGGTGCAAACATCTGGAAGGCAGGTGTTTGATTTTGTGGGTGCCAGAGGACACACAGCTGAGCGGCACAGCTGAGGGGCAGGGAGGAAATGTCTTACATTGATGTAGCACCTTCTGACTCTCCCCAGGCCCCCTTCAACAGGGAAGTGGTGGGGGGAGGTGACCGGAGAGCCACCAGCTGTGGAGCAGCTGCACAGGGGAGCACTTAAGAGGAGGACAGGAAGTGAAACACAGAAGGGCAGGCAGTCCCGGGGAGAGGTCTGAGGGAAGTGGAGGGAAATGGGGCTAAATCTTCCTGCCTGACTGCTGCTCTGGGGAGGTCCTGGTTAAACTCAGAGGCCAAGGACTCAGCTTCTATTTCTCCTAGGGGATAAGAAGGGAGGAAGGGGAAAGAGCAGTTTTCTTTAATTAAAAACAAAGAGTCTTCCAGACATTTGTGTGCTCCTCCATTCCCTGCTCTGACCTGAAATGGACTGTGCCCACTCATTCACATGTGCAAGAAAGAAGTGGCCTAAGTTTTCACTTTCTTAAACCCATTTGTATCTCATTCCCAGTCCCTAGCCCACCAAAGGAAGAAGGGTGGGGAGTCAATTTCCACTGTTACAAGAGGCTTCTGCCAAGAATTGTGCCAACATTACAGATACTCCCCTGATCCTGGATAATGAGTCCACCCAGTACCTGCTAGGATGTCCCTTGTGCTGCCTGATATAGTCCTTTCAGGTCTAGTGGTCACTGTGCCCTGAGTCCTATCTCCTGAGACCTTCACACCACCATTTCCTCTAAGACTAGCCTCCTCTGCAGGACCTCACCAGGATAGCCCCCAACCTATCCCTGGGAATGTCTTCACTCTGCCTCACTCTAAGGCGCTTTCCTCCTCCTTTTCCCCTCCTGTTCTAGGACACCTAGAAAATCTGATAGGTTTAGGCTTTTACAAAAGACAGAGAAAGTCTCTGATTTCAAAGTAGCTTCTGTAGTCCATCCTGTAAAGCAAGGAATTAATGTAATTGAAAATTTATGTAGTTCTTCTATGTCCTAAGCACGTTCTAAACACTTTACATTGTTAGCTCGTTTAATTCTCACAAAACTTTTTTAGGTAGGTGCTATTGTTATTCCACTTTACAGACAAGGAAAGTGAGGCACAAAGAGGCTAAGTAACTTAACCAAGGTTGCATAGCTGGGCAATGGCAGAACAAGGATTTGAGCCCAGGCAGTCTGTCTCTAGAGTTATCCATGATAAAAGTTCTATATCTTGTCACCTACAGACTACCTCCTTAAACCTGGAGGAGAAAAAAATACAATTTAAAACACCATAAATTAACATTTCAAAATGTATGTTCCTATACCAGGAGATAAGTGAATTAATTTCCTAGGCATTTCTAGATGGTCTCTCTACCACCATGGTACTATATCCACTTACCTCTTCCCAGAAGCCACTAACTGGGTGTGGGGGGAAGGACAAGAAAAAACAAAGAGGAAAAAGCAAATGGAAAACTCAGTTCTGGTTCAAAAAGATTAACTTTGAACCAAAGTTTTAAACCAGAAGTGGCTAAGTCACTTTAAAGCACAGAGATCATGGTTTAAACTGTCAGCTAAAATTGATGGTTGAGTTCAATTTTGAAAAAAAAGAAAGTTTCATTTCTAAACATTTGAGCTGAGTAACATTTTTACCTGGTAGATAAGTTCTTTATCAGATAGTAGGGTACAGGTGTGTCTTTTAAAAATATTTTTAAAACATTTCTCCAGTTGAGGGTGGGGTGGGATAAGAGTATGGGTCCACAAAAATTTCAAGTAAAACCATCAGAGAGCAAAAGAATTTTCCATCACAAAAAGCAAATCTTATTTATATATCACCATCTCTGATCTTATGTTCCCTACTCAAATTTCTTCATCCTTTAAATGCAACATGCCGCAACTTAAATCCTTTATTTTTATCCTAAACCATCCCCAATTCTATAACTTAACATTAGCATTACTACCTTTTAGTCTTCCAAGCCTGAAACCCAAGAGTCAGCCTTTTCTCTCCATCAGCCGCCAGTATCAAATCGGTCTCTAAGAACTACTGATCCATCTTCCCAGTGTTTCTCAATTTTATGTCTTCTCCATCCTCAGCCCCACTACAATGAGCTCAGGCCCTCGTTATCCTTACCTAGGTTTTTTAGTTTTTGTTTTTGTTTGGCCACACCTTAAAGCTGGTCTGGATTCCATTTTTTTCCCCTCTAATCTTAACTCTTCCCCACTGCTGCCAGTCTTGTGACAATGCCCCCCCTGCCATGGTTTCCCAATACCTGCAGAACAAGCTCATATGCCCTATTCAGCTCTCAAGGTTGTCATGATTTGACCTCAAGCCTACAGTCACAATCTCACTGATCACCCCCTCAACATCACAGTTTCTGTGTTATAACAGCTGCAGTTCATGTAAAATACCCCATTCTTTTCCCTGTTCTATTTTTTTACCCCTGTAGTTTCCTCTCCCTGGAATTTGCTTCTCCTTCTCTCCCTCTCTGCCCAAAGCACTCTTACATATCTTGCAAGAATTAGCTGCAATGTCACCACTATAATGACACCTCCCCCACTCACCTGAGCAAATTTGGCTATCTGTGTTGGCTTCCCAAAGCATCTTACACAGCTTGAGTATTCCTTATCCAAAATGCTTGGGACCAGAAGATTTTCAAGTCTGAGATTTTTTCAATTTTTGGGATATTTGCATTATGCTTGCTGATTAAGCATCCCAAATCCAAAAATCCAAAACTTGAAGTGCTTCAATGAGACTTTCCTTTGAGCTTCATGTTGGTGCTCAAAAAGGTTTGAATTTTGGAACATTTCAGATTTTGGATTTTTGGGTTTCAGATGCTCAACCTGTATAGGAGCCCAAAAGCTGCATTTAAACATAAACAAATACATGTAATTGAGTTGCATGTTTTCTGACTCCAGACCCTCAGTTCCTCAAGATCAAGAACCAAGTCTTTCATTCTGCATATTCTTAATGAGTACCCAGTATATAAGAGGCAACTGAGAGTTTCTTGAATTAGTACTTGATGTAACAGTACAAAAACACTAACAAACACATCCTTGTTTTTATCACATAAGAAGCTGGCATAGAGTATGTTCAGGAGGGCAGAATGCCTGCCTTTGAATCCTGGGTCCACTGACAACTTTCTTATCTTCAGCAGTTTATGTAACTTCTCTGTGTGCCTCACTTTCCTCATCTGCAGAATGGGATACTAGTAGTAGGGACTTCTAGGGGTTGTAGTGAGCACTAAGTGTGTTTTAGGCATGTAAGACACTTCAAAGAATGTCCAGCCAATAGCACATGCTCAATAAGCAATGGTTACTATTATCAGCTTTACAAATATTACATACAAGATTTTATTACGAAGAGTCTAAAACCAAGCAATACCAAGCACTGCTTTCTAACTCATGTTATATTGCATTTATTAGTGTCTTAAAACAAATGTAGGCAGTATTTCTTCACCAAACATTTCTTACTGGGTTCTCTCCACAAGCCTGCCTATCAGATTCCGAGAGCAGACACCATGCTGATACCCCGCCTGTTTTCTCATTTTTCCTTTCCACTCAGTGGGTTTCCCAGAGCAGCATTCCTTTAAAAATCGCCAGACCTAAGAACCTCCTGAGGAGCTAATTAAACTGCAGAGCACCAAGGCACATTCAGATTATAATTCTGTAGGTCTGGAGTGAAGTCCTAGAATCCGCATATTTATACCTCTCAACCTGATTCTGTTGTAAGTGATTCACACTCTTCCCTTTGGGAAATACTGCCCTGTTAACTTCCATCCAAGACCCAATAGGGGAAGTAGCAGTCTTTCAGAATCTTCCAGAACAAATCAAGGAGGTGGTGGCAATCTCAACAGCCAGAAAACATATACAGCAGCATCTCTTTATCTGCCATGTTGCCAAACCCGCTGTCACTACCCAACAAATAATAATCACCATGATAATAGCAGCTGGAATATGTGGACTGAAGTTAAACTAAGGAAAAGGGAGTGGAGCCACAGCTGGCACGTGCAGTGGTTGAATGACATGGCGGGGGTTCGAAGGAGTCCTGGCTCTCATTGAGGAGTGCCCCCGAGAGGCCCGCTGCCTGACCAACCACAGTCAAAGAGCAAGCATCCCTCTCAAAAGTGACACAGATGCAAGAAGTCCTCTACAGAGCCATTCCCATGTGGTATTCTTGACTCCTTGGGTGGCTTGCCAAGCCCAGATAGAACTGATATTTCTGGGGACTACTTCAAACCACATTTCTTGGCTCAGGCATCAAAGACCACTACCCCCAGCCTAGGCGTCACCCACTTCTCTTCAACAGCCCTCAGGTTTCATTACTCCAGTCAATCACCCAATATTTAGGTTTCTAATACATGCAAGTCACTTTGCTAGAAACAAGATCACAAAATGAGGTATAGCCCCAGCCTTCTAGGACTTTACAATGCCTTTGTGGAGATGAGAGTAAAGGCATGATCAGTGAAATCTGGTAAGAGATAACTCCCTTCTTGCTCTCCCAGATCCCATCTCAACCTTTACTCTACTCTGCGCCCCTAGAGGGTGATGTCTCAGGGATGCACAAACAAACCAAACTCCCTTCTCTCTAGCTTCTTTGGGTTCTATAATATTATTGGGAGGCAACAGTAGGAAATTGGTGGGCAGGAAGAGCAAGAGGTCTGGAGATTTATTCTCCAGTTCCTGTCCTTCCTGTCCAAGCATTTTACAACCTGAGGACATAGCTGCTCTCCAGAGGCCCTTCTCTGATAGCTACCGTCTCTCTGAATCAGGCAATTGGCCTCTCTTCTGGTATCTTCAGGACCAGGCATAGTAGCTGCTTCTTACCCGTAGCCCTAGGTGTGCTCCAACATCCTTCTTTGGTTTCCGTTAACTGCCCACACCAACGTAAACAGACTCTTCATTAAACTCCCCTTACACCCTTTGGGAGTATGCCATCTGGAGCAGGCACTGCTGGTTCTCTGTGAGCAGACCCTAGGCATGCATCATCCCTGCTGGTCTTCTTGCAGCAAGCACCTGTGGCTCTGCCTATGTGCTCTCTCCAGCCCCAGGGGCATGCTTGAACTGCACGAGGGTCCCCCAAGAGCAGTCCTCAAAGAATGATAAGTAGCAGTTGATGGACAAATGAATAGCTCATCTTCCTAGGCCTTCAGGACAACTTGGAAGTGTGTTCCACATCATCTCCCAGAGGTGCCCAGCAGGGTTGAGCCCTGGTTGCCCACAGTGGGAACTTTCTCATTGACATACCCCATTTCAGTTGCCTTCTCTTCCTGCCTCACTTCCCCAGTCCCCTCTTAGTGCTCCCTGAGATAACCTCCTAAATAAACTACTTGCACCCAAATCTGTTCTCAGGACCTGCTTCTGGAGGGGCCAACCTAAGACACTATGTTTCCTGCGGGAAGCCTGACTGATGCAGGATCTAATATTTTTTAAACAACTACTACATAATAGGACAGTGCTGGGCACTTTATATACATTTTCTTATTTTTACTCGTAAAAATCATGCCAGAAAGTTACCGTTGGTAACTACAGGTGATAAAACAGAGGCTCAAAGAAGTTAAATCAGTCGTCCAAAGTGACTCAGTTAGTAAGCAGATGGCAGAGGTGGAAAATGAAGCCAGCATTAGTTAGCCTTAAGAGGTTTCTTACACCCTTATCTTTTCATAGTTTAAACGTGCAGTTAAAAGAAAGGTTGAATGCAAAGCTACAAGAGCTCTGGGAACCAGGATGGTCAGAAAAGCCGATAGGAAGAGATGTAAAATCCCGACAGTCCCTGCCAAGCCTCTGATCCTGACTTAGCATCATCACATGACCTTGCTCAGGGCATGGCGCTCCTCCTCACCAGGTCCATGGCACAGCTCAGCACCCAGACTCCTTCCATCACCATCATCTGCTGTCTTCGTAAGCCTCCCTGGAAATGGCCTTGCAGGGAACGGAAGGGACGTGTCGGCTGGGGGACAGGCAGGTGGAAGAATGAAGAGAACGTTCCCCTTTACTCTGCTCCTCTTGCCTCTCCCTGCCTGTGCTCATGCTGACATTGCTGCTTCATTAGCCCCCAGGACTCCATGCTGTCTGCTCATGTGGAAGCTTCTAGAAACAGTGCTGCTGACAGGGACTCTGGTAGGCTTTGCTCTCCAGTGAATCTGTGTGGGTGTCCATGAAGCAGAGCTGTGTGAGAACAGGAAGGGAGAGACTCCTCCTTCTCTGCCCATTCAACTGCTGAACAAATCCATGCAAAAAGCAACAGTGGGGAAACACAGCCTCCACTGAGCCAGACCAGGAAGGAATGTGGCCTCAGAGAGCCTGCGCTTCTGAAGGCTGAGAGACTCTGGAGATCATCTTGTGCATCCCCCAGCCTCCACACTGCAGCTTCCCTTTTCTCTAAGGACACCCCCGCAGCCTCATGCAGATGCCTTCTCAGGTCTCGGTGAGTCACTCCACATATCTAACCTAGCTTTTCCCCATAGAACTCAGGAAAGATAAAGGCTGAAGGAGTCTGTGAAACTTCATGATGAAGGGAGTCTCTAAACCTCTTGCCAAGAGGCAATGATACAAGAGCTCTGGGTCCAAAAGGTCCCTTCGGGAAGATCCCCAACCTCCACCAGGGAAGATCTGAGCCTTTCCTTAGGTGATGCTAGGATTTCTAATTCCAGTGGTCACCTTCCATGGGGCAAGAATCTTCCATTGTTCATCTCATGCCTACCACATAGCCTCACATACTCCCTGGTGCACAATACATGTTCAACAAATCATTGTGTAATTCCATTCAGTTGAAGTCCTCTGGCCACCTGAGTTGTCCATCTGTGTAGTGAAGGGTCAGAAAAAACTTGCAATGCAGAGGCAACCCTCAGGGAAGAAAGTATCCTTGGTCTTTGGGGTGGAGACAGAAGAAACCCACCTTTCTTCCCCCTATTTCTTTGCACTATGCTCCACAGCAGAAGATAACATTACAAACTTCCCAAGTAGAACAAAATGTCCAAAGTCTTTGGTTCTTGGGCTGTAGATCCCTACTGTCCTGGTGGAGAAGAGGGAGCTGATGCAGTCTGACCAGAAAATCATGCTGTGAAGACAGGATGCGGAGAACATTGGTAATTCTTCTAGCAGGAATCAATTTTATTCCACAAGTTGAGTATAAAATAGTGCCACATTCCTTATTGTTTCCTTCAGTCTCTATCATGTTTTGCGGGGGGGTGCTGCCTAGACGGTACTCAGACATAGGCAAAGGACATGGTCTCTGAGGGTACTCATCATCCTTAAAGTTGCTTCACCCAAAGGCAAGCTCCTTTGGGTGCTCCATCCCTCAGTGCCTATGGAGGTATGGGAGTCTTTGAGGTTCCCAAGGCTCCTCTTCAGTGTTCCAACCCTGGTACCCCATGCTGCCCATCAGAGGACCTCACCTCTTCATCTCTGCTGAGAAACAAGGCACAGTTCTCCAGCTGATTCCCAGGTAAGGCACTGCTAGAAGACTGGATATGGAGGAGAGAAGCCAAGCCTTGCTCCCTCTCTCTCTGCTTCTGAAGATAGCATCTCCAGCAGCTGCCACTTCTCCTCTGTGCCCCCAGCTCCCATTGCACAGGTCAGCCCTGGTTTCAGCTGCCCTCAGGCTCTCCTCCCTTTGTCCTTCAAGCTTAGGGCAACCAGACTCCCCACTCTTGCTAATCTCAGGGCTGCCTTTTCATCTGCTGTTTGGCTTCTCAGCAATTCCATCACCTACTAACCAATTCCCCTTGTCACATTCTCTTTGTTATAAATATTTCATGTGACTCTGTTTCCTTGGTTGGACCCTGGTGGATACAATTCCTTTCCTCCCTTTCCGAAAAGTTACTCCTCAACTCCAAACTCCTGTGCTTCCCCACTCTCTGAGCCCCCTTTGCTTTCACCAACCAGCTCCTTTGGAAAACAAAATCCCCATTCTCCACCTGATTCCCAGCCCTGTTTGCTCTTTTAGGCAAAATGGAACAGACTCAGGTCTAACACGTGGTGATTCCCTGTGGTCAGCAAAGGAGTCATTATGGCATGAGGTGGGAGAGTGGCCGCTGGCACCTGAGAAAGGCCCCACACACTTCTTATTTGTCTCAGCCCCTAAAGGCTGAGCAGGTTGAGGAGGGAGCCTTTTAAAAGTCTTAAAACAAAAACAACTCTGATTTATTCTGATTCTTCTGCAATGGCAAGAACAATACAAATTAATATGTCAACAAATGATCCTGCCAAGCTTAGGACCCTGGAAAAACACACAGAGCCTCTGAGGGTCCTGCTCTTGCCAGTGGAGTCTCAAGTTATGGCTATTTGGTTTGTGCAGGTGAGCAGAAAAAGGAAACACCCCTGCAGAGGAACGTCCCTGCCTAAAGCATTTTGGGGGTCCCCTCCCTCCTCAACCTGCTCAGCCTTTGGGGGCTGAAACAAGTAAGGAATGTGTGGAGCCTTGCTCAGGTCCCACTCTCCTACCTTGGGAGATCATGGCCCCTCTGCTGGCCACTGGGAGTTACCATGTATTAGACCTGGAGCTGGAGAGGATATGAGAAACCACCTGTCTCACTCTGTCATATTAGGATGAGGAGAATGAAATCCAAGAGAGGGGGATGACACCCAGGTTGATCAGGGGATGAGCGACAGACCAAGAACTAGAACTCAAGTATCCAAATTCCACTGCCCCCTCCAATTTGCCAATGTCCCTTTTAAAGAGCTCTTGGTCAAAAAGGTCAAAAAAGAGCCCTTGGTCATTGCTTGGGAATTGAATCCTGCTCTGCCCTCAACTGGCTGTGGGGCCTAGGGGGCTTTCCATGACACTCTGCTTCATTCATTCCTTCAATAAACATTATCAAGCTCTCACTATATTCCAGACACTGTTTCAGGCAGAGAGTGTGCAGATGAATGAAAATCCTCATCATTACAGAGACTTCACTCCAGGGGAAGGGAACAAATAAATAAATAAAAGTTATTAGAAAAAAAATGCTGAGTATATCTGTTGGTGATATATGACACTGGAAAAAAGAAATAAAGGGAGGTAAAGTGAGTTCCAGGGTGGAGAGGTTGCAAATTTTAAATAGCATGGTCAGGGAAACCTCAGTGTCTGTCTCTATCTGCAAATGGGAATAATAACAGCATAAACCTTACAGAATCACTATGAGGATCAGGCAGGTTAAGCCACATAAAAGGCCAAGCACAGTGAACATCACAAAGTTAATACTAAATAAATGTTAGCTATTACTGCCATCATCATCATTGCTAGCTCATATTTACTAATCAAATTATTTTGACATTTATTCTTTGAATTTCGGTTCTGTCATTTCCCAGCATGGGAAGTAACTCAATCTAATCTCCCTGAATCACATTCTCATCTCTCTCATGGTGTTAATAGTCTCTACCTCATGGAGTTGTTGTAAAGACCTTGTGAGTTAATCCTTGTAAAGCACTTGAAATGGTCTCTGCTACATAATAAGTGCTCAATAAATATCAGTAAAGACACTACTAGAATGAATGCTCCAGAAGGACAGGAATCTTTGTTTTGTTCATCATCAAACCTCCACTAGGTAGGACAGTCCCTGAGACATAGTGGACACTTGATTAATATTTGTCAAACGAATAAATTGATTGTTTACTATGTGGCAGTCACTATGTGACAGTCCAGGTCCCAATGAGAAACAAAAGGAATGACCAAATTGGAATCATTTGAGTTGAGCTTAATAAAAAGACCATTGAAAAAGATGTGAGCAAAGTGTAGGGAAATTGCAAGGGGCGGTGTGATATTCCAAGGCTGTTGACAATGAGGCTCCATTATGACCCCGGGGGTTGAAGGAGTAAGGTAAGCTAGCGGTTATTAGACCCCAGAGAGAACATGGGAGAGGATCCTCTACCAGGAGCTTTGACCTTGAGTCTAGGAACACAGTTGATTCCTGGCAACCCCTCGGAGAGGTCATTGGGAGAATAAATACCCAGATCACTCTCCTACTACCTTCTGATCTCCTGCTGGGCTCCCATTAGCTAGGCCAATGGGAAACCAGAGGACATGAGAACTCACTGATGTGGTCCATAGAGGTGAGACTCCAGGACGAAAAACAGAGTGAAGAAGGGTGGAGAATGGACCTGCAGAGCTAAACACGAGCTATCCAGCACAACTTCTATGTACTATCTCACTCAGTCTTCACAATTACTTATGAAGTAAAAATTTTCATCATTTATATTTTCAGCGAAGAAACGAGGGCTCAGAGAGGTTAAGTAACATGCTTAGGGATGCACAGCCACTAAGTGAGTAGGGCAAGGTTCAAGCCCAGGAAGCCTTACTCCAAAGCCTATATCTTTAGTCATGACCCATCTCAACTGTGTCCTTTTTCTGGACACAGTTTCCCAACCTCTGTTTCTCTGCCTAAGTGATGAGGAACTCTTTCCTCCTGGTGTCCCATTCAGTCTGGGCCACCCTGACAAGGAACAGATTCTCCTACAGGCTGGCACAAGGATTAACACATTTGGTCTCTTCTCCACTTGACCCCACTACTTGGGTATATTGCCCCTCTTTAAATGAGTCTTGCCGAACTGAACATACTGACTCCGGAATCGTGTCCCTTCCTTGTTATAGACCTGGAAGGTTAGATACAAAGACATGAAGCAAGACTTCTTGAAAGTCACATGCACAGGCCACAAACAGATCTCATCTGCTCCATGGGGTCCCCCCAGTGGCCCCACCTCAACTCCTCTACCCCTCTAGCAGCTTCCACACCTCATCTGCCTCCTCTTTATGGATGCATTGGGAGGAGAGGGGGGCAGGAGAGATGTTTTGCGGGCCCCCATGAGGGGCAGCCATGCTGGGAAAATTCTATTTACAGCCGTCTCATTTGCACCAGTGGAGATCTGGACAGCCCGCTGGACTCTCCAGGATGTGAAGCTCTGGGACATGCCAGATTGTTATCATTGTCAGATACAATTTCCTCCCACTGCCGCCGCCCCGTGCCAGGCCGTGGTGTCCATCTGTTTATGGAAACAGCAAGGTCCTGGCCAGGTATTTTTAGACAGGGCCTTTGCTGTGCAGGATCAACTTCCCACCAGAACTGTCAGCACCATCCAGCTTCTCCTCTTCATCTGTTTGTTGTAAATTCTCTAATAATATATAAAACCACAAAGCAGGGGCCAAAGTTTCCTTGGAATGTGGTGGGTGCTGTCCTTCCTCCCCGGCTCATCCCACAAGGGTGGACTTTCCTGTTTTGATTGCTTCAGGTTTTTTTTTGTTGTTGTTCTTTTCCTTCTCCTGTCATTATTTTGAAAGAGAATTATGTGCAGCTCCTCCCACCTCCATTGAATAATAAGTGTTATTTGAAGACTTCCTGGGGAATGGAAAATCGCACTGCCTGCCTGTGACAGCTGAGTCTGGGGAGGAGAGGAAATCAAATGAGGGTCAAGTGGAATAAACAATATTTCAATGTTAACACCATTGGGTCAATAACAGGTTATTAGTGACCATCAGATCTGATCGTCATTTTGCAGAGAAGGAAATTGAAGCATAGCAAAGGGAAGGGAGATCATGGCTCAGAAAGCATTGCCAGAGCACAAAACACCAACAAGAAAGAAAGAATGGATGAAACTAAGGGATTATGAATCCCTGCTCTCTGCCATTTGGGGCACAGGATGAGGCGGTAGGTATATCAAGGGCTCGATATGAACCTGAGATGGAAGTTCCTGGAGAAGACGGGATGAGTTCAGGACAAAAGGAGCCATAAGTGGCAGACTGGCAGCCTCTGCTGCAGGGCGTGAGTGTAGCTGGGCAAGAGAAAGAAGGGAACGATGGGTAAATGGGGCAGCCTCTTTGGGGAGAAGAGCCCTTGGGAAGGAGACGTGATGGGCAGAAGGAAAGGAGGGTGATTCTTAAAGATAACTACCTATCACGGTGCCTTATCACTCAACTATGTCTTGACTGAGACATTTAATGATGGTGTAAATGGCCCTTCAGCAGATCTTGAACTGTGTTTTGGGCCAAATGGCCTTGGGAAATTGATTTTAAATTTTTTTCATGAAAAACACACCATATTTAGTGCCTGATTACAAACTATTTGTGTGAAGTTTAAATGATCTAGATTATGAAACACGACTTCAATCAAATCCATGCTTTGTGAATACTCAAGAAGAAAGCAATGGACATGAAGCTGGTGTCAGGAGAAGGATTCCAGGATCAGCTTGTCCACTAACTCACAGCAGGACATTGGAGAAGTGATCTTGGCTCTCAAGGCATCAATTTTCTAACACAGAAAGTACAAGACCTGCATTAAAATTGTTTCAAGCTCCACTCCTATTAGAAATTGTCTTTGCCTTAGCCAAGACCCACTAGCAGGTTGTGGTTGGCATCTGTATCTTCCAACCAGCATTGAATGTTTTGCATCGTTTTCATACACACATTGAAATGAAGATCTAACTGGAGTATAGATCATGCACAGGCTCTGGACTCAGAGAGCCTGGATTCTAGACCTGCTGCCACCATGCACCAGCTCCATGGCCTTTGAGCAAGTCACTGAACCTCACTGTGCCTCAGTTTCCTTATTACAAAATGGAAATAAAACAGTACCTACTTCATGAAATAGTTGTGAGAATGAAATGAGTTAATACATCTAGATTCCTCAGAGCCTGGCATACAGTAAGCAATATACATTAATTAGTAAAATATTTGCCTACTGCCATCTAAAGCCACATCCTATACCACCAAGCTACAGGAAACAATAAACTCAAAGAGAAACTCTAATCCATTAACAGGAAGCTGAGGAGGGAGGGTAACATTAGGAAGTGTTGAGTATGGAGGCAGTGGGTGGGACTAGCTGTCACTCTTGATGTACTGGTGGGCATTACCCCTGCTGCATATTGAGGACTTGGGAAATGAGGATGTAAGCTCCCAGAGGGCTTCAGTGCCAGGGCCCACGAGCATCCCTATGCATCTTCAAAGCAAGTTAGCAGGTCTGCTGGGCCAGGCTGGACAGCCAAGAGCTGAGCATGAGAGCAGCACATGTCTATAGGTTCAAAAAGAAGTGCGGAGTGAGGGCTGACGTGGGAATCAGGAAACCTGGGCTTGATGTCTGACTCTGGGGCTATTGACTGTATGACCGCAAACCATTCCCTCTACCCTCCAGCCCATATTCCAACCAGGGGAATGAGATGAACAGATCTCTGAGGTTTCCACCACCTAACATAGTACATCTCTGGGACAGGGTTGAGATCTGCGTAAGCTCACCCAACTTTCTCAAAGATTACAGAGGTGTTTATAAGCAATAGAGGAAGCTTGACCACATAAGGACATGCATGATGCTCCCCATACACATCTCCCACTCAGATCTCCAAAATCCACTCTGCTTTGATCCAGGTCCTTGTTCTGACTGGAGTTATGGAGGGTCATCTGGACATTTCCCAGGGGCCGGTAGAGCCACTGCTCCTTGGGCCTTTTTCCTGAGGACAAGAGGAAGAACAGCGACTATTTCCCCTAGGAATGCCACCACATGCACCAACCTGCTGGTCACCCACCTAGCTGCATGTTCTCACAGAGCAGTGCTCCTTAAATGCAGATTCTTGGGCATACTTTGAACCTACTAAATCAGAATTTTCAATGGCAGGACTTGGGAATCTACATTTAACAACCTCCCTTAGGTAATATTAACATAGAGTTTTATGAAGCTCCAAAGAATACCAAAGCATATGGCCAGCCACTCACCCAGAAGCTGCAGACAGCTGGATGAGTGTGGCTTGACCATTCATTACCCAGCTTGAAAGCCTCCCTGCAGCAGGGCCCCTTATACATGCTACAGGTCAAGCAGAAATGAATTGAATCCACCTGTTCCTGTCAGGGGCACATAGCACAGGGACAAGGGATGAGGGGTTTGGGGAGACAGACTCTCAGACAAGTAATTACCTGGGTTTGAGTCCCTACTCTACCACTTAACCAACTGTGGGGGCCTCACATCAGTTTCCTATTTTTATAAAAATAGAAATAAACACTCAGATACTCAACAAAATAAAATAAGTTATTTCACTCAGCACAGAGCCTGGCACACAGTAGACACTTGGTTAGCAGTGAAACTCCATCTGCCAGGATACCACAGAGATAAGAATGATCTCTTATCAGCAGCTATTGTTAACTCTGGTTTTCAGGGAGAATAACACATTCATCTAGTTGTCTGAGAAAGATTTTGTTTTATATCCCATTGTTGAGGTGAAAATAAGATTCTATCCTCTTGGGACTTTGGGGGCTGTTTGTTTCAGCCATTCAGAGAGTTCTAAGTCCCTGGGAGCAGCATGCCCTGGAAACAGAATACCTCGCTTTTCCAAGGGTGGAGTGGTCATCCCGACTGCTCCTCCCCAGAGGAGAGGTCTGACATGGCATGGGATAGAGGCCAGCAGCTCCTCTCTCAGGGACATGTCAATCCAAGATGCCAGGACAAATAGCCTTGTTGTTTGTTCTTGTTCTCCGGCAGCTAAGTCTATGCCGTTACAAAGTGCTTTCCCATGCATGAATCCACACCACCCACTCGACTGTCCTGCAAGGCTGCAGTGTGACGATGTCAACAACAATGATGGCAATGGCATCTTTGCGACTCTCTCCCTTGCCTCCTCCAAATCTTTGCTCAAATATCATCTTCTCAGTGAGGCTACCCTGCCCACCCTATTAAAATTTTGATCTGTCCACATCACAGCAATCCCTGTCCTCCTTACCCTGCTCCATTCTTTAGGCTTTTTTCTCATGTGTGCCAACCATGAGAACGCACTGTACAGACCTTCAACTCCAGGTCACATAGTTGACCAAGGGCCTCAGCTGCTATGCTGTGAAACCCATCACTGTATCGGAGCTGCTACCCCACCTCCCCAGGGCAGTTGCTGGCCAAAGACTAAGGCCATCATAGAGACATGGGACTCCTGGTGTCCAGCTTTTGCTTGAGGACTGACTCCCCCTCATGGCTTCAGCAAGCCAGGGCTCCTCCACCCAACCTTCTCTCTCTCTCCTCACTCAAGGTCACATTTGCATGGTGGACTGGGGGCTCCCTGGAGCCTTTTCTGGCAGCCTCCCTTTCTACCTCCCACAGGCATGTCCTTTAAAGAACTCTTTGAATGTTCTTTCCTGACATATGTAATCCTATGGTCAACCCAAACTAACACTCTATAGCATCTATCTTCTAACATACAAAATCCTTTACTTAGTGCATTTACTTTTATTTCCACCTCACCCACAGAAAGGCAAGATTTTTTTTTAACTATTTTGTTCACTGATACAGCCTAGGCACCTAAAAAATGACACTTAATGAATATTTACTAAGTAAACAATGCCTATTTTCCAGACGGGAAAATGAGGCCCAGAGAGGTTAAGTGACTCTCCCAAGTGGCTCAGCCAATAAGTATCAAAGCAGAGTTTAGGTAACTAACATCTCTTCCACTATGCGCACCTATCTCTCTTCCAGTCTCCATCTGCCTGTGTCTCTCTACTTATGTGTTTTTCTCTTGTCCCTCTCTTCCTCAGGGTGTTGTTTGCTTTTTGTGTGCTCAGTCTGTGTGTGTGTGTGTGTGTGTGTGTGTGTGTGTGTATGTGTGCACACACATGTGCGTCCCTCGATGGCTGAAGTGGACCACTCTGTCAATAGTGCTTAGGGAGGTGGGATTCAGGAAGGGAAGGGACGTGGGTGGAAACTAAAGGCAGCCATGAAGGTGGAGGACTAGACAAGAATCCAAGGGGAAGGAGGAAGGCTGCATGGGGCAGCGAGAAAAGACACAAGAGGGCAAGTGCCCCTAGTGGGAGTTAAATGACCAGGACCCCACCCTGCTTCCCACTAGCTTTGTGACATGGGCTCAGTCCCTTAACCTCTGTGAGTATCTGTTCTTTACTGGATTGTTCCTCCCCACTGTATAAATCCCATCTCAACATTCTTCACAGATAAAACCCCAAGTGAGCTGTGGCTGGCAAAGAGCTTTGTAGGTGGAAACGAAGGTGACCGTCCTTAAGGAAGAATGAGCGAAGACAGGCAGCATGAGAACTACGGCCAGGTCCAGGGTCTCGCCCACTCTGCTCTGGAGCCACATGCTGCTGCTTATCTAAGTGGTGAGGAAGGGGGGCTAGAGGACAAAGAAATACTCGCCTTCAGCCAGTGGGATTCAGGCAGCAACAGGGAGTTTCTGGACAGTGAGTGTGGGAGAGGTGATGGAGCAGGTGCAGGGGAAGGTGGGCACTGCCTTCCTGGAGTGTGGGCTGGATCTCCCTGTATCCGAGATGATTTACACAAGGTCCTGCATGCACACCTGGGCAGGGGATGCATAGGCTCAGGAGGACAGCAGGTGGTGAATGTAGCCCTGGAGAGGGCAGACTGTGGGCTGCAGGAAGAGGCTGCAGGTGCTGCCTGCAGGAAGAGGCTGGGCCTCAACATGTGGCATTGTTAGAGCCCTGGCTGTACAGACACTGTGCCAGGACCATGAGGGGGAGGAGATGCATTGGCCCTGCCTCTGCCCAGAGCCCTCCCAGCCCTGAGACTCTTCAACTCTTGGACACTAAGGAGGGACAAGAGGGAGAATGTGGCAACCTGGTGTCCTGGTCGCTCCTTTATAATCAATCATACAAGGTGACAACACGCACAGTGCAGGTGATGGCTTCACCTGCCTGCTCCATCCCACCCAGCTCGACATCTGCCAAAGGTCACAGCACACATTCTAAAAGGCTGACAACTGCCTGGTGGCAGAAACCTCCTGACGCTGCAGAAAATGCCTCTCTCTGGGCCTGTGGGAAGTCTCACTCATTTACAACGTCACTCAGGGGGCCCCACCTGCTCTGAGACCAGGCAGCCAGTCATCAGGGACAAGGATTGAAGACTGCCAGTGACTTGCTGAGTGACATGGATGACAGACAAGTGACCAAGCTGTCTGCATGACGCCCTGAGCCACTGAGGAGGTGACCCTCCTGCTCACCAGGTGTGCAAACATACCCAGTGCCTGGCACAGAGCGGCCCTCACAGCCTGTGCGTGGGTGGTGTCTTACAAAACGGAAACCTTTAAGCCCTGTTGTTAGGAGCTTTTGCTTGCTGGGAGGACTGAGGTGAGGAGGAAATGAGATCGCACTGTGAAAATACTTTGAGAAAACGGAAAAGTACGGTGGAAAATTTGGTTTGGTTGTTTTTAGCCTTACATGAGTCTGGTGCCATGGGGCTCTAAGGAAAGCTGTCTTACCAGTTTGGGATGACAGGGAGGTTGGAGCAGGTGACCTGAGCCTACCCTTAACACCATGTGTATGTGGAGCAAGTCACTTCATCTTTCCAAGCATTTTGTTTCTCTGAATCTCAATTTCCTCACCTGCACAATGGGAGAAGGGCCAGAGAATTAGGGGTGTCCTTTGCAGTCAGATGTTTTAGGATCCTGTTCACACAGCCCAGGGAACAGCAGGGACATCTTGCCAGCCTCTCATGATAGAAGGAGCATGAAGTCACAGGGCACACAGGTGCTCAGGCTCTGCCACCAGCTCCCTGTGGGACTCTCCAGGCCTCATTTTTGTCCTCTGAGAAGGTCCACAGGCTCATAGCCCTCCAAATTCACCGCCAGCCCCAACCAGTGCAGCATTCAACCACACCAGCCCACCCTAGAGTCACAGATAGACACAGGCCCCAGGGGGAAGGCCCAGGTGGAGCTGCAGGGAGCTCACTTCACACGTGCTCTCTTAGCTAGTGGCCTCGGGGAGCTGTGCGAGGTAGAGATAACTTTGCCCATTCCTAGCTCCACTGTGGATTGGGGTGCATATCCAGACATGAGACAGGTCTGTCTGCCCTTCCCTGCTCACTCTCACTCTTGCCCTGCCCAGCGTTCAATCCAATGGGTCTCATACCAGGAAACAGATGAAAAACTCCCTTCTCCAACTTTACCATTCAAAAGCAGGCTCTGTGTAGGGGCTTGGGGAGAAGGTTAAAGCCCCTTTCCTCCAATATGTGTCTTTTCTGAGGGTAAAAGTACAATCAGTAGCTTTGTGGACTTGGGGGCAGTGATGGAGGAAGTAGCACAAAAAGCTAGGTGGATGTCACCATCTGGAGATTCATCCAGGCGGTGGTTGATGGAGACCTGGGCAGAAGTCTTGGCAGGTGCACACACTCTGCAAGGCACTGCAGGGACTGGCCTAGGGCCTGCACTTCCTGGGCCTCAGATGCAGCATCTGAGCCAGGCCAGGACCACGGACAAAGGACAGCTTCTGAGCCCAGCGGATCTTGGGCCTGGGGGATATTCACTCTGCTGAGTCATGGACTCTTACGCAGGAGCGAGCCTGTCTGCTGGTGCTTCAGCCTCTGCTTGATCACCTCCACCAACAAGGTGCTCACTACCTCACTAAGCAGCATGTTTCACAGTGGAACAACTCTGGATTATAAACATTCCTCCATGGACGGATCAAAATTGCCTCCCCTGAGCCTGAAGTGCCTCTGGAGTTTTCTAGAAGATAATGTCTGTGTGACCCCTACCTCTCTCCCACCTTCTTTAGCCATGACGTGCTTGTGACCTGGGATACCTCTTCTCTGTAATTCAGTTTAGCTGCCCTCCAGGAGAAAAGTAGAAAGAGAAACAACAAAGAAGACCAATGTGTCCTGTGGCTCTAGCATTTCCAACTCTGCAATGATCAAGAAACACGAGGAGAAACACATATTAAACCTAAAAATGGGCACAGCTCCCAGCCCCATGCTGTTTTTTGCTGTCCCCGCCTTTAAATTGTTTTACACTCTCACTTCACTTGGAGAAAGTTGACAGGGAGGTGGAATAAGTAAGGAATAAGTAACTGAGGCTTTAAAAGTTCTGGGTTCTGGTCCCCTCAGTCTGCAAACTATTTAACAAAAGAACTAAATAACAAAATGCCCCTCATACAGTTAAGGTTTCCCCGACACTGGAATCCATGCTTGGTGATTCTCCATGGCTTTAGGCTCAGGATCATGGTGTCTGATGGATTCTCTTTCCTTCTACCTGGGAGGTGGTAAGAGTCACTAAGTTGCCCCCTGGAAATTAAGAGCAGGGCTCATCTCCACTATCCCATCTAGATGAAACTTTGGATCAGAAGTGGTCTCAGATGTTTTTGAGAAGGTCTCCATGAATCCCACGGAACAAAGCTGAATTTTGGCAACATCCCACTGTCCCTGCCCTGCAAAACAAGTAGCAAAGGGGACAGGCAGCCATGCTACCAGGAGGGCTCGGAAGGAGGACAGCCTGTATAGGTATATTGGAGACCTGCTGCGGTGCATTGTCAGCCTGTGTGAGTCGACATATGCCATGGTAAAGCAGACAGCAGGGGCTGGCAAATCTAGAGCCCTATAATGACCCGGAGGCCAGCTGACCACAGCGCCACACTCTCTCATTAAGATGCCACTAGGACATGGTGCACCTGATGGCGGCTTTATTTGCAGATCCTGGCTCCTGCTGGGCACTCTTCCACCTTTCTGAGCTGTAGATGCAAAAATGACTCAGACTGCAGTGGATATTTCCATCTACACAGCCCAAACTAAATTCAACAACACAGTTACCGCTTCCCCAGCTCCATTCCTGAGGCCTTCCTGCCACGCTGCCGTGTACACTGAGGGAGCCTCACCATTTCTGAGGCCCCATCTTAAAAGGGAAAACAGCAGGCTGGTCCCACATGATCATGTGGCTGCCCTCCGGGGCTCACACCCCAAGTTCTGAAAGGCTTTCCTGGTAGGAGCTATCCTCCCACTGGCCTGTCACATTAGGATAAAGTCACCTCCTCCCTTTGTTGATGAGCTTTGGGGAACCACTTGGCCTCACATGCTCAGTCTTTTGGTTGGATGTGCCTAACTCCATTGCTCTTATCTCCTGATTTGAGCCTGGCCAATCAAAGTCACAGTGATGGGCACTGACTCAAGACAAGCCAACGAGACCCAGGACAAGAGTTTTGGGGTAAAATTGCTGCAAAACAAAACAAAACAAACACTGGGGAATGCTCCACTGGGGATGCTAGGCTACCCTTACTTATAACTTCCTATATGCATTCCTTTATGTCTAGAGGCTTTAAAATTTAAATTAGCCAGGCGTGGTGGCAGGCGCCTATAATCCCAGCTACTCGGAAGGCTGAAGCAGGAGAATGGCGTGAACCCAGGAGGCGGAGCTTGCAGTGAACCGAGATCTCGCCACTGCACTGCAGCCTGGACAACAGAGTGAGACTCCGTCTCAAAAAAGAAAAATAAAATAAAATAAAATTTCCTATGAATATTCCAGAACACATAGCACTCTAAATTTCAATTAGTTAAGTAGGAATTAGTGAGCCACAAGCTGAGAACTTGACAGTGATGTGGTATGGGGCTGATAACAAGGATACCAAGAAAAGAAGGGAGATGAAAGAAGAACACAGGCAAATTTCTTTGGTTTTTCATCCATTTCATTCTACCCCCCGAAAAAAAGCACATTTTTTCCAGCAGAGCTCTAGTGTTTGTTATAGTCTGTTATTTCTAATTCTTGGAAAGGCGGTCACCCACATAGGGAATCCCTGACAACACTCCATTAGGCAGAGTGTCCAAGCAACCAGAAGGCCCCAGGGATGTTCAGTTGAGAAGCATAATGATGATGAATCCTGTCCATATTGTTTATGATTTAACAACTGGTTTATTACGTAGGATGTTCTGGGTCACTCCTGGGAAACTATTTAAACAAATAATCTGTAGTTAAATGATCTAATAGAACAAGTGTTTTCAGGTTTTTGGAAGACGCCCATTATCTAAAACTATTCATGTATTCTTAGAATTGGAAGGTACTTTTAACATCTTCTAATAAGATTCCTTTACTATATTAGTGCGTAAACTGGGGCCTAGAGAAATTAGGGAATTTGCCCAAGGTCTAAATTTGCATTCTTTACTCATAGCCTTACCCTCAAAGGGCTGACATCATTTCTACCACATTGACATCTTCCTGGTGTAATGGAAAGACCTGTTCCTAGTGCAGGTTCTGACAGTCAGCAGTGCATGACCTTGAGTAAGACGCTGAACCTTTCGAAACCCAGTCCACCAGAAAGCCCCTAGGAGCCTGCTAGTTATGTAGTTCCCTTTGGAGGAAAATCACTTTATGAAGTCATTTCCTGCAAAAGTTACAACAGTGTATGCCTCAGGTGGTGAGAAAAAACAACCCTGCCACCCTGTCACAACTTTTTGGGCCAGGAAGAAGGGAGCAGCCATATCAGCTGGCTGAGGGTAGGAAAGACCAAAAACCTCAGAGATGGGACAGCATGACATCTTCCCAGCAAGCACACAGGTCCTGACAGCTCTCCTTGGGATGCTTAAATGCTAGGTGTGGTGGACTCTCTTGGGTATTTGTTGAGCAACTCTCACACCTTTCTCCTTCCTAGGAGACCTCAATTTTATTCAGTGTCTACTCTCCCCCTCTTACCCTGTGTGCCTTCAGATGTAGGTTCTGGTAATCTCATCTTCCTGACCAGTGTTTACTTCAAGGACTCAGGTTTAGGCCAATCAACACAGGGCATTCCCCTGGCAATGTTAGTTGTCCAGAAGTGAGGGCATGACCTAAGTTGGTCAATTTAGGTAGAAAGGAAGGATTTTTATTCCATGCTTTCCCTATCTGCCTATATGTGAAATAAGAAAGCACGCTACCCCAGCTGCTGCTGGCAGCCCTCTTGAAACCATGAAGGAAGACAGCCTGAGCCAAGACCAAACCTTCCAGGGGAAAAGAGAAGAGCAAATCACACACACAAAAAGCAATCTAGAAATTTGGCAGAGAGTCTGTCCTACCTCTAGACTTTCTCTATGTGAGATTTAAATGTCTCCATCATTTAAATAAGCTTGAGCCTCTTTTTGGTTTTTTGAAGTTGGAAACATCCTAACCCATAGACTAGGTAAATTAAAATTCATATATAAGAAGGCAAGTTCCTGGAAATCATGGTGAATCCTAAATGAGGTGAAGTGTTTGCTCAGTGTTGTACCCCCCAGTTCTGGAAGCACAGGCTCCCCTGTGCTGCTCTGCTGTAGTGACCACATTCCACGCTATTCCACGTTCCTTTGTACATCTGAAATAAACCCCAGGAAATGATATTTGAATTTGACCTAGTGTGTCTCTTCTTATAACTGTTAAGGAGCTTGGCCAACACATTCTCTAATCTTCACAGTTTCCATCTGTAAAATAGGATTGATGACACTTGCCCAGCTGACCTTCATAGTCCACCTAACAAATGCATTGGTCATTTCCAAAACCTCATCTGTTTCTCTTCTACTCATCCCCTTTCTGTTCCTCTGACCATCTCAACAAAGAGTAGGGCCAGGTTTGGTGGGAAGGAGAGGATGAAAGTAGATGTGCTAGAGCCATGCCCTCAACAGGCACAGTTATGCTCTATGGACAGGCCAGAGGCTCTGAGACACTAGAAATTCACTAAGATGGAAGTGCATCATCCTCTGCCTCCAGCCACTGCCTGAAACACCTTGCAGAATGGGTGAAGGGTTCCAGTTCTCACTGGGTGTCGTCTGCCAGTCCTTTTTGCCTTTGGAAATCCATGCATTCTATGCTATGGCACAAGACAGTGCTGAAACTCTGCTCTTCTGTCAGAACTTCTGGCAGATAGAGACTGGGCCTCGTTCTGAGAGTGGAACCATCCCTGTGTGGGACAGGGACATCAAATCTCATTGTACGAGCCTTCTTCTTCCCAACACCACCACATGACCACTACATTTCAGCCAGGATCCCTCGTTAGCAGTGAACACGGACAAGCAGATGGAGAATAAGAGACCAAACAAAATAGCATGATGTTTCCTAGAAGGCACATATGAGTCTCTTCCTCTTCACCCAAGGATAAGGGAGGCAATCACTCTTCTTTGACCCCCAGGATCCTAACCCCAACATAATTTTCCATTCCTTTGTGTCTTAGTCTATTTTGTGCTATTATTTTTTCTAAGTGCCACAGACTGGATAATTTATAAAGAACAGAAATTTACTTTCTTACAGTTCTGGAGGCTGGGAAGTCTAAGATCAAGGGGCCAGCATATGGCAAGGGACTTCTTGCTACGTTATCCCATGGTGGAAGGTGGAGGGTGAAAGAGATAGAGATAGACAGAGAGACAGAGAGAGAGAGAGAGAGGCCAAATAGCTAAAATTGCACTTTTATAAGGAAACCACTCCTGCAATAACAAGCCCACTCCCATGATAACAGCAGTAATCCATTCACCCCACCTTCTTGGTCTAATCACCTCTCATTAGGCCCCATGTCCCAAAACTGTAGCATTGGAAATTAAATTTCCAACACATGTTTTTTTTGACAGTCACATTCAAACCATAGCACTTTGGAACCAAATATGAAGCATTTAGATGCTCTATTTGAAAAACAAGGAGATTAGAGTAGAGAATCATCGAAGTCACTTCAGACCACATATTCTTAGTTACACATCTCCCGGAGAGGAATTCATGAGATGCCTGGAATCTAAGTTTTGAGCCAAGAAGCTTCTCTCTGGCCTCAGTGTCCCAGCTGCACTGCGGAGCTCTACCCACTTTCAGAGTTTACCTAGAATCGGAGAGGAGTGACTACAGGAAAATGAAGCATAATTACTTCATTTTCATATACATGAATAGTATCAGAGTATTTCCTGGTGTTCCCTTCTTTAATCTCTCTCTCTCTCTCTCTCTCTCTATATATATATATATATATATATCTCTATCTCTCTCTCTCAGCATAGGGAAGGGGATGACTTCCCATCTTTGGTCTTCCTGCATGTTTTTGTCTCTCTCATCTCAGCATTTTTAGAGATGTGTGGGACCTCTTTCCACAGGTCTACCCAGTTGGGACAGGCAACCCAACCTTTCATAAATGATTCCAGTGTGCAAACAGCAATTTACACTGTGGCACTCTGGAGCTGCACCTTAGCATGGTCTTTCCTTCCCCCAGGACTCCTGCCTCAGGAGCAGCTGCCTGGGTATTAAGACCAGACCGGGCCTCAGCAGTTCAGCCGCAGGTCACAGCATGGCCCATGCACACCCGATGGGCCGTGGAGGTTCCCAGCCAGGCTTTCCTGCCCGCCTGTGAGGGAAGGGGGTACACAGCAGCCAGCTCCACCTGGGTCCTGATCTGTCTTGGAATGCACGGGCAAAGGGGGTGGGATAGCCCGTGAGGCAAAAAAAAAAAAAAAAAAAAAAAAAAAATGTCTGCTCCTCTTCCCATTTTACGTCTTTCTCTCTTTCAGCTTAGCAAACTAAAGTTCAAATCAGGGTCAGGGAAAGGGGGTTGCTAATGGAGTTCAGATTTCAGACACAGGAGGAGCTGGGAGGCAACTGCTGGGCCTCTGTTTAGGGAAACATGTAGGACATTTTCTCATTCCCCAGCATCAGCTGCTGAGTACCTACTATGTGCCAGGCTCTGTGTCCTAGGGCTGGGGATACCAATATGGTTCTACGGACCCCACAATGAAGGCACAGACGTATCAGTGGTGACAAAAGTGCTAATAGTGGTTTGTGGAATGTGCAAAGGGCTGTGAGAGCTCGGTGAGAGATGACAGCGGCTATGCAACGCTACTTTTTCATTCGAAAGACGGAAAAGGGCTGTGCACTATTAGAAGGCAGAAAAGTTAGAAAATGTTTCCTTCTTTCCATCTAGAAACAGAACCAGCTTATGTCTCAGACATGATTTCTAAAGTAATCCTCGCCTTGTCCTGACTGGGGTCAAACTTTACATCTTGTCTCTGTAAATGGACTCCCTGATTGTGCAGGACACGTGGCCTGTGGGACCCAACGTAGCAGGAAGGTTGGCCTGGAGCAATAGTTGTCTATTCTTTTATTTAGTCACTCAATCAATAAACATTGATTAAATGCCTACTATGGATTATTAAATGCCAAAAATCATATATATGGTGAACATGAACAGGAAAAATGGGATAGAATAGTTTTAATTGGAACATTCCTGAAAAACAATGTAAGACATATAATTGTTATATATAATCCTCTTCTATATTCTTGGCTTCTTCTACCTCTATGCCTAGCCTAGCCTAGCCTAGAGCTCATTTTCACCAGTCCTTGACAAATTATAAAAAGTTTGGTGAAGCATGTACAGGTAAGGACTTAAGAGAGAATTTTACTAAGGGGGTATCTGTATCTCAGTAGAATGCCCTGAAATTAAACAGTTCAGCTAACCTTCAGTGAAAATCCAGTCGATAAAGGACATTACACCAGGCATCAGAAAATCAAAGACAAATAAAACATCTTTCCAAGGATAAAATAAATTACGCAACACAAAAATACAAAGCTGAATGATCAAAGTCTCAGAAACCTACAGAGGGATGTGGGGGATTTAGAGGAGGGAAAGTTGGGAAATCCAGGAAGGTCTTATGGAGCAAGCAGCATGGAGATACATCTTGCAGTTTTTTCTGCAGGCAAAGATGAGAACAGGCAAGGCATTTTAAGTGGAGGAAAGGACATGAACAAAGATGGAGAAATGCATGGTGAGTCTCTGCTTTCAGCTGGAACCAGAGTTCAGAGTACACCAGGTAAGATGTCAACAATAACAACATTGAGCTCTTAATATATGACAGGTGGTCTTTGTTTAATCCTCATGACTCAGTTAAGTAAGTAAGGTGATGCTTCCACTCCCATTTGACGGGTGGAAAAAACTGAACTTCGCATTTCGGCTGAGAACATGCTTGCTTCCTGGACCCTTGCCCCCAGCCCAGTCTACTAAATCTCTCTTTGGCATGGAGAAGTTAAATAATTTGCCCAAGCTCACATCCCTATTAAGTAGTGAAGCTAGGATTTGAATTCAGACCATCTAAACCACCATGTCATAATTGCAGGGCCAAAAAGTGAGGGGCTCTACATGTCAGACTGGAGAACCTGAGTTTAATTTTACATACCTTGGGTTGTGACATGATCAAAGATCTGCCAAGATTAATAGTAGTGACTAGAATGACTTGGAGAAGAGAGAGACCCGAGGCAAGCCTTCAGTTAGCAGGGTGGGAGGATGGGGCTACTTACTGCCCAATGCCTGTCTCTCTGACACAATTCTACTGAAGCTTGGGACCTTGGCACATCTTAGAGATGAAATGGACTTAAATGGCCCAGTCAAAATGCCTTTTTATTCAATTCCCTGTACTTATTCACTGATATGGATGTGAATAATTGTCTGTACATCTATAACTCCCTGTCCCCTCTTAACTGGGAATATAATGCCCTGCTTTTCTAAGGCCTCAAGACATCTTAGTGTCAAAAGCTCTTATAGCCAGCATGACTATTGATTAGACCTGTGTTTCTCAAACTATGTTCCAGGGAATATTTGGTCTTATGAGATGCCACCCCCATCCCCCACTCCTCAAAAAAGGATTCTATGCTGGTCAAATAGATTTAGGAAATCCTCTATACTATACTGTCTACCCCCTGGGAGAATTACCATGCACACCTATATCTTAAAAGTTCTGATAACTCCTATAGTAAAGAAACATGCTTAACTTTGTTTAACCCAGTGTTTTCCAAGTGTGGTTAACCAGAAAACACTGCATTCATGTAGCACATATTAAAAACCCAAGACATAGGGGTCTGCAGAAAGCTCTTGGGAAATACTGCCTTAGGAAATTATTTCTTTCATTTTCTTCCTTCATTGTCAATATAATTCTTAGGAGGAATAATAATAGCTGCTATTCATTTAACTCTAGGGTTCGTCCAAGTGCTTTTACCAATATCATCTCATCTTTTAATGTTTGAAGCTTCAGCCCGACCTATCTTTCAAATTCCTTCTTTTTCTTTCCTTGAAGCAGAATCCCAAGGGATTACAATTATGTGGGTATATCTCAGAAAGTTAACAGCCATGTCTATCTCTTTTTCAGATCAGAAGGGTACAATTTTCTACTACTTAAAAAAGAGAGAGAGAGATCCTTTGCTCCTAACAGATTTTATCAGTTTCTAGGAATTACTTAAAATGCACTTATAATAGTAAATGTCAAAGATTAACACTTCTCAACTCCCTTAAGAGGTCCCCCCCCCAGTCATTTTTTCTGATACAAACTACTTTCTGTTAAGTATTACCTTACAAGGAATACAATTAATTGAAAGTAAAACATTTTAAAAGAAAATGAGGATTTTTTAATAAAGCATTTTAATTGCCAAATGATTTTCTCTCTAAAAATATTTGCATTCAAAAACACAGCAAAATCAGAGGGCAATGCTTAACTCAAAGGAATGACTGTAATAGATTTCAGGCTGTAAGAGGAATATTTGGGAAGGTGAGGGATGTTGTTTTTATCCCTCAAATCACCTCACACAGGCAATTGCCGCCTTTGTCTATCTATCTGGTTTATTGTGTTCATTGCTACCTCTTCAATCTCCTTCTGAATTCCTGGAATGGATAGACATTAAAATTCAAAGTGGTGTGAATCCTGGCTTCATCACTGACTCATTGAATAGTGTTTCTGAAACTACCTTTCTCAATTTCTTCATTGTTAAATATAAAATAGCACTACCTAATAACACTGTGTTGTTGCAAGGATAAAATTGGAACAGATGCAAAGCATCTAGTACCCTGCCCAACACACAGCAGGTAGTCCGTAAGTGTGGGTTATAGACCTGCATTTTTCTTGGCAACTTGTAGGCAAGAGAGGTAACCAGTAGCCCAATGGTATGTCTCTGTGATTTGTACTTAGCATGAATACGTGGGTGAAGGCTTGTCTTCTCTCCCCATGGAAACCCAAGAGGAGACTTCAGAAGACTGTTAGCTCCCCACCCACCCCCACCTTTCTGGCACTGAATCCCATTCATTCCACAATGGCAGCTGTCCTGGGCCCCATCTAAGGTGCCTGACCCTTGGAAAGGGAGGCCCAGAGAGCAGTCATTACTTCTTTGCAGCTGTGGTCACAAAACCACGTAAGAAAGTGGGACACAGAGAGAGATTTAGTAGACTGGGCTGGGGGCAAGTGGCCAGGAAGCAAACATGTACTCAGCCAAAATGCCAAGTTCAGTAGCTTGAATAAAAACCATCCTAACCTCCAAGGCCCCAAGGTCACCATCTGGAAATGGAAAATCACCGTCAATAAATTACTATGGACCACAGTACTGTGGGATTTCAAAAGAAACTGGACTGCATGAGTTCAAGCTTGGGTTCTCCCTTTAGCTGCCCCTGTGTTCTACTCTTTGAAAGGATAAAAGGCTCTTGGTCCCAAATGGCGACTGTAAATGCAGTGGAAGCTGGGGTGAGTTGCTATGATGAGGGTGGGGTTGCCCTTAATGCCCAGTTCGATAGCTTGACACTAAGTAGAGGGCCAAAGCCCACCATTGCTATTTTCTTCCCCCTTGGCTTCCCAGTGGGCAAAGTTGGCAGATCAGGGAGCACCTGTATCCACTGTGGATCCCTGCTATCCCTCCAACCTCCACCCTGCATTCCCCAAGCCCAGAAAAGAGACGCCCTCCTCCCCTCTCTGCAGTCCCCTAGGAATCTTTCACAGGTGGTCTGAAGTATCACCTGCAACCAGAGTGCTGATGAACTTCTGTCTGCCCTGCTGGGCTTTGTACGGTCCCTGAGTCTGGTCACCCCAGGCCCAAGCAGAAAGCTAAAAAACCTGGTGTTGCAGACATGAAGACAATGGGCCTGCTGGGCTGAAAGCATTCCAGTCTCCCACGTTCAGTAGGAAGGGGTGTTTGGCAGGGAGGAAAGGTCATTAATGCAGACAGTTTATGTTTTCCCAAGCCAGCATTCCTCACAAACAGCTGTGTTTATACAGAACTAGAGGAGAGGGAGAGAGAGACAAGAGAAAGGACAGTGTCCTAGGGATGACATCATTCTGTCCTGTCTGCTTCGACTCCCACCACTGGTGGTGGGGGCTGGGGGAAACGGCAGCAGGCTGGTGAACGTGCTTGGTGTAAGTACATGCAGAGTGTTTATATGTGAGTGTGTTTATTAGATATATATTTTTCCTACTCTCCACTCTGCTCCTTCCCCACTGGCTCCCAGAGCATCCTAATACATTTTGCAGAACACTATTTTTCCTGTAACAGCAACCTCAGAGGAAGGCGAGATTCAGGGGCTCATGTTCACTCCTCCTAATCTCTTTAACAAACCCCCCTCACAGAAGAAAAGCCTGACAGGAGGCAGAGTCATTAAAGTGAATTAAAATGCATCCAAGGAGAGATTAGCCCCAAAAACCATTCCCATATCAGACAAAGGCCCCTTTCATGCAGACTCCAGCCGCCTGGAGTCCTGTAAGCAGAGATTAGGGAACAAATTCTCAGAACCTAGAAGCACTGGCTCTTCAGGAAACGGGCCAACACTTAACCTCCCCTGGATAGAATCTCAAGAACTCAGCTTCTGCTTAAACTACACTTCGGCTTCTTAAGGCCCTCACTGTAAGGGAAAGGGGCTCCACTGAGGCACATGGATTCTCCCCAGCCCCTCTTTGTTGAGCTAAGTCTATCCCTAACACAGTCCAGATAACCAAGGCCCTCACCTGTTCTGAAACTCAACCAGAGGACATAATGTGATCATTCCCCAGCCTTCTGCATCAGGGTATCAGGTAGGAGGTCCTTCCATGAATGGTCCAAGCATAGTCCCTTCTGCACCGCATCTGCAAATATCCTCCTGAGCACCTATTTTGGTTCAAGCTGAGACTTCTGTGATGTGCATGTGAAGAGATGACTGGATATGATTTCTGCTTTCAAGGTAACCAGTAGAGGCTGAGATCTGATGGAAAAAAATGCCTCCTCCACCCAGCCTCTGAATCAGCCAGTTTCCCATGACCAACCTGGGAATTCCTCATTGTTTTGGATCTCCCCACTTCCTTGTTTCATGCTCCTTTTCCCTCACTTCTCCTTGAGATCACTTTCCTACATAAGATATTCACATATATGAAGGTTAATATTATGTGTCAACTTGGCTGGGTCATGGTACCCAGACATGTGGTCAAACATTATCCTGGATGTTTCTGTGAAGGCATTTCTTAAATAAGATTCACAGTAAAGCCAGCGGATTTGGGCAAAACAGATTGCCCTCCATAATGTGGGTGGGCCTCATCTAATTGGTTGAAGGACTAAATATAATAAAAGACTGCCCTTCCTCAAGCAAAAGCGAATTTGACAGCAGATGGCAGTCAGACTTAAGCTGCAACATCAACTCTGCTTGGGCCTTCAGCCTGCTGACCCATCCTACAGATTCTGGACTTGCCAGTCTCTATAATTGTATGCACCAATTCCTTACAATAGATTTTGTATATATTTATACACACACACACACACACACACACACACACACACACATCTTTTTGGTTCTGTTCTTTGGAGAACTGTGACTAAGACAATACATAAGTCTTTGTCCCAGGCTCCACTTTCTGGAAAACTCAGCCCAAGACAGAAAAATTATTTTGAGTTTGAGATTACTGTGGGAGAAGGAGGTGAAGATGGCTATCCAACCAGTGGTACCCACAAGAGGAATGTGGACTCAGGACTAACACACATGCCAGCGGTGCTTGAAACCAAGAGAATGCATAGGGTGAAAAGAAATATGACATGGCCCTTCAAAGGTTCAAAAAATATTATGCTGGATTCCTTGTCCTCACTCAAAATAAATTAACCCTACTTCTTTATACAAACTTAGTCAAATGTTTTGAGAGAAGGAGAGAAAAAGAAAATCTCATTAAAATAAATAAAAGTATCATTGTACCCATAAAGTATGAGTACATATATGGTTCTCACCAGGGTCATAATTTCAACTTGAGATGTTGGAAAACAATTGCCTCATTCACCCCATCCTCCATCTGATCTCCTGCTGTCTGCAGCCATGAGGCTACAGTGGTCACACTGGGCTGTATATTTCCAGTCCTCATCTCTTTTCTACATTAGCCACATCACTCCAGCCTCCAAAGCAGGTGGAAGATAGGGCTTTCTGTTCTGGAATCAAATTATCTTTTTTTTTTTTTTTTTTTTTTTTTTTTGAGACAGAGTCTTGCTCTGTCACCCAGGCTGGAGCACAATGGCATGATCTCAGCTCACTGCAACCTCTGCCTCCTGGGTTCAAGAGATTCTCGTGCCTCAGCCTCCCGAGGAGCTGTATTACAGATGTGCACCACCATGTCTGTCTAATTTTTTTATTTATTTATTTTTTTCAGTAGAGATGGGGTTTCGCCATGTTGACCAGGCTGGTCTCAAAATCCTGGCCTCATGTGATCTGCCCACCTCAGCCTCCCAAAGTGTGGGGATTACAGCTGTGAGCCACTGCACTCGACCCAAATTCTTTTTTCAATTTTAGACTAACCCCTACTCCCACGCTCCTCAATGAAGGCTCCATAGAGTCTTGGAGCAGGTCTAGGGTGGAAATGAGGGCACTGAAGTCTAGTCTTGGCTCCAATCGCTGTCTCACTGTGCATGCCTGAGCACATCATTTCCTCTCACTGGCCTCAGTCTTCTTGCATAGAAAACAAGGGGGGGATTGAACCCATAGATGCTCTTCAAGATCCTTTTCTCATCTAGCACCCTGTCATTCTAAGATATCGCGTGATCCCTCCCAGCATATCACCCCCTTTCAGAAGCTTGTGAGGACACCCATCGTGATCTCCTGGACACGCGGTCCAAAATACACACCACATACACACTTCCATCTATGCCCACTGCTCCATGGTCTGTGTCTATCTCAATACCCACCACCTGCATAGTCTTGCCTCATCTGTCTTCATAGAAAGATTCCAGAACAGGTTGCAGATACAAAAACTCAGAGAGAAGGCAAAGGCAGCAAGTATGCCAATGAATATTTAATAAAATTTTTTCACAACCTCCTCCTTTAAGAAAATGGAAAAGCTATTTGTCTTTGATATTTCACTTAGCTACTTCATCAGCCATCAGGGAAAACCCTTTCCTTATTTAGTTCTTGGAGGAAGCTTGACTCACTTTCATCTTTTAATTATTTGTACTTATTTCAACATCTGTGCACATTCTGCAACCTCCGACAGTTTTATGTTGCTTATGCCGCAAAAACACTGAGGACCTACATTCTCAGGCCAAGAATCTCACTGGTAATGTTCAGAGGGGAAAGATGCCATTCCTTCCAGGACCGTGGCTTATTCACATGGCCAAGCCTGGAATGTGTCCAGAACCAAGCCAAGGACATCATTGGCTCCTAATCTCTTCATCTGAAGGAGGGCACCTCACCTAGTTTTTCTCTATTTCATCCCTTTCTTATTTCCTTCATAGCACCTATTTGCAAATATATACATTTCTACTTTTGTTCCATGATATATTTTATCTGGCTCCTCTGCTGGACTGCAAGATCCTTCTGGAAAGATGCCTATTGCATCACTGCATCATCAGCTCCCAGCATCATGTGTGGCATATAATAAATGCTCAATAAGTGCTTGATGAATACTGATTCATGAAGCAGCTGGACCAAAAATGCGAGACATTAAATCTTCTGACAGATTTAACAACCCTTACACTTCAGCTGTTCTCTCCCTTGAAGATTGAGAAAATGAAAATGGGCTGAAAAATATTTGAGTTATGAGGGCCATGAAGGCCTGGAACAAGTTGAAATGGAAGAAAAAGCACTGACCTAAGAGCCTGGAAGTCTGAATTCAAATACCAGCTGTTTCGTTATCAATGTACGACCATGGGCAAGTATGCTATTCTCTCTGTGCCTCAATTTCCTATAAAATAAGGAAATTGCACTTGATCGGTGGTTTTATTTTCAAGGCTTTTTAGCAGTAGAACTTCATAATTTATAGAGCATATTAAAAGTAGCATTTTATGAGCATAAAACATTTCTTAAGTTAAAATGTATAAGATTTACTTGATATTTACATGACCAATGAGATAAATGAGGCTGTTTTCATGAATACAAAAATAACAGGTCCAGAACTATGAATATAAGCTGACACCTTTTATTAATCTGACACCTTAATCACACAGTCTCAAAATCCAGATTCACACAGATAAATGGTTTAAGAATGACTATTTGGGCTGGGCATGGTAGCTCATGCCAGTAATCCCAGCACTTCAGGAGGCCAAGATGAGAGGATCACCTGAGGCCAGGAGTTTAAGACCAGCCTAGGCAATATAGTGAGACCCTACCTCTACAAAAAAATTAAAACATTAGCCGGGCACAGTGGCTCGCACCTCTGGTCACAGCTACTCGGGAGGCTGCAAGTCAAGGATTGCTTGAGCCCAGGAGGTTGAGGCTGCAGTGAGCCATGATCATGCCACTGCACTCCAGCCCGGGCAACAGAGCAAGACCCCGTCTCAAAAAAAAAATGGTTATTCCTAAGATCAACAGATCTGATTTCCAACTATGTAAGTATGTGCCTAGGAGAGAGAACCTGGTAACGCAGAGACAGGTTAGCTGTTTACAAGTCCAGTTCTTTTTCTTCTTTCCAGACAGGTGGACTACATTTCCTAGAGTTCCTTACGGTTACATGTGGCCACGTGACAGATTTCTAGCCAATAGCATGTGAAAGGAAGGATGTGCACTGCACCCAAAGAGCCTTAGACACCCTATCTCTCGTGTTCTTTTCTTTTCTGTTGGCTCAATGCAGAGAAACACAGAGAACCTGGAAGTCTTGAGTGAAAGATGGTGGGGCCACAAGATGGAAAAGGTTGGGGACCCCACGTCTCTGCTTGCAGGAGAGGTGCCCAGCATTCAAGAACACCAATTTTAGGCTTTATTCTATAATTTTACTGGAACCACTGTGTAATTTTTTATAGTAACTAACATTGCCTAACAACCTGACAACATACTTTTTGGAGTTCTCAAATACATAAAAGTGTGGCATCTCATATATGTTACTTTTATTAGAACTTTTAAAGTGGTTTACATATTTTTTAGAATGAAATGTGAATAAAATAAATGTTTGTAGTATCCCTGAAACTCCTTCACGAGGCCCCAGGTTTTCATGAAATATATTTGAAAATCACTGGCCTACCTGCTTTCAAAGATCCTTCCCAGATTTAACATTTTATTAGTGAATATATTTCTAATTATCCAAAGAGAGTTGTATTGGTCTTTATAAAGAAGTAAGCCCCTTCTGCCTTTGAAATAAAATGGCATCTAAGAAGTGCCAAGGGACACATATATTTCTAGCATAACCCTTGTATATTTAGGCGATTTGGGCCTTCTTAGGGAACTTTGGTTCTAGAATCTTATTTCTCTGAGATGTAATAACAATCATGCTAAAAATGGCCCTGTATGTTAAGCAATGACATAAGTTGTCTGGAAGGTTCCAAGCAAAGTCAAAATTAAAGCAACTTTTTCAAAGGTTGTACTTAAAACCAAATGCATTAATAAATGGCACTTTGATGAATCTGAAAATTACAAACTAGAGCAAAAACAGGCAAGACCATTTTCTTCTACTGTGGACTTCTTTAGGAATCCCAGTGCTCAGAAGCTGGGGGATGACCACAGTGACCTTTGCCATAGGCAGTCACAGCAGTAAACAGAGGCCACATCCAGGAACAAATCAGAAATTTAACCAAGCCAAAAGGAAACCCAGGCCTAACCCAGAGGCAGGAATGCCACAATGGCTTTTTCTAGCAGCAGAGGAGAGCCAGTCCCTAAAGGGGATAAGGAAAGGATGTCAACGTGGGAAGCCTTGACAGATGTCCAAGTTTCCCAGGTTCTAAATTTATCTTAATTTAATCATGTTCACCTCTGAGGATGGTACTATGCAATTGCTCCACAGGGAATTGAAGGCCCTCAAGAAGCCTTCGATCATCATCACCCACCAGGCCTAGGCCTAGGAGCCTTGAAGGGAGGCATTACCCCATGGGGTAAGGAAGAGATTCAAACAGATTTTGGACTCAGGCATGCCTGAGTTACAGCCAATGTCTTGTGTGCTGCCATGTGACCTTAGGAAAGTTATATAACCACCCTGACCCTGCTAGCAGCTTACAGTGTAAAAATGGCAACTTGAGATGAACTCAGTGTTCAAATCAGCCCAACCCCTAAACCTCATGCCCAGACACAGACCTCTGATTCCTACTCAGCCTCGCTTTGCCCCATGGTTCTAAAACATTGTGCTAAGTGTTCTACCTCCCAGAAGGAGGGGATGCTCTGTTCTTATAGACCAGAAACTCAGAAGCCACCCTAGGTCCTTGCCCAAGTTATGTGGTGGAAGGGGAGGGGTTGTTTTGCTTTTTTCCTTTTCTTTTTTTTCCCCTTTTTGTTTTTCATTTGCAAAACATTTGAGAAGCTTGAGGAAAACAATCTGTCTGAGCCCCTATGAAGATGTAACTCTAGATGGCCTTCCAGCTGGGCCAGGCCTACCAAGTGTCCGTCTGGAAACCACAAAGTGAAGGAGAGTTTCCATACAAAGGAGGCATCGGTCTCTGGGAGTAGATGAGCCAAGTTTCAACCAAAATAAACTTGCCATAGTCTGGATGCAAGAACAGGCAAAACTAACCCCTAAAACACAAGGCCCCCCATCTTCTGGACCAGGTTGGAGATCGCCCCCGGATGTAGTTGCTACTTGGGGAGAGTACAGAAAAGTGGCTCAAGGGCATCCTCCACTGCATAGATGTGGCTTCTGCCAAATGTCAAAAGACAATATGGGATTGTTGGCTTTCTGACTCCCTGGCCCTATCTTGTCCATCCTCTATCATCATGCCTAGGTCCCAAAATCTGACACTGGAAAAAAGTAACTTACTGCATTCTCCCTCCAAAGGAATTATGTCTGTTTCTATTTCTCAAGATAGTCCTTATGCTAGACTCCATTTATTTTCTCTCCAGATTGGCTTGGCCCCACCTGCCCCTGGACCTCATTTGCTAGCTCACTGGCATCTCAGATGTTACCAACTGCCATCACCTTATCCTCTAACACTGCCAGCCATCTCAGCCACCCCACAGAGCAGGAGCTGGGCTTTGGCATGGCCTCTAGCATGCCTGCTGTGGTGTGAGGCTCAGCAGCTCTATTGCCCATGTCTAACCCAGCTGGATGCATGGAGGCTCTGGCTTTCCCAGCAGCTGCCTCAAAGGGTAGCCTCTGAATATAAGAGGCAAGAGACAAGAAGGATGCAGCAGATAAGTTCTTCTTCCTCTCTGCTTTTCCAAAGGACTGTTCCAAGATCTTCCGACACTGTTTCTTACAGTTCCTCCAAAGATTTCCCGTGGGAACACACAGCTCACTGTGTGTCTTCTTGTAAGGCTGTGGCAAACTCAGTAACACACAAGTTTGTATTTCCTTTCCCTCCTTTCCTGCTTCATCTTTTGTAGCCCTCCTTCTTGCCACCTTAGGACTGCACTTTTCAGTAAGATGTTAGCATGTTAGCCTCAGGCTCTCTGTTCTAAGAACACAGCCTAAGATAGCCTTCATTATGGTTTCTCTCTCTCCAGATGGAGGCATTAATTTAGGCAAACTGCCCGCTTCTATCTACTCGCTACTATATTTCCTCCCTCTTCAACTTACGTGTGTCACCAGTGGGAGATTTGAAAGTGGGCTAGCTGTTACACCACTGACTATAGTTGCTCTGTTTTTATTTTATTTATTTTTGGTTTATACCTTGAGTCTGGAGTTTTAGGATGCCCTTGGTTGCTTTATCAAAAATGAAATATAGATCCATGTACATGTCCTTCCCAGGATCTAGAGAGCAATAAAATCCCACTCACACAGACCCTGATCAGGCACTGCAACTGTGCAGCAAAGCATCCACTGGCAGAGTTCACCAAGGGGTAGCATTTCCCAAAGTCAGAGCCATAGAACACCAGTTGTGTGGGATTAGTAGATGTTTGTTTCAAAATTTAAATGACTCTGTTCTCAAATACACTTGAGTGCCTCAAGGTTAAACAAAATTAAATAGTTTCCCTTACCCTACAGGATTTCAGAGACGTTGCTATAGTATTGTACAACGTTCTCACCAAAAGAGAGAGTTTGCAGAATTTTCAGAATTTATTGGGACACGTCTTTTTTTGCTAAACATCTCATAGGATTGATGCTAAACAAACACTTAGTTCCTGTGGCAGAAATTCCAGAAGTGTCAGCTCCTGGGAAGAAGTCTCCCTACTCTTCAGACTTCAAGTTCCAAAGTCTTTGGGTCCCTGTTGAAAACACCACAACTGAGTAAAGTCAACCTATTCTTCTGACTCTTTGAGAAAATACTAGAAGTCTACATCTGCAGGCCTATTGAATAAATAAAAGCTGAGCTTAACCATCAATAACCAACACTAGGCAATGCTCCTTTCCTTCTTTCTATTCTTCTCCATCTATGGGATTATTTTTTTTCATGATTCTCCCACTTGCTTTCCACATAATGTTACAGCTACTCCTCCCACCCCTACTAATACCCATTATTAATCTAAGTATGCATGTCCCATCATAAGGAAGAAACACAAATCACCTTCCTGGCCTGTGTATTCCTACACATGCCCTGTCCCTACCCAACTCAACTGAGATCAGCAGTTACTGAAAGTTCAAGGCATTCTGTTCTCCTCACCCACAAATGCTCCCTGAACTCACTTTTCAGTTCTAGGATTAATAAAGTACAACCGAAATTTTGTTGCTGTGAGCCCGGGGGGTTAAAGCTGCCACCACTACATAAAATCTCGAGAGTGAAGCCTTCAGTAAGCAAAGCAGGCTAATGACTTCTGTCCCTCTGGTAATAAGCTGCGGAAATGGGCTGCTGGGGAAAGCCAGTGGCCCACATAAATCCATGTGTTAGCGAGCCTGCCTGCTGGAGCAGCGGCAGCATGCTGGGAGGAGGTCGGAGGGCTGGGAATGTCAGAAATAAAAGCGTCTTTGGAGACCACCTAAATCAGCCCCCTCATTTTGCATGGGGAGAGACCGAGGTTCAAAGAAGCCAACTTGTGTGCCCAAGACTACAGCACGAATTCAGAGTGGAGCCACGGACTAATCTTCCCAGAGCAAAATCCAGAGCAGCTCCACCAAGATGTTTTGGACAAACCTCTTTCTGGGTCTCATGGGCATTACTGTGTACCACCGAACTAGGAAGCCAGTGGTGTAGCGATGGAGCGAAAATTGCAGATGGACATTTTTGTTTTTATTTCTGTGCCTCTGTTTTCCCCTGTCTAAAGGCAAGAGGTAGATAGTATTGAAGTGGGAAAAGTCATGCTAACATTCTTAGGAGGAAATCTGGAAAACAATCCATATTCTGGATTGTTAGATAACTAAGCCTGATTTAACAGTTTAATTCAGGGGAATAACTATGGGAATGTAGAACAAAGAAGGGAGGGGAAAAAAAAGGAGGAATTTTGAGCTCAATTTTTCCCTGATCTAACTAAGCAGAGCATGCCTCCTTTCAACACTCAGGGACCTATATGTTCCTTTGGAAACCAGACCAGAGTCTGAGGACCTAAGACCTTAACCCAAAAAGAGGGAAGGGCATCTATTTTGTGGCCTGTATGTTTTAATATAAATTCTCACTAAGCTACACAGGGCATGGGGAAGACATCAGCACCATGGGTGAAAACCAAATTCCAGCTAATAAGTCAGTTCTGCAGGGTCCAAAGGAGTCCCTCAGATCTCTGCAGTCTGGAAAGCCTGCGCTGTCTTCTGAGGGCTTTCCAAGCCCAGACACACAGACTCAGCACACAGTGTTCTGAGAACAAGCCAAGCATGGGGGGAGCTTCCCAGCTGGTATAAGCAATAGCTCACAGCAAAGGAGTATTCCAGGAGAGAGCCATTCCCAGTGTCAGTTCTGATTTCCTTCCCTCCTGCAGGACCAGTATTCAGATGAGCCTCTCATCTCAGACTTTTGGGAAAACACAGCCAGAAAAAAAAAAAAATGCTTTCTGCAAATCCAGCATCCTCTCAACACAGTCCCCTAAAACTCATAAATGCCACTTTGAGGGAATACTATTGTTCAGGGCCTCACATAGTTTAGCCAGGAGAGAGCAAGGTGGTCTCTATTTGCAGTGGCTTCTATCTCTATGTTTTGGGGATTGCTGGCAAACAACACAACACAGACCAACAGGGCATTTCATCCACAAAAACCTATGCATGCTATTTATCAAATGGTCCCTCTGCATGTATGCATGTGCGTGTGTATACATATATCCATATATGTACGTGTGTGTATATAGTCATATGCCACACAATGATGTCTTGCTCAATGATGGACCACATATACAACAGTGGTTCCCATAAGATGATAATACCATATTTTTACTGTACCTTTTCTTATTTAGATATATTTAGATATACAAATACTACTGTGTTGCAAGTGCCTACAGTATCTAGTACAGTAACATGCTGTACAGGTTTGTAGCCTAGGAGTAACAGACTATATCATACAGTAGCATAGGTGTTTAGTAGGCTCTACGGTTGAGGTTTATGTAAATACACTCTACGATGTTCACACAATGACAGAAGTCACCTAATGACATATCCCGGGAACAAATCTTTGTTGGTAAGTAATGCATGACTCGTGTGTGTGTGTGTGTGTGTGTGTGTGTGTGTGTGGTGTGTGTGGTGTGTGTGTTGTGTGCATGCGTGTTTTAAATTCAGGAAATGTGAGCTCTGCAAACCTGGTGGACAAATTCCTATAAAGGAGGCCCACCAGGCATTTTGTGCCACTTTGCCCCCTGTGCCCTGTATCCAAGAAAAGTCCATAAGAACAAGTCTCCCCTCACCACTGCAACTCCTACTCCTTGGCAAATGCTTGATTGTCAGAGTTTTCCAAACCCACATCAGCTCTTGAAAGAAGGAAGCTTAAGGCAGGTGGGGGAAATCTGGGGGATACTGGAAGCCCTCCAGACTAGGCACAGATTCTGCTGCCTCACTTTTTAATGGTGAGCAGGGACAGGTGACCCCAACCTTCAGCTCTCCTCTCTAAAGCCCTGAAAATTCCTCTTGGCCTTCCTGAACTCTCCAGGGCTCTACTCTGGCCATGAACCAACAGACTGTCTCTCCACTAAGCCCTCACCAGCAACCCCTGGGCTTCATTTGTTCCAGCCAGAGCTGGAGGAAGGACAAGGTCCTTTTCTGCTCTGCATGATATGAGGTCTGCATTACCAGCCCAACCTACACCAGGAAATTAATAAAAGGACTCAGATGTGGGATTGTGATCCAGACTCCAGGGATAAAGATGCCCCTTCTTCCAGGGAACAATGGTGATTGGAGGAAAGAAAATCCAGAAGTGTACAAGTTGCTCTTCATACTTCCTGGCAGCCTTCTAGAACATATTGTGAATTACTCTTAGGTAATGTCATGAAGGACACAGAGCTTGCACCCTTGAGCCAAAGGGTAATGTACTGCACACACCTCAAGTGCAATTCATCACCCCTTGGGCTGAAGAGGCCACATGGTGATGGTTTTAATTAATGTCCCCTGAAGGCCTGGAGACCTCTGGCTGATTCCAATAGTGATGCCCCGCCCTGGAGCCTCTCAGGACACCACATCCATACAGGCTTATTCCTAGGAGGAAAAGTTGCAAACGGAGTTTCTTAGGTCTGGAGACATCTCAGTCACTATATAAATCCTCTCCTAGGGCCACTGACCAGGACCATGCCTTATGCCTTAAAAGATCCCAGGAAGCTTATTTATAATCATTCCAAATGCCTGAGAGATTGATAACTCAGGCCCATTAACCTTGGAAAACCCTCCAAAATGTCTAAACTAAATCCCTACAACTACTACCAAAATCTACTTTCTCATATCCTTCAAACACTTCCTTGGCTCCTGACCCTTTGGCCGGAGGATTAATTCCAAGCTGCCCCTAACACTTCATAGAAAGTCCGTCATGATCTGTACCCAATCTACAATCTTAAACTCAATTCTTATTACACCTACTTGTGTCCTCGGTGCCACAGCCACACTAAGCTGATCATTAGTCTCCAACCACACGCTGCACGTGACCCACACTGATCTTCCCCTCACCTTCTACATGGCTACCACACCCAACTCCACTCTACTGCCTTCTAAGGAACTAGCTCAATTGCCACTTGGGTCCATGAAGCATTCCACTCTAAGTCAGAATTAACAGCTACTACTTTTGTCTTGCCATGGAAGGAAATATGAACTTAGAGAGCAAGTCAGGACAAAACCTCATTCATTAGTTTATTCATAAACATCTACTGAGCTGCTAGAGTATTCCAAGCCCCCAGCACTTTGCTAAGAACTGTCACTCTAAAAAACTGAATAAGACACGGTTGGACCTTCCAGCTGCCCGTAGTCTAACAGGACAGTCAGATAAAATAACACAAGCCACAGTAAAACATGATGCTTGCTCTAGTGGACATGTAAATATCATGCTGGGGCAGAGGGAGCACCAGGACAAAGGATATATGTGCCCAACAAGTAAGCTAATTCAGACCCAAGCTAATTCTTGCTGCTGAAGAAACATCAGCAACCACAGGAAAGGGCCTTGGGAACTATGTGACTGATATATGGAAAAAATCAGCCTCGTTGGAGATAAACTCAGCAGTTATGTGGACTCTGCTGCCTCAGAAATCTCTTGGGGGTACTCCTAGCATGATGAACAAAGAATTCTCAAATGAAATCAGACCAGGCCTTCTTCAGTGGGTAGGAAAATATGAAACAGAATTTAAGAGTCCACTTCCAAGTTCCAGTCAACTCAATTGAATTCAAGAAACAATTCCTGGGCCCCACTGAGTGGACCTATGTGGTCATCCCCCTGTATCAACCAAGCTCAACCCTTGAAGACAAGGCCCTAATTCCAGAAAGCCAAAGTTAATCCCAGGAGGGCTGCTCCTAGAGAACTTCCTCTAGCCCCCTGCATGGGACTTTCTGCATTCTCAACTTTCCCCACCGGACTGTCAGCTCTTAAGAAGGCAGGGACTGCATGGACCTGGTTCATTGACTTTCAGATTTCCAGCCCTGGAACTCCACATGTAAGTGAAATCTTACTTGGAATCACAAATGCCTGAAACTGAGCAAAACAAAGCTTGCTTTGAGAAGACCAGGACCTTTATTCATTTCTCATTGCTGCTATAACAAATCACTGCAATGTTAGTAGCTTAAAACAAGTCACTAACCTCTGGAAGTTAGAAGTCCAATGCAGGTCTCCTTGGGCCAAAATCAAGGTGCGAACAGGGCTGTATTTCTTTTTGGGAGCCCCAGGGGAGAATCCATTTTCTTGTCTTTTCTAGCTTGTGTTCATGTGTCTTGGCTTTTGCCTCTTCTTCGTGTTCAAGGCCTATGACATTGCCTCTCCCTGACCATTTTTCCATAGGCACATCTTCCTCTCTGAATTTCCTCTTCTGCCTCTCTCTTCTACTTTTAAGGATACTTGTGATTATTTTGGACCCAACTCATCCAAGTTAATCTCCCTGCTTTCAGGTCAGCTGATTCATGATCTTAATTCCTTCTTTGCCCTATAACCCAACATAGTCACAGGTTCCAGGGATTAGGGCATACATAAGACATCTTTGGGGGCCATTATTATGCTGCTGCATCTACTGCCACATCCTTCCCTTTGAAGCTGGCTTTCCCAGGACATAGAGAGGAATGGGCAGAAGAACCTATACTGGACTGGAATGGAGCTTCCTAGTGGACAGAGAACTGCAGGAAATAAGGGTCTATGGGAGAAGGCATGTTCTGGGCAGGACCTCCTCACCTCTAAGACTCCCTCCTCCTTACATCCAGACTAAGAGCTGTGTGAAGGCAGGGTCTGATTGGTATTCATTTCCGGATTCCCTTCCTTTTCTTTCTCTGGCCATTGAAGCATGCTTACCTTAGAGCAGGACAGACCAGAACTGTCAGAGAATTAACACCTTTGCGAGCAGCCCTCAGCCAATGACAAGACAGAAGTCAATGGCTTCCAGCCTCTTTGCCCCTCAGTGGGAAAATTCTAATGGAAGTGATTGAGCCTGGTTCCCCACAGCAGTAATCTTAGTCACTCACACAACAAGGGTCACCAGTTTGTCCCAGTCTGTACACGACTTTTCCCATTTAGCACTGGAAGTCCCATGTCCCAGGGAACCTCTCAGTCCCCAGCAAATGGGGTGGTTGGTCATCCTAAATACAGTCTTTCTTCCTTCCCTTCCCCATCTCATTTTCCCAGTCCCCAGTAGTGCTTCCTGGTATCATCCTCAAATAAACAACTTGTACCCAAACCCTTATCTCAGAGTTTACTTCTGGGAACAGCCGAACTCAAACAAGCCCTGTGGTCCAGTTTGTGTCCAACTGGCAGGGCTGGTGCACTGTAACCACGCATGTTGTGTACCCCAAAACTCTAGGGGGTGCCATTCACATAATCTGTGACGAGAACAATCGCCCTAGTGGAGTGCATTGCAGGCCCTCACAACAGCTGGTATCTCTGGCTGGGCCCTCTGTCAATTTATTCTAGGATGAAATTCTCCTTTCCTCACCTCCCACCACACGGAAAAAGAAAAGGCACACATTATCAAAGAAAAATCTTCCCATAAAAATGGAGCAGGCTTAATCCTCTCCTGCCCTTCTTCTCGTCGCCCTTGCCCTGCCTTGCCCTTTTCCAGATGTCTCCATTTAGTCATGGTGAGAGCTGAGCAGCGGACAAACAGCATGGCTGCCTGAACACCCTTCACAATCGATTGAGCTGTGGCAGCTGGGCTTGCCCCCAGATGAGGGGAGCTCTGTGCAGACGGCGATTATGCATGGGGAACCAGAGAGCCTTAGGGACCAGGCAGCAATGACAGTGTCTCTGTGACCCTCACTTCACTGCAATTAGCAGCCCTGAAAATTAGTAAGGGCTCTCTGAGCTTTAACCTGCCTCCCACAGACACCAGCTCAGCCTCACCTGGGGAGACAGCCCACCCGAGGGATGGGAGGCAGTGCTAGCAGTGGACATCTGGACACCCCTAATGAGGCCAGCCCAGGATGGGAGCTCAGCTAATTGCTCAAATCGGCCGTGATGTCTGGCTTCCAGCTGCCTTGTCTGGCAGCACCATTTGGATGTCTTGAGTTTACTGTGAGGTTGGGACTGAGAGACCCTGAGGAATGGGGAATGTCAGCTGGGGTTCATGCTGAAGCAATTAAGAGGACATTTGTTGCAGGTGAAGAATGGCGGGACAGTAAAATAAAAATATCACAGCTTGCTGTCATCTTACCAGGAAATCCATAGTCTCCAGCCACGACAGGTTATTCCAGGAATACCGAGCATGTGATGTGTGGCTGCAGAAGCAGCACACGAAGGCTAGAAAATGTCCTGGGACCTGGAAGAACCAGATCAGGGCTCTTCCTAGCATTCCTTATCTCACCCTTCCTGAAAAACGGGAGAACTGTTCCTTCCTACCCTACTCCCAGACTCAATTTACCCTGAAGCTAAGGAAGTACAGGCTTCAGGGCCCCTCATTTGCATAGGCCAGTTTCAAGACCCTGGAAAAAGTCCTAGCAATGTTTTACCAGGTGGACTTTTTTTTTTTTTTTTTGGCAAATTTGTAAAAAAAAAAAAAAAAAATACTATTTTAACCAGAATCAGTTAAGACCATTGTCTTTTTCCACTCTGAATTCTCTTCTGTCCCTTATTATCAAGTAATGTTGGTATTTGTGTGATTTAGCTAAAAAGTGTTGAATCTAGGGTATATTTAGTTTGGGCTTAGTGGGATATATTTATAGGGTTTGGTTTCTTCTATTTATAGTTCAAGCCGTCCCCGTGTAAGAATGACTTCTAGAAATAGTCCTGCTACCCATTGTACTGATTCATCCAGTGTCTGGAATAAAGATGCCAGGCCAGAGGGCCTATTGTGACTTAAATGTGTCCCACTGCATGAGACTGGAAGTGTCTGCACAATGTAGAAGAACCAAACTTTGAAATATAAGGAGCCAGATGCTAGTATGGCAAAAACTGTTCAGTTTCAGAAGAATAGAATTATAAGTGGAGGATTTGGTTCTGATCAACACTTAGGCAAAACGGAAGGTTCTTATACCAAGAATATACTTGATAACTCAATGTATGCAATTATAAACATGCTGTACAATGAAATTATTTTTTATAAGTTTCTACATGAAATCAAGAGATTACTCGGACATCAACAAGGAAGCTGTAACAACAACAACAAAAAAACTGATCATTCCAAAAGCAATAATTCATTAAAAGAGATACAGGCACAGTGCCTCATACCTGTAATCCCAGCACTTTGGGACACTGACGCAGAAGGATCACTAGAAGCCAGAAGTTTGAGATTATAGTGAGTGACGATTGCGCCACTGCACTCCAGCCTGGGCAACAAAGCAAAACCTCACCTCTTAAAAACTTTTTTCTAAAAAAAGAGATACATTTTAAATAAGAGTAGTCAATAGACTCTTTAATTCTTTGGTAATTCAATTTAAAATGAGAAGAAAACTATATAAACATTGGAAAAAAGAGTCTAATTTCTTGCTGACAGTACTGTCACTGGAAAATAAACTCACAAGATACAAGGCCATGAAGGACAAATTGGAAATGAGTGCAATCACTTCAAGGGGTGTTGACAATTAGTTACTGCCCAAGAAAGCTTAATCAACAACAACAAAAATCAACTTGATTAAAAAATGGGCAAAGGTCATTATCCTAAGTGAACTAACACAAGAACAGAAAACCAAATACCACATGTTCTCACTTATAAGTGGGGACTGAACATTGAGTACATATGGACACAAAGAAGGAAACAACAAACACCAGGGCCTACTTGAGGGTGCAGGGAGGAAGGAGAGAGGATCGAAAAACTGCCCATTGAATACTACGATTATTATCTGGGTTATGAAATCATCTGTACACCAAACCCCTGTGACATGCAACTTACCCATATAACAAACCTGTACATTTACCCCAAACTTAAAAGTTAAAAATAAACAAATGAATAAACGATGGGCAAATGACTTGAATAGGCATTTCTCCAAAGAAGATATACATATATAAATGGCCAATGAGCACATGAAATGATGCTTAACATCATTAATTATTAGGGAAATGCAAATCAAATAACAATGAAACACCACCTATACCCATTCAGATGGCTACTATCAAAAAAAGAAGAGAGAAGAAAAGAAGGGAGGGAAGGAAAGAAGGAGGGAGGAAGGGGGGAGGAAGAAAGGAAGGAAGGAAGGAAATAAGGGAGAGAGAGAGGAAAGGAGAAGGAAGGGAAGACGGAAGGAAAGGAAGGAGGAAGGAAGGAAGGAAGGAGAGAGAAAAGAGGAAGAAAAAGAAAGCAAAAGAGAAAAGAAAAGAACAAGTATTGGCAACGATGTGGAGAAATTGGAACCCTTGTGCACTGTTGGGAATGCAAAATGGTGCAGCTGCTATTAAAAAAAAAAACAGTAAGGTGATTTCTCAAAAAATTAAATACAGAATCACCATATGATCCAGCCATTCCATTTCTGGGTATATACCCCCAAAAATCAAAAGCAGGGTCTCAAACAGTTATTTGTACACCTATGTTCATAGCATCATTATTCAACATAGCCAGAAGGTGGAAGTAACCCAAGTATCCATCTACGGAGGAATCCATAAGCATATCATGGTACATACATTCAATGGAATATTAGTATTAAAAAGGAAGGGAATTCTGACACATGCTACAACATGAGTAAACCTTAAGAACAGTATGCTAACTGAAATAAGCAAAAAGGCAAATCCTGTATGATTTCACTTACATATTATATCTAGGGTAGTCTAATAGAGACTTAAAGTAAAATGATGGTTACCAGGGGCCGGTGGTGAGGGGAATGGAAAGTTGTTTAATGAGTATAGAGTTTTCAGTTAGACAAGATGAAAAGAGTTCTAGAGATTGGTTGTACTGAATGCCACTAAATATACTGAATGCTACTAAATTGTATGCAAAAATGGTTAAGATGATAAATCTTATGTGTATTTTGCAATTAAAAATGTTTTAATCTCAAAAAAAGAAAACTTGAAATGCCTTAAATCTTAAAATTCAGATATGAGAGAAAAGCGATTTAAGATGTTCCCAAATGTAGGATTTGACAATCAAAAATTCATGACACTGTCAATAACAAGTTACAGAACTGACAGGAAATATACTAAGTTATCAGTCTTTTTTTAAAAAAAGCAAATTTCAATCAGCATAGAGAAAAGACTGAATTATCTTTGTTCTCACTATGGAAAATCTTAACAAATTATTAATATATGAAAAAGCGATCAAAAAAGTATGCAGCCAAAAATGTAGAGAAAAAGCATTATAGAAGTAGTCCATTAATTAATTAATTAAAGCATAAATGTTATTTTCTGGATTCTGTGATGCTTGTGGTATTTTGTCATTTTTGTTGTGATTTCTTTTTCCCTTCTAGTTTAAATGCTCCTTTTTGTATAAAATTCCATATTCTTTTTCTTAACAAAGTCTCCTAATTGTATGAGCATAAGGCCCCCAGAACCTGGGTGTGTACCATCTTATGCCCATCTTTCAACACAGCAATTCTCTTGGGGACACTTGAGCTTTTATCTGAATCTATTCCCAACAGAAACTGAGGCCAAAGGAATCACATGGCTGTGTCACTGCCTGTATGGTCTTGAGCTTTTGCAGTCACAAGCTGGGCCTAAGCTTTTGTGGTCACAAGCTGGGCCTCAGTTTCTCGATCTTGAAATGGGGAACATTTTCTTGAAAATCCCTGCTTCCCATAGGTGACAATGGGATACACAGGAATCACCATGAAACCAAAAGCACCCTAGAAATTCAAAGTCATAAAAGAAAGAATAAACCAATTCTTTTCATTTCTATTTTTTTTCTTGAGACAGAGTCTCACTGTGTTGCCCAGGCTGGAGTGCAGTGGCACAATCTTGGCTCACTGCAACTGCAGTCTCCCGGGTTCAAGCAATTCTTGTGCCTCAGTCTCCTGAGTAGCTGGGATTACAGGTGCCCGCCACCACATCCAACTAATTTTTGTATTTTTAGTAGAGATGGGTTTCGCCATGTTGGCCAGACTGGTGTCAAACTCCTGAGCTCAAGCAATCCACCTGCCTCGCCTCCCAATGTGCTGGGATTACAGGCATGAGCAACCATGGCTGGCCTGAATAAACCAATTCTTATTGAAGAATTTACCTCACACATCTAAATTTTTTCAAGGTGCCTTGTCCCACTGAACTACCCATCTACGTTTGGTAATCGGGGTTGTCATGGCAAAGGCCACAGGACAACAACTAAGTATCAGGAAAACGTGAAGGGAGCCCAGGCTAACCTGGATCCATTGAATAAGAGACACCCATTTGGGATCTGTCAGACAGGGAGAACGTGTAGGGGTTCTTGGGGGCTTACTGGTCTGGAGAATGGTCAGAAGAAATTTGAATCAAGAGTCATCAAGTTGAAATCCCTCTCCTAGATCTTTCTCCTTGATAAGGCAAAGCAGTAGATTATAAACCCAACAGACTGCTGCAGAGCATAAACCCAACAGACTGTTGCAGAGCTTGAGTATAAGATAATGACTCTCAGGAGATAAAAGGAAAGAGTAGAGAGAATTTCACTCATTTAAGACTGATAGACTGGGTATGGAGATAAGAACAAAAGTTGAATCAAGAATGATTCCTAGATTTCGGACTCAGGCAACTGGATCAAAGGAAATGCTATTTACTGAGATAATGAAGGCTGAGGGAGAAACAGGGCAGAAGGCACAGGGAACATCAAGTTCCTTTTCACACAAGTTCAAGTTGAGAAACTTGTAAGATATCCAGATACAGATGTCAAGTAGACTGTTGGTTATATAAGCCTGGAGCTCAAACAAGAGGTCCGGTTTCAAGTTATAAAATTGAGAGTCATCAGAAAAAAAAGGTGAAGTTAAGCCCATGAGAATAAATCAAATCATTCAGAGAGAAAGAAAAGCAGGGAAGGGGAGGAAAGGAGACTGGGGGACGCAGAGGGTAGAGGAAACTAGCTCTAGAGAATCCAAGCATTTAGAAAGCAAGTGAAAATATTGGCAAAACAGAAGTGGCCAAAGCAGGAGGAGGAGAACCAGGAGAGAGTGTTACCTTGGAATCTAGGAGAAGAAAATGACTTAAAAAAGGAACAAAATGGTCCTCTATGCCAAGTGCTGCTGAGATGTAAATCCGAGTTTTTGCCTCTGTGTTATATCAGATGACTTATGTGGAGAAAGATTCACTGGTCAGGGTCAAAGGGAGTTGCCCAAGAATCAGCAGGGAAGTTGGTCAGAAAAGTTGTTCTGACCCCCACTGAAAAGGAGGCCACTGAGCTGCCCAGAGAGTGGACACGCACTCGTGCATCTATCCTCAGGTAGACAAGAGGCCAGTAAAGTTGTAGCAAAGTCAAGACAGATCTGCCCTAAAGCAGTTCTTATTATCAGTTCAGAGGGCCGAGAAACTTTGTCAGAGAATCCAACATCCATCATAAGCTGGCCTCAGGCAAAGTCCACTTGAATCAGTGATTAGAGAAGTGAACGAAGATTCCCCAAACCAGGAATTTCCTATCGTGTTCCATTCTTGTTTCACTGTGGAGTTCAACACCAGTCATATCCAATGACTTTTTTTCACTTCCTCATTGTCAATGGAAAGAGGGATACTGCATCAAAGAGCAGCATTCTCTCGATGGCGTTTCACCACAGGGTGCTGAACCACCGCCAGCCAGCTAGCACCAGCTTCCGTCAGCTCACATCAGCTCAGAGATCTGATCATGTGCATGTCTTCCCAACTTCATGCTCAGTGACTTCATGTTAATAGCTTAAAATTGACCATAGTGGGAGTATTTACAACATGAAAATCAGCAAACACTATGAATCAGGGCTCCCCACCCCACAGAGAACCAGTTGTTAAATATTTCCAGCACACTACTGGATAGTGACCTGCAGGATAGAGCATGTTAGGGCAAAAGAAGAAAAAAAAAAAGTTAAGATCAAATACTTTTAGGAAACATAACTTACCTCTCTTGGAAATTCCCTATGCACATTAGTATATTAAAGACTCAGAGAAGTCTTTCTATCAAGAAATCTATTTATCTTTTGTTTATAACAAAGAGTTTCCCAAACTTATTTGGCCACAGAACCCCCTTTTGTGCAATATCTATCTATCATCTGAAGTTTATGCTGCTTTGGACTTTTCTTTTTTAAATAAAACTAAGCTGTTAGCATTGAAATAGAGATAGAAATTGGCCATAATAGTTCTGCTGTTCATTCCCATGGCTATTTCAAGAGGTGTGTAGATGACGAATGTTTGCAGCCATTCTTGTGACTGCTAAAAGACCCTTATTATTTATGACTTGAGTTCTGGGTGGTGATTGCTGTCATTAATAATGACGGCTCAGCCCCAAGGCTGGGGAGATGGCGGATCTGGAGTCTCTCTCACTTAGCCTGACATTCCTGTGATACAGGAGTTGGGACTGTAAAGCTCAGAGCACTTAGTACCAGCACAGGGAGTGCTTGATTTCAAATTCTTTCCTCATTCAAGAGCAGGCGCTTGGGGGCCCAGGGCAGGGGTCTTACTCACGCTAACTGTGGAAACCACTGCTGGCTAATAGAGTGAATGGAGGAGTCCTGGGGACCTGGTGGAACAGAACAACTGTGTTCATTAAGAGAGCCAGGAAGCAGCAATGGAGGTCTTGTCCATCGACAACTTGGCAGGACACAAAGTATTTTACCAAAAGGAATCTCACAGCTGGAAGCAGCAGGTGCGGGCAGAGCAGAGCCTGTGCAAAACTGGAGAGAGATTAAGGCAGGCAGGAAATTGGATTTTCCCAAGTTCCAAAGGGGAGGGGTGCACCAGGAGGAGAAAGGAGAAAGAGAGACAGAGAGGCTGAAATTGATTTAGGACTTGAAATAAATATCCTTAACCAGCAAAGGGGCTGTCGTTCTGCATTTTAACAATTTAACAGGCAAAAAGCCCCAGCATTCACTGAACCCATGCCTTCAACAGAGGGAGAGATTATCAGTTGCTGAACAGGAAAAACTAAACAGTTTTAACATTCTTCATCCCCCCAGAAGCAAGACTTGATGTCAGGAAAAAGGCTTTCTGCTGCTAACCCTCTACCTGCCCTTCTTCTCCCTGTTCTCTGGACAACAGGACAGGCTCCCAGCCCTGGCCCTGGTGGTGACCCCATCCTGCAGCTCTGGGATGATGCTCAGCAAATGGCAGGTTCTCCGAGGACAAAGAAGAAGGGCTGTACCAGAAACTCACAAGCAGCAAGGCTTTCCTTCCAGAGCAGGGTAAAGTGAGAGGTGGCCACCACATCTCCAGGAAGCTGTGGAGTCTGCCCCTAATCTCAGCAGGTTCAACCTGGGCCCATGTTTCCTCACCCTCTACCTCTAATTTCAGCCATTTGAAATTAGTGTTTTACTTTTCTAAGTGTGATTTTAAAAGGAAAAAAAATGGGACGTTCAACTAGATATGCGAGTGCAGTAAGTTATATTTTTAAAACCAATACAGAGTCATGAAATCTGAAAACAGAACACACATACATCCCCAGAAAGGCAGGGTGCTTCATCCATATGCTCATAGATTTATGGGCTGAGAACACACTCCTCACTTGTAAATACTGGGAGGCTCAGGTCAGCTTTTCTCTCCCAGGCATTAGTCCCTCCAGATGGAACACCACAGTGGATTTTAGAGAAGGGTTAATGTGCTTGCATTCTAAGACAATGGAAATTACATTGGAAAAATTCTTGTTATTATTCATATTCAGTCTTTAAACAGTGATTGATGTTCTACAAAGTAATTCTCACATGTATTATTGTATTTAGTCCTCAAAATAATCCCATGAGTCAGGTGACATTATTATCCTCATTTTCCAGTTGAAGAAACTGAGGCTCAGAGAGCTTGAGGAGTGCAGGACCCAGGTCACACAGCTGGTAAGCAGATCTGTGTGACTCTAAATCTCTTGCTCCTTCCCCTACCCCTTGCCATAATCCTCTGGAAGGAGGGACCCTAGCAATGTACTCTGCAGGGCCCCAACACAGAGAACAAACAGGCAACTTTGTAATTAAAGATGGAGAAGGAGGGTCTCTTTTCCCACTGTCCCTAATGGAGACTCTTGGTGCTTATGCCCCAACAGATCACCACTATCTGCTCTATATCCTTGTCTCTCCACACACAATGTACCTTCCTCAACCCTAATACCCAATCCCCAGGGAAGATTGCTGAATTTGCTGGGGTGGCTAGAAATGTGCAAATTAGGTAGGCCCAGTGCCCATCCCCAGCCCCTTCCTTTCCTTTCTAACAGTCCTGGCAGAAAGTATAGGGCCCCTCTGGGTTGGAAGGTAGAAGAAAAATGATAGTGAAATTTAAGGAGCATGTACCCAGCAAATAGTCGTTGAACTGATTATTCTCCAGACAAGTCCACTGAACACATCACATCACATATCTTGTTCTCTCAGGCTTTCAGTCAATCCTTAATTCCTTCTCATTTTCATCTAACCCCTTTTCAGGTAGGGCCAGAAGCTAGTTCAGTACAACAAATGAAAAAGAGACACATTCAGACTCCTATGAAAAGACCATATCTAGCCTTTGCCCCTTAGATCTATCTGTAAGCTGCCTCACTCTCCCTGAATCACTTCCTGCATTTTGTCACTCCCTCAACCAAGAACCTTCAATGTTTCCTCACTAACTCTTGGATTAACTCCAAATTTTTCATCATGGCGTGTCACAATTCCATACCATTCAGGCACTAGGCATGCAGTGCATGTATGCATGCATGGATGGATGGAAGGATGGATGGATGGATGGAAGGATGGATGGATGGATAGCTGGACAAATGAATAAATGAATGAAAGGCAAAATAGATCCAACATGCAATTTCCCATTAGAACATTTTATCTGTGTCCATGGAGGTGTGGCAGTCATTTATTTGCCTCAGAAAAATGAAAGACCTCATCCCCTTTTCCTGCACATCCTGTACCCACCCCATACACACCCTTTATCATGATTGTCATATAGGTCTCTATTGTTTCTATGGCTCATAATAAAACCCATCTGCCTAGAGGGGCCAGGGGAAGGGTTGTACCCTACAATGTAAACGATCCTGGAGCCCCAGCACTAAGACTTCTAGGATTAATGAACAATGTTGCTCAAGTGAGGGCACTTCCTTCTCAGGGCTCCATTTCCTGGTTTGTGAAATTAAGGTCTTCAGATATGGAGCAGAGATGGGAGCCCAAAAACCCCTTTGTTTGGAAATAAGTAATATTCCCCAATTTCCTAGATACTCGCCATCTAGAAAGTGCAGCTGCTGAAAGAGATTTGGAAAATCCTCCGAAGTATTTGTGAATGCAGCGTCCTTGCAGGTAGCCAAAGGATAATGACTCCCACCCAAATCTTCATGAGAGGCTGGGGAAGTCCAAACTGGGCAGCTAATGAGAGGGGCCCCATGTTGTCCAGGTAGACAGTCAAGGTCCAGGTAGACAGTCAAGGTCAACTCATCCCTGCTACTTCCTGCTGCTCCTACAACTGGGGCCATGTAGAGGAATGATTTGAGCAACCTGAAAGACAGTCTTTCCTTCCTCTCTCTGCATTCCTTAACCCTTTATGTCTCTGGGCCATAGACATATTGTCTTCTATGGTCAAATTAACCTAATGTCTCTCTTGTATCATTCTGAATCTTTTTAGTCATCCTAATGAAGAGCCTTGGGGACTATTTACTGCTCCTCAGTCAGTAGGAGTTGGATTTTATCTATTGTGAATTGTGAACAAGAGCTCTATTTGTTATTTTTTATTAGTGTACACTTCTTTCCTGATGATAGCTGTTTAATCATCCAGGATTAAGAAATAAGTGATTCTACAGATGCTCCCTTGCTTGCTCCCCAAAATTACCCCTTACCTACCCTCCACCCTATGATACCTCCATCAGTGAAATAAGAGTGGTCCTTATGTGACCTCTCAACCATCCCAAGGCCTGGTCCAGTACTGCTCTAGTGGACACATGAGTGTTGAGCTAAAACAGAACATCACATTGTGGACCTAATGGGATCTGGCCAAGAAGCTCCACATGGCCAGGGGTAAAGCACAGGGGTTAGAAATCATAGCCCTGTATTCTGCTTAGAGCCTGCTCCATGATTCTGTGTGGTCTCAGAGAGGTCTCTTTCCATCTCTGGGCCTCTGCTTTCCAGCTGTAAAGGAGGAAGAATTATCCTATTCACAACATCAACAAAAATTAGAAAGTGCCTGGGAAAAAACTTACCAGGAAATAAAAAAGAACAGTATGAACAAGGATATATAGAAGAGCTGACTCACTAAATGGGAAAATATGTGTTCATGTAAAGGTAAATCCCAGATCAATCTATAAATGTATTGCAATGATTATTTTTAGGAAACTTGACAAGATGATTCTAAAATTGATATGCAAGAATAAATGCAGGCGAATGAAAACAACAAGCAAAAGAGGACATTCACCCTACCAAACAAAATAACACCCTAGTAATTGTAGAAACATGGTATTAGCTCAGGGATAAGTGAGTAGATCAATGCAACAGAATAGAAAACCTACAAATCAACTAATGTGTCATAGGCAGAACAATAGCTTCCCAAAGATGGTGTTCCTGGAACCTGTGATTATGTTAGGCTATGAGGTATATTAGCTTGCCAGGGCTGCCGTAACAAAATACCACAGACCAGGTAGCTTAAACAACAGCAATTTATTGTCCCACGGTACTGGAGCTGAAAGTCCAAGGTCAAGGAACAAACAGGGTTGCTTTTTCTCTGAGGCCTCTCTTACTGGCTTGCAGATGGATGCCCTATTGCTGCTTTTTCACATGGTCTTTTCCTCTGTACATGCACATCCCTGATGTCTCTTCATGAGTCCAAATTTCCTCTTCTTATAAGGATGTCAGTCAGATTGGATTAAGGCACATCCATACGACCTCATTTTACCATAATTACCTCTTTAAAAGCCCTATCCTTCGATACAGTCACATTCTGAGATACCAGTGATTAGGGCTTCAACGTATGAACTGGAGGGGACAGGGGAATACAGTTCAGTCCATAACACATGGCAAGGAGGAATCAAGTTTGCAGATGGAATCAATCTGCTGACCTTGATTAAGATAGGAAGATTGCTATGGTTTGAATGCTTGTCCCCTCCAAATTGCATGTTGGAATTTAAACCCCAGTGTGGCAGTCAATTGAGAAGCAGAGTCTTTAAGAAGCGTTTGGCCCGGGCACGGTGGCTCACGCCTGTAATCCTAACACTGTGGGAGGCCGAGGCGGGCGGATCACGAGGTCAGGAAATCGAGACCATCCTGGCTAATACGGTGAAACCCCGTCTCTACTAAAAAATACAAAGCGGGAGCCTGTAGTCCCAGCTACTCTGGAGGCTGAGGCAGAAGAATTGCTTGAACCTGGGAGGTAGAGCCTGCAGCGAGCTGAGATTGCACCACTGCATTCCAGCTTGGGCAACAGAGCGAGACTCAGTCTCAAAAAATAAAATAAAATAAAATAAAATAATAAAAAAAAAAAACAAGAAGTGTTTGGGTAATTCCTTCATGGATTAATGAGGTATGGGTTACTGAGGAATCACAAGAGTGGGACGGGTGACGTTATGAGGACAGGAAGAGAGACCTGAGCTACCATGCTTAGCACCCTGGACATGTGATGTCCTGTGCTGTCTTGGGACTCTGAAGAGAGTCCCTACCAGCAGGAAGGCCCTCACTAGATGTGGCTGCCCAACCTTGGACTTCATAGCCTCCATAACTGTAAGACATAAAGTCTCTTTCTTTATAAATTACCCAGTTTTAGGTATTCTCTTATAAGCAACAGAAAACAGACAGAAATTATCACGGATCATCCACATGGGCCCAATGTAATCACAAAGGTTCATAAATGGAAGAGGTCATCATGAGAGTCAGCTTCAGAGTGATACAGCCTAAGAAAGACAACCAACCACTGATGAATTGAAGATGTAAGGGGGCCCTAAGCAAAGGAATGTGGCCAGCTGGAGACAGAATGACACGGATTCTCCCCTGGAGCCCCCAGATGGCTGCCTCCACACAGCCCTGACAACACCTTGATTTTAGACTCTGACCTCCATAACTGTAATTAATAAATTTGTGTTGTTTGAAGCTGCTAAGTTTGTGTAACTGTTTACAACAGCAATAGAAACTAATACACCATGCATAGAAAGGAATTAAGATATGATAAAAGTAGCATTTCAAATAACTGGAGAAGGGTATAGTATTTGGTAATATATAGACAATTAACTAGTCATCTGGCTAAAACACTAAACAAAATCAAATTTCTATGCCATGCCATTCACAAAAATAAAGTCCAGATGGATTAAAAATCTAAACAATGTACACGTAAAAATACTGGAAGAAAATATCGGATAATGTGTTTATGACTTTGGAATAGGGAAGGGGAAAGACATAACCAAAAAATGAATAAAGTTTACAACAGTACAATATAAAACACTTCTATACAAAGACATCACAAGCAAAATCAAAAGGCAAGCAAAAAATGGCAGAAATACGTTTTCATCTTACGTATATTCTTTGAATTTTGTTGTTTTATTTTTCTTGACAGTGAATGTGAATTAGTTCATTAATTAAAAACAAAAAAAGGCAAAAAGAGTTGGAAAGAATCTCCTCTACCACCCTCTTTTCTTCCCAGGAATGAACTGGAATGAAAGGAAAAACTTTTTAAAATCAAAAACACTATGAGAACACAAGCCCGTGTTTTATTGAAGCAAAGAACAAATTATGATTTTGGAGGGCATTTCCTCATACAATCTTTCCCACATCCTCAAGCTCCTCTTTCTTGAAGACACCTGTGGAATGAGCTAAGGTCAGCCTGTGTTCATAGGAAAGTACTGCTGAAAAGCTAACCTATGTAGGGTCAGCCGAACATGTGGCAGAACTGGCCAATTATCTCTCCTTTTCCCACATCTTCCTGGGCACACAGCTAGACTACGTTTCCCAGCATCCCTTTGCAGTTAGCTATGTGCACATATCTGAGTTCTGTCCAATGGAATGTGGGCAAAGGTGCCACCTCTAGGCCTGGCACATGAAAACCTCATGTACTTCATGGTCTGTCCTCTTTTGCTGTTTTAATAAAGATGAATATGCAAACTTGGAAGACTTGAAGTTGCAAAGCCATAAAATGGAAAGAACTTGGATCCTTGAATCACTGCCTAGAGAGTCACCCACTGATCAGAAACACCCATATTGGGCTTTATAAGAGCTAGAAAAAAAGTTGTATTTGAGCTCATATACATTTTTGAGCTTGCGTCTGATTCAGTAGCTAGTATTCCCTTAACTAACTCAGAAGCCAACCTGGCTTCTTTTGGCAAATTCCTTGGTCTGACACCTCCCCCAGCAGTTCAACTGAGCTAATTATTAAGCTAATGACTTCAACTGCAAATCCGTCCTTCTATTCTTGACTTTATGAGTCCCTGAGCTGGGACCCAGCAAACCACATTTCTGCTGTGCCTAATAGTTTCCTGCTAAGGTCTGCCAATAGAGGGCACTAGAGAGAGAGACTGCAAGGCTGGAAGAGGGGAGAAGGTGCCTGCTCCCTTCTGTCTGCTTCTTGTTCCACTTCCTTGCTTCTCGTTTCTGGAGGTGTTACCGGGCCACGTTCACCCTGGCAGCTGCATTTCATTCCAGTAGCAGCCACTTTTTTCCATCACCCAAAGTACCATCCTCATTATCTTCCTCTGGGAGACCAGCATCAGCTGGTAATAATTCCAACGTCTTTCTTTCTTTCCCTGGCCCTAAGGATGGTACCCCTTCCTTGCAGTTGCTACTCTGTGATGTCTTTTTTTTTTTTCTTTTTGAGATGGAGTCTCGCTCTTGTCACCCAGGCTGAAGTGCAGCGGCACTATCTTGGGTCACTGCAACCTCCGCCTCCCGGGTTCAAGCAATTCTCCCACCTCAGCCTCCTGGGTAGATGGGATTACAGGCGCACACCACCATGCCCAGCTAGTTTTTTGCATTTTTGTAGAGGCAGGGTTTCACCATTTTGGCCAGACTGGTCTCAAACTCCTGACCTCAAGTGATCCGCCTGCCTCGGCCTACCAAAGTGCTGGGATTACAGGCTTAAGCCACCACACCCGGCCAACTCTGTGATGTCTTAGGGTTCCCTTTGAACATTCAATCCCTAGTTAACAATTCTTTAGGTTAAATTACCTCTGTTAAAAACCACACCAGATATTTTGTCTCATAGCTGGGTGCTGATTTATACACCAACACGTTTGGAGCTACCTGGGGTTTCTCCATCATCCCAATGGTAATGATACCACAGTATGAGCCATAGATTTCTGTCTTCCTCCGTCCAGCACCTGAGCCTTGCCTACCTTTTGCCACATGCAGAGGAGAAGCAAATCACAAAACGTGTCTCCCTGCCTCCTGCTGGCATTCAACAGACCTCACCTAGGGCTGCAAACTGGAGCTATGAAGACCCAGCAGAGTATGTTTTGTCCCCTATGCCCACAGTGGCATCGCTGGGACGACCACACATTGGAGTACCACCTCCACTCCAAGGAAAAGCAGGGGAGCCACAGAAACAAATTCTCCACTGCTGCCCTTTGAAACCATGCTTTGAAATGTCCACCCAATTTACCCCCTTTCTGATCTAAATTCTACACCAGAGTAGGGGACACATAGCCTAGAAGGAAGGGCTGCTGTGACACTGGAAGCTCCTTAAAGACCAGATTTTTTTCATATGTGTCTCCCGTCCCAAGGCACAAATATGAACTTGCATCTGAAGCTGAATAGCTCTTTAGATAACGCATGCTTGCATTTATTCTCTTTGCCTTTCGCATAGTAGACATTCAGTGAGCCTATCAGGACTGGAGTGGAATGGAATTAGATTGGGAGGAAGCTGCCAGTTGAAAAGTCACTTTTTCTAAAAAGCCTTCTCCTATTCCCCTGGAGAGAGGGAGATGCTTTTTATTCCCTTCTCTGTGTTTCCACAGCTCTTGGTGCTTCTATTTCATCCCCTGTCATGCCGAGTTGCAATTTATGTTTCCTTTCTGCCTTCCCAATATACCAAGAACCTGCCATATGCAAAGTCGCCATGTCTTTTTCATTGTTGTATCTCCAGGCCTGGTACCCGTAGGTGTTCAAAGGATAAGTAAATTAATGAACAAACCCTAGCCTAATGGAGCAGCTTTTCAATCAAAATGAATTATAGCTCTAAGTGCATTAACCTTTAGAGGTAAATAGATGAATAAGAAATGTGCTAAAGGGCACTGTAAAGGGCATCAATTTCACCCTTAGCACTGTAAAGGGCATCAATTTCACCCTTCCAATGTAGGAAAAAACCTTCCAAAGGATTCCAGATTTGAATCCTTGATTTAAATACCCCCTGAATTCAGAAGTTTATTGCCTTAGTAAAACAGTCCATTTCACTGTTAGACAGCTTTAATTATTCAAATGTTTTTCCCTCTAGTCAGCTTAAACCTTCCTTCTAATAATCCCTTTGTGGGCTCTGGTTGCAGCCTCCAGAGAAAACATTGCTAAAATACTTCTAATCCATAGCAGAGATTCTAGAAGATGCCATGGTCCTCCACCCCGGACTACTTCTGATCTGTTGCCTATGGCAAGTATCTTGTACATCACACATCCAGTGCATTTTGCTGCCCTTAGCTAGGATTATCAAATATCCATTCTAGTCCATTCTGAAGAATATCCACAAAAAACAAATCCAACCTATTTCTCTATTTTTGGTCCTAGGGCTGAAACATCTTAGATCTCAGTTCTAACTTAAATTCTTTCCTTTTTTATTTTTTTTAAGTCTCTCTATTCTTTCAGTGAAGAAAGAACTTTTTTGGCTCCTATCCACTCTGTAAAGAATAACTAAGTCCTCTCTTTTTCTCCTCCCCGAAAACATGCCCTTGGCAACCCAGCCTTCTCTTTTATGAGCTGACTCATAGGTTCTGAGTGAAAAAAGCCCTTCCTTAAACACCCTCTACTGCCACGTGTGGATGAGGCTGCAGTATCCCAGTGACCAATGGAGCCAGGAAGTCGTGGCTCTGTGAACTGTGCCAGCATGACCCAGGACACTTCATGAGTCCCTTGTGCCCAAAACGTCACCACTTGGGCAACTACGTGTGGAAGCACCACCTCCACTAGGGGCTGGAAGGACGTGAGAACCAGCAGGTCTCTCCTGGCAGACCTATTGTAGGCTCCAACCCTCCCATGCTGGCCAGCCCTGAAGAGCACCAGCCCCCATGCCATGAACTTAATTACTTTGCAAGAGGACAGTTTGTAGCTGGACTTCCTCTTTGTTCTCACAGAAAGCTGAGAGTGGGCACCAGAACAAAGGCGGGTTTTTGCAAAACACAGGCAGGAGAGAACCCATGCTGCAAATCTGGGTCTGGGTCCATGTGTGGAAGGGATTGGGGAAGCACAAGGATGGGGCTCAGAAGGAACTGAATCCCTACCTGAGTGCTCATGCAGTGCCCTACCTGAGATCCCATTAGACCCAGACATAGCTGAACTGATTTACGCAAGCTTAGAGAAAAAAGTGTCTTGAGGGCTTCTGTCTCCCATCTCCCTGATTTTAGAAGACGATTTTTTTAAAGGTATCTTCTTTTCTATTTTTTTAAAATGTAGTAAGTTGAAAGGGGTGTGAAATTTGCATTGCTCACCTGATCAAGAGCTTTAACCCTCATTATTAGAATGTTCTTTATGTCTAGCCTAAATCCCTAAAGCTACTTCATGAGGTAAGTCTATGGAGTCTCATAAGTGGTTACTGGGGCATCCTTTAATGTGATAGATCAGGACTGATGGTCCTCTCACTCCTTTGGCTCCCCCTCCTTACCTATCTGAGAAGAAATTCCTTTGGCGTATGAACTCTGTGAGGTCATGTTGAGAGGTCACCAGTATTAGCAAGGGAAAGGCTTACGTGTGGAATCTGTGCTCCACACTGAGAAACCTGAACTAGCACCACCTACTTCTACAGAGGTCTGGAGGGCTTCTCTGACTCACAGTGGCCAGGAAGGGTGGGGAGAGAGTCAGAGGGAGTGCCCCAAAGTAGGGACGAAAAGAGAAAAGGAGACAAGTGCGAGGAGGGACTCCTTGGTGCCTATCCAAGCCTGGCAATCTATGGGCTGAAAGATAATTCTGCAGGTAATATAATCTTTGTCACTACCACCCCACACCTTGGCTCTGTGTGTTTGCAGTTACACAAAATTCTTTACTTCCTGAAATGGCCGCAGCTGCTCTCTCTTCTTCAGGGCATGATACGCATATGTGTGGGTCCTTCCTGTATGTCAAGGTCACTTCCAAATCATCCTTGGTTTTCTTTCTCCAGGATGGCTCTCTATTCTTTACCTTTCATCCCAGAAGTTTTAAAGAAGGAGGAGGAAAGGAAACTCATGAATTGAATGTCTAGCGTGAACTAGGAAATGAGAGAAAGCCTTACATAAATGTTTTTCTTTCGTCCTCCTAGCCACTCTCAAAAGTAGGTGAAATTTTATCACCAGAGGGTTAACAACTTCTCTCGATGAGGAAAGTGAGGCTGGGAAATAAAACGAATGGCCCAGGGTCACAGAGCTGGCAAGTGGTCATTGTCAGATTAATCCCTGGATCTGTCAGACTCCAAAGACACAGGCTTCATGGTGCTCCACTAGCTTTGAGTCTCCTCTACCAACCCTGACCCGCTTCTATGTCCCCCACAGTCCTTTAGCTCCACCATGGATCTCAGTACCTCACTTGGATCAGAGCATACAGAGAAAACAGCTTCATGTAGCCAACGTGGCTCAAGATAACCCCTAGCTCTGGGACCAGACTTATGCATGAGACTGGAGGAAGATCCCAGGAGAAGATCAGGCATCTCAATGGAAACTTTAGCCATAGCCCCAGAGGCTCAAGGATGAGGAAGGGGCCCTACCTCATGTGATACTTGATTTTCTCTGGAAATCACTGTGTGTGGTACCCATGGCCCAACCTCCATAATTACCATAGTGTATCAGGAAGATACATTTCCCAAATGTAGTGTATTCCCAAAACTCTGTTTTCCTCTTTAAAGAATAACTGTGACTCCTAGAGAAATCTCTGGATATATGTAATGCTATGAAGACAATAACCAGGCCATAGAATCACAGACTATCAAAGCTAGACAGGATCTCAGAGTTCACCCAGCCAAACCTCCTTATTTCAGCCCTGGGAATTAATAACTCAGAAAGGAAAAGTCTCCCACAACTTAGACTGTGGCAGAAAGTGAGCTCAATCCCAAGTGTCCCAGATCAAGTGACCTAGTTAGGTTTCCTTCCAGCTCTTGGGTGCCATGGTGGCAGTAGACATAGCTGTTACAGGAAACCAGGACCAAACTCAAGCACTTTCCACTATCTGGGAATGAAGTCCTGGCTTTCTCCAAACATTGCCAGGCTTCCTCCCATGCCAGTGTCATCCTTCCCCTGGGACCCAGCCAGAGAAGATTTCTGCTCCCTTCCTGATCTCCAATGTCACAAAACCACAGCCTCAGCTTGTATTCTTCCCCACTGTTACTACACTGTCTGGGTCAAAGGAGGCAGAAAGAAGACTGCACTGGGGTAAGGCACTCAAAATGGCAGGGTGGTGAGCTCAAGGACAGAGTTAGGGCTCACAGAGTGAGACACGGGAGGCCAAGTTCTCTATGCAGAGCTTTGGGAAGATTAATAACCATGGAGGGAACTCCATCAAACTACAGGGAGTCTATTCCTCTATTATCATAGAGCTCTTTGACCCTAACTCATGGGACCCCTTTTTCAAGACACAGGACTCCCTTGACAGACTCTGACTTCAGATTTGTGTTTGTTTGTTGTTAGTATCAAGAAGAAAAGAGCTTAGCTGAAAAGACGGGTTTTTTTTGTTTTTGTTTTTGTTTTTAAAAACTCACCTGGGGAGGGCCCAGGCCACTTCATCAGGCCACAGTTTGCCTAGGAGACCCTCCTGGGATCCTGACACCCAAGAGTCCCCTCCCAGCCCACAGAGCAGGCTGGTCCTCCGTGTCCTGGGGTGTGTGAGCTTCCCCCAAGTTTGCCTGCCGCCCACTGACTTCCATGTCAGGTTACAAAACAGCAGCCAGCTCACAGTTTCCCTAAACATGCTCAAATATTATCTTACCATGGAGGGGGGTTATCTGACACAAACATCTTGCCACGTAGCTCAGAAAAATAGCCTGACAGCCACAAAAAGGTAAATAGAGACATCAAACTCATGCCAGCAGGGCCAGCAGCAACACAGCCCTTGACCTGGAAGTTCTAGGATAGTTCTCAACAGTTCTCAAATGTAAACACTTCTCCTCCTCCTGTTTCCCCCTCTTCTCCCTCTCTGTTTTCTTTCCTAAGGATTAAGAGATTTCATTTTCATTGTTCCATAGATGCAAAGGGAGGTCTTTCTGAGCCAACAACAAGTACTGTGTGTTCCTTACGGTTTGGAAATCACTTGAAACACTGTGTCCCCTCCCCGCCAACCATCCCACGCTGTACCCCAACCTTCGGAGTCCTCCTATCAGAGTCCCCTGAAGGCTGCTGCAGAAGCAGAGTCTTTTTCCAGCCCACCTGACCATCTGAAAGTCAGAGCAGACCAGTGGATATATTGCCTTTCTATTTGAGATAAGGGATGAGTGCTTATGAGTTGGGTGATAGAAGGAAGGAAGAGACAGGGCTTCCTCTAAGACCTCTTTCAAAGCCCCCATGTCTCCACACACCTTTGAGGCCGGGTTGGGATCCTGACTGCCTGAGTGGGGGCTAAGGGTGACCACAGGCATTAGGCAGCCTCTCTTCTCTCTTGGGCCGGCTGGCCCCTACTAAGTAAGCTTCTGGAGGAAGCAAAGGTAGATGTCAAGAGCTCGAGCATAGCCAAGAAGAGAGAGCAGGGTCTTGCCGAGGTCTGGTTATTCTCCATTTGCCCGACAGTTCGCTCCAGATCCATTTTCTACTCTGTTCTATGCCCTGGGAGCATGATCCCTGGAAACTACTTCTCCCATTGCCTTCTGGCTCCAGCTGGACTGAGCCAATGGCACTCTCCGGGAGGTGACTGGAGAGCAGCAGAAGAGAGAAGCCCCTTCTTGTTGTGCTGCATTTTTGGCAGCAGCCATGTGTGTCCACAGCACCGGCTCCCCCAGACAGCCCATCCTCCGCAAGCCCAGCTCTCGCCAAGCCCACAGAACACTGATTCCTCCACTTGCCTCTGCAGCCCTAGAAGCGATCACTGCTTCTTGCTGCTGCTAGTCTCTGGTGCCTCAACTTCCCCTGTGTGCTCCTTTAACATCCTGCCCACACTTCTGTAGCAGCCTCTTCATTTAAGTCTTTTTGTTTGAACCATCTTGGTACACCTGGTATGTTCAATGCAAGTGTGGAGGTTAAAATAAGGGGCTAGGATGTTAACCCCACAGAGGTCATACTGTGATCAGGAAAGAGTAGAAAGTTTAGCCAGGCTGATACTTTCATCCCAGATGACTACTGGAGATGGCTCTAGAACAGTGGTTCTCAAAGTGCGATAACCAAATTAGCAGCATCGGCATCACCTGGAAACTTGTTGGAACTGCAAACCATGGGGCAATACCCCAGACCTGCTGAATCACTAAGTCTGGGAGTGGGATCCAACAATCTTAGTTTTAACAAGATTTAGTTTTATGACTGTAATCCCAGCACTTTGAGAGGCCAAGGCAGAGAGATCACTTAAGCCCAGGAGTTCAAGACCAGCCTGGGTAACATGCAGAAACCGCATCTCTACAAAAAATACAAAAAAAAAAAAAAAATAGCTGGACATAATGGCAAACACCTGTAGTCCCAGCTACTCAGGAGGCTGAGGGGGGAGGATGGCTTGAGCCTAGGAGGCTGAGGTTGCAGTGAGCCGAGATCACACTACTACACTCCAGCCTGGTTGCAGAGCAAGACCCCGTCAAAAAAAAAAAAAATTTAGTTTTAACAATATATTTTAAAATTTAATTTTAACCATCACCTGCAGGTGATTCTCATACACAATAAAGTTTGAGAAACACTACTCTGGAACCTGAAGAGTTGTGGACACTATTGGGAAGCACCTCTCTATCTCTGCTTTCCCTGCCTATTTTCTTTCCCATCCTGAAGGGAGGCAGATAAGAAAACAGAACAACCAGATTTTCCCCACAGAATCACAGAAATTGGGGTCCTGCCTTTGGTCATCCAAAGATGACCCTGCAGATGGCATTTACCACCTGGGTGGTAGCTTAGGCTGAAGAGGCCACTATGAGTGGACAGCCCTTTGCCATACTGTAGAAAGGGAACAGATGCTTTTGACGTGGTCAGTAGCTGGTGCTCCCCATGTCTGCTGCTCTCTCAGATTTATGGCACATAAACACTTTAGATCAGTCCAGACTCTTTGTTCTCAAACGCATAAGTCAACAGCACCTTTGCTGCAGATTCTGCCTAACTACTGTCTTCCAGCTGTGCCCAGCTGTGTCCCACAGACTGAAGTGCTGTGCTTTGTAATGGTTAGGAAAGTTTTGCACCCTCTCTCTGCTCACATGTGGCCTATTCTCACCATCTCTATACCAGCTGCTTGGGAGCCAGTTCACATTTGTAATGGAAACATTGGACTCTGAGGAAAAGACAGGCTGCAGTTTAAATCCATTGTACCAACTGTGTCCATAACCAGCAACTTTACTTTGCACCTGTTTCCTTCATTCATAAAATGGGGTAATATCCATCTTTCAGGGTAGGCTAGGAGTTAATTGAGGTGACATGCATACAATGCCTTAGCACAAGAAGTGGCACATCCTAGGTGTCAATAAAAACTTTCCCTTTCTTTCCACTCCTGCTCCTTGCAGACCAGTACCCTGTATTTTCTATGATGAAGTGTGGAGTGTAGTAAATGGGACAGGACCTGCAGTTAGAATGCCTGTGCTTGTCCCAGCACTGCCACTTACTATCTGTGACTCTAGGCAATCTATTTAACTTTTATCTGCCTCAATTTTCTCATCTATAAAATGGGGATGATAACAGTATCTACCTTGCTGGAGGATTGTCATGTTTAAATCCTAACATATATAAACCTAGTGTATCTAGTTAACACTCTGAAGATGTCAGCTATTATTGTTCATTATTAATAATTTATTATTAAGATGAATGTAATTATTCATTATCAATATTATTACTATATATTCCAAGTGAAAAACTGAGACACAACACCTACCAGTATGAGCCAACAAACAGTGACAGTGGGGCAGAATATTTGAAACTGGGGCTACATGAATGTGCCTCTTTGTATCTTGCTCATCCCTGCCTGTGTTTGAAAAAAAAAATTAATATGAATCTTGAGTGAGAGTTTAGGAAGATGGAGGGAAGAAGACCAGCAAAGAAGGCACGAAGAACGTGGATGGACCTGAAGGACATTATGCTAAGTAAAATAAGCCAGGCACAGAAAGACAAATACAGTATGATCTCACTTATATGTGATATCTAACAAATTTGACCTCATAGAAACAGAGACTAGAAAGGTGGTTATCAGAGGCTGAGGGGGAGGAGGTGGAATGGGAAAGAAGATGTTGGTCAATGGGTACAAAGTTTCAGTTAGACAGGAAGAATAAGATATTTTAGTGATCCATTGCACTGCATGATGACCACAGTTCCTAATGTATTGTATAGTTCAAAAATGCTAAAGGAATAGATGTTTAATGTCCTCACCATGAAAAACATTGCTAAGTTGGCAAGGTGATAGATATGTTAATTAGATTAACCCTTTCTATAATATATACATAGATCAAAACATCACATGGTACTCTCTTAAATAAACACAATTATTATTTGTTTTAAATTAATAAATTTAAATTTTTAATTTTAAAAAAGAATCCGGAAACGAGGAAAAGAGCGCCTAGATTTGGCTGGTGGTTAGAGAAATGGTGAAGCCGAGTCAGATCCAAGAATGGGGACTTTGAAAGGTTTTTGCCAACAAGTATTTCTCAGCAGAGAGTTTTTCCATTGTCTGAAGAAGAACCGGTCTGTTTTCCATCCCTCAGTCTCTGCAGAGATATTGTCACCACCACCCACTTTGTTCATGTCCTTCTTTACCCTTAAAAGACTTTGCTTCTTTCTTCTCCTTCCAAATCCTTCAGAATCCAGCTCTATTCCCACTTCCTCTGGGATACTCCCTGGTGGGCCTGTCCCTCTCCTGTACCCTCCTACATAGACCCCCTTGTGGCTTGTGGTCAACTCCACACCACTTAGCACAAATTTGTCTTCATTCCTAGACACTTTGTTGTGGTTTCACACATGCAAATCTTCTTCCCCAAACCAGTCAGCTTCTTTCCAAGGGCAAGAACCATATCTTCTATTAGCTTCTGGGCCCAATGACCTGAAAGAAACCAGATTAAGCCCCAAAGGAAACATAAAGGGTACATACAAAAGCTTTGAATACCAACTGGATCCTTTGCACTAGGTCTTTCCATCAAGATCTGTGTCCTTAGCTACTGGATTCACTCTTGTTCTCAGATCCCAGACACAAGGGAAAACAGAAAAGGAAAATGCAGCATCGTCTTCTTTTTCCATTTTAGGAACTCACTTCTTGCATATTGGCCTGGATCCTAATCCTACCCCTTAAAAGCCTTGGATTCTCCACTCCCCAATATAGGACCAGTATTCTGCAGTTCTCCTTCCTCCTGCAGAAGAACATCATTAGACAAAGGTGTGGAGAAGAGGTCTTTCTCTTCAATGTTCCTCCCTATTTTCCCTTAGCCACAAATCAGTAGAGAGATGTTAGATGGCAGAGTCAGATTGCAATATGAGTCATAACTAACAAACAAAAGAATTACTATTCAATTCTTAATAAATAGGAATTAATTCATTAAACTAAATTCTGAACTTCAAATTTAAAAAAATCAAGTGCAAAAGCATAGCGGGGTAAAAGATAATTTAAGTTAACTGCAGGTGTAAGACAAGACAATAATAAATAATTTCTCTTAAGAAAGTTAATGCAGCTGGGCTGCATCAACAAATACCTAATGTTCAAGACTTTAGAGGTGATATTTCTACTTTATTAGTGCATTGGTCAGATTGGAAGTAGAACATTTGGGATTTAAAAAGGAGGGCATAGACCATAGCCAGAGGAAGACAAGGCCAAAAATGGGTCTATAAACCACATCACAAAAAGAATGCTAGAAGAAACTGAAAGTATTTTGCTTAGAGAAGAAAAGTCTCATGGGGAAATGATCCCAGTTTTCAAATATTTCAAAGGTTTTCCTGTAAGAAAGAGACAATTTATTCTGTTACTCTGGAATAAGAGGAAGCAGATCTCAATAGGAGAGGAAAGTTACTTTAGTGCTTTAAAAATAAAATGGGTTACTTTGTGAGGTTCCCACCACTGGAAATATTAAGCAAACACAGTCCTTTCAGAAGCCTGCTACTTCCTCCAAGAGTTCAGTGTCTCCTTGCTGTTCTTGGGCTATTCAGGTTGCCCCGGTGGTGGCAAAGGAGATCAGGCCACAGACAAGAGATCGAGCCTGCTCCTGCTAAGCTTACATATCAAGCTCTCCATCCCTTGGCCCAGCGAGGATGCAGTGTCCCTAGATAAATCAGACAGGCTGAGGCTTGCTGATTAAGCCTAATAGCTAGCTGATAGAAGACACATACACCCTGTCTGCCCCCAGAAAACAAAAGACCATAGGGCAAAATGTTTAATGATGCCCCCCAAATACTTTGCTTCCTGGGGTAACTCTAGGCATCTAGGAAGGTATGGTAGAGACATTCAGAGGTCTAAGATATCCACTTTGGTTTGCTAGAGCACCTTAGGAGTGATTTAGTGATTTGCATTAACTTTCTTAATAGCAGTGATTTGGCTGGGCACAGTGGCTCATGCCTGTATTCCCAGCACTTTGGAAGGCCGAGGTTGGTGGATCACCTGAGATCAAGAGTTTGAGACCAGCCTGACCAACATGGTGAAACCCCGTCTCTACTATATACAAAACATTAGCCAGGAGGTGTGGCATGCACCTGTAATCCCAGCTACTACTTGGGAGGCTGAGGCAGGAGAATTGCTTGAACCCAGGAAGCGGAGGTTGCGGTGAGCCGAGATTGCACCATTGCACTCTAGCCTGGGCAACAAGAGTGAAACTCCATCCCCAAAAAATAAATAAATAAAAAAGGAGCAATGATTTATGATTGCCATGCCTTGCAACTTCAGTTGACTTTCACCATGCTGTGCTTCTGCACTTGATTTTGTTTGAAGTTCATAATTTAATACTAATTCCTATTTATTCAGAATCACAGCAGGAGTGATTTACTATCTCCCTCCCTTTCCATGAGGGAGATAGTTATTAAAAGCCAAAGCTTAGGAAGGTCAGGCAGTGGCTCCATAAGCTGAAACCCCAGCTCCGCTGCCTACTAGCCATGTCACCTTGGGCACTTTACTCCACCTATCTGTGCCTCCCTTCCTCCTCTACAAAATAAGAAAGTTGATCTTCATAGTACCTATGATGGTTGATTTCATGTGTCAACTTGACTGGGCCACACATTTGGGCAAACATTATTCTGACTGTTTCTGTGAGGGTGTTTGCATGAAGTTAACATTTAAATTAGTAGACTAGGTAAAGCAAGTTGCCTTCCATAATGTGGGTGGACCTTATCCAGTTGAAGGCCGGAATATAACAGGAGACTGACTCTCCCCTGAGTAAGAAAAAATTCTCCTACCCAATAGTCTGTAGAGCATTGGCTCTGCAGATCTTGCCAGTCTCCATCATTACTGGGGCCAAATCTGTCTTTATTTGCTCTGTTTCTCTGGAAAACTGACTCATATAGTAACTATCACAAGAATTTATGTTGAGATCCATTAAGAAAATGCAACTGAAACCCTTTTTCTATATATCAGGTCTAGAGTAAGCCCTCAATAAATACAAGCTATTTTTTTTTAGTAAGGTTGTTGCTTGAGGAGCAAAATCATCTAATTGGTTTTATTTGGAGGGGAAGAGAAACACTTGTAAACAGGGCTGGAATGACTGTGGCCAGATATGTTCACACCCCTAGGTGGGGAATGACTGCAGCCTGGACATCAGCTGTGTCCTCAGAGGCTCTTAAAGTCTCACATCCAAGTTCTTTCCTCGACGACAGATGTACCTGCCAGATCTCTGAGTAGTTGTAGCCACACACCCTGGACTCAAGCAGGCCCCTCTTTGAGAAACATAATGGCACAGCCCTGAGACAAGGAGGGGAAGAGAGGTCCCCTGGCAACAAATCCACTGAATTTCCCAAAAGATTCCTTGCTATGCCCATCCTTCCTGAATCCAAGACCAAAGCCTTTTTCCAAACCCTGGATATCGCACAACTGCACCCCATGACCTCTTCCTCGTTTGTCTCCCTGAATTTATAAACCTGAAGCCTTTGCCTGAATCTACCCTGCCCAGTGACATCTACCCATCATTCCAGGAAGGGCTCACATCCACCTCAACCCTTCCCTGAAGTTCTCTGTCCACCCCAGTCACTTCAACCACCAATTTGCCCCTTGCCAGGCCCTCTTGTATTATTTGCACAGTCAACTCTCCTTGGGTTTGCACCCACTGCCTTTTCTGAAACACTTTACAAGCTCTTTAAAAATGGCCACTCCATGTCTTGCACCTTTCGCATCACCTAACACAGTCCCACATCTCTTCAATTGTTTGACTGATGATCCATGCCTTTGCAACCCCTTAGCCATCAGCAGCTCCACAGTTAGTTTTCTCTATCTGAAGCACTGACTGCCAAACCTGAATGAGTGTCAAAAATCACCTGGAGAACTTTTATAAATTAAAGATTCCTGGGCCTCACCCCAAACCCACACAATCAGACCCTCCAAGGATGGGACTTTGGAATCTAAATGTTTTAAAAGGTGCTCAGGTGATTCTAATGAGCTGCTGGTTTGGGGGACCACTACTCTTAGAGATATAGAAGCACTTTCTTGTGCTTTTGGACTGAACCCACCTCCAATGAAACTGAGTCAACTCATCCAAGACCATGTGTAAAACCCATCCTCCGGCTGGGTGTGGTGGCTCACGCCTGTAATCCCAGGAGTTTGGGAGGCCCAGGCGGGCAGATCACGAGGTCAGGAGATCGAGACCATCCTGGCTAACAGGATGAAACCCCATCTCTACTAAAAAATACAAAAAAAAAAAAAAAATAGCCGGGCGTGGTAGCGGGAGCCTGTAATCCCAGCTACTCGTGCTGGGGGAGGCTGAGGCAAGAGAATGGCATCAGCCTGGGAGGCGGAGCTTGCAGTGAGCCAAGATCATGCCACTGCACTCCAGCCTGGGCCACAGAGCAAGACTCTGTCCCTAAAAAAAAAAAAAAAAAAAAAAAAAACCAAAAAAAAAAAAACATCCTCCACTCTTATCAGACCAGCCTTCCTGTGGAACCCCACACGGTTCTCCTGTCCCATGCTTTTCTCTAGACTTCACTGTCTGCCAAACAACCTCCTTATATTCCTCCTTCCTGCTACCTCTCTTCCTCCCATGAATGTAAACAACCCTCCCCTCCTTAGCATCCCAGTTCCAGTCCCCTCCTGAGTGGACCCACATGTTGGCACTGTCTCTGCCTGAGTCTTCCCAAGCAGCACGCTTTGCCAACAATGACTTGGGTTGAACTAAAGAAAATTTCTTAGCATTTATGCTGACTATTTAAGGAGAATTTGTTGATGTATTCTTTCCAAGATAAACACTCAAGAATATGGTTGATTAGTAGAATATGCTCAAAATTCTACTAGTGGTCTGCATTTTACCTTGCAACAAGTTCTCAAAGGGGGAAAAAATTCTTCATTTAAAGAACTTTAGTACATTTGAGAGCATGGATAGAGTTTCCAAAAAATGAGATCTTCCTGAATGAGGTCTCCAGTTCAAACAGCCAGCAGCCTTTATCTTTGCCTGCTCATGACAGGCTTGGTGTGCACTGAATTCTAGAATACCAAGGTTGGAAGGAACCTTCAATATCATTTTCTCCAGGAGCTGACAGATTCACAAAAAGTTCTTAGGACACAAACCAAGTGTTTGGAACATTCTTAAAATTTATTTTGTTGGTCTGTACCACTGTACTCAAAGGCCATACTCCCTGGCTTATCCACCAGGATATGAACACAGTGCCGTTCTAAGACTATATTAACCCTTGACACACTTGTGCCAGCAATTTGAGAAATTCAACCAGGGATTATTGATTCTCTACAGTACATTGACATCTGGGACCTGACAATCATTTGTTGTGGGCAGGGTTGGTGGGTGGGGCTGTCCCATACATTATAGACTGTTTAGTAGTACCTCTGAACTCTGCCTCCCAAATGTCATTAATAACAACACCACTCCTAGGGGACAAACTAATCCCCAATGAGAATCACTGCTCTATAGTGTGCTATACAGCCCCCATCCTCCAGGAGTTCTCAGTACAGATAGGACATCGACGTCTGTGCCAATCCTCATCGAACCTTGTGATAAACTCTGTATCAGGAACATGGAGAGGAAGAAGGAGCCCCCAACTCTGCCTAGGAGAGTCAGAAAAGGCTTCACAGAAGGGGCAGCTTTTGGAACAAGTCTTAAAACGAAGAAGGCATTCCAAGGGAAGAGTATTCCAGGCAAAAGGAGCAGCTTATACCAAAAGTGTAGAATAACATGGTGCATTCAATGAATGGAAAACTGATGAGACTAACTAGAACTTAGAGCCCATAGTGAGAAGTGACAAAGCCAGAAAGAATTAACGAAATCGTTGCCAAGTCCTCTTGACCCTTATGTCCACTCCTCACTTGACTGAATCTGCATTCATTTCGGAGCATGAGTTATAGGTATAGGAAGTGCAGGTAGATGGGGGCTGCATCACGTACTATCAACCTCAGTCTTAAAGTTTTCATTCATTGGTCCCCTAAACTGAAGACATTTGAGCCACTACATTGCAGATTAGAATGCTGACTGTAATAAACAAGATCACCACGAGCACCTGTCTCATGAAAGCCAGCACCACTCAAACACCTTTCTAGGATTGTCAGCTCCCAGAAGTGGGTAGTGGAAGTCTGGTACAGGCAGCCATTGCTGTTGCCTGATATAAACGAGGAGACCTAAGGAGGCAGCAGTAGCCTAGGAGGAAAGATGGTGATGTAGGAAAGAGGCCCCTGGACTGAGGGCTGGGACACCAGCTTTAGCCCAGCTCTTCTGCTAACTTTCTGAGTCACTGAAATTCCCCAGACCCGTTTCATCATCTGTAAATGGAAAGCATTACAATAACCCTCTACAAGGCCTCAGTGCAGCCACATCACCTTGCTAGTCCTCAGTTCCCCCAGATATTCAATGTGGGGACTGAATTATTCCAATGGTTTGAAGCCTTTTTTAATCCCAGTGTCCTCCAGGAATGACCTGTAGGAAAGCTATGCCTTCCCTTCATGCCCTGGGAAGATGGGCACCTAGGCAATTTCATTATTCATTTCAGGGCATTCTTAGAATTCTCAGGAGCTCCAGGTTAAAACCCTTGGACTAGGTGGTTTCTAAGGTCTCTGCCAACTCTGGAATTCTATGAACATGATAGCTGTGGCTCTGACCCAAAGAGCTTGCATCCAGGTGTGCCTGATGGGGAGGTTTAGAGAAGGAAGTACTTGACAACAAAAGAATGAATCTACCCTGTCAGAAGGGATACAGTTCTTGCCAAAAAAGAGCAGCTCTCTGACATTAGCCATTGCTTCTGGCCTTCCCAAACATTCCAGCACTCCCATCAAGCAAACTACCTCTGCCTCCTTCATAGCTTCTTCTACCCAGCTTGCCAGCCGGTCTCTGTATCTCCTCACTCATCACCCATTCACTCTTGTGTCCTCCTGTACATGAACAGAATTACAGTGAAATCACTACATCTCGGTATCTGTACATTTTTTCATGTTTGACTTCTCCCCTTTTCTTTGCATCATCCCTAACAGCTCACTCAGACCCTGCCCAATTCAGACCCCTTGTCAATGTGGGGCTAGAGAGGATGACCTCTGGAAAACCCCAGACAATTGACATCCATCTGATTCTATGTCACTGAGGAATCCAAAGAAAAGAAAATGTTTATTAAAGTCAGTGAAGTCTAACAAGAAGGTGGGGACAAAGGGAGCTTCTAAATTCCAGCACTCTCCCCTTGGAGGTAGGGTGGAAAACCCAGGCCTTCCTGCTGGAAGTCATCAGATCCCAGCTGCTCCAGTGCCAGAAATCAGTGGAAATGTATATATATTTTTAATACACTCACATTGCAAATAAAAACAGTTTTACATCAATACAGGGGTTGGCTGAAATGTGTTCCAACTCTACTAAGCAAGGAATGAATTGAAACGCCTATAATAACATCAAGCAAGGCAGTCCCTCTGCCAAACTTGGACAGAGGGGAATTTGCACTGCCAGAGAAAATCTGTTCTTCATCAGTGTTTCAATATTCAAGGAAGCCGGGGACATTTTTCTGTGACGGAAGCAAAATGCCAGCTGCCAATACTATGATTTAATTCCCTCTTTTTTTCCTCTCTCATTGGAAATAATTGTCACAAGAATTTGGTGGGCCATAAAGGCCTTGTATATAAGAAAGATTATACTGAAATGGAGGGACGAGAAATGTGGGGAGGGATAAGGAAGAGAAAGAAATGTAAAGTGGGAAAAGAGGAAGGTGGGAGTTAAAAAGAGGTGGAGGAAGAGAGGAATGGGGTGAGAGGAGCAATGGTGGAGAAACAGGAGAAAGTTCAAGAAAAGCAGAAAAATAACAGTGGAAAGGCGAGAGAAAAATGAGAAGAACGTGAGAATGAGAAGGGTGAGTAGAATAAAAATCACAAATAGAGAAGGGAAAATACAAAAAAAAAGTCAGAGGTGAAAGAAATCTTAAAGAGTGTTGGGTCAGTCTCCTCTCAGGTGTCAGGTAGGAGGCCAAAGGGTGAAGTTATTTGCCCGAGACCAGACGGCATGCCCAAGGTCACTGAGCTCAGAACAGAGGACCAGGACCTCCTCACTGCTGTCTAACGCTCTTCACTCTTGAGCAGGTGGCAAGCAAGGCAAAGAGACAGGGGAATTAAGAAGAAAAAGATGAGAACTTGCATGTGTGTACATGTGGATACATCACTTGGCTTCTTCAATCACCTGTATTGTGTAATCTAATCCATTCTAAAATCTAATACAATCTAATAGTCAAAGTTTCTTGATTCTTAGACCCCATGGGCTTCTCATGAAATGTATCTAAGCCCTGGAGAACGCTATTTTCTCTGTCATCAAATCGCACGTGGTGGAATCAGGGAGCTGAAGAGAATATCGGGATGTTACTGGGCTAATGTAACGCCACTAAGTGGACCTCTAAGGACCCCTCTGGTGGGGAGGGGCTTCTGGCTTCCCATGATCATAGGTTTACTGACAAGAGTCAGTTCTGTGTGCCTAGAAATCCCAAACTCCAGGACCCCAGTTCTAGCTGTGGAAGTCATCCCCTTCAAGATGAGGGCCTTTCTGGCTTAGGCATTAGCTACTAATTTTCAATCTATCATTTATTTAATAGTATCATACTAGTGTTCATTTATTTCTATAATGGCACCATGACTGTTTAAGATGTTAAAATTAGGGAAATCTGGGTAAAGGATATGCAAGAGCTTTCTGTACTATTTTAGCATCTCCTCAAAAACAAAACAAAACAAAACAAAACAACAAAAAAACTTCATAGTGATCTCAATGGCTAGATTTGGATTTGGAAGTGTCCATCATTGCCCACATCCACAGCCCCTGCCCCCTGGCCAATGATTTACCTCTCTTTTTCCCCCTTCCTTAGTTCCTTACACACACACATGTGATTACCATGGGCTGTTCACCCAAGCTCTGTCCACAACCCCCAGACCCCACAAATAGCCTCTTCTTGGCCATCTCTGGGATCTAGGGATCTGTACACTGGCAGTGTAGTCCACCCTGAGAGGATAGACCCAGGGAAGGCTCAGGGCCATTTGAGCAAGGATTTCAAGGAGTTGGGTACTAGGAACATGGTCTAGAAGCTGGTGCAAACCATAGGTTTCAGGGAGGCAAATCCCTTGATGTTGCCCCCTGAGAAGGATGTAAGAAGAAAACAGCCAGTGTAGGGCCTTCTTAAGTGTGAGACCTAGGGCAGGGGTGCCATTCACCCAGGTCTAAGGCTAGGACTGTCTCTACCTTACTACCCACCTGCTGGCTAGCCCAGGCTCAGTGGCAGTGTAGGCAAGAAGAAAATGGAAAATCCATTCTGGTCATACAATCACTCTTAAGTAATTTGGACAGAATCTTAATGATGGTGTTTGCCATATGTTGCTGAAGGGTGTCTTAGTTCATTCTGTGCTGCTATAACAGAATATCTAAGACTGGGTATTTAAAAAGAATGGGAATTTATTGGTTTCTGAAAGCCAGGAAGTTCAAATGCATGGCACCAGCATCTGGTGGTGGCCCTCTTACTGTGTCATCTCAAGTGGAAGGCAGAAGAGCAAGAGAGAGTAAGAGTAACGAGACGGCTGAACTCATTTTTTAATGAGATGCCTGGTTCCATAATAATGGCATTAATTTATTCATGTGGCAGAGCCCTCATGACCTAATCAACCTCTTGATGGTCCCACCTCTCAACACTGTTGCACTGGGGATCAAGTTTCCAACACATCAACTTTAGAGGGACATGTTCAAACCACAGCAAGGAAGAATCAATATTTTCTCTTCTACACTCTTAAAAGCCTCTTGGGCCATGATTCATTGACTTGGAATCGCTGAAGCTAGCAAAGTGCTTGGCATATAATTTATGGTGAATAAATGAAGGAACACTGAACAGCTATTTTCACTGTAATGATATAAGTATCATCATCAAGATAAATAGTAGATATGATTCTACAGAAGTACAAAGAAGTACACATAGCCTGGACTGGAGGGGTGAGGATGGGATTCTGAATAATCTTAAAGAATGGATTGGGATTAGTCACGAAGTAAAGAAGGGCATTCCAAGCAGAGGGAAGAAATTGTCATGGCATATTGGAATGATTGTGGCAGAACAGAATTTAAGTGTCATGAAGGAAGCCAATCACTGTATGTATCCCCAACACCTTGCACAAGCAGGCATCTAGTAGATTGAATATATGTATTAGGTAAATGATGAATATATGTATTAGGTAAATAAGAGAATGCGGGTCATCTCTTTTCAAAACCATAGAAAGCTTAACAATATTCTAGTCCAGGGACTGGCAAACATTTTCTGCAAAGCGCCAGATAGCAAATATTTCAGCCTTTGAAGGCTATGTAGTGTCTGTCACAACTACTCAACTCTGTTGTGTCCCATGAAAGCCACCATGGATGACAGGTAAATGGCGTGAGTGAGTTCTAATAAAACTATATTTATAAAAATGGGCAATGGGCAAGGAATCATAGCTTGCTGACCACGGCTCTAGTCCAACACCTAGAGCACAGGTGGTTGATGGCGGCACTTAAACTAAATATTAATGTCCCAATATAAGTGTTTGGACTGAGAGTAGCACAGATGTTTCGAGATAAGAGAGGTAACTGTAGGCCTCAGAAACCAGGAACATATTCACAGAGGAAACAGGATTCCAATTAGGCCTAGAGGCTCAATGCAGTCCAAAAAATGAGAAGACAAGATGTTGAAAAAAGAACACACACCTGGTAGTTGCCTGTCTTTTCACCAATGTATTTAGGTTCTAGCTGTGCTTCCCTGAACCTAAGGTAGAGGAGGAGAGGGAACAAGGGTAAAAGCAAAACCACATTCTAGGACAGCATGTCAGGCCAAAGAACAGACACAACACTGTGTCTCCTAAATGGGGATTTGGGGAGTTGAAAGGCCTTAGTCTCTGGGCGAACAACACAGAGACACAGAAGCAGCCAGTCTGGCAGATGGAAAAGCACAGCCTGATCTACTGCCCAAGAGGGGAACCAGCCCCTGGTCAGAATCTCCCTCTGCATTTCAACTGAGAGAGAATGCACAGTCTCTTGGGACCCCAGATGTGAAAAGCCATTGTAAGTTCATTCTGGCACAAAGTCATTTTACAAATTGAGAAACTAAGTTCTAGACAGAAGAAACAACTTTCCCAAGGTCACAAAGCAAGTGAGTGGCCAGGGTGATTCTGAGTCTTAAAGCTGGCCTCCCAATTCTCTGTAGACCCTTCTCCGACATCCTGCTGAAGCTCCCCACCCCCACCCCCATCCCAGTGCAGGCATTCTAATGATCTTTTATATATAGACATACAGGTGTCTAGGCTTTGGATGTAAAAATCTGTAAGACATTTCATCAGCATTGACTCTATCTCCTATTAGATCATAGTCCCTTGAGGTGATGGGTGGCTCATCTGCTCTCTCTGGCTCTGTGAAGACAGGTCTCTGCACTCACTGTGAGGAGGCCAAGTCCTGCACTTCTCAGACCTGCTTAGAGAACCCTGCCCTTCAGGAACCATCCCCAGTTTCACTCCATCCCCAAACACAGGAGACTAAGCCCTTTTCAATTCCACATCAACTACCTGAGCTCCTACTAATGCTCTGATTAGAATTATTTGTGTTCAAGAGTATCTGTCTTGCCCACTAGATTGAGAACTCCTCAAAGGCGAGAATTGTGTCTCAGTTATCTCTGTACTTCTGGCCATGAGTCTGACACATAGATAGGTGGTATTAACTGAGGGTTAAGTGGGTTATAGCCTCCAGAGGGCCAGGAGAGCATAACCAAGAGATTAAGAGATTGTGTCAACTGGAAAAAAGGCAATCCTGAGTTCAAATTCTGACTCACATGCTATTTAATCTCTCTGAGACTTAGCTTTCTCATCGGAGTCATTGTCAGAGTTAAATGAGACAATGCTGCTGGTATTGGTGGCAATGAGGGCTGGTTCCCTTCTTGGGCAGCAGATCAGGCTGTGCCCCTCCATCTGCCAGAATGGCTGCTTCTGTGCCTTTGTGTTGTTCACCCGGAGACTAAGGTGGTATTAACTGATGGTTAAATGGTTATAGCCTCCAGAGAGCCAGAAGAGTATAGCCGAGAGATTAGGAGATTGTGTCAACTGAAGAAAAAAAAAAAAGGCAATCCTGAGTTCAAATTCTGACTCACACACAGAAGGTATTTAATCTCTCTGAGACTTAGCTTCCTCATTGGAGTCGTTGTCAGAATTAAATGAGACAATGCTGCTGAAGCCTTTGGCAGAACACCTGGCATTCAGTAAACACTCTATCAATGTGCTGGAAGACCAAAGTCAGGCTGCCAGTATCATGGGTTGGGCTGTGGATGAGCTGGTTAGTTCACACTGGGCTGTCTCGCAGTTATCTTTATTTAGGTACAGGGAGAGCTTGAGCAGAAGATGGATGAGGTAAATCCACCCATGTGACCAGAAAAACTAGAAAATCAGGCCCCACTCAACTCCTGAAGGAAATAACCCAGGGTACGCCCAGTCCCAACAACCAGGCCAGTGGCCTCTCTAAACCAGGCCAGCACAATGCTGCAGGCTCTCCAAGCCTCCTGCTAGTTGACAGAGCCCCACACACTTTCCAGAGAGCTGGCCCTCTATATTCTCCAGCTAAGACCCTTATATCTCAGGCTGGCTGGTGACAATGGTGAGATACATTGGGTAGCTGACAAAGAAAAATAGACTTTTTTTAAAGAAATCAACACATCAACACCTGTTAGTCAAAGCTAACTGAATTCTAGCAGCCTGTGAATGCCAAAAAAGCGGGGGGAAAAAAGGCATGAAAGATGGATCATGGAAGGCAATGACAGAGACAGAGGTCTCAGAGCAGATGGCCTGTATAGTCATGGACTGGGTGGGAGGTGAAGGTAGCAGTTCACCTGGGGAGTCCGGTAACAAGGTCAAAGCACAAAGTTGTGGCAGCTAAAGTCTGGACCAAATCTCTCCCAACTGCATTAAGATTACGAAAAGCAGAAGGAATAGGTAAGTAAGGGATAAACTAAAATCAAATTCGAGCCCCCAAACAAAACAAGTGCAACAACAACAAGAAACCTTTTAAGAGAATAAAATCTAAGCAAATTAAATTTACATGCAAGAATTTAACTGGATAAAGCACACTTCTGAAATACAAAGTCAAAAGGCTAAGATGTAACTAAGCATAGACCTTCAGGGTCTAGCTCTGTGGAAGTAAAGCAGTGGTGTGCTGGAAAAGTTGGTCTCACCCATGCCCTCCCCACCAAAAATGTCCCCTTGATTTGCAGTATTTGCTAATTTCCACGCTGTGAACATTTCCACCATAGCCAGTTTTAAGCCACAAACATGAATATCACTGAGCTCAGAGTTGGGAAGAAATTTAACAATAGGCTCTTGCAAAACCAGTACAAACTGCCAGTGGAAGAAAGCTGAACTTGGGAAGCACAAAGAGAAGCAAGAGCATAGTAGGTATGCAACCCCCAAGTGCTCAACAAGAAGCAAAGGAAGGAGTAATGAGATCAAAGACCTTTCAAGCTCTCCCCCAAAATAAACAGTCAAATCTAGGATCAGATCCAGACTCTGCTACCCACTGGCAACAAGACCTGGGAAAATTCCTTAATCTCGCTTAGTTTCAGTTTCCTCAAGTGCAAAATGAGGCAAATAACACTGAGGAAGGGATGTTGTCAGAATCGGGAGAGATCGTGACTGTAAAGCACAGTGATAGGCACTTGGGTGACGCTGAGCAATGATCACACTCTATTCCAGCAATGCTTCCCATGCTCCTTCTTCTGGACCCCACTAGAGCTTTGTAAATGTGCTAGTCTACTGTGACAATATGTTTCCTGGAACAAGTTCTCATTTCAAATATTCTTTGTGCCCTTTGTGCCCATTCATTTCATAGAGTCTTGATTTGAGAGTTCATAAAATATGTTCAACATAATATAAAATATATTCAACATTGTAGAAGAGACATTTATATATGGATCTGTCTTCTTCTACAAGCTATGAGCCTCTTGTAGGCAAGGATATGTGTTACTTTTTTATCTTTATCCTCAATTATTAGCCCAGTATCCAACATAGAGTGGGGTCTTGGTAGATATTAATTGAGGAAGGAAAGTAGGAAGGAAGGAAGGAAGAAACTGGTTTGTCTCTGTCACATGACATTAGTGAAAAGAGAAGACATTTTGGCATCAGCTAAACCTGGGTTTGAACCCTGGTTTTGTCTTATAATGGCCAAGTTAATAATACCTTGAATAAAATATCTATAAAATAAGATAATTTCTGACTCATAGCATTGTTGTGAAATGACAGTTAAGAATGTTATGCATTCTGCAGATTTTTTAAATTGCAATATAATTTACATAAAGTAGTCCTTTAGGTATATACCCAGTAATTGGATGGCTGGGTCAAATGGTATTTCTAGTTCTAGATCCCTGAGGAATGGCCACACTGACTTCCACAATGGTTGAACTAGTTTACGGTCCCACCAACAGTGGGACTGTTCCTATTTCTCCACATCCTCTCCAGCACCTGTTGTTTCCTGACTTTTTAATGATTGCCATTCTAACTGGTGTGAGATGGTATCTCATTGTGGTTTTGATTTGCATTTCTCTGATGGCCAGTGATGGGGAGCATTTTTTCATGTGTTTTTTGGCTGCATACATGTCTTCTTTTGAGAAGTGTCTGTTCATGTCCTTCGCCCACTTTTTGATGGGGTTGTGTTTTTTTCTTGTAAATTTGTTTGAGTTCATTGTAGATTCTGGATATTAGCACTTTGTCAGATGAGTAGGTTGTGAAAATTTTCTCCCATTGTGTAGGTTGCCTGTTCACTCTGATGGTAGTTTCTTTTGCTGTGCAGAAGCTCTTTAGTTTAATTAGATCCCATTTGTCCATTTTGGCTTTTGTTGCCATTGCTTTTGGTGTTTCAGACATGAAGTCCTTGCCCATGCCTATGTCCTGAATGGTAATGCCTAGGTTTTCTTCTAGGGTTTTTATGGTTTTAGGTCTAACGTTTAAGTCTTTAATCCATCTCGAATTAATTTTTATATAAGGTGTAAGGAAGGGATCCAGTTTCAGCTTTCTACATGTGGCTAGCCAGTTTTCCCGGCACCATTTATTAAATAGGGAATCCTTTCCCCATTGCTTGTTTTTCTCAGGTTTGTCAAAGATCAGATAGTTGTAGATATGCGATGTTATTTCTGAGGGCTCTGTTCTGTTCCATTGATCTATATCTCTGTTTTGGTACCAGTACCATGCTGTTTTGGTTACTGTAGACTTGCAGTATAGTTTGAAGTCAGGTAGTGTGATGCCTCCAGCTTTGTTCTTTTGGCTTAGGATTGACTTGGCGATGCGGGCTCTCTTTTGGTTCCATATGAACTTTAAAGTAGTTTTTTCCAATTCTGTGAGGAAAGTCATTGGTAGCTTGATGGGGATAGCATTGAATCTGTAAATTACCTTGGGCAGTATGGCCATTTTCATGATATTGATTCTTCCTACCCATGAGCATGGAATGTTCTTCCATTTGTTTGCATCCTCTTTTATTTCATTGAGCAGTGGTTTGTAGTTCTCCTTGAAGAGGTCCTTCACGTCCCTTGTAAGTTGGATTCCTAGGTATTTTATTCTCTTTGAAGCAATTGTGAATGGGAGTTCACTCATGATTTGGCTCTCTGTTTGTCTGCTATTGGTGTATAAGAATGCTTGTGATTTTTGTACATTGATTTTGTATCCTGAGACTTTGCTGAAGTTGCTTATCAGCTTAAGGAGATTTTGGGCTGAGACAATGGAGTTTTCTAGATATACAATCATGTCGTCTGTAAACAGGGACAATTTGACTTCCTGTTTTCCTAATTGAATACCCTTTATTTCCTTCTCCTGCCTAATTGCCCTGGCCAGAACTTCCAACACTATGTTGAATAGGAGTGGTGAGAGAGGGCATCCCTGTCTTGTGCCCGTTTTCAAAGGGAATGCTTCCAGTTTTTGCCCATTCAGTATGATATTGGCTGTGGGTTTGTCATAAACAGCTCTTATTATTTTGAGATACGTCCCATCAATACCTAATTTATTGAGAGTTTTTAGCATGAAGTGTTGTTGAATTTTGTCAAAGGCCTTTTCTGCATCTGTTGAGATAATCATGTGGTTTTTGTCTTTGGTTCTGTTTATATGCTGGATTACATTTATTGATTTGCGTATATTGAACCAGCCTTGCATCCCAGGGATGAAGCCCACTTGATCATGGTGGATAAGCTTTTTGATGGGCTGCTGGATTCGGTTTGCCAGTATTTTACTGAGGATTTTTGCATCAATGTTCATCAAGGATATTGGTCTAAAATTCTCTTTTTTTGTTGTGTCTCTGCCCAGCTTTGGTATCAGGATGATACTGGCCTCATAAAATGAGTTAGGGAGGATTCCCTCTTTTTCTATTGATTGGAATAGTTTCAGAAGGAATGGTACCAGTTCCTCCTTGTACCTCTGGTAGTATTCGGTTGTGAATCCATCTGGTCCTGGACTCTTTTTGGTTGGTAAGCTATTGATTATTGCCACAATTTCAGCTCCTGTTATTGGTCTATTCAGAGATTCAACTTCTTCCTGGTTTAGTCTTGGGAGGGTGTATATGTCGAGGAATTTATCCATTTCTTCTAGATTTTCTAGTTTATTTGCATAGAGGTGTTTGTAGTATTCTCTGATAGTAGTTTGTATTTCTGCGGGATTGGTGGTGATATCCCCTTTATCATTTTTTATTGCGTCTATTTGATTCTTCTCTCTTTTCTTCTTTATTAGTCTTGCTAGCGGTCTATCAATTTTGTTGATCCTTTCAAAAAACCAGCTCCTGGATTCATTAATTTTTTGAAGGGTTTTTTGTGTCTCTATTTCCTTCAGTTCTACTCTGATTTTAGTTATTTCTTGCCTTCTGCTAGCTTTTGAATGTGTTTGCTCTTGCTTTTCTAGTTCTTTTAATTGTGATGTTAGGGTGTCAATTTTGGATCTTTCCTGTTTTCTCTTGTGGGCATTTAGTGCTATAAATTTCCCTCTACATACTGCTTTGAATGTGTCCCAGAGATTCTGGTATGTTGTGTCTTTGTTCTCGTTGGTTTCAAAGAACATCTTTATTTCTGCCTTCATTTCATTATGTACCCAGTAGTCATTCAGGAGCAGGTTGTTCAGTTTCCATGTAGTTGAGCGGTTTTGAGTGAGTTTCTTAATCCTGAGTTCTAGTTTGATTGCACTGTGGTCTGAGAGACAGTTTGATATAATTTCTGTTCTTATACATTTGCTGAGGAGAGCTTTACTTCCAACTATATATATATATGTGGTCAGTTTTGGAATAGGTGTGGTGTGGTGCTGAAAAAGATGTATATTCTGTTGATTTGGGGTGGAGAGTTCTGTAGATGTCTATTAGGATCCCCTTGGTGCAGAGCTGAGTTCAATTCCTGGGTATCGTTGTTAACTTTCTGTCTCGTTGATCTGTCTAATGTTGACAGTGGGGTGTTAAAAGTCTCCCATTATTATTGTGTGGGAGTCTAAGTCTCTTTGTAGGTCACTAAGTACTTGCTTTATGAATCTGGGTGCTCCTGTATTGGGTGCATATAGATTTAGGATAGTTAGCTCTTCTTGTTGAATTGATCCCTTTACCATTATGTCATGGCCTTCTATAAAGACACATGCACACGTATGTTTATTGCGGCACTATTCACAATAGCAAAGACTTGGAACCAACCCAAATGTCCAACAATGATAGACTGGATTAAGAAAATGTGGCACATATACAGCATGGAATACTATGCAGCCATAAAAAAATGATGAGTTCATGTCCTTTGTAGGGACATGGATGAAATTGGAAATCATCATTCTCAGTAAACTATCGCAAGGACTAAAAACCAAACACCGCATGTTATCACTCATAGGTGGGAATTGAACAATGAGAACACATGGACACAGGAAGGGGAACATCACACTCTGAGGGCTGTTGTGGGGTGGGGGAGCGGGGAGGGATAACATTAGGAGATATACCTAACGCTAAATGACGAGTTAATGGGTGCAGCACACCAGCATGGCACATGTATACATCTGTAACTAACCTGCACATTGTGCACATGTACCCTAAAACTTAAAGTACAATAATAATAAAATAAAATAAAAAATAAAAATTTACATAAAGTATACAAATCTTAAGTATGACTCTCAATAATTTTATATATAACTTATGTAGCCAAATCAAAATATAGAATATTTCCATCAGCCACATGAAGTTCCTAGGGAAGTTTTAAAATGTGGCTGCAAAGTCTTTGAAACTCCTTTCATTGAGAGGTGGGTACTATGTCCCCTCTCTCTGAATCTGAGCAGGATCGTGACTTCCTTGACCAATAGAATACAGCAGAAGCAACACTGTGTGACTGCCAAGGCTAAACCAGTAAAGGCCATGCAGGTTCTACCTTATTCTCTGGGACACTCCCTCTTGGTGTCCTGAATACCAAGTAAGAACCCTGATCATCCAAGGTTGCCATGTTGAAAAGGCCACATGTAGGCACTCCAGTCAAGAGTTCCAGTTGAACCCAGCCTTCCAACCAGCCTGCCAAGATGTCAGACATGAGGGAAGCCATCTTGGACCCTCAAGACCAGTCTATCTATCAGTGCCACATTAAAAAAAAAGAAGACTTACTTAATCAAGCCCTGTCTGAACACCTGACTCACAAAATTGAGGGGTAGAATGTGCTGGTTGTTGTTTTTAGCCACCAAGTTTTAGGGTAGTTTGTCACATAACAATAGATAAATGGAACAGTTCATACTTTTCCTTTCCCAGTCAACAGTATCCCAACTCCTCCCCTGAAATTATGATATTTCTAATGTTTACCACCATAGACTAATTTTTCCTGCTCTCAAACTTCATATAACAGAATCACCCAACATGAACTGTTGTGACTACCGTCTTTCACACAATAGAATGTTTTTGAGAGTCATCTATGTTGTATCAGTAACTTTTTATTGCTGAATAGTACTCCATGTTATTAATATACTATAACTTATTTATCTGATCTCCTGTTGATAGACATTTGGGGTGTTTCCAGTTTGGGGCTTTTACTAATAAACCTGCTTTCCCAGAAAAGTCTTTCTTCTACATAAATTTTCATTTCTCCTGGGTATATGTCTGGGAGTAAAACTGTTGCATCATAGACTAGGTATATTTGATATTTATTTGAAAATGTCAAACAGTTTTCCAAACTGGCTATAGTATTTTAGGCTCCAACAAGCAGCATATAAGAGTTCCAGATGCTCCACACCCCACCAACACTTCTTATTGTTAATCATTTTAATTTTAGCCATTCTAATGTGTGTGCAATAATATCTCTATTAGTTTAATTTTCATTTCCCTGATATTTAATAATACTGAGCATTTTATTGGCCACTTAGATATCTTTGTGAATTTCCTATTCAATCTTATAGATTTTTTAAAACTGGGTTTTAAAACTCAGTTGTTTGACTTGTTATAATTGAGTCATAAGAGTTCTTTGTATATTCTTGATGCTAGTCTTTTGGCAAATATTTTCCCCTATACTGTAGCTAACTTTTCACTTTTTTAATTGTGTCTCATGATGAACAGAAATTAATTTGTGTTTAGTTTTTTATGAAATCCAACTTATCAATTATTTTGTAGTTAGTAGCTTTGTGTTCTACCTAAGAATTCTTTGCCTACTCTGAGGTTACAAGGGATTCTCCTATGTTTTCTATGAGTTTTATTGTTTTAGCTTCCACATTTAAGCTTATAACTTATTTCAAATTAATTTGTATGTATAATGTGAAGTAGAAACCAGGAGGTTTTTTTTTTTTATCCCCCTTACAGATATTCAGTTGCTCCAGTACCACTCATTGAAAAGAGCCTTCTTTCTCCACTGAACTGCATTGGTGTCTTTGTTGAAAATCAAGTGACCATGTATAGGTGGGTCTACATTCTACACCTTTCCAAAAGTGGCCTAGCTGTCAGGGTGCCTGAAATTTCATCATTAGAGATAACTGTCTTTATTATTTGTATGATTTTGGTCTTTAAAATCCCAAATATCTATCTACAATATAACAAATTAAGCCCTGTTCTCTATTTATACCTTTGGGTCTTAGAATTCATTGAGTCCCTGATAACAGAAATGACCTGCGCTGGAAGTCAGAGGACCTGAGTTACAGATCATTGTAATTCAACACACCATTCACTGAGGACCTTCTGTTTGCCAGGCATGATGCTTGGGGTGTGTCAGGGGGAGGTGAGAGGCCAAGGAATAAGACACATTCCCTGCCCTTAAGGACTTCACAGCTGGGTTGCAGGTCTAATGATTTGAGAACACTTTCACTGATCCCAATCCCCACAAAGAAGCCTGGAATTCAGAGTGTAGAATTTGGAGAATGTTTTCTCCTCTAGTAGTTACAAGAATTTTAAGACATTCTAGTCAATTATCTAACAGGTGACCTAGAACAATATGTGCCTTAAATTTTTCCATTGTTAAAGAATGGCCTCAATCCTCGGATAACTCACATAAAGTACTTAACTCTGAACTTAATATCTAGTGAATGCTTAATATGTTACCTGTTATTATAATGATGATGATGATTCCTGCCAGGGCTGCAGTAAGGATAAAATCAAATCACATGGTCACAGAATCTGATGATTGGAAGTAAACTTCCAACTGGAGTTCAGCAGCTAACTATCAGAATTGCCTGGAGACCTTGTTGAAAAATATGAATTCCCCAGTCAAGGATTCTGTTCCTTTTTTTCCAAGGTGAGGCCTGGGATTTTACAATTGGAACAAAAATCTCCAGGTATTCTATGATCAGCCAAGTTTAGAGACCACTAACTTCTGGCACAAACTGAAGAGGGGAGGGGTGGGAAGATTCCTAAAACTGTCCTAGAAATGCTATTATCATACAAATAGAATTGGTTAATTAGATACAAGTATTGTCATTGACAAATACTTCCTAGGAGAAACAGCTAGCACAGGGCAAACCCAGAGAAGAAAGGGCATGAGACAGGAGGGAGCTGAAGAGGAAGGTCACTGGGTGCCAGAGACTCATTTCAACAATCCCACAGTTTTACCTGGGGCCAGACCGTGCTTAAGACCCAAAACCAGTTTATGTCAGGTTGATGATAGGTTAAACCAACACATCTGTTAGCCAATTCAAACTAATTTTTTAAAAATCAGCACCAGGCCGGGCGCGGTGGCTCACGCCTGTAATCCCAGCACTTTGGGAGGCCGAGGCGGGCGGATCACGAGGTCAGGAGATCGAGACCATCCCGGCTAAAACGGTGAAACCCCGTCTCTACTAAAAATACAAAAAAAAATTAGCCGTGCGTAGTGGCGGGCGCCTGTAGTCCCAGCTACTTGGGAGGCTGAGGCAGGAGAATGGCGTGAACCCGGGAGGCAGAGCTTGCAGTGAGCCGAGATCCCGCCACTGCACTCCAGCCTGGGCGACAGAGCAAGACTCCGTCTCAAAAAAAAAAAAAAAAAAATCAGCACCAAAAACTAATTGAGCTCAAGATAAAGCACACAGATATGGCAAACTCCCAGAGAAATGATTTTAAGGAAGGATAGCAAATTTCAAAATCTAACTGAGGCATGGTGACCCAGCAGGACTGCAGAGGATCAGGGTACCTCCAAAGTTGTGAAAATCCTGCAGACAACAGGCTAAAGAAAACTGATTCCAAGATTGCTGATGGAACCAAGCAGGGAGGGGTTGAGACTGCTTTTGTCTGCAATAAAATTTTCCACTGGTCACACATTTCTTTTTTCTTTTCTGAGTTTCAGGGTGGGTGAGCAGATGGCTGGAGCATTGGAAGAGAGTGAGTTCAGGAATCTCACTAAGAAGGGCAAAGTAAGATGAAAGTTTTGGGGTCAGGATTGAGACCAGGAGCCAGAATGACCCCAACCCAAAATCTCCAGAAAGGATACTCCAGAAGGGCACAGTCTTGTAGTACAGGAGGAGAAGCCCTCAGCTGGGAAGCAGGAGGTCTTTCTTCAGCCACTAACAACCAGAGTGGCCAGGGTAAGCCACTTCCATCTTCAAGCCTCAGTGTAGACATCATTACTGTTCACTAGTTACTAGATCCTACCGTCATGATCTCTAAGGTCCCTCGCACACTGAGTGGCATTTTCTGGTCTTATGAAGAGGTTAGGAAGCCCACTGGGGCCACTAAAAAAAATGCTTTGCCCACAAAGCTTCACCCACTTTTATTCATATCCAATTGTGCCTCTCAGAATGGAGGCTGGGGCAGGATACTAAAGTGGGCTCAGTGGCATGGAGCTGGCGAGGAGGGGGAAGAGGATGGAGCCCCCAAAGTTCTCCCCATCAGTAGCAGACCCTTTCTATACCTGAGCAGCACAGACCTTTAGAAGCACCAGTGGGGTCCCTGCTAACCCTTCCTCCACCCCAACTCTATCTCCACTTCCCATTGTCACCTCCTCATTTCAGCTGGGGAAACGGAAACTTGTTCACCAGGAGTCCCTCTGCTCTCAAAAGAGAGGAAGTCGAGAAAAGCCAAGGAAAGCACTGCCCAGCATGTCCAATAAGCCAGTAGCATAAAGTGAATTTCATCTTACAATCTGAAAATGCTCAGGTAGATTCTGGAATGGCCAGCCCACAGTTCAGGAAACTAGAATATTTGGAAGAGAACCCCCAGTCCCATTCTTTTGGGATTCACAATAAGAAGGATAGTTATCTTTAAGAGAGAGACATATTAATGTTCTCTCTCTTGCTCTCTCATCTAAGTGCATTTATCCCTTTCTTAAAGATAAAGTCAGTAGATTTTTCCTTGTTTCTAATTTAAACCTTCTGGCCATCATATAAACCCAATTCCTCCTTTTGAGGGAGGAGGGAGGGCTCCCTAGTAAACAGAACAGCCCACCAAAATTCCTGACTTGAAAACAATTCATGGCCTGCCTACAAAATTTCTCAGACTATATTGCCTATAACCTGAAAAATGTCTGTAGGCCCAATTTTCTAAAACTGCTTCTTTCTTTTCTCATATTTTGAGAGATGAGGCCCCTAATCCCTTTTAATGGTCACAGCTGTGCCCAATGTGTTTCTGAGGCCTCAACATCTCAAATCCATTGTTGGTAATGATCCCAGAAGCTTGTTTTTCCTCTACCATGAGAGGGGACAGAAAAATCAGTTCCACAAAATAGGCATTCTTATTCAAGAAGGGTAAGATGCAATGCACACCAAGTGTGAGCATTGTGTGTTTAAAACCTTTACCCTTTTTCAGACAAGATTCAACCAGCTAATTTCATTCTGCAGCCAATTCTCTTTGTGCAATAACAGCCAAATGGCTATCTGGGAATCTAAATTGCTAGAGCTTGGTGCCAGATTCACCACCCATGTGGAACACATGTTCAATGACTTTCAAATTTGTGTTTGTGTGTCTGTGTGTGTGTGTGTGCATGCATGGTTGTGGGGGTGAGTGGGAAAATTCTGCCATCCATGACTTTCTGGAAATGCCAAGATCTGTTTTGTCCTCATCTTAAGTAAATGATTTACAGGCTGTAAATACGTTAGTTCCTTGAAAAAGGAGGTATAAAAGGTACATTCCATCCCCAGATCAAATTAAACAATTTACTCCAAAGGGATCTACTGTCACTCATACCAAGGCTCCTCTGAGCTTCTCTGCATTATCCAAGGACTTTGCTCCATGGCAACAGCCACCTTTTCCAAAGGCCTAGCCTCTGTACTTAGTCATGTTCATGTCCCCAGATGATTTTCCTCATCTTTTCTATTGAGGGGTTATTAAACTGACGTATTCCTATATTTCTCCATTTGCTTTAATTTTTCTTTCCCTCCACCTATTTTCTGAGCTGAAAGAAAGAATGTTATTCCCAGAGGCCAAAGAAACTAGGTAGTCTGAGGAAAGTTCTTTGGATTTGGAAGGTATGTCAAGCCCAGTGAGAGTTACAGAGAATTTTCACCAGGATAAGACTGACATGTGGCTAGGACTAAGTGGCCAGGCTTGCTTCACTTGCCTTTTCTCTGAGTTTCCCACATCTGAGCCACCACAGGAGAACAGGAGACCTCTCCCAGCCTCTTTGGAAACCAATCCTCTTGAGAACTGAGTGCCTTGTAGGAATGCTTTAGGGAGCTGAACAGGACATGCTGATTCCCTTGCCACGTTTGATTGGCTCCATCATTTTTGTTCCTTTGGTGGTTTTAAAATCTGCTTTCAAACATCTTTCCAATTTACTTGTTTCTAAAGTCATAAATTTCAAAAGTGAAGATTTAATGACATTCAACAAATTGTGTATATATAATTTGATTGCCTAGAGAACCTGAGATCTTCTTTGCTGGACTATGAACAGCCTAAAGACTGAGGGCCTGGCTTTTATCTCTGTATCTCCAGAGCTTAGCCTGGTGATTAGCACATGGTAAGTGCTTAACAAAGATAGTTTGGTGAATGAAACAATGAATTAAAGCTCAACACAGACCCAGCACTAGCTAGGAAGACCTTGGGTGGATGGAAGAAAGGAAGGAAGAAAGGGGGAAGAAGGAAGGATGGAAGAAAGGAAGGCAGAGAGGGGAGGAAGGGGAAGGAAGGAAGGGAAAGAGGAAGAAAAGAAGAAAGGAAAAAGGAAGACAGAAAGGAAGGGAAGGAGGGAGGAAGAGAGAAAGGAAAAAAAATGAAGAAAGGAAGCTACAGCATAATATACAGCACTGATCCTTCAGAAAGATAAGATATTCCTACATGAAATACATGGAGAACAATGAAAATCAATGTATATAGCTCCCTGAGCTGGAAGACAAATAAATGAGATAAGAAAGTAAAGTATTCACAGGCAGAAAGAGAATAAGTGTGTGTATGTATGTGTATGTGTACGTGTGTGTGTGTGTGTGTGTGTGTGTGGTGTGTGTATGTGTGTGGGGGCTGGAGGGTAGACGACGGGTGGGTTGGGGAAGGAAGGTAAAGACTACATAGCATACTGTTAAGTAAAAAGGTTGCAGGCCAGATTTTTCCAGGTCAGCTGTCTCTATTCATCAGACTGAGTTAATTTCTATAGTTCCAACTCCCTTTGGCCTGAGTAAATGAAACCTAAGAGATGCTTAGCGTTTATGCCCTTGTTTTCTTAGCCCTTCTGAGTGTGCCGTCAACCCGAGGCATTAGCCACACCCCTCTCTTTCGACACCTCCAGGGATTTGCTCTGTTTATCCAGCAAACTTGCATCAGACTGTCTCTAGCTTAGGGAGGCTGCTCTGTTGACTCACTAACCTGTTTGAGAAGCTGACAAAATCAACTTTCTCTGTAGGAATCCACAAAAGCAAAAGAGTCTCCTCAAGACTCCCCACTCCTTGCCTTTCTGAATGAATCAATCCATCCCCAGCCCAAGTGAAGGACACATCTAAGGAGACCCCTTTTTCCATTTATTTTGTTGGGTTCAGTGTCATTGCCTATATTGTCCATTTAATTCCATCACAAGATCCTGCATGTTTTGTCTACATGTTGATGGCAGCCCCATCCATTTGATTTGTATTTCTTACACTACATGCTGGGCATAAGGGCAATGCACTTAAACTTACGGAAACTCATCCTATGTCACATAAGTGTGCATAAACACACTAACACACACACGAGCACAACCTGCAAAATCCTATTCAAAGAGAATTCTAAAGTCCTACTTCCCCGAAGAAGCCCTTACATGCTGCACAGAGCTTATGTTTCTGTGCCAGAGAAACTGTCCAGAGAAACTTCTTGGTTTGCTCAATTGAAGGGAGTTGAGACTATAGGAATTAACTGTCTGATCAATAGAGATAGCTGACCTGGAAAAATATGGCCTGCAACCCTTTTACTTAACAGTATGCTATGTGGTCTTTACCTTCCTTCCCAAACCCACCGCTCCTCTACCCTCCAGCCCCCACACACATACACACATACACACATACACACACACACACACACACACACACACACACACTTATTCTTTGAAAATTGAGCAAACCAAGAAGATAACAGTGGGGAAAGGAGTTGTCTTGCACAGACTGGAAGAAAAGCCTTGTTTCAATTAAATATCTACATATTTAGTCACTGTCTAGAATGACAGTGACATTCCACTACACAAATATATTTTTCTTTGAGTTCTACTCCATGTCTATATAAATCTTACAGATTTGTTCAACATTTACTGCCATTATTTATAATTGTCTGGGAATACTACAGGTATTAAGTTGATGCTACCTGTTTTCCACCAAAAAAGTCTAGATGATAAGGACTTTACCGCTGAGCAATGACCCCAGTCACAAAGATTTTCCAACTCCAAATGCACATTAGATTCATCAGGAAATGTTGACTTCAGTCTCCACCCACAGATTTCCAAATCAAGATCTCAGGGGCTGGGGAGTTCTTAGAATCTTTGCTTTTAACCCTTTCCCAGGTGACCATCAGCAGCTATCTCAGCCCTGGTGCATGTGTAAGAGTTAGGACTCACAATCTAGCTTATGCAGCTGGGTTGTTAGCAGGGTCTCCTGGATGGAACAACGTCTACCAACCTCCAGATCTTTGTGAAGGCAATATTCCCCATAATGCATTTGAGAGCTAGGTGAAGGAAACCCCACATGTCCAGGGAGAGGAAAATATCTCAAAGAAGTCATTTCTTGAGTCAAGACTCCAAAAGATATTCATGCTGGAGATAAGCCCACCTTCTTCCTTTCAATAGTGTCAACATCTTCTCCCACCCACCCTTCCCAAATTGTCCACTGTGGGCTTCCTGAGCAGGGAAAAAAATGGAATCATGAAAGATCACTCAGGATTTCTCCAGTGACCCACATATGCATGTTCCAAAATTACACCTTCTAACATTTACACCAATTTGGCATTTACCCATACTCTGGTTTTCACCTATTCTCCATCCCTAAATGAGATGTTAGTTAAGCTAGTGCCATAGCAATGGGGACAATCTTGAAGCTAAAATAAACCTCCTCTATATTTCATTCTGTATCATAAAACCCAGGAAATGTATGAAGGTCAAAATCACTCCTCATCTTCACTCCTGTTTCACCCTACATGCAAACACTGAAAGGGTAGACAAGAGGGTCTCTGAGATGCCTTCTAATTCTCTCTTCTTTATCCTCTACTCTGGCAACATTAGTCTTTTCTTCTCCACCTTGTCTCTTTCCTTCAGTTTTCCCATTTTATGCTGAGCAGACCACCAGCAAATTCTAAATGGTTATCGATTACAATGCAGAAAGAGCTCAGCAGTGATGCTCAATTGTTCTCAAGCTGGTCTTCAGACCCCCTTCTCTTTGAACCTTCTCCAGAGTCTGACATGCCAGGGACACAAAATGCTAAGTTTCTAAGTTCTTTATAGCAATAGTCTCATCAGTGTCTACAAGAAGGTCACTGACTGCCCTTCCCCATGACCTGCAGCTGTATTTGTTTGCAGTCCTAATATCACTGGCTGCTTCTTCTAAACAATTGCCTCCCTGCCCCATCTCCCTCCCACCCCTTATCCCATCAGCCAGCCGTAAGTTACAGGGCAAGTACAGAACAAATTTGCAATTCTCTCTTCTGCCCCAGGTCTCTCTAAGCACTAATTTTTTCCAGCTTTCACCCTACAGCTCAGATATTTGTACTTGGGATTCCTGTCTTACAGATGTATTTGTTTGTGCGATTCCAGGCTGGAATTAAGTTCCTGTCTCTTCCCACCAAGAAGGGATCTCTAAATCTGGAACGTTCTGTCCTGGACTTTTTGTTGCTGTCCACCAGCACATTCTATTCCGAATCCACAAATGGCTTGGAGAGGAGGTTAGGCAGGGTTGAAGCTTTGCTTTTCAGTGGTCCAGGCTGCAAATATGCAGCCAGCTTACCCCCTAATACACACCAATTCTGGTGACCAACATTGGCCATGCCTAAGTGCCTAAGACCACCAAATGGATAAACGCATTCGGCACCAAGCCCCTGCACGGTGGTGAGCATGGAAACCTGGAGGTGCCATTAATTTTCAAGAATGTGGTAAAGATTTGGATCTCTAATCCAAACATGATCCTTTCTACTACACGTGCCAGAGCACCCATGGAAAATAAAACTGGGATCACAAAAGGGAAAGTGCAAAAGCCTGGGGGGAGAAAGGCAGACCCAGCCAACAGACCAGTGCTGCAGACAAACCAAAAAGAAAACCACATTGAAACTTAAATGGGGGAACAGAGGATGGGTTGGTCTTCTTTTCCACTGTTCTTTTTCCATCCACAGAATTACTCAATATTGGGTGAAGGAGTTCCTTAGATGTTATGGATTTGAAATTTTAAGAAAAAATATAACAGGACTGCTTGTAAATTTCAACCAGAGGTGTGCACAGATTATTTTGAAAAGCACCGCAGCCAAGTTCCCTGCTAGAGAACTGGCAGGAGGTCAGAGGGAGGGATGGTGGTGGCCTCCCATGTTAGTATTATGGGGTGCGCTGGCTGGATATTTGCAGCCTGGACCCCTGAACAGTAGAGCTCCCAGGCCCAAAGCTGCCTGAATTCAGTGACCTGGAACAAGCTGTTTTTGCTGAAGACCGAGGCCACTCTGTAACTTCCTGTAGTCCAGACCAAACTGCTGTTTTCAGAAACCTGCTGACAAAGAAAACACAACTGGGGAAAAAGATCTCCTTTCTTTGTTTTATAATCCCCAAGTTAAAAACTAGAAACCATAGGTTTAATTATCTGGCCTCTTGATTGAGAAACACCACACACACACACACACACACACACACACACACACACACACACACACACACACACACACACTCAAGTTTTCCATTGTGAAATGTAGTGGGAAAAACAAAAACCTGGGAGTCTAGAAACCTGAGTGTCACTCTGGGCTCTGACAGAGCCTTGCTGGGTGACCTTGGGAAAATTACTATGATTTCCACAGCACCACTCTGCCCCTGTGATTGCTAATTTTTTGTGTCAATTTGGAGTGTGTTTGGGGATTAGATTAATATTGAAATATGCAGAGGTTGAGTAGAGTACATTTCCCTCCATAATGTGGGTGGGCCTCATACCATCAGTTGAAGGGCTGCATAGAACAAGAAGACTGGTCTCCCTGAGCAACGGGAGACTCTCCAGCAGCCTGCCTTCAGACTTCATCTGCATCACTGGCTCTCCTGGGTCTCCAGTCTGCTGGATCACATTGCTGATTTTGGACTCACCAGCCTCCATAACCACATGAGCCAATTCCTCATAATAAATCTCTTTCTACATACAGATGCTCCTCAACTTATGATGGGGTTACATCCTGATGAACTCATCATAAATTGAAAATATCATAAGTAGAAAGTGCATTTTCAACTTATATTATTTTTAACTTATGATGGGTTTATCCAGATGTAACCCCTGCGTAAATCCAGGAGCATGCTGAAGGTGTACTGCTTTCAAGCCATTGTAAAGTTAAAAATCATAAGTCAAACCATAAGTTGAGGACCATCTTATATATACATCCTACTGGTTCTTATTTCTCTGGAGAACCCTGACTAATACGGCCCCCGAGAACTGAGTACCTGCCGCGTACTCAGCCCTGCAGGGATCATTGAGACAAATGATTCTGCTACCATGCAGCACAAAACCTAGTTGGAAAGACGAGGCTAACTTGGATGAAACACTGCAGAGCAATGTACACTAGTGACAAAGGGTGTGGGCCAGTGGCTGGTGCTACAGGAGTTCACAGGAAGGTTCAGAGGAGGATTCGAAGAGGATATGGCACTTGTCCTGAGTCTTTACGGCAGCTAGAATTTCCCTAGGGGAAGAGAACAGGAGGGATGGCCCAAAGAGAGGATGTGCTTGGTGCCTCTCCTCTCCCCAGCTTGCCTGTCTCTATGGATAGCATCATCCTTCACACAGGTGCCCAAGACAAAGGGGCTTCATCCCTATGCCCACCCACCATCACTAAATACTCCCTGACGTTGACTCCTTTCTTATACAATGAATCACGTGTCTTCAGACCCTCCTCCCGTAACTCCGAGGGTACCATTTCCCTGCTCTCCACCCCCACACCCACCTCCCCAGTCCAGGCCACCATGGTTGCTCTCCTGGACCACCACAGTAACCCCTTACATGGTTACCCTGCCTTTAGCCTTGCTCCTCCAAGTCCTTTCTCCCCACAAAGCAGAGTGATCCATTCAAAAACGAGCATCTGATCATGCCTCTCTCTACTTAAAACTCTTCAGCATCTCTGCATTTTCTACAGAATAAAATCCAAACCTAGTCTGGTTTCAGCATGCTGTGCTCTGGCCCCTGCTGTCTCTCTGTCTTCATCTATTGCTACTTGTCATCTTGTAGTCGACTAAACAGTTTTCAGAAATGCCCTCGTCTCTCCCACCTCCAGGCCTTTGCACATACTATCCCCTCTGCCTAGAACTAGTTCCCTTTTTCTTTAGCTAATTTCTACTTGATTCAGATCACAGTTCTTAGATCTTCCAGGAGAAAACCTCCTCTGGCTTCTGCAGACCTGTTTAGAGTTCCCCTAACAGCACTCTGTTCTTCCTCTCTCAAAGCACTTATTGTAAGTGCTAGTGAAAAATTTGCTATTTTCCCAGCTAGATGTTAAGCTTTAAGAGGCTAGGTCTAACTCACATGCCCAGAAATTCCCAAAGTACTGAAGTACACGTGATAGGGTCTCAAATATTTTAAGTTTGCTAGGTCTGTCCTATATCCTGAAAATACACCAAGTACAAGGCAGGCCAGCCCTCACAGGGCTCACACTCTAAAGATAATAAACCAGTGAATCAATGCAGTTAGAGTTATGAAGAGGACCACAGAGGAAAGAAACAGAGGGCTGTCATAGAGCATTAATATTGTTTGGATGTCTTTCCCTTCCAAATCTCATGTTGAAATGTGATTCCTAATGTTGGAAGTGGGGCCTGGTGAGAGGTGATTGGATCTTGGGGGCGGATCCCTTATTAATGGCTTAGCACCATCCCCTTGGTGATAAGTGAGTTCTCACTCTGGTAATTCATATGAGAGCTGGTTGTTTAAAAGGGTGTGGCACCTCCCCCATCTCTTGCTTCCTCACTCACCATGTGACATGATTGCTCCTGCTTCGCCTTCCACCTTGAGTAAAAGCTTCCCGAAGCCTCACCAGAAGCCAAGCAGATTCTGGTGCCAAGCTTCCTGTACAGCCTGCAGGACCAATAAAACCAATACAACCTTCTTTCTTTATAAATTATCCAGTCTCAGTATTGCTTTATAGCAATGCATTGGACTAACACAAGCATATTGGGGGAGGTAGAGAGAGAACGCCTACTTTAGACATACAGTGGTCAGGGAAGGCTTCTCTGAGAAGCTGACATTGAACAGGAAGCTGAAGAATGAAAACCAGCCAGTCACGCAAAGGCCAGGGAAGTGAAGGCTCTAGGCAGGAAAAAGCCTACCATATTCTAGGGATGTCAGAAGGTTAATGTGGTTGAGCAAAGAGGAGAAATAACATAGTCTTCATTCTATCAAGCCCACATTGCCAGAAGCTTATACCACAGTGTCTTTATCGGCTGTGGTCTGAAGTCACTCTAGTGCAGTGGTTTGTTCCATCCAGTGGGAAGGGCACATGGTAACAGAGAAGCCCCCACACGGCATTGCCTTTTCTACAAAACATTTCAAAGCCCTAAGGCCCTGCCTTCCAAATCCAAATTCCAACATAGTGAGGTGAGCCTATTCTTATTAAAAATGTTCCATGTGCTAAAACTCATTAACAACCGGAAGAAGAATGAGAATGAGATTATTATCAGTCCCTTCTTGCCTGGATGGAAAAAGGGTACGATGAGAAAACAGGACTTCTACTGTCTTTCCAACCATCAAACCAAGATGTATCTCTTTGAGAACATGGGCTCTGCAGGTGTCCCTGGGATGAGTCATGCCCTTTCCAAAGATTAAGCACTGAGGCCACCCTTGACGTCATGGCAACCGAGCCACAACCACTTTATTCCTAGGCCAAGTTTGCACCTCTGCACACTAGACCTGCAATGTGCCTTGCAGTCTGCTCCTGGTTGGACTCCACCTTTTCCCTGCCCCAGAACAACACCCAGGATACATTGATTGGGAGTAACTATGGATAACAGCAGGAACGCTTGAGCCAAGGACTGTTTACATGTCCTTTGAACAACCAGTTCTCCTGCTCCACCATCAGAGCCAAAACTCCCTCCCTCCATTCCCCTCTTTCTCCAGCCCTCAGAGGCGGTCCACATTCCTAGTTTAGGCAATGCATTCTTGCTGCCCTGACACATACCACGAGAGTGGGCCAGGCAGGCTCTTGAGAGAGCCAAGCTACCCACCCAACACTTGGCTTTGGCTGAGGGCATCAAGCCAGGCCATAGCATCATAGCAGCTAAGGTCCCTTGATAAGCCACATCAGCTCAACTCTTTAAAATTGATCATGGCATTGCTGATGGAGCTGATAAGAGTTACATCAGACTATCCCTCCAAAGCCCAGATTGAATGACTACTAATTTTGATAGGCCTGGCAGTTAACACTCCCCTCACTGTGGAGGCCACTGCTAGATCCAAATCTGGAATGGGTTTCAGGGAGGGGAGGGTTGTTGATTACAGGATGAGCCATAACATAATCAGAACTTCTGGGCATGAAAAGATCTCCAAGGCAGCGTTTGGGTTCAGTTTCATCACTACTAAGTCACCACCGATCCTAGATGATTTTTGAACCAATATCTAATGTCAATGCCTTCTATGAATAGGATTCATTTATTTATTCATCTATTTCTTTAAAAGGCATATTTAGCACCTTTGTATGTCATATACTGTGCTAGATATGCAGGATAATGAGATGAATATGACATGTTTCTTGCCTTCAAAGAGCTCTGTAAAGGGTGATGCATAGGATTATTTCTTGAGAAGACAGGGCTGAAAGACCACTATATGAACCTTCTAAAGTCACTAACTACCAAAAATGTCATGACTAGCTAAGATAAGCATCCATCTGCAGGGACTGTGATGAGGATGCTGGTGGGCATATTGCTTTTATATTCCGGTTACTTATTATAATCTTAATAACTAAATTTGTGTGCTCATGATATACCAGAAATACTTCTAAATGCTCCACATGCATTATCTAATACTAACAAACCTGCATGGTATATGTTGTCATTCTCTTATTTTCACCCTGACTTTACAAATGCAGAAACTGAGGCTTAGATTGACTTATGCACCTTTTTCCTCAGAAAGACTTCCAGGAGCCCCAGCTGAAAATTGAGGAGCTAGTTTGAGCCTCTTGCTTTATGAAGTTTGTTCATTCATCTCTTTATCTCTTCCATCAGTGGCTACATTTCTCTGCCAAATGGTGGACACAAACCCGCAGACCCTAAATTGTGAGGTCATTTATTCATTCAACAAATATCTATTTTTGAATTCCCATGTGATAAGAATATGATGATGAAACAAACATAGGTTCTGCCCTCAGAATACTTTCAACCTGGTAGGGTAGATAAGAAATGCATGGAAATAAGATAGAAAACAGATCACAGGTGCTGAACTTAATGGGCTGCAGGATGCCAGCCTGATTTCCAGGCTGACATTGGCCCTTTGGTGTCCCTGTCTGGAGCTCCTAAAGCTAGATCCCTGGGCTCCAGGCCCTTAGTATGACCCACACCTTAGAGTTGCACCTTCATGCAACCCAACCTCATCCTCCAGGGCCCATGTCATCCACTTCATGGACAAGACAACACCAAAAATTTATTTGGTGTAGCTCAGTGGAACTAAAAATGTAGAGAAAAAAGAGCCAAAGGGAGAGGCAAGGAAAAGTACAGGCGCCGGAAGAACAATTGCTTGGAACTCAAAAACAATCACCAGAAAGAGAAACACAGGAAAGAACTTGACCTGGATGACCACAAATTCAGCAATAAGGAATTGAAAGATAAATATGGTGCAAACATACAGGTCTCTCCAGCATGAGAGCTTCAGAGCTCCTGGCTTGGGATCACCCTAATTTAGGCCTCTCAAAGAAACATCAAAGATTGTCAAGTTTCGGTGCCAGCATTCTTCATCCCTCTGTGGCATTCCTGTGCTGGGTTGCATTTAGCATTCAGTACTCCTGTGATAAGTCTGTGTCCCTAGACAATGTGTATGTGAGTTCTGTGCTTACTCTGGTTGCGGGGATCTTTGCTTATTACCAAGAGGTGAAAAACACCAATATCATGGCCACCTTCAGTAAAATTATTCTTCAGCAAGCTCTTGTTGTCTGAGATACAGAGAAGAATGCAACTTCTGCATAACAGTTGGTAACCAGGATACAGTGAAGATTAAAGGATAACACTAAATTCCTACAGATATCAGGTTGCTGGCTTTTCAGAGAGGTAGGGTAGATAACTCATCTATCAATGGGATGTCCAAGCCACAGTCCTGCTCATGTGACTTGTCTCATGACAATCCCCTGGAAATAAAAAATACTGTCTTCTCTTCCACAACCTGTTTAGAAGGCACAGCAACTGGCACAGTTGCCAACACAGGCAATGGCACCATCATTGGACAGATGGCCTCACTGACTTCAGAAGCTGGAAATGAGAAGATACTCATTGCCAGTGAGATCAAGCACCTTGCTTGCATTGTGGCAGGAATTCATAGGCATCCTTTTCTTCATCATCAGTGTCCATGAAGTATCATGCATTGAACCCTTCCATCTTCCTCACTGGCGTCACGTGGCCAATGTACCTAAGGGCCTCCTTGTCACTGTCACTTTCACTCTGTTACTGACAGAAAATGGATGGCCAAGTAGAACTGCCTGGTAAGAACCTGGAAGTGCTGGAGACCCCCAGTTCCACCCCATCATTTGCACTGACAAGACTGGCACTCTGACTCACAACAGGATCCATCCATGGTGTAACAGATTAATGTGGCTGACACACGTGAAGAACAGTCAACCCAAGTCTTTGCCCGAGGCTCTGGAATCTGGGACTCCTTATTCATGATAATATTGTGTAACCATGTTGAGTTCAAACCAGGACAGGAAAGTGTTCTCAACATGGAGAAAGTTGTGGTTGAAGATGCCCCAGAAACTGCCCTTGGAAATTCTCAGCAGTCATTTTGGGTGATGTCATGGAAATTAGAAAATGAAACTGCAAAGTAGCCAGGCTGAAATCCCTTTTGACTCTACCAACAAGTTTCAGCTCCTCATACATCAGCTGATGATCCCAATAATAAATGCTTTCTCATGGTGATGAAGGGTCCCTGGAGATCTCAGTGAAGTGCAGCCGAAGGACATAAGTCAGGAATAGCTGAGTGAGCTGTTAAAGATCCTCTCAGAAGCCATCTTTGCTCAGACCTCTGACCAACAGAAACTGGGTGAGCTGTCAGAGACAGGATGCTTTGACAGAGAATGGAGTCAATGCTCTAAATAGGTAGATATCAGGATTGCCATGAGAAAAGCAGGTCCTGACGTAGTAAGAATTCAGGGTACACAGCCTTAATGAACAACAATGTGACAACTTTGCATCTACAGTCACAAGATGAAGGAAGGTTACCTACTCTTTGACAACCTACAGATTACTGCTTACACTTCAAGAACATTGCTGGTTTGTTGTTGTTGTTGTTGTTGTTGTTGTTGTTGTTGTTGTTGTTTGAGATGGAGTCTCGCTCTGTTGCCCAGGCTGGAGTGCAGGGGTGCCATCTTGGCTCACTGCAAGCTCCACCTCCCGGGTTCACGCCATTCTCCTGCCTCAGCCTCCTGCGTAGCTGGGACTACAGGCGACGGCCACCAGGCCTGGCTAATTTTTTGTATTTTTAGTAGAGATGGGGTTTCACCATTCACAGGATGGTCTCGATCTCCTGACCTCATGATCCACCGGCCTCAGCCTCCCAAAGTGCTGGGATTACAGGCCTGAGCCACCGCGCCGGCCATTGCTGGGTTTTTAAATCTACATTATTGTTGGGCTCACCCTGCCCACTGACACCATTACCATCTTGGTTCATCAACTTGGACACAGACATAATTCCCTCATTGCCTTAGCTTATAAGAAAGCTGAAAGTGACCTTATGAACCAGTGTGCCACAAGAAGGACAGACTGGTGAACAAGCCACTTGCCATGTACTCTCCTTTCACATTGGCTTCACATGAGGCCTGGGAGCTTCTGTTGTGTATCTCACCATTTATGCCCAGGAAGAGTTTAGACCCAGTGCTCTCATTGACCTCTGGGTCAAATGGGAAAAGAACAGCATGAATGACTAGGAAGACAGTATGGACAAGAATGGGCAAGATGCCAGAGGAGATACCAAAAAAGGACAGACTACGCAGCCACCCTCAGTGGCATTCTGATCCAGCAAATAGTCTAATAGGGCATCAGAAAAACTCAAGCAATCTCATCTTCCAGCAAGGTCTTTTCAGAAATAAAGCCATCGAGGTAGAGATTGACTTACAGGTTATCATAGCATTAATACTCTCCCACTGGGAGTGTCAAAGCCCTGAATTTCACTATGCTCAAAATTGGTTTGTAGAAATGCCACATGACATTCTTATTTGGGTGTATAATGATATGAAAACTTTTCATCAGGCTTTACTGTGGAAGCTGTTGGGATAATATACCACTAAGACCATCTTTTTTCCCAAGTTCCCCAAATTCACATTGATAAAGATTTTCATCTGGTCGCTAGCTACAAGATCTCTTGTGCAAATAAGGACATCATCAAAATTCATTCCAGGGGAAGACAAAAACTGTATGAAAGGTACTCAATTGACATTTTGTACTTTATAGCTGAGGTTTGACTATTTATAACTTTTATGTCGATCTCCATCTCCTGTTTTAAAATATGTGAATTTCAAGTGATGATGTTCATGCATTCATAAGAGTCCATGATACTAAATAGCCTTGCATAACCCAGTTATCTTCTGGGGTCCTCCTACACCTGAAGGTCTAGATAGGATTCCTCAAACCTCCATTCTACATGCTATTGAAGGTACAATTCCTTCCCCAAGATTTCTATGAATTCCTGTGGAAATTGGTTACTTTGCTGAAAAATTCAGCTCAAAGTTTGCAGGAAATGAAAGTAGGGGCAGGGTCACATCATAAGAACATAGACAACCTCCACTTTGACTCTCAGATATTGCTCTGGCACAATTTCCCTGGCCACATCACCCCTCACCCTAACCTATTGCCAACTCACCAGTCTTTTCTTGCATTTCCTCCTCCCATCTTCTCTTTTCTTCTCCCTCCCATATTGCCCTTCACACCTACCAGTAGAATTCCAACTTGGCTTTCTCCAACTCTTGTTCCAAGACTGAGCTCCAAGTCTACTTTGAGTATCCTAACTCAAGGTGTTCCACTAAACAAAAGGATCTTTGATTTACCAGGAAGCCACTGTGGTTTGAAATCGTAATATTTATTTATTGTAAAATATTTTTAGCACGGATTTTATACTGATCATGTTTCATGTGTGTGGAACACACGTCTATGTTGACAGGCCCAGGGAAGCTTCATTTTAAAGTAAAAGACATTTTATAAAACAAACAAACCCTAAAGACACAAAATGTTAAGTGACATTTAAGGTCCCTTAAATGTCAGAGTTATGGTTAATGTTAAGGTTCAGGGATCAGAATATCTCTAAATGACTTCTAATGTATCTTCTCAGTTCTAATTTTCCATCATTCTAGATCATGTACCATGATGCCCAATTAGGAGCATAGAAAAGGCTTCATGGGGCAGGTGCATCTGCGCTAGACCAATCCATCTGGACTAGACTTGCAAAGATAAGGAAGACAAGATTTAAAGAAAAGTTTAATTGATTTCATTTTCCTTTGAATGAATCTGTAGACTACAAGAAATCAATATTGGGACTTTGCTGTTTCTGAGGCATTCTCAATTATCTTTCATCCTTTATTACCTGCAAAATTAAAAGATTCTACTGCAAAGGCCTATCCTTCTGTCTTTCTTTCCTTTGAACAGTGTTGATCGAGGGCCTTCTCTGTTTTACGCAGTATGCTGCCACTGAAAATACACAAGACAAGTAAGATAGAGCCCACCAAGGAAGGAGTTCAAGTTCAATAGGAGAAATAAACAAGGAAACAAGTATAATTCATGCTCAGACCTTCTCTCGCAGTTCCTGCAGCCCAGCCACAGGCTCTGGCCTCTCTCATTCTATTGCAGGTACAACACACAGCCCCTTCTCTGGCACATCTACCCCATGGCCATGCCCACAAACCATTCGGTTATTTTTAATAACTTATATTAAGCCTTTCAGGAGACAGGATCACCCCCCCCCAACCCTGCCAGTCTCTTCTACCTCTTGGCTGCCCTTCACTTCTTTCTCTTTTTTCCTCTCCTTACTCCCCTTTCTCAGAAGCAACACAAATTTCCCTACTTATCCTACACATAGCAGTTCTGAGGGCATCTTTTATCACAGCCTTCAGCTGAGCATGCCCTTGTGTGTCACCCTCCCCCATAGTGACTCAAAATCTTTCTTCAAAATAAATACAGGACCCTCCCTAAAAAAGTTCTGGAGAGGGAGGGAAGCGGGCCTCCATCTGTGCTCAGACCACAGAGCTGCACTCAGAATGGAATGGGTCCTGTCCGGTACAAGATAGAAGAGGCAGCCTGGGTGGGAAATAATAAAGAGAATTCTGGTGGATGCAGTGGATTTCTTGTTCTCAGCAAGACCATTCCAGAAATGTAGGGAGTTGGCCCATGGGCTCGCCAATGTTTGGGTTATGTTTCAACCTTGATTGAGCACCAGAACTGTGCACAGTGCCAACTCCCAAGTGCTTTGAGGAGGGCTGGGTACATCATGCTTCTCTGTTTTTGTTTTTGGGTTTTCCCCCCATGTGCCTGGGATGTTTCTTCCATTAAAACCAGGACTTTTCCTCCCTCTGCGCCTCCACACAGAATCCAGCCCAAGCCAATCAATACCCCTAGGACATGCTAAATCTATTTTAGTGCCAAAAAATATAAATAATTTATTTGAAAAAATGCTGATAACTCCACAGAGAACTTTTTCATGCGCTGTGTCATTTCACTCCAAATTCCTTAATGAGAAGGGGGTCTCTTGCTCAGTGGTGACACGGCAATGCTAGGCTGTTTCTTTAGACATTTCTGCCTAGAAAGAGAAGGAAGACCCCTGAGCACGAAGCAGGTTCTTCCCACAACGTGGTGTGGGAGTCTCTGCTTCTCCTCCTCTGACATACAGCTCTTCCTATGTCCTTCTTATACACAGGATCTGCATCTCAATTCAGAACTCCAGATGTGGTCTCTCCAGCAGACAAGCATTCTTGCTAAGGTATCCTAAATAGAACATTCCAGAAAAACACGATTATTGTCTTCAAAGAGACCTGTCATGTAAAAGATGTATTAAATTTACCCAGCACTATGTCAGAAGAGAAGAATGAAAACGATAGGGGCTGCTAGAAGGCAAAAACATAGTCATTGTGTAAAAAAGGCTTTTAAACCAAAACTAGAATTGAGCTATTCTGAACACCTGAAGTTAGGTATTATCTCAGCTTTGGTCTCCTCAATATCGATTCATAGCATTGATTTGCACGGGGTATTAGAATGTCCTGGAGAAATAACTTGATCCATGGCCAAACTTGGGGTTCAGACACAGAAATAAGCATGATTAATTTGAAGTGTGTAGATAGAACATGTTAAGAGAAGCTCTATTTCAAGGGCAGCAGAAAAGGAGAATCTGTAATGGAGGCAGGAAAATACTGGATTGCGGGACACAGCCCCAGACCTAGGCATCAAGGCTGAGAGTGGAAGTTCTGGGAGAAGCAAGGTGGTGGACTTGCTTTAATCCACTCCAGTCCCAGGGACCCTAATGGCATGAGCATCCCATTGAAAGGAACAGGTCTTGTGTATACATTAAAATAGCCATGATAGCTAAGGACTCAAGCAATTCCTCAGAGAGAACCACAGAAGAGTAGCCTAACAGGAAAAGGAAACCATTTCTATCCTGGCTGGAAAAAATTATCATCAAGTAGCTTGGAGCAACAGGGAGTATGTCAGTTGTCTAGGGCAGAAAGGCCCTGGCACAAGATACAGAACAAGTGCAAGTTCATAGACAGAGCCTGGGACCCAGCCACTGGGACATCAGAACTACTGGCCCAGAAGACAGTAGTGGCCCCAGCTCCAGCAGTGGCTTGGCAGATTCAGACATCCATGTGAGGTAGCCCTTATGGATTTTCACAGAGGAAGTGGGGAGAGTCCTCTCATAACCATCATTATCACAAGGACCAAAATCCTGAAGCCACACAGAGGAAGGTCACTGATATGGTTTCACTATGTCCCCACTCAGATCTCACCTTGAATTGTAATTCCCATAATCCCCATGTGTCAAGGGCAGGACCAGGTGGAGGTAACTGAATCATGAGGGCAGTTTCCCCCATGCTTTTCTTGTGATAATGAGTGAGTCCCACGAGATCTGATGGTTTTATAAGCATCTAATATTTCCCCTGCTTACTCTCATTCTCTCTCCTGCCACCTGTGAAGAGGTGCCTTCCACCATGATTGTAACTTTCCTGAGGCCTCCCCAGCCATGCAGAACTGCGAGCCAATTTAACCTCTTTTCTTTATAAATTACCCAGTCTCGGATGTTTCTTCATAGCAGGGTGAAAATGGACTAATACAGTCACCAAACTATCAAGTTTTGTGTCTGCGTATTTTTAATATTTTTCTAAGGTCATAATTACCAAGGAATAATTTCATACAGTAAAATGTACCCTTTTAGAGATACAATTTACTAATTCTCACAAGCTTGTACAGTTGTAAAATAACTCCTACAATCAAGATACAGAACATTTCCATCACCCCAAAAACATCCATTCATACCTCCTTGTATTCAAAAGCTCCCTTCATTCCCAGCCCCTGGCTACCACCAAGTTTCTTTGTAAGTATATGTATATATTTACAAAAATGTATGTGTATACACACACACACACACATATATATACACATACATATACACACTCACACATGTACACATTTGTCATTTCTTCCAGAATGTCATATAAATTAAATCAAAACCTATATAGCCTTTTGACCTGAGTCTGGTTTCTTTTGCTTTGATAAGGCATGTGAGATTTATCTACACTAATGCATATGTCAGTAGCATGTTCTTTTTCTTGCTGTACTAGTATTATTCCACAGTATAGACATACCACTGTTTGTGAATTCCCCAGCTGATGGACATTTGGATTGTTTCCAATTTTTAATGATTATAAAGGTATTTGTATACAGGTTTTAATATGGAAATATGTTGTCACTGGGTAAATACCTAGGAATGGGACTGCTGGACCATATGGTAAGTATATATTTAACTTTATAAGAAACTGCCAAACTATTTTCCAAAGTGGCTGGCCCATTTGGCATTCCCACTGTGTCTATTACAGTGGCCTCACTGGCATTCACAGGATCTCCATCTGAGAGTGCTGAAGTTCTATTTCTATTGCTCCAGCACCCAGGAAGTCAGAAATGTCCAGAGATGGAATTTTGAAGCCTCTGGAAATAGTGATTTTCCTGTCCCTGTGGTTGTCCTAGGAGGGGCTGGGCAACTGCAAGTCAGGGATGTGATAAAGGACCAGACAGTTTGGCCTTCCAGATCTCTTTCGAATCTGTTTTCTCTGATGCTGTGAATATGAACGTCACCCTAGCTGGCAGTGTAGACCCCACCCTCCCACATTTCTCACCACTTGGCTCACTAGACAAATGTGCATCTCGGTGTTTGACGTCTTTGTCAGTTTGACTGATGTGTTTCAGTGAGTTGATATTTTTTATGCAGTCCATTGGATCTCTTAACGGTTTTTGCAAAGAGGTAGTAAATTAATGACCCACCCACATACTGTTGACCTGTACAGGGCTGTAAATAGTTTGCTCTAATGCTCTCTGCTCTAGCTTCTCCATCTTGGGATAAGAGCACCCAGCCCCTGGAATACTGCAGAGCACCCCAAGAATAGAAATAACTGAGCAGTGAAGCAGGTGATCAGGACCAGGAAGACGGTTTAGACTCTGTCCCCATTGTGCTGGGTTCTGGAGGCTGACAGGTCTGAATTTGGATTCTGACTGTGTTACTAGCTGTGTGACTCTGAGCAAGTCACTTAACCTCTTTGAATCTTGGGAAAGTGGGCCTTCCCTGTAAAGGATTAGAATTCATAGAAGTAAAGCACCTTACATAGAGTATACAACCTCTGGGAAGCATTATTTTTGCTTTTACTGTCCTCTTGCTCACTACTACTACTACTACTACTACTACTACTACTACTACTACTATTACAAGAGACTTTGATCATCTCTGGATAGTGCTGGGAAGTAGCACTAGACATAGAGCTGAGGCCAGGATCCAGAGTCCAGGTTAGGGTGAGAAAAGTGACAGGCAGAGCCAGGTAGGGGAGCGTCTGCCATGGTGACCCAGGGGAAGTGACCCAGCAGCAGCATGGAGAAGATTGGTACTGCATGGTGAAGCCAGTCTGAGATTCCAGACCTGGAACCATTCCCAATGTCGTCTCTGAGCTCTGGGCCTAGAACACATTTCTAGCTAAAGGATTCACATGTCTGTCTCCCAGGGCACCTCAACTCCTCTCTGCTATTTTGGGACTCTAGGTAAAGACTTACCCTAAACTCTTTGAGGACACTAGTACCAACAGCACTGAGTAGAAAGGTAACTGAGCAGTTCTAAGATGATTTACTCTTAAAACCCAGAGATAGTGGGCAGATAGGACTGAGCCCTATTAACCAGTCTTTGCCAGATAAATCAATAACCGTTAATACCCATGGATTTTGTTTTTAAAGAGATTTCTCTAGACCAGGACTTCATCATCTCTGAGAAAATGGAAAAAACGAAATGAGTATGCTCTCACCTTAAGAAGTGTCTGTAAACAGTTCTCTAAACAAGCACAGCTAATTTCCCACCTCCCATTTTTCCCCTGGGTCCTCCCATCTCATCTCTCTGTCCAGCCACTCTCACCTTTCCTAGGTTTGGGAGACAAAGTAATTCAGTCACTCTCCCAGCCATGTAGTAGACCAGGATCATGGCTTCCAGCCCAGAACTGTGCCATGAAGGAGCCAAGAGCTGAGTGAGCAGTGGACGTCTCTCCTCCCCAGCCCTGACCTGTTCTGAGGATGGATGGGAGAGCGAGCATCTGCTCAGAGCACCTGGAGGAGAGCACACCTGACTTGGATCTCAGCCACATTGTGTCCCGGTCATGGAAACTCGGGCAAGTGGTGACTTCTCCTACACTCAGTGTACAGACCATTCGTCTATGAAATGCAGGCAGTAACACTCCTTCAAAAGATTATTTTGGGGATTAGAGATTAGACATAAAAAGCACCTGGCACATACTAGGTACTTAATAAACCATAGCCACTTTTATTATTCTTGTCTTCCTTCTTTTTATAAGGATTAGATAAGAAAATCCACTAGAAATTCTAGCACCCATTTCACCAGATTCTCAGGTCTGTACAACTGGGAGGGAGGAGAAGGGTTGGGCTTGGGAAGAGTTGGGCTCGTGAGCATGGGCTCTCCTCTATTCCTGTGGTCTGGATAGGGGAATAGACAGGTTTTTTACTTTTCAACTCTATCCTCGGAGGGCAGCCTCGGAGTGATAGACAAGTTAGAATTGAAATCATTCAAATGTCACTTTTCCGGCCACTTAACTTTAAAAACATCTTTTAAGGGGGAAGTTAAAGCAGGTGGCTGATTTTCCATAATCATTATTAACATATAGTTATAGACATCATTGCTCTGGCATTCCCAATGTTCCCTCACCCTCCCACACCTACCCCAAGCCGTGGAGAATCAGGAGTTGGGCTTGAACACCATGTTCTGCCTCCACCTGCAGCTCACAGGCGATACCTGTTTGCAGGAAAAACAGAGGAGTCCAGTTTCCAAGGCTGTCAATCTGGAAACCAATCCATTTTCTAAAAAGATTGGAAACGGCATCTCAACGACTTGCAGTTAGGCAAGAAGGCCTTGGCCTCCAGAGAGGCTCTCATATTACAAAACTTGATAGAAACCACTTGCGTGGGGGCTTGGAGAGACAAGGCCCAGGTCACTTTGTTCCTGCTATGGGAATCTGGATGGGAGGCAGAGCTGTCTCCAGATGCAACCTCAGATACCACCCCAGTCAGCAAGCTGGCCCAGCAGCACGGGCTGCTTCTCCCAAACCAGCCACCTCCCTCTGCCCTAACTCTCCACCCCATCTCTGTTTTCAATCACCATATTAAAAATCAAGCTCAGCTCTTTTGTTGGGTTATTTGGAGTTGATCCAGGTGGAATAGCACACTTTGCATGCAAAAAAAGGGAAGATGGTAGAAAGGAGTTAGGCAGAACTCAGGGGATACCATCTCTTTGTGTCTCATGGTTCTAAGATCAGGTTCATTGAGACCCAGGTCCTCTGAGATCCTCTGATAGCCTCAAGATGGAAGAAAGATGACAGTAGAAAGCAAAGTGTAGGAGAACACTTGAAAGAGGTCTCAGTCATGGGAGTCACATATGTGGACAAGCTCTCAGACCATGCAGAAAGACCTTTTAGACCAAACCACCCAACCAAACAGAACTGAAAGAAGCAGGCTAATGGGAGCATTGAGCCCCTCAAATCAGGGATACCCAAGGCATGCTCTGCATCATTCCTGGACACATGATCTGACAAATTCCCTTTGGTGCTAAGTTGCTTCGAGTTGGGATTCTGTCACTTACAAACACAAAAGCTCCAGCTATACACTAAGTCATCTGCCCAAGGTCACACTGAGTAAGAAGCACATCAGGCCTGTTAACCAACACCTGTCTGATCCAAAGGCATGCTTTTTCCCCTTCTCCTGTGGCTCTCCATGTGCCTCTTTCCAATGCCAAGTTCATTGGCAACTTCATCAGGGCAAGAGGGAAAATAAAGAATTTTGTTCAATAATGAAATCTGCCAAGAGTTGTTCTAGGCGTTGGGATTACAGTGATGAGAAAGACAGCAAAAGACATGGCTGAGCAGGGAGCAGGTTTGTGAAAAGACTGGACTGAAGGGGGAGAGGAAGAAGGTAGAAGAAAGCAGGCACTAGAGCCACGCTCTGTGGCATTAGTTATGGACATCTCTCCTCCCTAGCACCAGGAGAGTTGAGGGTACTACCTCCTGAGAGAGTGCATCTATTTAATTTTTGCCAGGATAAATTTCCTCAGATTTCTAGCTTGGCAGATATAGTGTATGTATGCCCTTGGACTGACCATGTTCAAGTTCTGCAAGATAAAGGACAGAGCTCAAATTCAAGACCTGGCCTCTTACACTTAGTCCCACTATATAGATGAGGCCACTGGGGCTCAGAGACTTTAATAGCAATGACTATTTCCTGCCTACTTCCCCCCCCCATATTGAATGAGAGAGCAGACTAAACAGAGGTCTATAAAGGTAAGAGCACGGCACAAATGTAAGATGGTATGATTCAAGGCGGAAGCTAAGGTATCTTTTTGGTTGAATCACCTGTTTGCTGCACTCTGGGTAGAATCTGGGACTCTGATTGACATACAGCAAATTTCTATAAATTCCTATTTGGTGAGGGGTCAGTAACAGTGACGAGTCAAGATGAGCTCATTTCCATTACATAAAGACTCTTTCTACCTCAAGAAAAAAAAAAACACAGGGATTCTAAAATGCTTGTAACACTTAGCCTATCTAAAGCCTAGCTTAAAATTAGGAAAACAGGATATAATCAGAGCCTCTAATAACAGGTTCTCCCCAGAGGGACATCTAGAAGGATGGAGGAAAAGGGTTAAGATATAGTCTCATTTAGTAAGTCAACTTTATGAACCTGAAAATATTAAGACCTTTGGGGGTGTATCAGTAAGGGTTTAGGGTTGCAAATAATGGAAATGAACTGAAAGTCATTCTGCTCATTTCTTGCTCAAAAAAGGAATTTAGTGGAACAACATTGGGTAGCCCACAGAATCAACAGGAAGGATGAAGAATCCTACTCTTCAGGGAGAACAGCCACAGTCATGCCCTAGAAACCTACTTAGGGTGCCATTCTCGCTGCCACTTGACCTGAGACACTGCCTCTTCTAGCACTGTGTCACTACCATTAGACCCTGGATTCTGGTTGTTGCCACTGGCAGAACTAGTCCTACAGCATCCCTGATTCTTTTTGTCATACCTCTTGAGACTCAAAGCCCTGTAGTGAAGGTATCTGGTAGAGTTGTTTTAAGTCACATGACTATGACTTTGCCTCCAAGATTACCAGAGAATAGGAGTCTGACCCTTGGAGCTTACTCTGTAGGGTGGGGTGACCTGCTTTCCACCTGGACTCACACAATGGTGAACTCTCCTAGCATAGAAGAGGTTAAGATGACAGGCAGACAACATGGCAACTAGTGTCCCTGCAACGTATCTGGAGGGGAGGGGAGGGGAGAGGAGGGGAGGAGGAAGGGGAAGGGGAGGAGGAAGGGGAAGGGGAGGAGAAAGGGGAGGAGGAAGGGGAAGGGGAGGAGGAAGGGGAAGGGGAGGAGGAAGGGGAAGGGGAGGAGGAAGGGGAAGGGGAAGGGAAGTATCTGGTTGAGAAAATTCCATCGGACACTGATTACATAGTCTCATGACTTTTAGAGAAAGAGAGACTTCTTCTTGGCATCTTACTCTGTTCTCTTCAGCAGATGGACACTGAGGGTTAGAAACCTCCCCACCACCAGCAGCCTTTCACCAGGTCCTATTCAATCTTTGGCAGCTTGGAGAGACTCAGTCTGGTCCACCCCACCCCACCTCCAGCTTCATCTTATGCTATCCTGCTCACCTGCCCTAATCCTTCAAGTTCCTCACCCCAGTCTCTCAGGTTGCTGCCCCATCCTGTTTCTCCCCTCCAGCACACAGCCAAAATCCAAATGAAGTCTAGAACTTTAACAAGTGTCCGATAATGGAGTCACACAATATGAAGGCCTTGGTAGCTGGAGAGCAGGCTCCACTCTCATTCCAGCATGGAAATGCCACACCAATGAATCTTCCTGTTTTTAACTAGATAGCTCTGCCTACTCTGGCTAACATACCTAGTAGCCAGAAATCAAATGCCAAAATGCCCCATCCTGAGCCTTGTGCCTGCACCCGCCAAAACAAGTCTTTCAGGGCTGACTAGAAGATTCCGGATCTTGGAACAAAACAGCCTCACAGCTCCAGGCTCTGCATGGTGACTCATTCCTCACGGAGAAGTTAAACCTCCCTTTGGGAGAAAGAGCTAAGCTACAGGTACTCCAAGACCAATTCCAAAAGCCCTCCAGGAACAGGGCTCAGAGGGAGCCAGGGAAAGTGGAGACAGGGTGGCAGGGCTGGGAGGGTGCCAGAGGACAGGAAATGAGCTTCTGCCCTTCGGTTAGTTTCCAGGAGTGATTCCTTCCAGCCAGGCTGAATGGGATGCACACAGCTACCTCCCTGATGGGGTTTCAATGTTTGTTTCCTCTCCAAAGCTGCAGCTGGAGAGGACAGTCATGCAAAAATGAAAACAGAACTAAGAATCTTTCTTCAACTTTCTTTCAGCCCAATTGAAGTAGAAAATGCAGTCAAAAGATAGAAAATAACATATTGGCAATATTTGTAATTCAGCACAGAATTAATCAATAATATTGCTTAAGAAATGTTTGTTTGGTTTTTACATGTCTAGAATCCTGGGAAGAAAATCTAGTTTAAAGAGAGAGAAAGTTAGAAACTTTGAGATTCTGATGGAAATGTCTTCTGGGTACTTTTAAAGTCTAAGTTAATGGTCTTGGTTCTATTTAAAATATGTGTGATTTCCTTATTAAAGAAGAAATATCTGTTTATTGTAGGAAAAAATCAAAATTCAATTAATGGAAAATATTTTTAAAAATTTCTCCTCCCATTAGATGTGCATACATTCCAGATTTTTTTATACATTAATGCTTTGTTTTTATAAAAATGGAATTCTACATATTTTGTAATCATTTTTCCTTTCGATTATATCAATAACATCTAATTTAGATTGTTATTCTAAATGGATATATAGTGCATCATTATATTGGCATTCCATCATCTAGTCAATAAATCTCTATTACTGAATATTTACTGTGTTTCCAATTTTGGGTATTATAAACAACATTCTAATAGGCACTCTATCTTGCATATGAATTGCCCGGTCATTTCTTTAGGATATATTCCTCAATGTGAAATTACCATATCATATTTATTAAATGTTGATATATATACCAAACTGCCTTCCAGTAGGGTCGGATCAAATTGCACTTCCCCAAACCATGAATGCCTTTTCTCTGCTGCACTCACTATTATGGGTGCTGTCATTCTTTTCTGTATTTCTTAGCTGTATCCAAGTTTACTTGATAATTGTTTTTATTTGCTTTGATAAAAATATCACGAGAATTCTTTTTCTTTTGATTGCATGTGTGAGATAAGGTCAAACTTAATCATTGTCAGTTAATGGAAAAAAAGTAGGAAGAGTGGGAAGGAGATAAGGTAGAGTCCACTGAGGTAAGTAAACAAGAATTAGAAGTAACTGTCTACAAATATCATCATGCCCCCACCCCAGGGAAAAAGGAGGCATTAGAAACCGACTTTGGGTCAATTTCCCATGCTGTTGGACCAAGAACTCTTTCAGTGCTATCCCAAATAGTGCAAGGACCTGCACACCATTTTTAAGTTGGAGGCTTCCAATTCAGGTGATGTCAGGTGACGTGTATATATAACACACAGATGGCATACATTTGAGCAGAATTGGATTTGCTTGGTCTGCAGAAGACCACCCAAGAAAAATTTTGGAGATTCTCAGAGGTATGAAACTGAGCTTAGCCCTCACCTGGTGTAGGACCTCAAGCCTTTCCACTGATGAGCAACTGTTAACAACATAACTAGAACTCCCAGCCCCAAATACTAGAGACTTGTTAGGGCCCAGGTGAAAGAACTGATGACTCTTTTGAAGTGTTCCTCACATGCTGTTGGTTTCCTTTCTTTTATATTTACATGCGTAATCTCTTTTAATTATCACAGCAAACGTTTGAAGTAGATTTTATTATTTTTCCCGCTCTACAGATGGATGAGCTGGAGCTGAGACCACTATGGCAAAGCCACAGCATGAATCCATGTCATCTAATTCATGCCCTTTACACTATTACCACCTGGTAGAGTTTGCAGTAACACTACTCACTTCTATTGCAGTTAGAGCAGAGGCTCCAACAAGAGCCCAGCGGTGGCCAGATTTCTTCCTGCTTTACCAGATAAGAAAGAAAACAGTAATTGGGTGACAATACCTAAATTCCCTTTGGGGTTCTGGGCATAAGAGAAGTGTTACATGTGCCTTCCTTCATAGGATAACAGACTCCAATGCTTACAGGACTTCTGAGAGATGTTAAGAAATCAATCCCCATTAGGCAAATTAAATCTAAATAAATAACACCCACTCTGCATCTTCCTGGAAAAACCCATCCCAGGCCCATATGGCTTCAGGCAAGTTGCTTAGAAATCATGAAGATCATGTAGAGACACAGGATGCAAATGCAAGACACCGATCATTTGGTCTCCTCCTTTCCATGGCAGCTTTCCACCAGGAGGCTATGGGAAGGTCATGGCCACCAGATGTTGCTGAGGACAAGAAAACTTGTTCCTGGCTGGGCTTTGCCAGAAGCCTCCCTCCACCCTGCTGTACCCATGGTGTTCTGACAACCCTGTGGTGCTCACATCCACAGTGGCCTCTCCATTGCTTCCAGTGGCCCATCTGCCTGGGCAGCAGGAATCAGAGGGGTGTGACATGGAGACACAGACCATCTAGTACTAAATGTTTGTTAAGGCTGAGTAGAGTCTGGAATGTTGGCTTGAGGGCTGCTGTCTGAACCATCAAAGCAATGAAAAACTTAAACGAATATGCCATTTGAGATGTTCTCCGAGGTGGGTGAGCTCTTACAAGCAAAAACTGGAAGAACTACTCTGGTAGAGGAAATTCCTTTGGACACTGATTCAAGTTCTGGCTGTGCCACAGTGGTGTCATCTCACATACCTCCCCACTAACCTGCTCTCCCCATACTATGTTGAATTTTCTGTCTTTAGCCAAAGCCTCTTTCAGCCTAAATGAGACCTTCTACTGGTGGAGCTTCAAAGCACTCCATCTCCCGGCATCCCCCACCTTCTCAAATTTCATTTAAAAGACCATGAAACACCATCTCTACTCCCACAAAGATAAATGCCATGCAATCCATTCTCCAGCCTAGCAGGCCTTTCTCAGGCCATCTCACATCACACACTCACCCTCCAGCTTCCTGCTGCCTAAGGTGCTTGAGTCACACCAGATCCCTTCTTCTGGGGAAGCTTGTCAGATAGCTCCTTTTATCCCACACATTTACACCAACTGCCATCATCACCATGCATTCAAACTCACACTCCAGGACAGGCATGGACCACAGATGTCCCAAAGCCACATCTCCTAATCCACAGATTCACACATCACATTACAGGAACTCAATTACTTGGTGACTAAAGTCAAGCTCAGAATCTCTTCTCCATATTCAATAGATTCACTCTTCCTCACTCAACTTCCTCATTCCAACAAATTCAGAGACTCTCTACTTTTCTAAGAACTTACAGGTCCCCCTTAGACCTCCATAACACCTAGGAGAGTTAGATGTCATTACTCCCATTTTATAGAACAATAAATCAAGGTTCAGAAAGATTGAGTGACTTGGCCAAGTTCACACATCAGGCTGGAGACTGCCTGCTGAGATTCAAACTCAGATCTGTTGAAAATCTATGCTCTGTCTAACAACTACAGGCTGTAACACAAGGGATTTACACAAGATTACACAATTGTTCAATAGGGTTAGGAAAATAGAAACAAGAGAAAGGACAGGGCCAGAGGAAGAGAGTAGCAAAGATGAGCTAAGAAGGTAAACTTATTGTCAAGGTAAAGAGTTGAAGTTTTACGTTACAGGCATTTAACCATGCCAGTTTTTTAAGCAGAAAAGCAAAACTAGGGGGAGGAAGCAATAACCTAAGTAGAAAAAATTCTCTAAAAATCATGTGTCAAGGTCCCTTCCTCCAGCAAAGGCTTCCCTTAAGCCATCCAGACAGGGTGGAACGGTTTCTCAGAAATCTAAGCCACTCCATGCCTGTGTGGTATGAAACCCCATGCAAATGCCATTAAGCCTTCACCAGAGGCTCCCTGCCATGGGCTCTCCCTGTCTCCAGCTGCCCCAGGACAGCAGGGCTGCAGCAATGGCTTGGTGAGCAGATCTGGTTTGCAGCACAAAGCTTTGCACTCCCCCTGGACTGTTAGCCCTGACACAGTACATAGCTGTGGTTTCTATGGGAAAGCCCCTGGCTACCCACACCAGGCCTTAAATGTAGGATGAATCCCACAAAATCTCCCATCCGAACCTGCATTAGGACTCAAATCCTCGGCTGATCCTGGCAGGGCTGGGCCTCCGGGCACAGATTAGCACAGAAACCCCAGGAACTCAAAGCACCTGCAGGCAAGGATCACTATGGCTGGGAAGCCAGCATCCCCAGGTCTCCCTGGCCAAGTCAGATCTCTTTTCCCAGAAGTCTTTTCATGGTGAATAGGACACTATGACCAGGAGTCAGGAAACCTGGGTTCTTGTTCTAGGCCAGTCACCAACCAGCTCTGGGGCCTTGAGTAAATCACTAGCCTTTGCCGGGTCTCTACTTTCTCATCTCAGGAATACACCACCAGCCCTTGCTACTCTGCAGAACTTCGTAGAAGAACATGTAAGAGTATGGATGTGGAAATCATAGCCAACTTCCTACTTGGTGGGATACCTGGAGAAGACTCAGAGATGGCAGATAGATAGATAGATAGATAGATAGATAGATAGATAGATAGATAGATAGATAGAAAGAAAAACAGATCATCTCCCAGATTTCTGGGAACAGTACAGATGGCAGATGTTCTTCCTCAGTTTACTCATGAGCATAGTCTTACTTTTAAGGCGGTATGCCTAATTTCTTGTGAGATAATAAAGATGATAATTCAGTCAGGGAGATGGATAGAGCCTAGAGGAGGAATTAAGGGTGTGCACTTAGCCATCACTACTCTACCTCTGTTGAGCTGTGCCATCTTGGACTAGTTACACAGTTTCTCTGGGCCTCAATGTCATCATCTGTAAAATGAGATTATTAAGAGTTGTACCCAGTTGTGGGTACATAGTACCTAGCACATGCTCAGTGCTCAATGAATGGTGGTTGATGATGTCAAAAAGGAATTCTGACTTTCAGGCTCTGTCTATGTTGCTCTGTCCTTCCACTCCTCCCCATCCCACACATCCAAAGTATATCTTGTAATTGTGACCCTGGGTGTGCCTTGAAGGGTTTGGCTCTTTCTTTTTCCTATGCACTCCTCCTGGAAAACAGCAGACCTGCTGAGGCAACCAGCACAGAAACAGAGCTCGTGCCGACTCCCAACTGCCGGGGATACAAAGGGCTGCTAGGGAGATGGAGCAGGAAGCACAGCCCTGGAAGAGTGCACTGTCCCCCCAGCATCCGACAACCGGCCTCTCAGTGTGGAGCTCTGTGGGGCACAGTTGACGACTGTCACTCACATCCACTGACACCACCGTCTATGCCATTTGTCAGCAAGCAGAATGTCCTCATGTGGTTTGACCTGACTCTCTCAAGTCCTGGGGAACAAGGTTGCACCCTCCACATGAAAACAACCAGCTCAATGCACAGAGTCTGGTCAGATTCACAGCTGGAGTTTGCATCTGTCACCCACCACCCTGCAAGGTTCTATTCTTCAATTCGACCAAATAACTTGTAACTGGGGACACAGCCCAAACATGGAACCAGGAAAGGTCAAGGTTCCAAGCTACCTTCGAGATCATCTGATCCAATAACTTCATTGTTCTGGTAGGAAAAGCAAATCCCAGCGAGGGGACTTACCAGAGATCATACAGTTGGCCAGGGAGTGGCTCAAGGATCTAGGAGTAGCAGAGGCATCTTCACCCCCCCTCACCTGGGAGAAAACAGAACCACAAAGAGGGGGAGGTCGGCTGGTGGAGGGGACTGACACCGGTTGCATTTCAGGGGCTTCGCAAGGGGTAGAATGAGCACTGGACTGAGGGTTAGAAGACCAGGGTCCCCCACGTGTCTCTGCCTCGAATCAGCTGGGCCCCCGTGAGCTGTCACTTCCCCTCTCTTTGGGTCTCAATTCTCTCTTATAAAACGGAGCATCCCATCCACCTCTAAGAATGGGTTCAAGGAGCAGATGAAAATGTGTTTTGAAAATCCTGAGGCTCTACATATGTACAACCAAATTCTGCCCATCTACACAGCCACTTTTAGCTGTTGTCCCCAAGGCCTGGAAGCAGGCAGAGGGGAGAGTTAGGTAAGCTCTCTGAGCACATCCAAGGCTGGAGGGCTTCCCTCAGCAAAGGGGGCCCAGAGCACCAGGCTAAATCCATGTCATTCAAGCAGCGCTCAGGTTGTGTCTAAGCAGCTTTGATTTTAAAAGATTAGGAGGGCCGCAGGGTGGAAAGAAAAGTTGATGAGGCAACAAAGTCCTGCCCGCAGTACCACACTGCCCTCTGCAGGGTGTCTGTGAGAAGGCACCTCGGCTGGCCAGGTCAGGTTAATTCCGACTGCCCAGGGTCACAGATCCATTCCCGTGCCTCCACGCAGTGCAAGCCCTCTCCAAGTAGAAACAGGGATTGGGGGGGTGCTGCAACCACCCTCAGTAATCTGCTCTGTCTTCAAACAGCGCAGGCCTTTCTTGGTGTCTGGCCCGAATCTTCCTCTTGTCCTGACACCAACCATCTTCCAACCTGCCCTCCGAGGAGCCTGCCTTAGCGTCTCTTGCTTGTGACTCTAAAGCCAGGATTTAGAAGGTTCTAGAAAACAGAACAGCCCTGGCTCCTGCCCACCTCATTGTACCCTCTTTTCTCCAGAATAAGGTGGTTTCTCCATACCCTGGACATATTTTGGTCCTTGGAGAAAGCCCCCACACTGAAGGAGACGTGTCTTGCCTGAATCAACAGACAAGCCAGCGTCCTGCAGGTCTCAGTGATGAACCAAAAAGTCTGTGACTTTCACGAACATCAGACCCAATCTCCACAAATGATCTGGGATTGCGGGGGACATCCAGGGCCCAGAGCCTGCCCCCACGGCAACAAGGAATGTCCTCCAAGGCCCTCATGGCACCAGACCTTCCCCCTTCTCCATCCTCTCCCTGGCTGTGTGGTTCAGAGTGGGGCACTCTGCAGCTGGCTGACCAGCCTCCAGGCATGGGCTCAGGCCATGCTCCCTGTGTGCCCTGTGCAGACCCGGGGAGACGCTGCAGCCGGCCTGGCCATGTGACACGGGTGATTCACACACGCAGACGCCCAGACCAGTTTCTCCTTTCTTCCTCTCCCAGGCCATTACAAAAGGCACAGTCTCAGCACAGTGCTGCATTGTTCCCAGGGTCAGCAGAGGCTGGAAGCTGAGGGGAATTAGGAAGACAGGGAGTTGAGCAGCGTAGAGTGGTTTTCCATGCAGCATATGCACCTCGTGCAAGCCAAGCCCACTTCCTGTCTTGGCTCCAGCTCTGGAGCTCAAGTTTATATCTCCCTCCTTCAGAACCAACTTCGGTTTGGGTTGTTGGCTTCTTTAATTTTCCACTCTCCGCACGTGTGCATTTCTTTGAAAAATATGCACGTGCTGTGTCTTTTTTCTTCTCCAGCACACATCATTCTTTAGAGACTATAATATAAATTCGGAGTCCAGCAGCCTTTGTCTTTAAGAGCATGCTTTCTCCTTTGTCTTCTGCTCTCTACCCCCAACAAGACACTAAGCATAGACAGGTTGGTGGATGTGATCAGAGGTACACGTGGGCAAGGCCAGGACTTGGGGGTGCAACATGAGTGAATGGAAGAGAGAGGAGGCTGGTCAGCAATGGTGGCAGGGGGTGGGGGGTGAAGAAATTTGGCCATGAATGGGGCAGTCAAGGATTTGGGAAATTATTCCAATTTTCCTATTCTTTAATTATGAAAATCTTCGACTCTGGGTAGGTGAAAATAATTTCCTGGTAAATAAACACTTGGAATCAGAAGGGCTTTTGGCAGCCCAGTGGTCCCATTCTGATCATCTGAGAGGTAGTCCTTCCTCTACAGCAGGCCCATGGCCAGCAGGACAATCTGTCCCACGGCTGAGCAGCTCAACTCATTAGAAGGAGCTTTGAATATCAGGTCAAAATGTGTCCCCCAAGTGGTAGGTTGTAAAAATGGTCACCCTTTTTCACTCCTCCTTGTATCCATGCCCTTAACATGTGACTTTGCAGGACTGATCTATGACTTGCTTTGATCAAATGTAATGTCATGCCATTACTGAACTTAGACTTCAAGAGACCTCACGTACTTCTGCTCTCTCACTCTGAACCCTGTCACTGGCATGAGAACAAGATCAGTATAGTCTGCTACAGGATGAACTAACACATGGAGGAGAACTCTGTCATCCCAGCTTAGGCCTTCCTAAGCTTAGACTCTTACTCTCTCAAGTCCTGGGGACAACCCACAGCCAGCATGACAGCTGACTGCAGATGCATGTATGAACCCCAGCTGAGATCAGCCAAGCCTGGCCCAGGTCAGCAGAACCACCCAGCTGAGCCCAGCCCAAATTGCTGGCTCTCAGAATTATGAGTTAAATAAATGTTGTTTTAAGTCAATAAGTTTTGTAGAGTTTTGTTATGCAGAAAAACTAAACCAGTGCAGCCCATAATAGCCCTCTACAGCTATACAGAATAATCTCGTGATTCCTTGTCCCTGAGGACAGCCCTTTAAATAGTGAAATACTTATCATTGCCTCTAAGCAACAGAATGACTCTTGGGGAGGTCATGCTACTAGCTCCTGTTTTAGAGGAAAATCACCCACCAAGACATCCTTTGCCACTTCTTTTTCACTAGCTGCCAACCTAGGAGCTGCAAACATCTTGCAGTTGCTGTCAGCATCCTTCTACAACATCTTACTCACTCATTAGAGCACTCTGACAGCCCCATACCCCAATAATCTGATCTTTCCAGCACATTTTATTGAAAATTAAGAGAAATTATAAGATTGAGATGAGGAGGACACTAAAGTACAATGAAAGTAGTTAAGTAAATTAGGCTTCTTGAAGCCACTTCTGACCCAAATCTGCCAAAACTGCCAAAAAGCCTCCAAAATAAATGTCCATGGAAGGCTTCACATGGAGCCCCAGCTCCATGGGTCACAGCAGTTGAGGGTGGTCAGGGGCTGCTGCTTCCAGCATTGGCCATGTGAAGCCAGCAGCAAATGCATTGAACTTGGTCTTGGGGCTGATGGGGAAGGTCATCACCCCCACCACAGGAGACAGATCAGACCTATGGCAGCCTCCATTTGGAACCAGATGTGGAGGGAAGTGGTGTGGGAAATGGCTGCCATCTGTGGATTTTCTGGCTGAAGACTTGACTGCAAAGTTTGCCAGTTTCAAACGAGCCCTTGCAGCTTGGCTTCCTGTTTTCCGTTTGCGCTCCCCGTGTGTCACGGCACAATTATTCTGGGAGACGTGCTCAAAATGGACACGGTCTCCAATTTTCTTTCCCTAATAACAGTGCGGGAAATAGGGGTGAGGAAGGCAGTTGAGAGAGGAAAAACCCCAAACCTCAGAAAAGGATGAAAACACTTCTAAACTCAATTTCAAAAATGAGAAAATCAAAATCACCAAATCGCAATACACAGCCCTCTACTCATTCAATCCAGTCCCCTTATGGCTGAGCAGGCTAGCGAAGAGAAGAGACTTCATGGATGTGAGGGGTGTGAGTTCTACTTTCATGGGATCAAGAATATTTTGAAATTTTCTTTCCTGAGAGCCTAAAAATCATCCGCCTGGGATGGCAACAAGGTCAAATGGCTGGTGGTAGGGTCCTGAAAAGATGCCGTCCACCACCAATTATTTTTCAACCACATACATGGCCTTGGCCATGGCTCAAAGCAGAACAAAGAAAGGGCAACTCTCTTCCAGCTCTTTTTTGTCTTCTACTGGACAAATTAATCAGCCCCAGTGCCCAAATCCATTCTTATTCATGGCCAGGAAAGAAGTTGGAAGTCTAGAGTATGCATGTTTTAAAGGTCTTTGGAACTGTCTTGCTTTTGGATTTTAGATGAAAAGATTAGGATGTGTTTGTCTGTGTGTGCCTATGTATATGAGCCTGGATTTATCCAGGCTTTTATCTATGTGCCTGGGTACACATATTTGTGTTTCTGAAAGTGCCAGCTAGTGTGCGAGCATGATTTACATAAATAAATATATCTATAACATGTACACTTGGTACGAATGCCTGTGTGAGCCCATGAATGTGCACACTTGCTGGCCAGCATGTGCATAAAGTTGTGTTTGTGTGTGCATGCACATGAGTGTGTGAATGCCCCACATGTGTTGCATGCACTAACATGTCTGCAGTCTATGTTCAAGATGGGGTGGCATGAGTGTGCATGCTAGCACACAACTGCCTGTGAGAAGGTGTGTCTGTGTGTGCACGTGTCTGTCCGTGCAAGCAGGGCTCCTGGTCTCTCCCCATCTCCATCTCCACCTCCCCCTCCATCAGCCCACAGCAGCCTCTGTTTGCCTCCCTTTGGGATCTGCCAGCTAATGGCAGGAGTTCTTCTCCCAGGGAAACAACACTCCTCCCTGCTCATTTGTGTCTCATCAGAGGGCTAACTGGCCTGGAGGGGCTCCAGGCTCCAACCCGTAAATGGCAGCCCACGATGGCAATGGACGACTTTCTTAATTGCCCGTGATGCTTGCGGGTGCAGTGCAAACACAACGGTAGCTATTAGGCTGCGAGGCCTGAAGCAGGGTTACATTTTGCGCCTGTGTGAATTTAGTGTTCCTGGGAGTTGAGAGGCCAGAGTGGGTTGGAGCCACCGAGAGGCTGTTATTATGGCCTGGCATGAGCCTGCCGTTAGCTTCTTGAGACCCTGAGGCCATTTCACCACACTCCAGAATTGCAACCCCCTTGAATTTCCAAACCAGGGACCCTGGGCAGCAATCCCCCCACCACACACACACACACATGCACACACACAAACACACACACACACACACACACACACACACACACACAGAGTCATGCTTCTTCTTTCTCTATTCTGTCTGTCTCTGATTTATTTTTCTTTCTGTCTCTTTCTCCTCACTCTATGGTTTTTCTCTCTCTTTCACTCTTCCCCTCTATCCGTTTCTTGCTTCCTCCCTTCTTTCTTCCTCCCTTCTTCTCCTCTCTCTGCCACTCTCCTAGTTCATAAGCTCACAGCAGCAGACCTAAAGCTGGACAATGACCAGCATCACCTTCACCTGCCCAACCACCAGCAGTAGCCTTTCTCCTTCTCCAGCCCAACCCCAGCCCAGTCTCTCCCTTTGGTCTCCATCCAGCCCATTCCTTCACAGTTCTGGGTCCCAACAGGAACATTTGTTATGTATACGTAACTCTAAGGCTTTGAGGAGGCTGGAGGGGTTTAGCAATGAGCTTTTTGTTTCTTTTGTTCCCCTCTGTTTGCCCCCTCATAGACGCCCATGATAACCAGCGCTCAGCCTCTTGTTTTCTGCGTTGCTGGCTTCAGCTCACATGAGGGAAACTGAAGATCCAAAGATAGCGGGAGTACTCTACATCAATACATCAAAGGAAAGGTGCCCAAATGCAGGACTCCTCCATAGCTTAAGGCACAAAACTTCTCCTCCGTAGGCCCAGAATGGAAGAACATGGGTTTGAAGCCTCCAGTTGTGGGTGGCACTTGAAGGAATTTGGAGCAATGACAGAAGACTGTGTGATTTCCTCTTGAGAGGAGAAGTGGGCCAGGAAACAGTGGTAAGACACTGCTTTATAAATGGCTTAAAATATCCTCATTCAAATAGTTCTTCAGAACATGTTGCTTGGCTCAATGTTTATGGGTGAATAAATGAGTGAGTAAACAAATAAGTGAATAAATGAATGACTAGAAGGCAATTACGTTCCCTTTCCTAGAGATTCCTAGGAATGAAAATCATACTAAATCTGGATGATCTCTCCTTAAAGTAAGGGAATGCATAAGGTGACATCAGCAGGGCTCTCCAACAGGAGGAAGTAGCAATCCTCCAGTAGGTCCCCTCCCCTGGTGGCACCCAATTCCTTTGTGTATTAGTCTCCACTAATGATCTCAATTGACCTTCCCACCAATAAAGCATTGGAGATGAGGAAGCTGTGACGTTATGAGGATGAAGGCATTTCCAACTCTTTCACAGTTTTCATCCAATAGCACAACATCTTCTCTTGTCCTTCATCTCAGCCAGGACCATGAGAGGCTCCCAGGTGACCCCACATGGAACAGTAATGCAGATGCCTAATGCTTTTGTCCTTCTTATTTTGTCTACCTTGCCAGGTGTAAGGGCACTTTCTGACTGGGGAGGAAATATGAAAGTTCAGCTCCTTTGCATCTAGTTGGGACAAACTCTGAAGCATAATTTGCATTCTATCATGCCTCTGCAGGATCAAGGTAAAGTTTATCCTCCATGAGTTTATAACAGAAATTTCATGCTTGCTTGACTTCTTCCCCTTTTCTTTCCTGCATGCCCCACTCTCTTTCAAGTTTCTCCTAGGATCATTTTGTTAAAAAATCACTTGTGCACTAATAGTCATCTCAAGGTCTACTTCTGGAAAACTGATCTTAAATAACAGAGTGCTCAAACTAAAATGCCTACTAGAGTCTGTTGTGAGGAGGTATAGAAACCTCACACTCTACCCATCTTAGTTTGTTTCATGCTTCTATAGCAATACCATACACTGGGTAATTTATAATGAACAGAAATTTATTTAGCTTGTGGCTAAGTCCAAGGTCAAGGAGCCACATCTGATGAGGGCCTTCTTGCTGCATGATAACATGATGGAAGGCATGACATGTGTGTGAGAGACAGAGAGAAGGAAGCTAAATTCATCCTTTTTTAAGAAACCCATTCCCAAGGTAACAATCAATTGATGAGGGCCCTGCCTCTAATCATCTCTTAAAAGTCCCACCTCTCAACACTGCTGCACTGGGGATTAGGTTTCCAGCACATGAACCCTTGGGGAACACATTCAACTCACAGTGGCATCCAAAGACAGCAGCCGCTCCCAGTGGGAATGGCAGCCATACTGCAAGATAGCCTGACTTTTTAAAAATGTTTAACAGAATCCATGGTTTCACATATCTCTCCATTTTTAAGTGTGAAAAACATCTGAGATCTTTTTTAACACACTGTTCAAGCTGAGCAGAACACATCCACAGATGGGATTCATATTCCGACTACTAGATTTCAATCTCTGCATTGGTGGTTCAGATTCTAGTGAAGAAATGATTGGAGGTGACTTCCAACACCACCCAATCAAAAACTACCAAGTATTGAAAAGGGCAGAAACATGACCCATGGTATCATGACAAATCAATTAACCAAAACCAACTTGAAACCTACACGGATGTTAGAATTATCAGACAAGGAAATAGAAACAGTTATTATAATTATATCTGTATATGTTCAAAAAGTTAAGTAGAAGATATTTTAAAAGATCCAAGTCAGACTTCTACAGATGAAAACTAAAATGTCTGAGATGAAAAATACACTGACTAGAATAAATGGGAGATCAGACATTACAGAAGAAACTTGAAGACTCAGCAATATGAGCTAGCCATGAGGATACATAAAGATAAAAAGACATTATAGAAAAACTAACAGAGTATCACTGAGCTATGGGACAACTTCAAGCAACCAAATATATGTGTAATTGCAGTCATCAAATTTGAGATGCAAGGGAGAACAGAAAAATTATTTGAAGAAATACTGGTTAAATTTTTTTCCAAGTTTAATGAAAACTATATACCCACAAACCCGGAAAACACAATGAATGCCAAGCAAAAGAATATGAGGAATATCACACCTCATAATCAAATTGCTCAAAACCAGTGATTAAGAGAAAATCTAAAAAACAGCAAAAGAAAGGTACATTATGAACAAAAGAGCCAAAGTAAAGACAGCAGATGTCTCATCTTAAAACAGTATGTGAGGGAAGGCTGTAGGGCAATATCTTTAATGTGTCAAAAGAAAAAATATCAACTGGAATTCTATACCTAGTGAAAATATCTTTCCCCAAAAAAAGCGAAATAAAGAAATTTTCAGGCATAAAAAACTGTAAGAATCTAACACCAGCAGACCTACATTAGAAGAAATATTAAAGTCCTTTGGGAAAAAAAAATTAAACCAGATGGAAATATGAATGAATGTGCACCAGGAATTAAGAACACCAAAAATAGTAACTTACATTATATGAAAAACTTACCTAAAATGAATCGCAGATGTAAACATAAAATATAAAACTATATACATAGAAAATATAGAAAAAAACCTTTATGGTTTCTTAAGACTTCATACATACAATACCCAAAGTACAAGTGATAGTAGAACTAATTGATAAATTGGACTTCATCAAATGTAAAAATATCTACTCTTCAAAATCAGAATGAAAAGACAAGGCACAGACTACAAGAAAAATATTTACAAATCATGTATCTGATAATGGATTTGTATCCAGATTTATAAAGGGAACTCTCAAAATTCAATAAAGAAAATAAGCAACCCAATAAAGAAAACAGGAAAAATATCTAAACAGACACTTTCCCAAAGAAGACACATGGATGGCAAAAAAGCACATGAAAAGACATTCAACCTCATCAGTCATTAGGGAAATGCAAATTAAAACCACAATGACATAGCACTAAATAATTATTAGCATAGCTAAAATGGAAAGGACTGACCACATCAAGTGGTGGTGAGGATGTGGAGGAACTGGAACACTGTTGGTGGGATTGTAAAATAGGACAAGCATTTCGGAAAGCAGTTTGGCAGTTATTTTACAAGTCAAATATACACCTACCATATGATTCAGCCATTCCATTCCTGGATGTTTACCCAAAAGAAATAAAAGCATATGTCCATACAATGACTTGACTGAATTTTTATAGCAGCCTTATCTGTAATAGCCAAACACTTGAAATAACCCAGATGTCCTTTAACAGGTGAATGGGTAAGCAAATTATAATATACTCACATGATGGAATACTACTCAGCAATCAAAAGGAATGAACTACTAATACATACTACAATCTGGATGAATCCCAGAATAAGTATGCTGAGTGAAAGAAGCCAGACTAAAGAACATACATAGTATATTATTCCATTTATATAAAATTCTAGGAAACTCAAACTAACCTATAGAGAGGTAAAGCAGATCCATGGTTGTGTGGGTGAGAGAAGCAAGAAAGAAAGGTTACAAAGTGCCACAGAGAAACTTTTTGGGATAATAAATATGCTCAACATCTTGATTCCAGTGATGGGTTCATGGGTATACACCTGTGTCAAAACTTATAAAATTGTACACTTTAAATGTGTGCAGTTTGTTGCATGCCAATTATACCTCGATAAAGCTATTTTAAAAACAGCTTTATTATACTTATTTATTGATCTGGCAATCAACAATGATGTGTTTAAAAAAGAAAAAGAAATTGTCAAAAAAGGTGAAGCATTCTTAACCTGGACGTGGAAGCAGGGGAACCATAACCCACAGGTCAGCCCTACCATGGCCCAGGGTTCATTCATTCCCTTTCCACACGCCTTCATAGGCCCTCCAGTTGACTGAACATTTACTCCAAGGTCATTTAATTAATATCCATGAGAAAATGAGAATGTATGTGGATTTTCAGCAGGGACAAGAGCTGCATCAACTCTTTACTTTGTGTAATCTATATAAAAGTATGCCTTTTATCAAGGCACAATGCCTTACTTAAGCTTTTATAAAAAGTACCTATCCTTTACAATAGAAGCATAAGTATACAGTAGATCAAATATGAGCCACGAGTGAGCCGTTTGTTCTCACCTGCTGTGCATCATGATCTTACCAGTGTTTACTAATAACCCAACTATGAATGTGCAATATACCTCTATTACACTGTATTGGTCTCTGGGTAGAAACCCTCAAACGACGACTTCAGTGTCTAAATCATGACTCTGTATCCAATGGCTACCTCATTTATCTTCGTTTAGATTTTAAGCATTTTCCACTCATCGACATGTGTTTCTCATCTCCCAAGTATGTTCACAGCAGCCCGTGGGAGTGAGTAGAGCAGACACATCATCCCCTCCTTACAGACAAGAAAACCCAGGCAAAAAGCAGTGAATGGATCTGCCCGATATGACACAGCTAGTCCCCCAGATAAAATCACAGGCCTGATATGACACAGCTAGTCCCCCAGATGAAAATGCAGGCCCAATATAACAGAGCTAGTCCCCCAGATGAAAACGCAGGCCCAATATGACACAGCTTATCCCCCAGAAGAAAATCCAATATGACACAGCTAGCCCCCCAGATGAAAACTCAGGCCCAATATTACATAGCTAGTCCCCCAGATGAAAACTTAGGCCAAATATGACACAACTAGTGCCCCAGATGAAATCACAGGCCCAATATTACATTAGCTAGTCCCCCATATGAAAACTCAGGCCCAATATTACATAGCTAGTCCCCCAGATGAAAACTTAGGCCCAATATGACACAGCTAGTCCCCCAGATGTAAAATCAGGCCCGATATTACATAGCTAGCCCCCCAGATGAAAACTCAGGCCCAATACTACATAGCTAGTCCCCCAGATGAAATCACAGGCCCAATATGATACAGCTTTTCCCCCAGATGAAATCGCAAGCCCAATATGACACAGCTTGTCCCCCAGATGAAATCACAGGCCCAATATAACACAGCTTGTCCCCCAGATGAAATCACAGGCCCAATATGACACAGCTTGTCCCACAAATGAAAACTCAGGCCCGATATTACATAGCTTGTCCCCCAGATGAAATCGCAGGTCCACAGACATCTGTTGGAGGTGCAAGCTGACGGCACCGCTGCCACATGTCCGACCACACAGCCCCCAGCAAGGGGAATGGAAGGAATCATGGTCTCCAATCAGTGCCTCACAGAAGCCATGACCTTCTGCAACATCAGCCTCATATGAAAGCCCCAAGGTCGGAGCATCTCCAGTTCTATCAGCCACAGGGATGCCGACCCCCTGCCTATACTCACTCAGCTGGAAGGCGGCCTGAACCTAATGGCCAAAGAGGCCGGAAGATTCCATGGATCTGGAAGCCAAGGTGGAAGCCTTTGGTCCAACTGAGCTCTGTCCCTATGGTCAACAGGCAGTTTAAACAGGTCTCAGCCAGCGTCTGTGCCAGAAGCCCAAGGTCAGGAACCACTTCATGCATTCTACATGCCATCAACACAAGACCCACTGCATGGGAATAGGGCTCAGAGATGGAGGCAAAGAGGAGACGACTGCCCCAAGGAGTAAAGAGGGAGAATGGTGAGGGGCTGATCTCAAGCATGAGCCCTAGGAACCTCACCCCCAGCTTTGCATTCCAGCATTACAGCATCTTGTTCCTACTGCAGTAGGGCCACAAGCCCAAGGGGTCAGTTAAAATGCCAAAGACTATCACATTAAGTGCCAGACTCTTATCTCCAAACAGCTTGAAAATAAACCAGCCAGAAACCAACAGGGATCTACAGCTCCAGAACTCAACATGGGGAAGTAATTCAGGAAGCTGGTGAAGTGTGGTGGCTAATATCACAAACCATGATGTCAAACAAACCTGCTTTCACAGACTATTCTTCAGACTATTCCTAACTGTGCAACCTCAGGCAAATTACTTTCCCTCTCTCAGCCTCAGTTTCCTCATTTAATGCATGGAGATAATAGGGATGCCTACCTCACTGGGTTGCCATGAAGATTAAATGAGTTTGTATACGTCAAGGGCTTAGTAAAATGCAGAGTACACAGTAAGTGCTCATTAAATACAAGTTGTTATTGTTGTAGTTCTGATTGGACAGAAAGCAAAGGGAAGGGGAAAGTCTGGCCTGAGGGGGTTTTGCTGGATGTGTCCTTGTGCAGGAAGGGGATGCAATGAGTCCCCAGATGCCCTGAGGCAAAGAGAGGCAGGAAAGAGCAGGTAGATGCCAAAAGCGGACATAGCAGGCCACCAAGCCCTCTACATGCTTCTTCTATTTTCCAATTATTGTTCTCATTTGACAGATGAAAAAATTGGGACTCAGCTGGTTGCATGGCAGGACCCCACAGCAGCTCTGGTTTCATCACAGCCCCTGTTGCTATGGTCTCCACTCCATCCTTTGTCGGGATTGGATCCCTTTCCATCTGGAGATCCACTGGGGACAGGATGTGCCTTTCAACAACCCTCTTCCAGCTCAGCAAACAGCTGACCTGCTCGAGACTATTCCTGACCTCCGCTGCATGGCATCTGTGGTCATGTATTGGTGCCTGTACCATGAGACCCTGAAAAATGAAGCCCTGTCATACAGAGAGCCCCGCAAAGCCCATCAGCCTGCCCTGCTGCCTGAGGCAGAAGCTCAGGGCACAGGCTTTCCAGCCTTCATTCCACAACTGTGAGTTGCAATACCTGCCCAAACAGCTCTATGCTAAATAAGCACAAGGGGTATGAGTGGAGAAAGGTGAGTGGAGATAAATCACCAGGCCCTACTTACCAGCAGAAAACAAGCCACCCAAGTCACAAGGTTGGCTGCAACAAATGTCTTAGAGGCAGAGGCAAAGATAAAAGGCTCTAGGAGTTCCAAGAAGGGAACGGAGCCTTCCGGCTGGAGAGCAGGGAGCAGGCATTTGACCCAGGTGACATTTCTGTGCCCCAGACAGCCAAATCCACGTGGATTTAGTTCCTGACTTTCCCTGGTGAGATGCAGGAACAGGTGATGGAGCAGCTAGGAGCTCCCTCCCTGAAGGCCTGGGAGGGGAGTCAGAGTTGAAAAGTGTGCCGTCCTCCTTAAACCTACTGCATCGTCAGGCTCTGAGACTCCCCACTCCACCCTCCCCCACACCTGAGAGCTCCCAACATGGTCTGCCTGGATTTCCCTGCAGAAAGGAGTCTTACTCAAGACCCCCTTGTGACTTTGGAGCCAGCCTAACTAGGAGAGGGCTTTGACCCCATGCAAGGTGCATGGAGGATCTGAGATCTCAACTTCTCTGCCCTCAAGTCTCCATGAGTCCTTGGACTCTGGGGGGCCTCTCTCATTAAACAAGCATGAACTTGGCCCTCTACTCCCCAGCCCTGGCATAGGTCCTGCATATAAAGCATAGACCTGAATAGGAAGCTAAAATTACACGACTTCTTAAAACTTCTCCCTGAAGACCTCGGGCTTCTCGGTTCTTCTTTCTTTCTTTAGTTATTTCACTCAATTTATTGAACAGTTATTGAGCCCTACTCTCTGCTAAGCCTGTGGTCTCTCCCTCCTTTCAAAATTCACTTTCTTTGTAGTAGTGCTTCTCAAACCGAGGTGGGTTGACCCTCTGCTGCAGAAACATGAGGGGTTACAGGAGAAGGGTTTCCGAGGCTACCTCACTCTCACTCCAAAGTGAATCAGAGCCCCATCAGTAAATATGGGTTTTTATCCAATGCTTCGGGGATCTGATGAACATTTAAATCTGAGAACCACTGACTTAGAGCTGTTTTCTCTAGTTTTGTCCTGTGTTGTTGCTTCTCATTTTTGAACAACATACTTTTGACAACGCAACAGAATTTGATGTTTCTGCAGGGCAGGGCTGAGTCACATTCATCTTCTCTCCTAGGACACCTTTCTTAGTCTGTTCAAGCTGCTATAACAAATATCATAGACTGGGCAGCCCATAAGCAACAGAAATTTTTTCTTCACAGTTCTGCAGGCTGGGAAGTCCAAGATGAAGGAATCAGCAGTCTTAATACCATCATCTTGGGGGGTTAGGATTTCCATATACGAATGGTGGGTGGGGCAGGGGGAGCACTGTCAATTACTAGTTAGAATGGACCCCATACACAAACAGTGGTACTCCCAAATCCAGCTTCCTGGGTGTGACCTCTGTAGTCACTTGGGGCCCTGAACTTACAAGGGTCTATATTTGGTTTGATACTCTGCTATGACCATCCTGAAATTTGAACTAATTTATCTCTATGTTTGGAACTGGAATCTAATGGGACATGGGAATGCACACGAGCAGAGGAGATAAGGGACCACATGTGCCTACCATTGCTTGCCAACCCATTGACATATAGCATTTGCAGTGCCCCATGAGTACAGAATCCCGGTAGACTCAGGATCCCTGGCAGTTCAGCAACATTCAAAGCAAGTATAAGGTAAGTGTGTAACACCTATGACTGAGTAATATGGGAGTCGTAGCTCCAAAAGTCTACATTTCCCATTCAAACCAACCTGCTTTGAAATGACTTTTAGAAACATAAACAATGAAGAGTCCCTATCATATCCTTTTCTTTCTTGTCTTGATTCCCTATATGAACCAACCATTTATTTATGCTGAAAATGATAACATAGATGGAAAAACAAGATAGCACAATCCATAGATATTTTTCCTTTCAGTCCTTTCTTACTCATCAGTAAACTGAAGGGAGAGAGAGTTGATAGGATATGTGCATATCAAGAAGTGAAGGCCAGGCATGGTGGCTCACTCCTGTAATCCCGGCTCTTCGGGAGTCCGAGGCAGGTGGATCACTTGAGGTCAGGAGTTCAAGACCGGCCTGGCCAATGCGGTGAAATCCCGTCTCTACTAAAAATACAAAACTAACTGGGCACGGTGGTGCACGCCTGTAGTCCTAGCTACTGGAGAGGCTGAGGCAGGAGAATCGCTTGAACTCGGGAGGCGGAGGCTGCAGTAAGCCGAGATCGTGCCCCTTACTCCAGCCTAGGCAACAGAGTGAGACTCTGTCTCAAGAGAAAAAAAAAAAGAAGTGGAATGACTAATCAGAATGGACCCCATATATAAACATGGTACTCCCAAATCCAGCTTCCTGGGTGTGACCTCCACAGTCACTTGAATATAGACCCTGAACTTACAAGGGTCTATATTTGGTTTGCTACTCTGCTCTGACCATCCTGAAATTTGTACTAATTTTATCTCTGTGTTTGGAACTGGAATCTAATGGGACATGAGAATGCACGTGAGCAGAGGAGATAAGGGACCACGCATGCCTACCATTATGGCAAACAGTAGTTAGTTTTGTGAGTTTCCACTGTCATATAGTCATGAATGAGCTATGAAATATAATTATGTCATTTCAGTGATTCTACTAATTAAACACTATATTTGCATCAAAAACTGGCATTTTACAATATAAAGAATAGTAAAATTGATGGTAATAATTTCATTTTTAAGTGTTTATTCACGTAGAACTACATTAAATAGCAACTTTAAAACACCATGAGGAACCATGAAAGAAAGGAAAAAACTTTAAATTTTAAAACCTTTAATGGCATTTTTTTCCTGCTGTTTGAAGAAGGGGACTACATTTTTATTTTGTACTAGGGCCAGCAAATAATGTAGCCAGCTCTGGTTATACCCATACAGGTACAGATAAATATCTATATATGTAATATAGATGCTGTATTGCATCTGTAATATAGCAGATGAATACTGGATGACACTTATCTGGATAATAGTGGAAGAAATTTGCAGATGTCAGAGTTAGAAGCAGTAATATTCTGGGGCTGGCTCCTACCATTCATACCAGCTCTCAGCAGCCAAGTGGGTGCATCTCACCCAAGTTTGCATTCAATGACATCACGTTGTAGCTTGAAACTGGCCAGGATGAAAGTATTCACATTGCAGAAATCAGTAGACACCACAAATCAGGGCTTTTTTTTTTTTTTTTTTTAAGACAGAGTCTCGCTCTTGTCACCCAGGCTGGAGTGCTGTGGTGTGATCCTGGCTCACTGCAACCTCCACCTCCCAGGTTCAAGCAATTCTCCTGCCTCAGCTTCCCAAGTAGCTGGGATTACGGGCACCTGCCACCACACCCAGCTAATTCTTTTTGTATATTTAGTAGAGACGGGGTTTCACCTTGTTGGCCAGGCTGGTCTTAAACTCCTGACTTCAGGTGATCCACCTGCCTCGGCTTCCCAAAGTGCTGGAATTACAGGTGTGAGCCACTGCACCCAGCCAGAGCTTTTTTATTCCAAAGAGCTGGTGTTAAACTTTTACCAGCATACAATTAATTGGTCAGAGGTTATCTAGTTCAATTTCCTCATGATGACAGAAACAGAGAGGAGAAGCAATTTTCCAAGGTCCCACCACTTCTAAGAAGGAGCTCATCATGTTCTGTTTCTGAGGTCCTAGCATGGAAAAGAGTGACCCCAGGGAGCCCATAGTAAACCAAAACCCAAAAATAACGGGCATCCAGAATCCTGGCAGATATCCCAGTGCCAGTCTGGCCTGCTCCTCCCGGCAGGATGCATGCCCTCCTAGGATAATATTGGGATTAACTGGGACTGGTTATGTCCTCCCTGGGTTGTCCTGTCACCAGGCAGGAAGGGTAACCTTTGTTTAGATATGCTGGGTCTCACTCCAGAACATGCTTCCTGGCCCATAATTACTTTCAGAGCATGCTGTTTCCACTTAGGGAAACCTGAGCTTCCTTCCAAATGGCACCGGACATGACCTGAAATTATATGTTTGCCTGCCGAAATGGACACACTAGTCAAGCCTGCTGCCTTCAAGTCACAATGGATTAAGTTGTAGGAGGGGGCCATGCTGCTGGGCGAAGCTGAGCTGGAAAGGGGGGCCTCTCATGAGTCTAGAAATCTGAGTTGTGTTTTCTCCACCCATGCCTGGACCAGCTCCAGGGCACAGCTCTGCAGCCTGAGCCACTGGGGACTGATCAGGGCCATGCTCTGCCTGAAGTCTTTGTTAGTTAATGTGAAACACATTTTCTAATCACCCATGATGTGGCAGGCATTAGAGATTCAACCCTGAGTGAAACGTTTATCCTGTCTTTATGAGGCTCACAGTCTGACAGCAAATAATTACAATTTAAAGGAGACTGTGATGTAATCCTTGAGAGAAGGAAACGTAATGTGATTAATTCCTGCTCAATGGAGTGGTGTGACAAGAGATGATATTCAACCTTGATACTGAAGGACAGGTAAGACTGAATCCTTTACTGTTTTTTCTTTTTTTTTTTTTTTTTTTTTGAGATGGACTCTCACGTCTCACTCTGTCGCCCAGGCTAGAGTGCACTGGCGTGATCTCAGCTCACCGCAACCTCCGCCTCCTGGATTCAAGTGATTCTCCTGCCTCAGCCTCCCAAGGTGGGACTACAGGGACGCGCCACCACGCCTGGTGGCTGATTTTTGTATTTTTGGTAGAGACAGGGTTTTACCATGTTGGCCAGGCTGGTCTCGAACTCCTGACCTCGGGTGATCTGCACACCTTGGCCTCCCAAAGTGCTGGGATTAGAGGCGTGAGCCACCACACCCAGCCTTTTTACAGTTTCTAAGCACTTGCATGAACATCAGTGAATTTCATTCTAATAAGCATGCTATCAAGTGAAATGAGAAAGATGGTACTGGAAATAAGGTTCAAGGTGATTTTTCCATGAATATGATTTGTATCTGTGTCACCACCCAAATCTCATGTTGAATTATAATCCCCAGTGTTGGAGGTGGGGCCTGGTGGGAGGTGATTGGATCACGGGGATGGATTTCTTATTAATGGTTTATCACCATCCCCTTGGTGCTGTCCTCACAATAGCGACTGACCTCTCGAAAGCTGGTTTTTTAAAAGAGTGTGGCACCTCCCCCTCCCTCTCTTGCTCCTGCTTTCACCAGGTGATGTACCTGCTCCCCCTTCCCCTTCTGCCATGATCGTAAACTTCCTGAGGCCTCCCCAGAAGCTAAGCAATGTCAGCACCACACCACCTGTAAAGCCTAGAGAACAGTGAGCCAATGAAAGCTCTTTTCCTTATAAATGACCCACTCTTAGGTATTTCTTTATAGTAATACAAGAACAGCCTAATACACCCATGATCATGTAAGTAGGCAAGGAAGAAAGGGGCTGAAAACACAATAGCTAGGAAAAGAGAGTAGATGTTAGTTGTCGTCTAACTAGAAAAGGAGTTGGTCTTAGAAATTAAAGTGAGGAAGGGGTGATTCTCAAGTCCCAAGATCCTGATACAAGGGCATCTCCCACGCTCTTCTCACTGGAAGTTATTGCCTCATCCCTCTCTCCCACTCTGGCTTCTTTCTGCAGCCCCTGGTTCCCTCAGTTCTGGAGACTCGAAGTCTATAATCAATGGTTGGCAGGATTGGTTCCTTCTGAGGGACATGGGAGAAGAATCTGCTCCAGGCCTCTCTCCTTGGCTTGTGGATGACCACCTTCATGTCATCTTCCTTCTACATGTGTCACTGGGTGCAGATTTCTCTTTTTTATAAGGACACTAGTCATATTGGACTAGGACCCACTCCTGATGACCTCACTTTAACTTGATTACCTCTGTAAGGACCCTATTTCCAAGTCCCATTTTGGGGTGCTGGGGGTTATGACTTCAACATATGAATTTGAGGGGACACTATTCAACCCACAATACTAAGCAAAAATTTCATCTACTCTCACAACACCCAATGATCCCCGGCTCCACCTGTTTCACGGAAAGGTAGAACTAAGCCCACGCATGACAAGCTGCCTGTCCACTGGTGCTATAGCGAATCCTCAGCAGGAGCCAGAAGCTGACCCAGCACACGGACTCCCAGCCCAGAGTGGTCACCACAGGCTCCTGTAAAGCCAGAAAGCAGAGGCTTCGGAACAGGAGTCTGAGCCCATCCAATACCATGTGGTTTGCTCAGGGAATCTTTTATTTACTTTAAAATATAGACATATAGAGAGCTGCATGTTCTCCAACATATGTGAAACAACCTCGGTTCAGATGATCTGCAAAACCCCAAATTGTCCCCATTAGGTTCCCAGGAACTTCTTTGCTGACCACTACTGGACCTCAAACCCCATGGCCTGGATGGCCTCCAGTGAGTCATTCCGGTCACTCCAGAGTCTGAAAATCCATCACATGACCCCCATTCCTGCCCCTCCTTGGCCACATCAGCAGAGCTTTCTAAGTCCATGCTCAGTTCAAATTCAAAAATAATGCTCTTTCCTTTTTTCAAAATCCTGCATGATCTTCTGGATAATCCTATCCTAGGTCTCCCATGGGTGACCTGACAATACAGGGGAAGGAATTTAGATTGGAGGCTAGGGAGAACTCCAAATGCACCCAGCATAGCTTAGCAAGCTTAGTACCTCTGTCTTGGCCACTCAAGCAGCTCTGATCAACCCCTGGGTTGAAATTCAGGAGACTTCCTGCGGCCGTGCTGGTAGGAGATTATTGGTTATGGAAATTCTGAAGCTACACCTGGTTCTCTCTGTGGCTCAACTGAATATCTAAGTAATGAACTCAACTTCCTGTGGATACCCTATGTAGGAGTAAAGGCTTTAAAATATGCGCTGGGGAATCAATTCATACCTCCAAAGGAGCAGGACTTCTTAGGGACCATCACCATAATTGCTGTCATCACCAGAACTTTGTGATGAACTTGTGAGCTATGACACAGTGTCGAGCTACAGACAGGGCTTCAGACTGAGTCTTGGCTCTCTGGTTCACAGTTAAAAGCAGGCACTGCAGAATAAACTGACTCTTAGACTGCCACTGTGTTGGTCATTTGCCTGTTTGGTCTGCATGCTAGTTCATTTCTGCCCTGTTCTGCACTGCAGAATACTATATTTCTTAGGCTTTCTTGCTTGCTGACTTCAGGATAGCTTTGACCAATGGGAGGCATGACAGAAGGCTGAAGGAAGAGGGAGGCCACGCTGTTTCTGCCACTCTCTTTCTGCTCTGGGCAGCATCTCAGGGAGTGTCAGCCTTGCTCCATGGCCCTAGCTCCCACCACACAGGCCAGCCATGGTCTTAGCTTCTGCAGGTGGCCCCATCCTGGTGGCCAGTAAAACCACCTCCCCCTTATTCCTCAGCCCTAGGGAGGAGTCTTGGAAGCTTCCATGTCATTAATTCCCATTTGGTTTCTCAGCTCTCCCGTCTCTGCATAACCAATTCCTTGTGTTCAACTCTTGCTATGTAACACACTCAGAGTGGTTTCTGTTTTCTGCCTGAACCCTGACTAATAGAGCAAATGACAGAAATTCAATCAAACTAGCCAGGAAGGAGAAAGAATTTGTTCTTCACAGAAGGAAACTGTGGGAAGGGCAGGGCGCAGCTGGGTCTCAGAGCAATTGGATCCAGAACTGTCTGTGTTGCTCATCTCTGCTCCTCTCTACAAGCCAGCTTCCTTCCCCCAGACAGGCTTCCTCCACATTCCTTGGGAAATTGTCCTGAGCAGCTCTTAGACTCGCATCTTTGGGCTCAATGCCAGAAGGGAACAACTGTTTTTCTTCTAATCCAATTTAAAAGACAAAAGGTAAGGGCTTCTATCAGTCTAGCTTGGGTCAGTGTCCACCTCCATGGCCAAGGGACCAGGGAACTGGTTGACAAAACCTACTAGAGTCACATGGTTGGGGAGTGTCCAAGAAAACGGTGCCAGAGTCACCACTTAAGTGATAAGGCTTATTAGGAGGCACAATCTCAAGGCAAAGACTTCTCACTCTCTCAAGAGAGAAAGGAAAGGGGTGAATGCAAGGAATGCATTTCCAAGCTACCCACAGCTCCACAAAGGGACACAGCCAGTTTCTGATTCACAGAGGATGTCTTCACACATCCGAGGCATAATCACTGCCCCTGAGAATCTTCCATCCCATAGAAGAAAAGAGAAAAAATTGTCTGCTGGATCCCTCGCATCTCCTGTCTTTCATAGGTCAAAGTTTTCTACATGAGGCACTATCTCCCCATGTTGCTGGGCTGTAGCCTTGCTTGGCATCTTGGGGCAGTCCCTACCAAAGGCATCAAAGAAGCAAGGAAAGCAGTGTGGCACTTCAGCAGAGACTAGAATGGGGAGGCATCTGAGGATCAGGTTGGATCAGGTTGGCCACAGCAGAAGCAGTAGAGGTGATGTTGGAGCTCAAAACTCATCCCACAGGAGGGAACCCATGGGCAGCAGCGTGACTGTGGCAGCAGACACAGAGGATCAGTCTCCATGAGCAAGCAGTGAGGTCCTAAGAGAAAAGAAAGGTCCAGCAAATCCGAGGTGATGCAGACATTAAAGCAATGGGGTGGGAGGGGCAGGCCCCAAAAGGACAGCGCTGTTCTTAGCAGGAAGGGGTCATATAGGGACAAAACAATAGGTTCAGGAATAGAAGCCTGCCAGGTTGAACAACAAAAGATTCAACCAAAACAAGGTATTTGTAGAATGTAGACATCAAGGGCAAACAAACAGGTATAGGCAATGCAGACAGAGCCTCAGAGGTGGGCTTGCCAGAGCTGTATCAGTGTTCTCCACTTTTCTCCCTCTCTCAACCCTGACCACAGCTCTCCACTTTCATCTTCCCTTCTTCTGAGCATCTGTTCTGGGCCAGAGCCCATCTCAGGCAAATAATGCATGGTCTGTGCCTGCATTCGTATACCTGATTCCAAGTACGTCTCACCTTCTCCTCAACCAAGCCATCATCTCCCACCAGTCTCCATGATCCTCTCCTAACTCAGTGGTCCCCAACTGTATTAATCCTTTTTCATGCTGCTACAAGGACATACCCAAGACTGGGTAATTTATAAAGAAAAGAGATTTAACTGACTCACAGTTCTGCAGGGCTGAGGAGGCCTCAGGAAACTTAAAATCATGGCAGAAGAGAAAGCAAACACATCTTTCTTCAGAAGGCAGCAGGAGAGAGAAGAATGAGAGCCGAGCAAAGGGGGAAGCCCCTTATAAAACCATCAGATCTCAAGACAACTTACTATCACAAAAATAGCATGGGGGAAACCTCCCCCGTGATTCAATTACCTCCTACTGGGTCCCTCTTGTGACACATGGGGATTATGGGAACTACAATTCAAGATGATATTTGGGTGGGGACACAGCCAAACCATATCACCAATCTTTGTGGCACCAGGGACCAGTTTCATGGTGGACCAGGTGTGGGGGTAGGGGGAGAAACTGTTCCATCTCACATCATCAGGCATTAGGTTCTCATAAGGAGCACAAACCTAGGTCCCTTACATGCACAGTTCACAGTAGGGTTTGTGCTCCTATGAGAATCTAATGACACCACTGATCTGACAGGATGTGGTGCTCAGGTGGTAATGTTTGCTCACCCCCTCCCCCACTCACCTCCTGCTCTGTGGCCTGGTTCCTAATAGGCCATGGACTGATACCTCTATGGCTTGGGAACTGGGGTCCCCTGTCCTAACTGGTCCCCTGCTTTTCCATCTTTGTTTCACTTCAGTGTCTTCTATACACAGCAACCAGGTGATCCTTTTAAAACCCAAATCAGATCATATTTATTCCCTTCCTCAAATCCTCCAAAGACTTCCCATCACACCTCAGACAAAATCCATGCTCATTGTTCCCCCGGCATGATCTGACCTCCAGCCTCCTGCCCGCCATTCTCCCCTTCACTGCTCCCAGTTTCAACTGCACTGGCCATCTTGCTGTTCTAGAGCCCAGGCAGCATGCTCCCACCTCAGGGCCTTTGCTCCTGCTGTTTTCCCTCCTTAAACCACTCTTCCTCCAGAGAGCAGCGTGGCTCGTGCCCTTGTTTCTTTCAGGGCTATGTCCAAAGTCAGCTCCTCAAAAAGGCCTCCCTGATCATCCAAGCTAAAACAGCACTCTGCTTCATGCTGTTCCCCTTACTCTGTTTCTCTAGTCCTTATAATACTACTTACCATTCATGACATCAAATTATGGGTGGGGGGGTGCAGGTTTATTTCTCCCTCTTCTCCCTTCCTTTTAGAATGTAAGCTGCATGCAGAAAGGGGCTTTGTTATATTCCCTACTGTAGCTAGAATAATGCCTGACACCACCGAGCTCTCAATAAATATTGGTGCAATAAATGGATTAATCTGGTGGGAGACAGATTGGCCACTACGGTATGACAAGGGCTGGCATAGATACAAGAACAAGAGTCTTGGGTTACATTCTCCAGCCAGAGGGGTCTGGGAAGTCCCAAAGGGCATGAGCAGCTGGGATTCATCCTGCTTGCAGTTTCCAAACCAGTTCAAAAACAACAGGAGATTCTGATCAGACAGAGTTGGCTGATAGGGAAGAGCCAAACTGCTTCTGGTGCGGGGCAGTTCAAGGTGAGCTCAATGAAGTCACTTAGGGCCTGTGCTTAAAATACTGTTTATTTTCTATTTTTAAAAATGTTTGTCATTGAAATGTCATGGTGGAAGGGGAGTTTGGGAATCATCTAGGCCAGCTATCCTGCTGCACGGGTCAGAAAACTGCATCTCAGAGACAGAAAATGACTTTTTCCAAGTGACAGGGTGAGTTGGTGGTCAAGTCTGCTCCCCTGTCTGGGATGCATAGACACTCTTGGCTTCTCGAGTGCCTAGAGGATTTGGTCCCAGGGATACTTATCCTTTCAGACAGCAGCCTCTGAGAACCTTTTATGCCAGTATATTGCTAAAGTGAAACCTGGCTACTAGAGAAAGCCTCTCTGTGTTTAAATTCAAATGTGTGGTTTGTCAGAAAAGTAAGGATTTTACTGCTGTTATTTAAAAAATGGTTCTGTAAACATCATGAGGGCAAGGACACCTGTCTTATTCACCACTGCATTCTAAGTACCGGCCAGGTGCTGGACACATGGTAGGTACCCAGTCATTATGGTTGAATTAACTGGTTAAGGAAACTAGAAAGTAATTCTTCCAGAAGAAAAAAGTTGAGCATGAAACTTGGTATTCTCTCCATTTTGCATCCGTATGGGAGGAAGATGCAGGGAGGCTTAGATTTTAGAATGATGATGGGAGTGTTAGAATGACAAACTAAGGGATTTTTCTGGTTCCAGTAACTTGGTATGGATTAAAAAGCAACAACTTTCGTCACTCAGCACTCATGGTGTTTTCCTCAATTTACAAAGTAATAAGAGTTGGCATGAAACTTGAGAGTTATTCATATCCTTGTAGGGTTTAACTTAAGTGGACATGTCACAAGAAATGTCCTAATAAAGCTTTGATTATGAAATTACCAATTTTCCATCTGCCAACAATATTAGGGAAAAGGCTACTTTATTGTACTTAGGAGTTTGCCTCTTTTTCAACTTGCTTTTTACAACTTCACTCATCAATAGTTTTAACAATGTGTTCTATTCCATTCCAGGATGTGGGAGTCAATCATGTGTAACAAAAGGCCACCACTGCCACATGCCCTAAGACATGAACAAACCCCTCATAAGCTGAGTCAGCAGATCTAAATTGATAGCCAGACAGCAGAGGCTGAGGACAGCGCCTCCCTCAAAGCCAAACAACAGGGGTTCCTGGACTGGGCCATTCTTTAGAGGCCCCACTCTGGCCTTCCTCTGGCCTTGGGGCTCTTCACAGGGCAAGGATTTCACAGGCCCAAGAGAAGATACCAGACCAAAGCTCAGGGCTTCCTTCTGAACCACACACTCTGGGTTCCTGTCTGGGCCTCTGCCCAGGGTGTCCCCCTGCAAGATTGGAGCCAACCACCCCTCTAGCGCGCGCACACACACACACACACACACACACACACACACACACACACACCCCTAGACTGAAGGGGCAGCAAGGCTGGGCTGCAAGAGCTGGCACCACCACCACTCCTACCCTTGTGTGCACACAGACACTCTAGATTCAAATTGGGGGCTTGGGTAGGAGGAGCAGAGGGGTGGGCGGGGGCGAGGGACAGTCCTCCCTGCTCCAGTATATTCCAGCTCAGGTATCTGCAGAGTCTGAAGTTCTAAATTTAGAAGCTGATTTTCTAGGTTGTCATAAAAGGTATTATGTCTCCCAAATTACAATTCCTAAGACCCCCCAAATAAATGCCAATATCTTACATCTTACCTGGCTTCATTTCAGTTTGGTTAACAGTATTTTGTCAAGGATGAAAGAAAGAACATACAAGTTTGCAGCTTTGCTTATAATTCTTGAATACTTAGCCATATACTATGGAGGAATGAAGTAAGAAATGGAGCCCTCCATTCCCACTCCCACCCTGGGCCCCTCTGAAGTCAAGGCTGAGCAGAGAAGGCACTTCTCCCTATGGAGGCCCTGGGAGCCCACTGCTGCAGGGTACAAAGCCTTCGGGGAGGGAGCCGGCAGCACTAATCCCAGAGCAGCCTCCAATCTTTCTCTGAGAGAAGGAAAGAGGGACTTTCCTGGGAAGTGGGGTGAGTTGCCCTGGTCACTGCAGTTCCTAAAAGTCAGCTGTTTCCAAACAGGGAAGAGAAGGAGATGAAATCAAAGAGCTTGTGCTGGGGAGGCAGAGGGGGCCTAAATGGTCTTTAAAAGGGCCTAGAGGGGTGACTTTCTTTTGCTGATTGTCTACGAGGCTTGGAAGGACTTTGAGAGAAGGTGGAAGGGGTGGAGTAAGAGGGCAGAGGCAATCCTGGTTTTCCCTTACCTTAGGGCTGCTCGGCTGAAGGAGTGGGGTTGGGCTCTAGGTCAGGTGGCAGCAGAGGTTGCTGGGTCCAGAGGAGTTCCCAGGACAAGACTCTTAGGACTGCCCATCACTTCCAGCACGCAGGGCGTACTTCTCCATGAGGCACAGTGCAGTGCCTAGAAGCCACAATATTTCTAGGGGCCCTCAAAAATGTTTTTATTTTAGTTGTCTTTCAAAAATCAGAAGAAAAAATGAATAGAATACAAATGAGTATACAATCATGAATCCAGCCGGAATTACATTTGTTTTTATGCCAATGTAGTCATAAAGTATAAATTTTAATATTTTTCTCCAGGGGTAGGACTCATGAGGGCGAAGTGCCCACAGAAGTCACGCTGTGGCCCTGGGCAGCAAGAGGCCTTCTGAGGGCTGCAGCCCCATGGGGAAGACGCAGCTCAGATCTGAGGACTAACTCCACCAAAGCTGTGAGTGTAACAGCGGCCAATTGAATGTAGGAATCCAGTTAAAGCACTTAGCACCAGTCCAGGAACACAGCAATAAGTACAGGGTATCCTGGTAACTGCTCATGACCATTGGCCACCAATAAATGGTTGAGTATGCTGGGTAAGAGCACAGGCTTTGAAGCCAGACAAATCTAGGTTTCCATCCCTGTTTTGCATCTCACCAAAGCTGTGACTTTAGGCAAGAATCTCAGTTTCTCCAGCTGGAAAATGTGGATAATACCCTCAGAGGACAGTACAGAGCCCCACACATAATAGCTGCTCAATGAATGGTAACGATGAATACTGACAGTTTCAGGACCAGCCAAAAGGCAGGTACCCACAGGGTAAATGAGAAGCATCTCCCATCCCAGAACATCTCCCCTCCCCAGCCTGTCCCTCATTGCTTCAAATCTGCTATGTGAACTGATGTTTGTTAAAATGTAGACAAGATTCCCAAGAGCAAAGTAAGACAGTGAGCTTGGGGGAATGGGTGTGAAGGCAGAAGCTTGCCAGAGCCTCACCACGCCTGTCAGCTCAGCATCCAGGAGGCATAAGTAGAACTGGGGCAGGGGCTCTGGAATAATCTGAATGACAGATTCTTGATCCAGGACTAGAAAAAAAAAAAGAGAGAGATTGAAGGAAAGAGATGGGCTACCAGCCAGGGAGAGGCAACTTGCAAACGTTTCCACTCTCACAGGTGATCTTACTACTCAGCCAGATGGGTTGGTTCATCTTCCCATTTGCATTAATATGCCCTCCAGAGGTCATTTCATCCTTCCCTCTGCCTCCAGACAGGATGACTAAGAAACCCAAGGGATACCGGTGGACCTACTTGCTTTTAGGGTCTCTAGGGAAGGGGAGCTTCACAGCCCCTTCCTCCTCTTTCCCTGCACATTTTAGGCAGTTTCCAATTATGTCCCAGAAATGGCATGGAAGCCACAAAACTTTCTAGTGATATAAAAATCCTACATCAGCCTCTGTCTCCCCTTCTTCTCCTGCCCTTTCTGCTCATCTTAGTTGCACCTCAGAGCTCCCACCTACAGAAGACCCACTTAGGAGGAACCAATTCACAGAGGGCATTTTGCAAATTTTTTTTGTAATTGCTGGATTTTTAAAAATCTTTTTATGCTAGGATAGAAAAAAAAATCAGCTGAATCCAGACCAATAACCTGTCTTTCTAAAAACATTACATTATTGGACTAAAATCAACCAAATATTTTAATTTCCCAAACCAAACAACATGTGCAGATCTAGGCTCTAAGTTTTGTACCCTTCTCCCAACCAACTCATCCCTGACGCAGAACAAGAGTAAAACCAAACAAACAGGAGAGGAAGAGCGGGCAGAGCAAAGCTCATTCCTTCCAGGACAGCTGCCTGATTTCCATCAGGCCAAGTCTGAGACTTTTGTGGCCCAGCCACATGGTTGATTATGATTTGGAGGCTGACAGCACCGCACAGGCATCTACAGAAGCTAGAACCTTCTGATGGCTGCCCACACACAGAGAAAAGCAGGGTTTGTTTCAAACAAAAATCATATCATGAGATTAAGGCATCAATCAGCAAACATCAGGGCTATGCGCAAAGAACCTTAGAGATAATTTCTTCAAAAGATTTGGCTTTGAAAATTAGCAAATAGGTCCTGGAGAGATAAAGCAACTTGACCAGCAGGGCTTTGAGGCAGGACCTACCTTGTCAGGACTAGGACCCAAGGGGTCCCAATCCCAGCCCAAAGCTGTCTTCATGACCCCATTTGCCTCCCTGACCCCAACTGAAACCCCAGCAGCCAAGGGGAAAGTTCTAGGTCTCGCCGCACTTGCATTTGCAGTATCAAAACTAAGCTGAACCCAAATCGTCTCCTCCCCCACCTACCTTTCACTCAACAATAGCTAAGTGAACTCAGCTGAAAGTTTCCAGAGAATTTCACTTTGGGGCCAAGCCCAGAGATGGAAACTTTTAGCCTGAGAAGGGAATTTAGCAGGACGCACAGCAAGTGAAAACAGAAGGGTGGAATTAGGCAAGAGAAGGGCATCACAGCTTCCGCACAGCTGTCTCGTGGAGGCCCAGCACCATGCCTGGTCTAATCTGCAATTTCCCCCCAAAGGCTGCTGCAGCTCTGGGCATATGCACAGCCCTGGCAGGAGGGCACTGGTCTTCTATACCTAGGGCCTTGGTAATGTAGTCTCTGCCCTTTTCGCTCTGTGACTAGACACTCATCACTTCTCTCAGAGATATCACTGATGGCTCTGAGCTGGGCTTTCCCAGGGGTTTGACTATGCCTGGCCTGCTATGGGGGCCACTGGGGGCTGCAGGAAGAGGTACCAAGGCACCTACGGGGTCCCTTGCTAGCCCCAGAGGAGGCCCTCGAATGACTCAGTCTTTCAAGCAAGTGGGACAGATAGAGACTGGAGAGAAATCTCTTCTTACTGGGACCACCAAACCTCCCATTCGCGTCTCCAAATGGACCTAGGCATTTCACCACAGAAAGAATGCTGCTCCAAAGAAGGCTGAGAGTCCAACAGCACCTGCTAGGTGGCTGTCAGAGTGAAATGAAATAATGGCTCAGAGCCTGGTGCTCAAAATGGACCATTGACCACTAGAACAAAAGCCCATTGAAGCAGGGCACCAGCTGGCTCTGTATCCCAGAGCCTGGCACTCTACCTGGCACACAGTGGTGCCTAATTAATCCTAGATGAATGCACATGCATGCATTGACAGCAAGTGAAGTGCTGGGGGACCCAGCCACACACCCACGACCAGTAGCCAGTCCCCGGCTCCAGGACAGTATAGGAGATATCTCTGTAACATGGAGGCTGCTCCCTGTCAAGGCTGTGACCCCGTGAACTTGAGGATCCCCCAGGGAGGATGCCCAGGAAAGAGCTTCCCTCAAGGGTTGAAAGCAATAAGGTGGGCCAATTAGGAGTTCACCGGCAAGCCCAATCCCTGGAAGACTGATTCACCCTCATACCCCCCACAGGGCATGAATACTGTACTATGAGTACCCCTCTCAGAGTCTCAAGAGGCAAAATGGATTTTTTTATTATTGATATATTTTTATTTACTTCTGTCCTTTATATTCTGGTAAATATATATAACATTACATTTCCCATGTTAGCCATTTTTAAGTGTACAGTTCAGTGGCATTAAGGACATTTACATTGTTGTACAACCATCACCATCCTCCTTTTCCAGAAATGTTCTAATTATCTCAAAATGAAACTTTCTACCCATTAGATAACAGCCTCCCATCCTCCCCCTCCTCCTAGGCCCAATAGTCACTGTTCTATTTTCTGTCTCTGAATTTGACAACTCTGGATACCTCCTACATGTGGAATCATATAATATTTGTCCTTTTGTGTTCAGCTTACTTCATTTAGCATAATGTCTTCAAGGTCCATCCATGTTGGAGCAGAGATCAGAATTTCCTTCCTTTTTGAGGCTGGATAATATTCTATTTGCATGGAAATGCCACGTTTTGTTGAGTCATTCATCCATTGATGGACAGTTGGGCTGCTTCCACCTTTTGGCTCTGGTGAATTATGCTGCTACGAACACGGGTGAGCAAACAGAAAGGCGATTTTTGGAAGGGAGGGAAAGGAGCTCTGGGTTAGGGGCCAAGCCAAGGAAAAGAGCACTGAGATCCCTCAACTTGGGGGAAGGTGATGAGAAGAAGCCACACTGACCCCATCCTGTCTCCACCTGCCTTTGCACCTTACTGGGAATGGGCTGTAACTAAGGCTAAAACTAAAATGAGTACATATCAGGGAGAAGCACATGCATAGGAACAAAAGAAAACATAAGATGAGACTTATTCCATGCCAGACAATGTCCTAACCACCTTACACCCATTAATTCTCTTAACCCTCCCAATGGCCTTCTGCACAAATACTGTCAATGGCCGTATTTTACAGGAGAGGAAAACAGGGCACAAAGAGATGAAGTCGACTGCTCAAGTCACCAGCCAGCAAGAGGCAGAGCCAGGATTCGAACTTAGAACTTCAAGTCTATGTTTAACTCCAGCCCCGGAGGGTGGAGGAGGGGAAATGTTCTCATGCCATGATCCATCACAGTGTCTTCCACCAGCAGAGAGAAAGAGGAATTGAAAGTAAAGATTCAGGAAGAATTGGTCTTCCTGAGAGATGTCAGGCCCACTCTGGCTGAAGTCTTGTGGGGTTTAAGAAGCTGTGGGCCCCAAAAGGGGCTGGAGGGGGTGACTGGTCCTGAGAGGAGAAAGGGTGTAATTCTGAAGCCAAGAGGGCTCCCGGATGGGAAGCCCTCTTGGCAGCCTAGGTCTCTGCGGGTCCACTTGCTTTGGGAACCACAAAGCCAAAATGTAAAGGAATCTATTTTCTAAGGAAAACACATACTTATACATTCTGAGTAATTTCCCGTGGAACAAGGAAAAAATAAACACAACACCCCAAATGGTTTTTTGCTTACAAATGGGTTCAAGTAAAGAGAAGTGGGAGAATAAAATATAGGGTCAGGGGAAAACTCTCTACTGATTCCAAACCTCAGAAACAGCCTGGAGGCTTGAGAGAGTGGGAGAGACGGGGAGGGCTGGGGAGTGAGGTGCCCAGAGTCAGGGGCTTCCTGTCTCCTCTTCTAAGAGCTGCTTGCTCACCCTCAGAGGACCAGAGGAGGAGAAACTCTGGAAGCACAGCCATAAGACCAGACTGGGTTTGACAGCCAAGGGATTGTATAAGTCAGCCACCAGAGGTGGTGCAGGTAGGTAAAGATGAAAGCAATGGTCCCATTGTCATCAGCTGGGTAGTCAGGGAAGAGTAGGTGGATTAGGGGCCGGGGCCCAAAAACAGGAAAATTAAGTGGAAAGCTGCAGATCACAGGCATCATTCAAAGGAACTCATCAAAGAAAAAATGGTAAAGGACAGTGTAATTGTGAACAAATAACGTCACTTTCCTGGACCCCGCTGAGTCTCCCATATAAACAATGGGGGTACACTATTTGATTTCTACCACTGATAATTCCAAATTAGATGAGGAGATAACTGGGGGGACAGAGTTACAGAATGGGGGATGGGACTAGAGGATGAGTACTGGGGCCTGAGGATGGGTACTCGAGAGCCAAGAGAATTTGGAACAGCTAAGAGTCAATTTGCACTGCAAATCAGACCCAGGGAGAACATCCTGACTGGCAAGGGTCCCAGGTTATTGAAAGTTTGGCAGCACCAACATTCAGAGCAGCTGGCCTGGATTTGCTCTAGCAAAAGATTCACACCATGTGGGGACTGCCAGGTCTCCAGGGCCCCAAGGGCCCCACTCTGCCTGAGGCAGCCTGAAGAGGTTGAGATTCCCTGGCCAGCAGTGACCTACCTGTTCCAACTACACTGCACTTCACTGGTGAAAAGTCCTCTGGCCTACTAGGACCTCATTTGGCCCTCACAGCAGCCTGGTGAAGAAGGATGAATCCTCATTCCCATTTTACAGATAAGGAAACTGAAGTCTAGAGAAGACCGGTCTTGGTAAGCCACATGCCTAGCAGAGCCAGGAATGAGCTCATGTCCTGCCTTGTTCGAGAAGAAGGCACCACGCGGAGCATGGAGGGGTGTCATTGTTCCCCAGTGTGTGCCTGGTTGGGGGGACAGAATGTCAAAGGCAGGAACCCCATCTTGTCCTCTGCACAGTCCCTAATTCTCTTCCCCCAGACCCACTGGAAGGTGCTGGAGGCAAGGAGGCCCAGTGGGAAGAACACTAGACCCAGGAGACCTGTGTCCAAAGCTGCCTGCCCTTGGGCAAGTCGGTTTCCACATTTGTAAAAGTAGTGGTTGCACTAGATTAGTAGTTTCCAATATTTCAGCATCAGATCCTTGCTTTTTCCCGGTGAATCTTACTAGACCCCTTGCTAAAAAGAGAAAAAGGAGGGCCACTCCAGATGAATCAGAGTAGAAACTTGGCAGGGCTAGATTCTCATCAAATTTCCATCCACCCCCTGAGGCCCCTCCACAGGACCAAAGTCAACACGGAGCCCAACTTGCAAACCATCCAATTTCCCAGTCCCCTTCAGGGCCTTCATCCTTCTCTACAGAGCCACTTAAGGACAAAACTTCTCAAATCCCGATGTGGGCCTGCACTCTCTTCTACATGCTCAGCCACCACTGAAATGCTGTCAACTTCCAAATTATAATTCCAAGTCACAACAAATGCCTACCCAACACCTACCCTTGGTTGTCTGTATTAGTTATCTACTGCTGTATAACAACTTATAACCAAATTTAGCAGCAAACACTTCTCATCTCACACAATTTCTTAGGATCGGTAATCTAGGAGCAGCTTAGCCAGCGGTTCTGGCCCAAGTTCTCTCACAGGGCGCAGTCAAGATGTTAGCTAGGGCTGTATCATCTGAAGGCTTGACTGGGGCTTGAGGATCTGCTTCCAAGAGGGCTCACCCCACTCTCATACTGGCAAGTTGGTGCTGGCTGGTGGCAGGAGGCCTCAGGTCCTTGCCACATGGCCCTCTCACAATGTGGCAACTGATTTCCCCTATAGTGAGTGTTCCAAGGGAGAGTAACCAACATGGAAGCCACAGTGCTTTTTATGACCTGCCTTGAAAACCAGACGTGATCACTATTACCATAATTCATTTATTAGAAGCAAGTTACTGAATCCAGCCCACAATGAAGGGGAGAGGAATCAAGCTCCACCTCTTAAATGGAGGAGTATCAAAGAATTTGTGGACTATTTTAAAACCACTACACTGTCCAAGGGCAGACTTATGAACTCCTCCCCCAAACCCAGTCTCATTCAGCTGGTGCCTATTACAGTAAACAATACCCACTTAAGGTAGCCAGGAGCCTAGGCCATCTCTTTTCTCATGCTTACACCCCTCAAGTCTAATCAACCACCAAGTCCTCTCATTCTCATCTCCTAACATCCTAGCCACTAGGTAGCAAAGATGATGGTTAAGAGTATGGGCTTCCTGGCCGGGTGCAGTGACTCACACCTGTAATCTCAGCACTTTGAGAGGTCAAGGCAGGAGGACTGCTTGAGACCAGGAGTTCAAGACCAGCCTGGGCAACATAGTGAGACCCTGTCTCTACTAAAAGAAATTTATAAATAAATTTTAAAAAGAATATGGGCTCCCAGACTGAACCCTGGCTCAACCAATTACTAAACCTCCACATGCCTGTTTCCTCATCTTTAAATGAGGAGAATAGTATCTACCATATTGTGAGGATTAAATACACCATGTAAAACCCACAGGACAGTGCCTGGCACATAGTAAATACTAAATAAATACTTGCTATCGTATTTCTCAAATTTGCACCTCTGTCCATCTGCACAGGTCTCAGCAATTGTCATCCTTCACCTAGATGACTTACACAGCCTCCTATTTGGTCTCCTTAAATCCACTCTGTTCTCAAATATGTTGTCCATAGAGCAGCCAAAGGGAGCTTTGCAAAGTGCATATTTAATTATGTTAAACATCCACCCTCCACTACCATCGTTTAAAAGCCCTCAAAGGTTTCCCATTGCTCCTTAGGATGAAGATAAAGCCTTCCTCTCACTCCGCACAACCTGGGCCCTTGGCCCAAGTATCCAGCCACCTCCTGATAAGTCTCCCTGCTCTTCAGATTTTTGTCAAACACACCATGCTTCTATCTGCCACAGGGCCTTAGCCCATGCTGCTCCCCTAGAGGAAAACTCATGTCTTCCCTCACACCACCTTACCTCACCTAGAAAGAGTCTAATCGCCTTTCCTATCTCAACACAGGTGTTATTGTGCAAAGAAATCCTCCCTGACTTCAAAATCTCCTTAGAACGCACATCCCAGTCTGTGATTATTTGAGTAACCCTCTCTCTCCCACTGGACACAAAGCTCCACATGAGCAGAGACCACACCTGCCATTGCTCACCATTCTTTGCTCAGCTCCTAGCCCATGCGTGGCACAAGGTCAGTTTCCAGGAAGTGTTTGTGGAATGAATAATTAAGTGCTCCTGCTCTCTCAGATATTGCAGGGAGAGTTCCAAGAGTCAGGGACTGGCCAACAGAAAAGGACCCACCCTCCAGGCTGGCCTCCTCCCACCTCACCCACCCTGGAGATGCTGAATCATCAAGTCACTCTTAGCTGGACCATGTCTCGCATAAACAAATATCAGACCCCTCTGGAAGTGCCATGAAGTGGGGCTTCCTGCCTCACTCTGGGACTGCCAGAGCTCTCCACACCACTGAGAAAATGATGGATGACTTTATCCATGGCTTCCTCAGATGCCGGGGAAAGGCTCAGATTTGCCCGGCTTCTGGAGGCTGCATTTCCTGAGTACAAACCCCTGGCCTTCTCCCCAGCTGCCCTCCCTGAAATCGGGGTCAGAAAACACATTCCCTTTCCATTAATTTATTTATTCACTGACTTCAGCCACCTTTCAGGGACTCTTTTTCTCCAAACTTCTGCGTGGGCCCCTGGGAGGCAGTGGGGGGTGGCAGAGAGCACATCCCACCTAAGTCTTGACCAGCTGTGCCACCAACATGCTTGTGGCCTTAGGAAATTTACTTTCTTTTCCTAGTATAACACGACATCTGCCTGCTTCCTCCTGCAAGTGTTCAATACTCCATGTCTGCAATTATCTCCAAGTCACCTCTTTCTTTCATCTCTTTCCCCAGCCACTCTCTGATGCAGGTGGCACTCTCTGTCACACAGAAAGGACTATTCATCCCTGGAAAGATTGTGCACTGGTTCTGCGCTGAGCACAGAAATCCAAGTCTGTCCCACAGAGAAAAGAGAGCCTGCTTCTCACATCACACAAAGGCCTCCGTTTTGCCTGTGACCTCCACGGTCACCCTCCTTGGCCTTTCTTGTCCACTCAGCTAACTTCTTTATTTTGTGTCTGTTCACGCCATGCCTGCTGCTGATGTGCCCAATGTGAGGACCCTGTCTGCTTCCCAATGTCTGAGGCTCTCCTGTTCCTACCATAGAGTCACAGGTCCCCCAGACCTCCACCTGCAGCTCACCAGGTCACAAATCCCAGTGTGAATCCTTACAGGAAGCCAAAGAAAGGAGTTTCATCCCCCACCTTGGGACACAGCTCCCTTTGGCCTTGCAGCCCTGAGGCCCCGAGGCCTACGTGCATGGTCACTGGCCTCCTCCTGCCTTGGGCCCATCCTGAGGCCCTGTCTTGGTAATCTGCTTTGAGACCCAACTCCAAATGCCCAGCCCCCTTGTCTTGCTCTTGTTCCTGATTTGCTCTGAGGCCCTGCTGCTGGGGTACAGACATCCCCGGGCCACCTAAACTCCTGAAGATCACCTTCTCCAGAGCCTCAGAAGGCAGGCTAAGCCCACCCGGTGTGACACCTGACTCCATACCCTGTTCCTCTATCCACTCACCTTGGCCAAGACCTCCTATCCCTTGTCTTCTGGCCTGGATCACCCCCAGCACAGTCTACCTTGCCTGCCTCTCCCCTAGTTAAAAGTCTCCCTCAGTTTGCTCCCTGCAGTGGGATGATCCTAAATATTCCCCAAACTACTCCTTGTCAAGCATTTCTAGGGCCCCAGAGTAGATCTGAAAGAGACTTTTAGCTCTTGCCCTAAGATATAATGTTCCTTTTCTTATATCCCTGTGTTCAAACTATTTATCATTCAACAAACTTTTTTTTAAGAATCTAATCTGTGCTGGCTTCTATTTTATGCACTGGGGTTGAAGCAATGAACAAAACAGAGAGGAATCTCTGCCCTCATGGGTTTGCACTTCAGTGAAAGCCCACAAGACATGGAGTCAAACTCCAAAAAGAGAATTTCCTCTGCCTGTCCTGAGGCCTCTCCACTTACCAAGTGGAGTCAACCTTTCTGGTACTGCCATCTTGAATCTCAAAGCATCGAGCTCCATTATTGTCTCCCTCCAAGCTCCACTCCTGTTCCAGCTGTTGCTCCCCATGGTTTCCCCTTCGGGGGAGGAACAATTGTGCCCCCTTTGGCTCCTCCAATATCTCCACTGCTTTTCCTTCCCCCTTCCTGCTGCCTCCTCCTCTTCCTGGGTCAGATTCACTAGTCAGCACTTTTACCCCTGAGGAACATCCTCTGTCCCCTCTCCAGTAACCCACCCCCCTCCCTTTTGTTCTGTCTCATCAGCAAGGCGAGCCTGCACTGCCCTCCATGCAGATTTTCTCCTCCCCAGAGGCTGCCACTGGAGTCCACAATGACAGGGGAGCTGAACATTTCCCAGTCAGTCGCCAGCCCTCAGCAGAGCTTGGCCTGAGGCCCATGCAGGCATCTCAGGAGAGGAAAATCAACTTTCCTGGACCCAGCCCTGGCTTTCCAGTGAGATCCCACAGCCTCCGCAGGCTGCTGGCATCCACTCCGGAAAGGACATATGGGTGGTAAACAGGACTGTGTGTGCCCTGCAGCCTCCACAGGGCAAAGGCCTGGCCCTTGCCATAGGAGCAGATCTGACATATGTGCGGTGGTTCTGGTGCATAACCACCCAGAACATGGGGCAGAGCCAGCCTGGGCCTTCAGGACCCCTGAGTCACAGAGCAGCCAAAGAACTCCCAAGGGCTCTGAAGGTGGGACAGGGACAGGGACCTGCAATGCCATGGTACCATTGCCTCTTACCTCCCATACAAGGAACTATTCTGTATGGCCTGGCCCCTCAGGTTCCTATGGCCCTGGCATAGACAATAAGAAATAGCCTACCTCCCTTCTTTTGCCCCCAAAAAGCACTCAAAATGAGAGTCATCCATTCTCCTAGACCAAGCAACTAGGCAGATACCAGCTCACAGGTGAGTGGAGGCTCGTACCAGCCTGCCCTACCTGCCAGCTTCACCAGAGTCTGGGCATTCTTAGGCCCCTTCATTATGCTGGGGGCCCTCCAGACCTAATTTTGGGCTATCACTAGCACCCAGCCACCCTCTCCATTGGGCTGAGACCCCACGTGAGTGAAGAGGACAGGCTGCGATGAGAAGGGAGTCGCTCTCCCAGTCAGGCACAGAGAGCACCCTGCAAGTCAGCACATTTGGTCAAGACAAAGAAGGGCTGCTACAGAAATCTAAGTGGATATCTGACACTGGGGCAGTGGAACTCCACCCCTTTGGAAGATGGACTATAGGAGAATTATATCCTCCCTCACCAGGTTTCTTTTTCCCTGGTTAGAAGAGTTTTGAAGTCAACAACAGGGGCTAGTTCTGAAGCAAACCAGCTCTAAGCTATAGTGACCCAGAAACAGAAGCTAAGAAGGCAGTAGCTCACACCTGTAATCCCAGCAATTTGGGAGGTCAAGGCAGGAGGATCATTAGAGGTCAGGAGTTTGAGGCTGCAGTGAGCTATGATCATGCCATTGTACTCCAGCCTAAGCGACAGAACAAGACTCTGTCAAGAAGAGAGAAGAAAGAAGAAGAGAAGGAGGAGAAGGAGGAGGAGGAGGAAGAAGAGGGGGGGAGGAGGAGAAAGAAAAAGAAGAGGAAGAGGAGAAGGAGGAAGAGGAGGAGGAGGAAGAAGAAGAAGGAGGAGAAGAAGAAGAAGAAGAAGAAGAAGAAGAAGAAGAAGAAGAAGAAGAAGAAGAAGAAGAAGAAAAGTAGTAGTAGTAGTAGTAGAAGAAAAAGCAGCAGCAGCAAAGAAGAGAACAGCAACTTTTTTTTTTTTTTTTTTTTTTCTGAGACGGAGTCTCGCTCTGTCCCAGGCTGGAGTGCAGTGGTGCGATCTCGGCTCACTGCAAGCTCCGCCTCCCAGGTTCACACCATGCTCCTGCCTCAGCCTCCCGAGTAGCTGGGACTACAGGCGCCCACCACCACGCCCGGCCAATTTTTTGTATTTTTAGTAGAGACGGGGTTTCACTGTGTTAGCCAGGATGGTCTCGATCTCCTAACCTCATGATCCGCCCATCTCGGCCTCCCAAAGTGCTGGGATTACAGGCGTGAGCCACCGCGCCCAGCCGAGAACAGCATCTTTAGAAGACCCGCTATTCTGGGAGAAGAAAAGGGGCAAAAAAATGGTGATAACCTCATTACCCTTGGGAACCTAATAAGACTCTAACCAGGTCATAGCTGCCAGGAGAGGGGGTTAATGGTATTCAGAAGTTACAACTGAGGTGATGGCAGCTAGAGTATTACCAGGACCTTCCAAAGAAGGCTGAAGAGGAATTTAAGAGGGGGTGGGGAGCAGGCATCATCTTTCCTACAGATCAACACCAAAAAGATTACGATACAGACCTAGGAGGGAGAGAGTCCAGCTTCCAGATTCCAGACTGGGGGCCAGGAGGGTACATAATTCTGAGAGCCCTATCAGTCCTTCCCTGAAGCCGAGAGGATTCACCTACAGAAACACAAGGAAGGGAGGGTCTAGCCACCCCTTCCCCCAACATCCACTCTCACGGGCTTCTGGCAACCCATCTTTGTGGGCGCAAGCCCCGGCATCCACAGCAGGGTCATTTTTACAAGGTGCGCACACCCCATGCCTCCCAGGGCTTTTGACACTCCCTAGAGGGACACTGCCAAGGCTCCTGGGAGCACCACAGGAGGCCCGTGGGTGCTATCCTGGAGCCAAGTTCAGCTGCTCCCCCAGCAGGAGCCCAGCCTCCTGACCGTGTGCCCCAGTTGGCTCTAGGGACTTGGGGAGGGAGGCTTCCACTTCCCTTTGTAATAAGGGGCTTGGATTAGCAATATTTCCCAACTATGATTTGAGGAACTCTGACCCCACTAGATGCTCCATGGCAAGAGGTTTCACTGGACAAATAATCCTGGGAAATGCTGCAACTCTACCAACCCTCTTGGAGCTCTCTGTTCTCCTTAGCATAGTAGAGGCTTTGAGCACCCTACAGTGAAGAGGAGAGGGAAAGCAGCTTAACTTTGGTGATGTTTTGTATTGGCCTCCACACATGAATTCTGTTCTAAGTGGTTTATCTCAAATCCTCTGGGTAAGGCACTATTGTAACCCCATTTTATAGAGCCATCCTCTGGGTGGCTCTGTGCTGCTCCTCTTGGCCCAGAGTTTCTCAAATGTCCCGTTCAAGCCTGGGACATTTGTCATGAGCACGGCTTTAGAAATTCTGGACAGGAGGACCTCTAAGACTAATTAGATGCTTTCCTCACACTGAGACAAGTCCCATGAAATTAGAGAGGGAGGGGAGGGGAAGAGAGAGAGAGAGACCGAGAGAGAAACAGAGCAAGAGAGACACACATCAAGAGAGACACACAGACATAGAGAGAGAGACACAGAGAGTGATGCAGAGAGACACTGAGAGACACATACAGAGACATGCTGAGAGGGAGACTGAGAGGAACAGAGACTGAGACAGAGAGAGACACTGAGAGACAGAGACATGAGAGAGACACTGAGAGACAGAAACACTGAGAGACAGAAACACTGAGACACAGAAACACTGAGAGACAGAGACAACATGAGAGAGACACTGAGACCCAGGGACACTGAGACACAGAGACACGGAGAGACAGAGACACTGAGAGCCAGGGACACTGAGATACAGAGACACTGAGAGACAGAGACTCTGAGACACAGAGACACTGAGACATACACACAGAGAGAAGGCAGCAGGGAGAGGAGTGTAGCCATGGTTGTGAGGAGAACCTGCTGAGATGAGCTTTGTGAGTGAGCCTGTGCTTTTGGAGGGGAGATGAAGGCGGCTTGGGTTAGGGGATCTCAAACCCACCTGGGCAAAGCCAGACCCCCCTTGGAATGGGTTTCCATTCACAAGTTGAGGAGGGCAATGCCTGCGCCAGTGAAAGAGGAACTCTCACGGAGGAAACAGGCAGATCCTCATCACCCTTCAGCTCCTCATGGGCAGCTCCTCATGGGCAGCTCCTCATGGGCAGCTCCTCATGGGCAGCTCCTCATGGGCAGCTCCTCATGGGCAGCTTGGCCTGAGTGAGGAGGACCCCCGAGTCCACCTGGGAAATCTCGGCCACCTGCTGGAGGGGGCAGCTTTAGGGCTTCAGGGCTAAAGAAGTAGGATAACTAGGGCCAGGATTGTAGGGAGAAGGGAGCGCATGCTCAGTGACAGACCCAGGCTGAGTGTGAACGACCCAATCCCCTCCACACAGCCCTTTTCCCCAAATCACTCACATGCCTGCCCCCATCAGCCCTGAACACCCAACCCCAGCCTGCACAGAAGACCTGCAGCCTGGAAGCAGGCAGGCTCGGAGCCCTGCAAGGGTTGGGGGTTGGCTCTGTCCATCTTTGGATCCCCACCCCCAGCCCTGTCCAAGACATTTGTCCTCAAAGGAGCTTTATTTGGTCTTCTCTCCATTTTTGTGCAAGCCTAGTGAGAAGCCATGGCCAGCAAGAGGAAGCAACAGCCACCTGCTTGGAACTCATTTGAGAGGGGCTGAAATAGGCCACCTGTTCCCAGGCTTCCCTCCCACGCAGTAGGTCACAGAGTCTGGCCACTAGGAGAAGGTCCGAGAATGTTAAGGTTTGAAGAGACCTAAGAGCCTAACCTTCCAGCGGAAGCCTCTGTCCCTCCAGGCTGGGGCAAAGAGGGCTGACCCCAGGTGGCAGCACGCGGGTCACATTTGATTCACATGATTTGGCCTCTGGTGAGCCTAAGCGCTGTGGAGCAAGGGGTGGGAGTTCCCACTCAGGAGTAAGACTGCCGGGATCTAAATCCCGGTTCTGCCACTTCCTATCTGAAAAACACATGCCTCAGTTTCCTTCTCTATGAAACACAGCCCCATCGCCAGGCTGAGTGCAGACTCTTTGGGGCAGATCCTTCACCAGCCCATTTTGCAGATGAGGAAACTGAGGTGAATGAGCCGGCACTGTGACCCCACGTGCTTCATTCTAAGCATAGAGATCTTGCCGCTTCAGCAAGCCAACTTCCTTCCCCAGGGAAGGCTGGGAAACAGTAACTGGAGAAGGGGGCAGGAGGGTCTCTGCCTGGGTGCAAGGCTCAAGGCTGGCCAGTCCTGCCATTCTTCTTGCCTCTGGTTTTTCCGAATTCTGCCTCTCCCTCTGGAAAGCCATTGCAGGCAGGGCACTCCCAAGCCTCGTTTACAAAATTATAAGCTTCCTTTGTCCCCAGTCTCCTCTGGTTACAATAACACTCATCAGCTCTCCAGAGCTTTCAGGGGCATGGAAAATGTGACTTCACTCCTCAAGGATTTCTGATTTAACAAAATGGCATTGGGGAAAGAAAATGAAAAAGAATGTCTCTGTCCATCCCTGATAGAAAAGGCAATAGGGCTCCAGCCTCCCAGCCCAGAGTCAAGAGCCAAGAGCTCCCAGAGGGTCCAGAAGGCACAGACAGGGGACCCTCAATCCCCCTTGGACCCCACAGACTGGAAATCAGCCTCTCTGGGTGGGGCCTAAGGGGAAAAGGGAGGGAAAGGGTCACTGAAGACAGGTGCCAAAGGCAGGAAATAAATACATCCTGTCTTGCCATTCCCCAATTTGACAACTTTATTATTCCTGTCCTTCTTTATTCAGTCAGTCCATCAGTCACTTGTCCTAAGTGCTTAAAATGAGTGACTCTGGTGTCCAACCACCTGGGATAGTATTCTGGCTCTGCCATCTTTCCAAGCCTCAGTTTTCTCATCTGCAAAATAGAGACAATGTAGTCTGGACTTTATAGAGCTGCTGTGAAAACTAATGAGATACCATGCTAAGGGCTTCACACCATGCCAGCAGATCAGAAGCTCTCAAGACATGGTAGCTCTTGGTGCTGTCACTCATGGGAATTGCAAAGCTTTGTCAAGCAGAGCAATGTGTCTGAGGCTGGACTGTTGGGAGTACCCATCTCATGGCACCTGCAGTCTAGAGACCCAGCCCTGGAGGCTCCTAGCTGGCCCATTACTTTAAGTCCTGAACACCAGGGCTAGTCTAATAGGTAGACTGGCAGGGTAAGGAGAAGGGCTTAGTGAGTGCTTGCTGCATACAAGACGCTGTGCAGGTGCTAAGGAAAATTCAGAAATAGCAACTATAAATCAAACTCCACGATTTCAGGTATATGAGAAATATAATTTTCAAAAAAATTATTTAAGTCAAGTTAAATCCATCTCTGAGCCCCCATCCCACCTGAGACAGCAAATTTTGTCCTGGTCATTAATGGAACCCGCCCATCCTCTCTCTCACCAGCATCACTGGAAGGGGTGCATGCGTGGTCACTGGCCATTTGTCCCCACTGGTTACACTGAGATAACTGATGCAAGGCCACACAGTACCCAGGAGCCCAGGGGCTCTGCTGCTTCTGTGCCAAACAGTGCCAGAGAAAGCTAGTCACAGACACATCACACTGTCAGCCCACTCTGAGGTCCTGCCCACCCTGGGCATTGACAGGGAAAAGGGTGCTCTGCCTCCGGGACTCTTCCCTCAAAGGCACTCACATCTCAAAGAACTCAGGCTCCCAGAAAGGAAGAAAAAAGAAAAGAAAGCAATTCCTACTCCCTGGCCTGCAGCAGCAAGTCTCCCAAAGCAGGGATCTCAAAGGAGCAGGCTGTTTACATGGGGGGAGTTGGGGGCAGTAGAGACAAAAATATAAGGATAACAGAAAATGAATCGTCGTATCTCAGAGACGGCCCCTCTAAAGAGGTGACTTCCAGGGGCTCCCAACAAGACACCTGCACCCCCTCCACCTTCTACCCCTACCCCATCACCCGCAGGCAGAGGAAGCAGCAAACCACATAGTGACATTTCAGGACTAACAAAAAGCCCTCCAGGAAGTAAATCAATCTCCCCCAAGCTTCCTGAACACCTACACTCTCCTTCATCTAAGGCAGATGTCCTGAAGAGGTCTCTGCTGAAAGGGATCAGTTGACTTATCACTGTCACCTTGCTGAGGCCAGGGCAACAGGGAAGATAAGTGTTGACTGGGAAGCAATACTTATCCAAGAAAGAAATGGGTATTTAATACCTACTAGGTACCACCAGGTGATTTCACAAACAACCTACCTGTTCATCACAACCACGCAAAATGAGTGCTTCATTCCCCGTTATTGATGAGGAAACAAAGGTCCTGAGAGAGGGGCCAAGGTCACAGAGCTGTATTATGACAAAGCTGGGAACACTCAGCCAATATTTAATAATAATACTATCACTTAGGGTACTATTATCATTCCCATTTTACAGAAGAGACTCTGAGGCACAGCAATTAAATTACCTGTAAGGGCCAAGAAGGGTGCCCCTGAGGCCTGGGCTGTTGATCCCCTCATTTTTCTGCCTCTGCATGAGAAGCAACTGGTTGGAAAGTCCCACCAGTTCTGAGAATTCATGTTCTGCCCGGATTCCTGCAAATGAGTAGGGAAGCACGACCAAGGATTCTGGTAGCTTTGCATAGGACTTAAAGACTCACATTATTTTGAAATACAGTTTTGTAAAAAATAAAAATACAAATATTTAGAAACCAATTAAAGAGTATTGCTTTGGGGAGCAAAAGACAAAAACCCCCCGTGCCTCACTGTCTCCTCCCACTCACCCCCCGCATCAATTCAATGGCCTGGAATCCCTGCCTCTTCTGTTCAATAAACAGAGATGGCTCTAAAGAGAGGACCCAATGTGCTGAGCAGTCTTGGATAAAGAACACCGACAGTCAGAGATGGAAAGATACCTTCGTCGGACAGATGAGAAAACTGAGGTCCGCATGACGGAGCGACTTGCCCAGGGTCAGGCACCTGCGTAGGCACCTGGACACATATGCGTGTGCACGCACGCAAGGCCGCGCACGCTGGGCTCTGGCCGGCACGGCCCTCACGTGCCCTCACGCACGTATGCCCCGCATGGGTTCCCCCAGCGAGCTATCCCTGCGCCCACCCCTTCCCCTGCCCGGGCCTCCGGAGCTGCTCACACGCAGGTGAAGACTGCCCCCTGGTGGGCGGGAGCCCTCGGGAGGCCCGCAGGCCCAGCGTCCTGCGCCCGTAATCCCTCAAAGGGGCTTCTCTGGAATCACCCCCAGGCCCTGGGGCCAGGATCGAGGCTGCTCTGGGAACTGGGCTTACACGGGTGTGGGTGGGGACCTCTGGGATCTTAGAACCAGGAAAATAATAAAGCAGAGGCTTGATGTTGCAAGTTTAGTTCCTGGAAGCTGATTGAAATGGAGATGAGCAACAGGAAAGTTTTTTGGGGGGGGTTTCTAGAGATCAACACCTCTTCCAAGGAAGGGACACAACCAGGGCTGGGCAGAGAACGTGGGCTGCAGCACAGTCACCTGAAGGCCGGGAGCATGGAAGTTAGGTTGGCCCTCTGGGACTAACAGGTTTAGCAAACAAAAATACAGGATGCCCAGTTAAATTTGAATTTCAGATACATGTGAAAGTTTTTTGTATAAATATGTTCCGTGCAAGGAGAGGAGAGTGTCTGTGCAAAAGGGTGGGAGTTGGGGGGTTGTGGTGATGGAGACTGCTTACATATAGAGAGATGGAACAAAACAGGTAAAACAGTCACCCACCACATTCGTGGTTTCTGTGGATTAAACCAACTGTGGATTGAAAATATTGGGGGAAAAATGGCTGGTTACAACTGTACCAAACATGTACAGGCTTTTTTTTCTTGTCATTATTTCCTAAACAATATAGTATGACAATTATTTATGTAGCATTTACATTGTGTTTTGTATTACAAGTAACCTAGAGGTTACAGGAGGATGTGTGTAGGTTACAGGAGGATGTGTGTAAGTTACATGCAAATACTATACCGTTTTACATAAGGTATTTGAGCATCCATGGATTTTGGCATCTGAGGGAGTTCTGGAACAAATCCCCCATGGATACTGAGGGACAACTGTACTAGGGATAATAGGAGCCACGTTTCTCATTACTGGAAATGAGAGTAGGAAATATGGAAAAAAGAAAAGAAGAATAAACCCAGTGGAATTAGAGATATTGGTGTGAGCTCAGTTTGCAATATGTAGAGGTATAAAAATACAGATATAAATGCATGAAGGACTATATGGACTGTATGTTTGTATGTAGAACTATTGTGGACTGCATATTTATATCCCTCTCCCAAATTCATATATTTAAACCCTAACCCCCAACGGCATAATATTAGGAAGTTGAGCATTTGGAAGGCAGTTAGATTTAGATGAGGTTATGAGGGTAGAGATCCCCATGATTGGACTGTGTCTTTTAATAAGACAGAGAGACTAGAGCTTGTTGTCTCTACTATGTGGGGATACAGTGAGAAGATGGTCATCTGCAAACCAGGAAGTGGGCCTTCACCAGACATGGACTCTGCACCCTGATCTTGGACTTCCCAGACTCCAGAATTGTAAGAAATGCATTTCTGTTGTTTAAGCCACCTAGTCTACGGTATCTTGTTATAGAAGCCCAGACTGACTAAGAAAATGACTCTAGATATAAAGTTGGAATGTGTGTGTGTATAGTTTGCTTGTATGTATGTATATCTATATCTACATATGTAGATATATGAGGATATATGTAGAGATACATATATTCTCTTTTTTTTATTATTATTATACTTTAAGTTTTAGGGTACATGTGCACAATGTGCGGGTTAGTTACATATGTATACATGTGCCATGCTGGTGTGCTGCACCCATTAACTCGTCATTTAGCATTAGGTATATCTCCTAATGCTATCCCTCCCCCACTCCCCCTACCCCACAAGAGTCCCCAGAGTGTGATGTTCCCCTTCCTGTGTCCATGTGTTCTCATTGTTCAATTCCCACCTATGAGTGAGAACAGGCATATATTCTCTATCTCTACTGCGAAGATGTAGGGATGGCAACACCCTAATAACAATGACCACATTCCTTGGTTTCTAAATACCATTCTGTGCTAAAAGAAACCAGAGCTCCTTGTAGAAATAGCCACTTCTAAGACCAGAGCTGAAGAAGTACTGTCAATTACTAAGTGACAGTGACAGTTATTACAACATCCAACTATGATTGTCTAGTTCTCCCTGTAGTTGTATCATTTTTTTGTTTCATGTATCTTGAAGTGCTATTATTAAATACATACACATTTAGAATTGATATCTCTTCTCAAGGAATTGACCCCTTTACCATCTGGGTTAGTCACCTTGGCCTGCCTAACAAAATGCCAGAGAACAAGTGGCTTAAACAACAGAAGTTTACTTCATTACTGTTTTGAAGCCTGGAAAGTCCATGATCAATGTGGCAACAGGGTTGGTTCTGGTGAAGCCTCTCTTCTCTCCTTGGCTTATAGATGGCCACCTTGTTGTGTCTTCATGTATTAGTCTGTTCTCACATTGCTAATAAAGACATACCTGAGACTGGGTAATTTGTAAAGGAAAGAGATTTAATGGACTCACAGTTTCACATGGCTGGGGAGGCCTCACAATCACACAATCATGGTGGAAGACGAATGAGGAGCAGAGTCACATCTTAAACGTGGCGGCAGGCAAGAGAGCTTGTGTGGGGAATCTCCAATTAATAAAACCATCAGATCTCCTAAGACTTATTCACTATCATGAGAAAAATATGGGGAAACCGCCACCATGATTCAATTATCTCCACCTGGCCCCACCTTTGACATGTGGGGATTATAACAATTCAAGGTGAGATTTGGGTGGGGACACAGCCAGACCATATCACTTAACATGGCATTTCTTCCATGTAGGCAGAGAGAGATCTCTGGTGTCTCTTCCTCCTCTTATATGGACACCAGTCCTAATGGCCCCACCCTTATGGCCTCCTTTAACTTTAATTACTTTTGTAAAGGCTCCATCTCCAAATACAGACACTTTGATGGTTAGGACATCAACATATTAATTTTGAGAAAACACAATTCAGTTCAAAAAATAATCTGTACCATTGTGACCCATGACCATCTTTATCTTCTTGTCTATTTTGTCAGATATTAATATAGCTATACCAGCTTTTTTGTGTTTGATGTTTGCATAAATAGCTTTTTTCATTCTCTTACCTCTGTCAGTGTGTTAATACTTAACACGCATCTCTTCTAAACAGTGTTTTACTGTGTCTTGCTTTTTAATTGTCTGACAAACTCTGCATTTTGAGTGCTTAGTCTTTTATTAATTAAATTATTGACATGGTTTGCTTTAATTCTACCATCTTGCTACTTGTTTTCTTATCTGTTCCCTCTATTTTTCATTCTTTTGTTTCCCCTTTCCTGTCTTAATTGAGTAATTTTTGGTATTCTATTTTCTCTATTGGCTTTTTAATCATACCTCTTTGTACTTTTTATTTTTATTTTTATTTTTTTTTTTGCAGAGACAAGTGAACATTTATTTTTGTACCTTTCTTCCTATGTGTATTTCAAGTCTTTTTCAAAACAAGGCCTGAGGAATCTCCAGATTCAATTATGTCCCTGGGCTTTGTCGACAGCTGCAGGAGTCTTAGGGAGCCTTGTACAAATGCTAGAGTTACTCATTTACCAACATTAAACCCGAGAATAGAAGATGCAACAAAGCAGGTTTCCTTCCTCCATGGAAAGTGCTGATTTCAGACAAGGCAGCAGCCAATGTAGAAAATGCTGGAATTTTTCCTTGGAACTGGACTGTGATGAGAGGTGCTTGCCATGAACATAAGCTACTGTCTTTTCTTTGACCCTTCCTTTCCAGTTTTTGAAGATAAAGCCGGAAATAATCTTCTCTGAAGATACTTGATAAAAATTCCCCCCCAAAAAACAAAAACACATGCTTCCACTTCACTGATAAAAATTGACTGCAGTTTGGCACCTGGGTCTAGTTCAGCTGGCGGATGAGCTGATTGATGCGTTCACCCCGATAGCCAGGTGTGCCTATCTCCTTGAGGAAGCCCACTCTATTTTTGGTAGCGTGACAGGCCACTGAGAAAGTGGAAAGGGTCCAAGAACCATGAGATCTCCTGGAAATGCTACCCTGGGAAGCCAATTTCATGAATGAGGTCTTCCAAGCAAATGACACCAAACTTCAAACTTCCCTAGGTGCTCCTCAATTAGTGTGTTGTCTGTCAGAGGGATGGTCTTATTCTTGACCTTGGCTTGTCCACGTTTCAAAATGAGTTCCCAGACAGATTTCAGACTTGGAAATCCCCAAGTCACATAAGGTTCCACTATACGCAGCATTTTTAGGTTCTGGGGGGTGACTTTTACAAAGACACCACTAAAAATTTTCTTTAGGCGAAGTCTTGCAGTGGTTCTCTGCACCAGTAAACATGCCATCAATCCTTCAATGCATTCAACAAAGGCCAAGGAATGTTTATCTGGTGATTCCAAGGCACAAGGATTACTTCTAGTCATCTGAGACACACCTTGTCACGTTTCTGCCTCCAGGAATCATGTAGAAATGATTCCAGTCACTTAAACCTGAGCCCTTTTCCTTTCCTCTGCTCCTTCTTTGCCAAAAGTGCCTGCTTTGCCTGGGTGGCTTTGAGGGCTTGATAAGCCTTCCTCTTTTTCAGGAGATTTTCTGGAACCAAAGGGATTTGTCTTTCCTCTTGCTCCACCATCTTTCTAGTGTTGCAACTACCTGCACTTTTTATTTTAGTAATTGCTTTACAGGTTACAATAGGTGTTCTTATCAGACTTTATCTTGAAATAATATACCATACACACAATTTGAGATTCTTAAAATAGTATAATCTCATTTACCCGCAATCCATCTTTTGTGTTATTATTGCCATATACATATTTCTGCATGAATTATGAACTCCACAATATGATATTATTTTTAAATGAAAATGTTAACTTTTGAATAATTTAAGAAAATAAAAACATAGTGTTATATTTATTCACGTTTCCCATGTGCCATATTCTTCAATCCTTCCTGTAGATCCAGATTCTCTCTAGTAGCATCTCTCTTCAGCTTAAAGAACTTCCTTTAGCATTTAATGTAGTACAAGTATGCTGTTGGAAAATCCTCTCTGCTTTTATGTTTAACTTAATATGCCTTTATTTGTCTTCATTTCTGAAAGCTATCTTCACTGAATATTTAATCCAACATTGATAATATATTTCTTTCTGCAATTTAAAGATGTTATTCCATTGTCTTCTGGCTTTCAATTTTTGTGATGAGAAGTCAGCTGTAATTCTTATCATTGTTTTCCTGTATATAATGTGCATTTTTATTTGGTTACGTTTAAGAACTTTTTTTCCCAGTTTTAACTTTCAGAAGTTGGACTATCAAAATGCCTGGGTGTGATGTTCCCTGTATTTATCTTGATTGAGATTCACTGAGCTTTCTATATGTGTGACTTACTGATTTTGACCACTTTTGGAAAATTGGTGGGAAGAGCCATTATTAAAGTTTTTTAAATCCTTATTTGCAAATCTGAATCCCTAGGTCAGCAGTCCTCAACCTTTTTGGCAGCAGGGACTGGTTTCATGGAAGATAATTTTTCCATGGACAAGGGTGGGGGATGGTTTCAGGATGAAACTGTTTCACTTTAGATCATCAGGTATTAGTTAGATTCTCATAAGGAGCATGCAACCTACACCCCTCGCATGTGCAGTTCACAATAGGGTTTACACTCCTGTGAGAATCTAATGCTGCCACTGATCTGACAGGAGGCGGAGCTCAGGCAGTACACTCACCTGCTGCTCATCTCCTGCTGTGCAGCTCAGTTCCTAACAGGCCATGGGCTGGTACCAGTCTGCAGTCCTGGGGTTGAGAACCCCTGCCCTAGGTTGTCTATGGACTTGTTTCTAATTGAGGTTTTCCTGTTTCTTCATCTGCATTTTTTTTATTTTGGAAAAAACCTCAAATTTTCAAGAAAGTTGCCCAAGTGAAGCAAAATCTTTTTTCTCTAAATTATTTGAGAGGCAATTTCCAACAAGATGCCCTTGCCCACTGAATACTTTTGTATGTATGTATTGCCTACAACAAGGATATTCTCCAATATAACCTAATGAGATCATCAAGGTCAGGAAATTAATGCTACTATATTACTATCATCTCATCTTCAGATCTCATTCATGTTTAGTTGTCTTAATAATGTTCTTTACTGTAAAATATTATAGTCCAGAAACTCATGATGGATTTAGATGTCATGTCTCTTTAGTCTCCTTTAGTCCATAACAATTTCTTTCTTTCTTTGCATTTCATGATCATGAGTTTTTTGAAGATTATAGGACAGTTATTTCATAATACATCCCTCAATATAGATTTGTCTTAAGTTTCTCCATGGTGTATTTTAGTTTTTGCATCACTGGCAGAAATATCACAAAAGTGAGCTATACCACTTGAGGTGGGACATCATTGTTATTTATCTCACTAATGGAACGACTTACGCACAGAAAATTTACCAAGATAGACCAAATTTTTTATGAGGCTTTATTTTTATGAGACCTTATAAAATCTCAATAAATTTAATAGTATTCGAGAAATACCAAGTTTTTTATCTGACCACAATAGAATCAGATTCGAATCAAAAATAGAAAAATAACTAGAAAATCTCTATTTAGAAACTGAATACTGTAAGTCTAAATAATCCATATGTCAAGAAATAAATCAAAAGAAATTGTAAAGCATTTTTCACTGAATGAAAATGAAAACACAACAGAGCAAAATCTGTAGAATGTTACTGAAGCATAAATTAAGGAGAAATATATGGCACTAAATGCCTATATTAGTAAAGAGGACAAGTCTCAAGTCAATGGCCTCATCTTCCACCTTAAGAAACTAGAAAAGAAGATTAAATTCAACCCAATGTAACAGGAATAAAGAAAATAACAAAGAATCAAGTGGAATTCAATGAAATAGAAATCAGAAAAATAATAGAGAAAATTATGAAACCAAAAGCTGGCTCTTTGATAATATCAGCAAAATTGACAAATTTCTAGCCAGACTAATAGAGAAAAAAGAAACAGAGGACACAAATTACCAATATCAGGAATGAGAAAAGTGGCATGACTATGGCTTCTAAAGATACTATGAGGAAAAAAGGGGATACTGTGGACAATTTTAGGCCAATAAATTGAACAACATAGATAGAATGGACAAATTATTTGAAAGACATGAGCTACCAAGTCTCACTCATGAAGAAATAAATAATATTTATACTGATAACCCTATACTTATTAAGCTAGTTGAATTTGAGTTAAAATTCTTCCCATACACACACACACACACACACACACACACACACACACACACTCAAACTCACACAAACCATGTGCAGGTCCAGAAAATGACAAACGTGAAAGAACTTCATAAACAATTTTTTTTAAATTTCAATAGCTTTAGGGGTACAAGTGGGTTTTGGTCACATGGATGAATCATATAGTGGTAAAGTCTGAGCTTCTGGTGTACTCGTCACTCAAAGAGTGTACATTGTACTCAATAGGTAATTCTTCATCCCTTACCCCCTCCCAACCTCCCCACTTCTGAGTCTCCAATGTCCATTATACCACTCTATATGCCATTGGGTACCCATAGCTTAGCTCCCACTTACAAGTGAGAATATGCAGTATTTGCTTTTCAGTTCCTGAGTTATTTCACTTAGGATGACGGCCTTCAATTCCATCCAAGTTGCTGCAAAAGACATTATTTCATTCTTTATGGCTGAATAGTATTCCATGGTGTGTGTGTGGTGGGGTGTGGAGGTGTATGTGTGTGTATGTATATATATACACTTCAGATATATATACAGATCGTGCCACTGCAGTCCAGCCTGGGCAACAGAGGGAGACTCCATGTCAAAAAAAAAAAAAAAGCATAAAGGTGGAATGCCGCCTTTGTTTTTGCCCTTTTATGGCTTCTTCTGGTTATTGTCATGGTGACTGTCAACCATCATGGCCCTGGTAGGAGTATTGTTTAGCATGGAAATGTGATTATAATAAAGCCTGAGGTATTTTTGAAGTTACTGGTCGTCTATCTTGGTTCTAACCATCTCAGCTGGTGTGGTTACAAAGGGAACTTTTTTATCACGGGTGTCCTGTTTCTTAAAGATAAGCAGAGTTAGGACAGGTAGAAATTCAGCTATGTTATGTAGGCATTTACACCAGCGGGAATGGATCGAATGGTAGATCTAGTTTTAGTTATTTGAGAAATCACCATACTGTTTTCCATAATGGTTGTAGTAATTTACATTCCCACCAGCAGTGTGTAAGTGTTCCCTTTTCACCACATCCACACCAAAATCTATCGAGTTTTAACTTTTTAAAAATAAACATTATGGCTGGGGTAAGATGGTATCTCATTGTGGTTTTAATTTGCATTTCACCAATGATTAGTGACGTTGAGCATTTTTTCACGTTTCTTGGCCATTTGTATATCTTCTTTTGAGAAAAGTATGTTCATGTCATTTGCCCATTTTGAATGGAATTATTTGATCTTCAGCAAAGACAAAAACATACACTAAGGAAAGGACACTCTATTCAATAGTCCTGGGAAAATTGTATAGCCACATATAGAAGTGTGAAACTGGATCCCCATCTCTCACCACATACAAAAATTATCTCAAGATGGATTAAAGACTTAAATCTAAGACTTGAAAACATAAAAATTATAGCAGAAACCCTACGAAAAACTCTTATGGACATTGGCCTAGGTAAAGAATTTATGACAAAGATCCCAAGAGCAAATGCAACAAAAACAAAAATAAATAAATGGAACCTAATTAAACTAAAAAGCTTTTGCACAGCAAAAGAAATAATCAACAGAATAAACAGACAACCTAAAGAATGGGAGAAAATATTTGCAAACTATACCTCTGATAAAGGATTAATGTCTAGATTCTGCAGAGAACTCAAATCAACATGAAAAAAACTCATAAACAACTATTAATATAAGGAGTTATTTGAAAACTCAAGCAGATTTCAAACCTAGAAGAAATGAATATTTTTTTAAAAATTCATAAGTTATTACAATTAACCTCAGAAGTGAAAGTCAAAATAAACAAATTTTCAGAAAGGAAATGAAGTAGTAAAATAGTTCCCCTGTAAAAATTCACAGCCTACATAGTGTTACAGAGACATTATATCCAAGTTTTAAAGAGCAGATGATTCTAATACTGTTTATTTAAACTATTCCAGAGCATTGGAAAGAGAAGGAAAACCTTCAAATTCTTTTTATGATGTTTGTATAATATTGACAACAAAACTTGAGAAAGAGTCCAGGCATGGTGGCTCATGCCTGTCATCCCAACACTTTGGGAGGCCAGGGCAGGCAGATCGCTTGAGCCTAGGAGTTCTAGACCAGCCTGGGCAACATGGCGAAACCCCATCTCTACAAAAAATAGAAAAATTAGCCATGCATGGTGATGCACGCCTGTAGTCCCAGCTACTCAGGAGGCTGAGATGGGAGGATTAACTGAGCCCAGGGAGATTGAGGCTGCAGTGAGCTGTGATCATACCACTGCACTCCAGCCTGGGAAACAGAGTAAAACTGTCGCAAAAGAAAAAAAAAAAAAAGAAAGAAAAAAATAACTTGACAAGGACTGCACGTGAACACACACACAAACACACACAAAAGAAAATTCTGTATCAATCTCATTTAGGGAGATATATGTCAAAATATGAAATGAAAAATTAGCAAAAATCATGAGCACATTAAGAATAAAACATCACTATTTCTACCTCTGATATGAAGGAGTAAAACACCTAACAAATCAACCTTTCCGTAAATGACAACTACAATCTCTGGGGAAAAAATTTAAAAGTAAAAAATAAGCCAACTACCCTGTCATTGAAAAGCGATCAATGAGAGGAGGCAGTGGCAGATGTGGGGTGAATTTCATGTTTTGTGACTTGACTCTGTGAGTAGCAGCAGCTGTCGTGGTTGTACTTGGCAACAGAAACTCCCATAGAAAAGCATATCATCATTCTTCCTGAAGGAACTAAAGAAAGGATACTGGGGAAACCAGAGCTGCCAAAGAGAGAGGATACCCTAGAAAAGAGAAAACCAAAGAGGAAGAATCCCAAAATCTGTGTATAAACTCTGCCCAGTCTGGCTCCCCTGAAACACGTATGCACAGGGCAGACTGGAGGCAGTCTGAACTGAGGTCTGAATTGCCACACACTACAGGCAAGAGAGACTTTGAAGTATGACTCTCCCAAGTTAATTGCTTCATAAAACAACACATCAACACTATTTGGAACAATATAACAAACTCCAGAGCCTCCACAACATAACATTCAAAATGTCTGGAATACAATTCAAAATAATTGACATACAAAGAACCAGAAAAGTGTGAACCATTCTCAAGGGAAAAAGCAACCAACTGGGATTCAGTCCTGAGAAGAACCAGGTGTTGGAATGATCAGATAAAGACTTTAAAAGCAGTCACCTATGCTCAATGGGGTAAATGGAACCTTCTCAAAATAAATGAAAAGATCAGAAATCTCAGCAGAGAAATAAAAAAATAAAATAACCAAAAAGAGATTTTATCTGAAAAATTTAATATCTAAAATAAAATTCACTGGATGGGCCTATTTGCAAAATGGAGATGACAGAGGAAAGAATCAATGAACTTAAGGAAATCAACCAATCTGAAGAAAAGGGGAAAAGAGCACCTCAAGGACATGTGGAATAACTTCAAAAGTAGAGGAGGAAGAGAATGGAGCAGAAAAAACATTTAAAGGGAAAGGTCTGGAAACTCTCTACGTTTGATAAAAGATGGGAATGTGAAAAATTAAGAAGCTCAGCAAATATCAAACAGGAAATATTTAAATAAAAACTTCATTGGTTACATCATGGTCAACCCACTGGACCCAAGGAAAAAGAGAGAATCTTGAAAGCAGCCAGACAAAAATGAAAAGTTACATTTTTATTTGGACAACAACAGTTTAAATGACCATAGACTTCTCCTCAGATGTCACAGGGGTCAGAAGACTGGAGAACAACATCATTAAAGTGCTGAAATAAGAAAACTATCAACATGGAATTTTATATCTAGTTAAACTTGAAAAGTAAGAGCAAAATACATTTGCAGATAAAAGAAAAGCAAATGAATTTGTTCTAGCCATTAATTCTGGCTTATGAGAGATGATAACAGAGGCAAACCCAGATCTTTAGGAATGAATGGAGACCAACAGAAATAGTGAATATCTGAATAAATCTGAGTAAATATAAAAGTCTATTTTTCTAATAACTTCTTTCAAATAAACATGAATAAGGAAAAATTGTGAAATTCTCTTGTCCAGTTTATAATGTATATAATACAACTGTAACATAAATGCAGGTGAGGTTATAAATTAATCTATATGGTCACAAGGTGCCTATATTTTATGTAAAGTGGTACAATAGCAATCTTAAATAGACTGAGAAAAGTTAAGGATATGTTGTAATGCTTAGAACAATGACAAAAATAAAATTTAAAAAAACAAAGAGGTATAGATTAAAAACTAATAAATACATAAAATGAATTTAAAAATGCTTGAGCAATCCAGAAGAAAGCAGAAAAACAGGAAAAGAGAAACAAAAAATAAGTGACACAAACATAAAACAAATAACAAAATGGCAGACCTAAGTTTAAGCATATCAATAATTATATTAATTATTAACGGTCTCAACATCCAAATGGAAACACAGAGGTTAGAGAAATGCATTTAAAAATAAACAATAAAAAACATAACCCAACACACTTTAAATATAAAGATAGGAATAAGTTCAAATTAAATGAATGCAAAAAGATATATTATGCAAACCATAAGAGAGCTAGATTAGGTATATAAATATCTGATAAAATAGAATTCAAGATAGAATAGTACCAAAAAATGAAGAGGGAAATTTTATAGTGACAAAAGGATCAATTTATCAATGAGACTTAATAACCGTAAATGAGTATAGATCTATCAACAGAGCCTCAAAATACATGAAACGAAAATTGACAGGATTAAAAGGAGAAATAGAAAATTCCATAATCACAATAGGTTTTTAACACCTCTCTCTCAGCAAGCGATAGAGCAACTAGACAGAAACATCAGTAAAGATCTATAAAAATAATGGTATTATTCAGGAATCTGAATAATAATATTCGCCATGTTGACCTAACTAATAGTTACAAAACACTACCTAACAACTGCAGAATACACATTTATTTCAAGTGTGCACTATGTGTTTGCTGAGATTTACCATAGTCTGGGCACAAAACAAGTCTCAATAAATTTAAAAGAATTAAAATCATACAGAATATTTCTCTAACCACAACCAAATTAAATTAGAAACAAATAAAAGTAAGATAGGCAGAAAAACCCAAAGCTTGTGATAAGATTCTTAACACACTCAGCAGAATGTTTAAAATTAAAAAGACTGACAATACCAAATGTTAGTGAGGATATGGAGCAACTGGAACCTTCATGCATTGTTGGTGGAAATGAGAAATGATACAACCACTTCCAAGAAGTGACAGGATTTTTTTTTTAAGTTAAACAGCATACTCTGGTTTTTCTTCAGATTGCATAAATCTTTTACCTTTCACTAAAATTTTAACATACACCTACCATATGACCCCACCAGCCCATTTCTAGGTATTTACCCATGAGAAATCCACGCATTTGTCCACAATAAGCTCTGTATGTAAACGTTCACAGAAGTTTTATTCTTAATAGCCAAAACACTGGAACCAACTTAAATATCCATCATTTAACTGAATGAATAAGCAAAAAATATAGTATATTTATACAAAGGAATACTACTCAGCAAGAAAACAGAACAAACTACTGATAAACACAAAAGCATGGAAGAATCTCAAAATCAGGCAGAGGAAAAGAAGGCAGAAATGTATATATGGATGGATGGATGGATGGATAGATAGACATACACACAGACATATATCTAGTATTACTCCATTTATATAAAATCTTTAAAAAATGAAGCATGTAAAGGAATAGAATCAGTGGTTACCTGGGACTCGGAGTAGAGGGAAGGGTGTACTGTAATGGGACATAAGGAATCTTTTGGGGCGGATGGAAAAGTTTTGCCTCTTGATTATGGTCGTAGTTTCGTGGCTATATACAACTGACAAAATAGTGTGCCCTTTAAGTGAATTCAACTTATTGGGTGTTATTTACACCTCAAAGATGATATTTTTAAATTTCAGCACAAAAAATTAAAAATGGGATCAAGTGGGATTATTCTAGGAATACCAGGATAACTCCTTAAAATCCATTAATACAGTTTATTATGTTAAGAAACAATAAAACGTGATTATCTCCATACATTCTGGGGGAGCATTTGATCAGATTCTGCACTCATTCTTGATATTTAAATTTAAAAGCAAATAAAATAGAAATGTGTGGATATTTCCTTGACATGATAAAATGTTTTGAATAGAGAACTACAGAAGCTATTGATGTTAAAGTCAGAAATAAGACAATGATTACTATATTCACTTCCTATTGCTGCCACCACAAATTTAATAGCCTAAAACAACACAAATGTATTCTCTTACAGTTCTGGAAGTCAGAGTCTAAATGGTCACACTGAGTTAAAATCAAGGTGCCAGCAGGGCTGCATTTCTTTCTGGAGGCTCTAGGAGAAAATTGATACACTTACCTTTTTCAGCTTACTAAAGGCTATCTGCATTCCTTGGTTCATGGCTCTCTTCCATCTTCAAAGCCAGCATTTGCATCATTCTGACCTTGGCTTCTAACATTGCATCTCCTTCTCTGACTCTTACTCTCCTACCTGCCTCTTACAAGGACTCTTGTGATAATCTTCCCATCTCAGGGTCCTTAACTCAATCACATCTGCAAAGTTCCTTTGCCATGTAAGTTAACACATTCACAGGTTCCAAAGATTAGGACATGGACGTCTTTGGGGTGGCCATTATTCTGCCTACCACACTTACCAAGTGCAAATGCGGCCAATAATCAGGTAGACAAGATGGCCTATTCAATGGATCTCCATTGACCTCTTTACCCAGACACCCCAGTATTTGCTCAATGGGCTCACTAACAACGTGGCCACAATAGCAGGGATGGAGGTTACACAAGGGCTTGGATTTCCCTTTAAGCTTGATCCAGCTTCCACTATTGCTGAGTACTCAGCTGCAGAGACCAATACTGAGTGCCCAGTACAGTATGTAGCCACCCTATTAGACACCTTCCATCATGGAGGAGGAAGCAATTTACCCTTGCTGGAATAGACATTTCCTGGAATATGCATTTGTCTTCTCTGCCTGTTGTAGTTTGACTAAAAGCAGCATCTATGGACTTTCCGAATACTTGAATTACCCTCCCAATCCCTTGCAACATTGTTTCTGTCCAGGAAAAATAATTTTAAAGCAATGGATGATAGGCTTATTTCTACAGCATACACTTGTCTTATCATGGAACCTCATCATCCCAAAGCAGGTGGAGTAATAGAACAGTGAACAAACCTGTTGAAGGCTCAATCACAGCTCCAATTTGGACTCACTCAACACCTTATGAGAGTTGGGTGTCATTTGCAGCATGCAGTATATACTCAGAACTGGAGACTAATAATATGGTTCTTTTGCTCTCATAGCCGAAAATGTGTGTATTCAGTAACTAAGGGAGAGAAATAGGAGAGGTGCCCCTCACTATTAAACCTAATGGTCCCTTATAAACTTTTTTTCCCATTCACTGGGCTCAGCTGACATCAAGACATAAGTGCCCAAAAGAGAAATTCTTCCCCTAGGTAACTAAAAATGGTTCCACTAAACAAAGAACTAGGAACCTGTTTCTTTTTATGCCACTAATCAACAGATAAAGGCAAAGGGGGACTAAGGTTGCTATATCTTGGGTGGCAGCAGGGGAAAATGTGTCAAGAACCCAAAGGATCCTTTGGAGCATCTTCAGTTATTAGCAAAATGAATAGAACATACAGTGACCCAATAGAGACAGTATTCAAAACCCTCAGGAATAAAGTTTTTGGTCACTTCACCAGATAAATACCAAAATGATTACTACAATCTCGTGACCAGTTAGAGAAATGAGGAATGTAACAGCCACCTATACTCTTAACCTGCGTTATTTTTAAAAAACAAAACAAAATTACTTTTCTGTTTGTTTTTTTTTTTTTCCATTTCCCCACCATTTTCATAGAATGTGTTTTGGTGGATAACTTTATAATGTAATCCATGAGCTACAAAATATCAGTTGGAATTATATAGAAACTAGAGAGGGAAGGCTCATCACCAAGTGATAGTTGTAATTACTGATGGGACTTCAGGTGTCTCATCTGTTTTGGGGAAGATAGTGAGTTTGTTTTTTCTCTATAAGAGAGTATTGTATTATATTAAAAGGGAAAATGTTTTTGTTGTTATCAATGTTGTTTGTCAGTTTAAGCATGGATAAAAGAATATGGTTAGTCCAAGGAATGGAGTTTAATCATTATGGTGGGTTGACACTCAGTCTCCATCCCATCTTCTCTCTAGTATGCTTTTCTGAATGGAAGAACCTAGAAAACTAAGAACTACATTTTCCAGATTCCATTGTAGCTAGAGTTTTAGATGTAATTTATATGCTGCCAACTAGATTCATTCAAGGTTTTTGAAGTCTAACGTGAGGCAAAGGTGGAGGTGACGTTTCTACTGCTTGTGCTGTTTCCTGCTGGCATCCTGTGGAATTGCTGGCTTTTCTGTGGCAACATTAACAGAGGTCCAAGTATCTAGCCACAAGCTTCAGGACTGCTGAGGCAGGGATTGGAGCACCCATCCTGCTGGTCATTTCAGAGCAGCTCTGCATGATTCCAGAGACAGTAGCCATGATGACTTCCTCGTCAAAATAACTCCCTATTCACAGATTGGCATTGTGATTTTTGAGATAGCAGCTCCCTGACTGCGGAAGAGTCACAGGGACTATTTCTGAAATGGTTTCTAAAATCTCAACCTAGAGTCTCTTTTTTCAGTCCTCCTGATAATGTTGAAATCTACTTAATAAATTCCTCTGTCTTGGTCAGTTGGGTGTGCTATAATGAAATACCATAGACTGGGTAGCTTATAACAACAGAAATTTATTTCTCACAGCTCTGGAGGCTAGGAAGTTCAAGATCAAGGCACCAGTAGATTCAGTGTATGGGGAGGGCCCACTTCTTGGTTCACAGACAGTGCCTTCTTCCTGTGTCCTCACATGGTGAAAGGGGCAAGGTAGCTCTCTGGGGCCTCTTTTTGTAAGGGTGCTAAACCCATTAATGAGGGCTCTACCCTCATGACCTAGTCACCACCTGATATGGTTTGGGTTGTATTCCCACCCAAATCTCATGTCAAATTATAATCCCCAATGTTGAAGGAGGAACCTCGTGGGAGTTGATTGGATCATGGGGGCAGATTTCCCCCTTGCTATTCTCTTTGATAGTGAGTGAGTTCTTATGAGATCTGTTTTTTTAAAAGTGTGTAGCACCTCCCTCTTTGCTGTCTTCCTCCTGCTCCAGCCACATAAGACATGCCTGCTCCCCTTCACCTTCCACCATTTGTAAGTTTCCTGAGGCCTCCCCAGCCATGCTTTCTGTACAGCCTGTGGAACTGAATCAATTAAGCCTCTTTTCATTATAAATTATCTAGTTTCAGGTATTTCTTTATAGCAGTGCAAGAACTGACTAATACACCACCCAAAGCCCTCTCCTCCTAGTATCATCCCACTGGGGATTAGATTGCAACCTAGGTATATTGGGAAGACACATTCGGACCGTAACATCTTTCTTCTCAAACTAGCTAGAGTGGGTTTTGCTCTGTACCAAAATCTGGACCATGCAGTTTTGTTCATGTGAACCTGGATATTGATTTTCAGCTTTTAGAATCAACCTATAAATAAATCACCAAAGAGAATATAAAGGCTATTAATTTGACAGTATAAGAGTGATAAAGACTGCTAGTTTTTAACCAAAATTATTTTCCTCTTTTTCCTGGGCACTTGAGTGGACTATATTTCCCAAACTCCCTTGCAATAAAATGTATCCATGTAACTCAGTTCTAGCCAATGAAATGAGAGAGAAGTGACAAGTGCCACTTCCAGGCCTGGTCCATAAACCTCTCCCATGTACCCTGGTCCATGCTCTTTGCCCTTTCCAGCTTGGCAAAAGGCAGATGCTTACCATGGAAACTGCATTGATTTTTGGTTGTATTCATAAAGCTTCCATCAGACTAAATCAATGAATGGCTTGCCAGTGCTGTTTTGTGAGCAATCAGTAAAGTTTTATTGTGTTTGAAACTTGTTTCAGCACCTATTAATAGCCTAATGAATACAGTTTAAGTAAAAGCACACATTAAAAAACATGAATATGAACAGGGAGAGAATAGGTAAAGGAAATGAACCTGAATAGCCTCAAATGTACAAAATGGGGACTCAAGATATATTTTTATAATTTGTGTGCAAGAAATAAAAATATGTTTATATAAAGTTCCTAAAGCAGTAGGTGAAAGGAAGAGCTTAAGTGAGTTAATTCTCATCTGTCACAGCAGGAAATGGCTGGATAATCTCTAAAACTGATCATTAAGGAACAGAAATGTATCATAGAAAAGAGAATCACAAGCAAACAAGACTTTAAAATAGAAAGTTAAAATTCCATCTGAATAATGCGCCTGGGATGAGGAAGCTCCAGATCAGCTTAGTGGGCATGAGATCTGTGCTGCTGCATAGGGCCCTGAACTTAAAGGGCTCCATGTCTAGTTCAATGTTCTGCTATCGACGTTGTGAAATTCTTAATGACTTTGCCTTTGAACTTGTGTTGTCTAAATGAAATCCAGTGGACCAATAGAGCCTGCTTGTGAGCAGATATGCTAAATAAGCTTGTTGGCTAATCCTTGCTGCTTTATGCACATGGAGCTGTTGGCAATGCCACATGAGCACATAATCCAGTGGATGCACAATACTTGAGAATCAAAGGGAGTGCAGGTAAGTGTATAACATCCATGACTAGGCAAACAGGGCACTGATAGCCCTTGTAGGCCAGGCTTTCTATTTGAACCAGAACCTGCTGTGAACTCAGAAAAAGGGAAATGGTGTTCCAAATGACACAAACAACCAAGGAATCCTATCATATTCTTTTTTACTCATGTTATTTTCCTTTGTGAGCCAACCATTTGGGCTAAAAATGATGGCATAGAAGGAAAGGGAGAAGTAGGAAAATCCATTGTTCTTTTTCCTTTTAGTCCTTCCTTACTCATTAGTAAGCTTAAGATAGACATCGTTGGTAGAATGTGTGCATATCAAGAACTAAACTAACACCACTATCATTAGGAAAATGCAAACCAAAACCACAATAAGGTATCATCTCACTCCAGTTAGAATGGCTATTACAAAAAAGACAAGAAATAACAAATGCTGGCAAGAATGCAGGGAAAATGGAACTCATCCATTTTGGTGGGTGGGGATGTAAATTAGTACAGCCATTATGGAAAACAGTTTGAAGGTTTTTCAAAAAATTGAAAATAGAACAGTGACACAAAACAGCAATCCCACTACTGGGTATTTAACCAAAAGAGAGGAAATCAGTATATCAAAGGGATACATGGACCCCCATGTTTATTGCAGCACTATTCAAAGAGCCAAGATATGGAATCATCCTAAGTATTCTTCAAAGGATGCACAGATAAAGAAAATGTGGTGTCTGTATACACAATGGAATACTATTCAGTCATTAAAAATGATGAAATAGTGTCATTTTCAGCAACGTGGATAGAATGGAGGTCATTATGTTAAGTGAAAAAAGCCAGACACAGAAAGACAAATATTGCATGTTCTTACTGATATGTGGAAGCTAAAACATTGATCTCATGGAAGTAGGAAGTAGAATGATAGTTACCAGAGGCTGGGAAAGGTGGGAGTAGAAGAAGAAAAGATGTTATTTAATGGGTACAAACATATCATTACATGGAAGAAATAGGTTATAATTTGATGGCACAGACAGCTAACTATAGTTAATAATAATTTATTGCATATTTCAAAACAGCTAGAAGAGAAGATTTGAAATGTTCCCAACAAAAGAAATAAATGTTTGGGGTGTTGGATATCCTAAATACCCCGACTTAATCATTACACACTGTATGCAGGTATCAAAATATCACATGTACCCCATAAATACAATGGGACTCCAAAAAGCTTATGAGAAAACATGGAATCAAAATATACACTTTATTTCTCCACATAAACTTTACCAAAGTCAAGACACTTTTGTAAGCTATGACACCAGCCATTTAATACATTTCTAAAGAACTGAGGGTCCTGGAAATTTAACCATGTCAATGCAGTCTTTTTACATTATTAAACAGAGAAAAATGGATGCCCTCTACAGATTTTTAAGATTAGGAAACAAAAAGAAGTCAGAAGGGGCCAAATCGGGACTGTAATGTGGATGCCTAATGATTTCTCATCAAAACACTTGCAAAATTGCACTTGTGTAATAAGAAAAATGTCACGGTGGAGAAGAACTCTCTAGTGAAGCCTTCCCAGGGGTTTTCTGCTAAAACTTTGGCTAACTTTCTCAAAACATTCTCATAATAAGCAGATGTTATCACTCCTTGGCCCTCTAGAATGTCAACAAGCAAAATGTCTTGAGCATTCCCAAAACCTGTTGTCGTTACCTTTGCTCTCCACCAGTCTGCTTTCGCTTTGACTGGACCACTTCCACCTCTTGATAGCCATTGCTTTGACTGTGCTTTGTCTTCAGGATCATACTGGTAAAGCCATCTACCAGGATCATACTGGTAAAGCCCTGTTTCATCTCCTGTTACAAGTCTTCAAAGAAATGCTTCAGGATCATGATCCCACTTGTTTAAAATTTCCATTGAATGTTGTGTTCTTATCTGCAGATAATCTGGGCACAAAAGTTTTGGCACCCATCAAGTAGAAAGTTTGCTCGACTTTAATTTTTTAGTCAGAATTACATAAGCTGAACCAGTTGAGATGGCAATGGTGTTGGCTATTGTTTGTGCTGTTAATCATCAGTCCTCTTCAATTAGGGCACAAACAAGATGAATTTTTTCCTCACAAATTGATGTGAATGGTCTGCCTCTACAGGCTTCATCTTCAACATTTTCTTATCCCTTCTTAAAACAAGTTATCCATTTATAAAGTGCCAATTTCTTTGGGGCATTTTCCCCATAAACTTTTTGTAAAGCATCAGTGACTTCACCATTCTTTCACCAAAGCTTCACCAGAAACATATGTTTGTTCTTGCTTTAATTGTAGCAGAATTCATGTTGCCCTGATAGGGGCTCTTGTCAATCTGAGGCCTTATCCTTCTTAGTGCCTCAAGCTAGATCCTGTTTAGACATGCTGTAACTAATTAGTATGAGTTCATTTTGGTACAAAAAAGTTGGAAATTCATGCATCATTTTTTCATAATACACATTTTCCATGAAGTTTTTGAAGTCCCCTCATATGTACAATTACTTTGTACCAGTTAAAAATAAAAAATAAAATAAAATAAAATAAAATAAAAACAGTTGAATTTGTTTGGGTTAGCATTTCCACTGAATGTATGAGCTATAAATAATTGTGTAATTTAAGTGATTTTACTTGTGAGTTAAATATTCTTATATTTACATTTAAAACTGGCATTGCACAATATAAAGACGAATGTTATCATACAAATAATTTTTTTATTTGTACTTAGAATGAAATTGAATACCAATTTTAAAATGCCATGACAACTAGGAAAGAAAGGAAAATGCTTTATATTTTAGTATCTTTAATGGCATTTTTTTCTCCTGGCATTTTACACAAGGGGCCCTGCCTATTCATTTTGCACTGGGACCCGCAAATTAGGTAACCTGTTCTTCAGAGCTTTTTGACTTTCATTACAGCACTTTTATTCAGCATGTGCTCGTATCACTTTAATTATTTTTCAAAATATATGTGCAAGTTTTTAAAAATAAAAATAAAGCTAGACTTTTCTGCTTCTGAGAAAATAGAGCAGATGCACTTTTCCCTATTTCCCCTATTAATTATGACTAAAACTCTGGAATGAATATATACACACACCAAATAAGAAACTCCGAAAGGTGAGAAGAGGGCAGACCCAGTAGGGACTTTAGACCCTAGGAATGACACAGTGGTGACGTCCCTGGATTTTCTTTTTGCCTCATATTCCCAGACTTGGAGCTTAAGAAGCCAGCAACCAGAAACGCCAACTGGTGTCGACACAAATAAAAGTCCCAACAAACCTCTGCTTTCTTTAGCCAAATGATTAATAAATGGGCAGTCTAGAAAGACAAAAAAAAATCCTTGATGATAACTGCTTTACTGTAGCCACACACCACAGAAAAATCTATGGCTCCACTCTCCCACACACCAGCAAGGACTGAATGGGGAGCCTCACCACCCCAAACTACTCCCCCCTAGGGTTTAGTCAGAGAAGGACAAATAGGGAGATGGAACTTTCATCCCCACCTTAACAAGCTCCACCCCCACAGTATCAGAGGAGGCCTTGTGAGAAGCAGTAATAAAGCACCCCTTTCTCTCCCAGGAGGTGTGTGCAGAGGCCCAGTGGGGAGGAAGAATTCCCAATGCCACCCAGTGGTAATGAGGAGTCACCCCCCTAGGTGTCAACAGAAGCTGCATGGGAACCCTGCATTTCTAGCCCTATCTGGCAATAACTGAATGACAACCCCTCTTTCTTCTGCTGGGACAATGTCAGGAAAAGCCAGCTAAAACATACAATTTAAATAAGATCCAGAGTCTCATAATACCCAAAATGTCTTGATTTCAATTTAAAAAATCACTCATCATACCAAAAACCAGGAAAATCTCAAACTGAATGAAAAACATAATCCATAGATGCCAACACCAAAAGATGTTAGAATTATCTGATAAAGGTTTTAGAGTAGCCTTTATAAAAATGCTTCAATGAGCAATTATGAACATATAAAAAATAGAACATCTCAGTAAATAAATAGAAGATGTGAGAAATAGACAAATTGAAATTTTAGAACTGAAAAATATAATAACAAACATTTTAAAACTCAATAGATGGGCTCAGCAGCAGAACAGAGGGGACAGAGGGGAAAAAAATCAGTGAACTGGAAGATAGGATAATAAAAATTACCCAGTGTGAATAATAGAGGGAAAATAGACCTCCCCACCCCACCCCACCCCCGGCAAACAAAAATGAAGGCCGGGCACAGTGGCTCACACCTGTAATCCCAGCACTTTGGGAGGCCAAGGCAGGCAGATCACTTGAGGTCAGGGGTTCGAGACCAGCCTCGTCAACATGGTGAAACACTGTCTCTACTAAAAATACAAAAATTAGTCGGGTGTGGTGGTGAGCACCTGTAATCCCAGCTACTGGGGAGGTTGAGGCACCAGAGTCACTTGAACCCGGGAGGCGGAGGTTGCTGTGAACTGAAATTGCACGACTGCACTCCAGCCTGGGCAACAGAGTGAGACACTGTCTCAAAGAAACAAAAAATTAACAGAGCTTCCAGGGACCTGTGAGACTATAATAAACTATCTGACATTCACGACATTTATGTCATCAGAGGTTCAAAAGAAGAGGTGAAAGAGGGTGAGGCCAAAAAAGTACTTAAAGAAATAATGGCTGACAACTTCCTAATTTTTAGCAAAAACATAAACCTACAGATTCAAGAAGCTGTGAAAACTTCAAATGTAATAAACTCCAAAAACTCTACACCAAGACACATCATAATCAAATTTCTGAAAGCTAAAAACAAACAAAAAATATTACATGGGTAAAACTATTTGAGTGACAGCAGATTTCTCATTAGAAACCACACAGACCAGAAGGAAGTGCCACAATATTTTTCAAGTGCTGAAAGAAAAGAACTAACAGCCCTAAACCATGTACCTAATGACAATATCATTCAGAAATGAAGAAGAAACCAAGACATTCCCGAATGAAGGTGCTGGGGGAAAGCTAATTTGCCTCAGGAGATCTACTCCGAAAGGATAGCTAAAGAAACTTGTCTAGACCGGATATCATAAAAGAATTCTTGGAGCATCAAGAAGGAAGAAAAAACAACAGGAGTAAAAATTATACTTAAATACAATAGACCTTCCTTCTCCTCTTGAGTTTTCCATAGTTGAAGCAAAAATTATACCGCTGTCTAATTTAATTCTCAGTGTATCTGGAGGAAATATTTAAAACAATTATCTTCTAAATGTGGGAAGGTAAAGGGACATAAAGAGAGGAAAAGTTTCTACGTTTCACTCAGACTGGTAAAATGTTGACACCAGTATACTTTTATAAGGCACACATCAATAACATAATATCTACGGCAATCACTTAAAAAGCTATACAAATAGGTGCACTCGAAAACACTGTAGAGAAATAAAAATGTAATTCTAAAAAATGTTAAGTAACCCACAGGAAGGCAGAAAAAAGAAACAGAGGAAGAGAAACAAAGAGAAAACAAAAATTAAAATGACAGACTTAAGCCCTAACATATCAATAATTACATAAATGTAAACCGTCGGCTGGGCACGAAGGCTCACGCCTGTAATCCCAGCACTTTGAGAGGCTGAGGCAGGCAGATTATGAGGTCAGGAGATCGAGACCATCCTGGCTAACATGGTGAAACCCCGTCTCTACTAAAAATACGAGAAATTAGTCAGGTGTGGTGGCACGTGCCTGTAGTCCCAACTACTTGGGAGGCTGAGGCAGGAGAATCACTTCAACCCAGGAGGCGGAGGTTGCAGTGAGCTGAGATTGCACCATTGCACCCCAGCCTTGGTGACAGAGTGAGACTCCACCTCAAAAAAATAAATAAATAAAATGTAAATGATCTAAATACACCAATTAAGAGAGGAAGATTGGCAAAGAGAAATAAAAATGCTGACCCAACTATACGCTGCCAGAAACTCACTTCAAATATAATTATACAGTCAGATTGAAAGTAAATGGATGAAAACATATATATCATACATATAAATATTAATCAGAAAAAGTAGTGGCTATATAATATAAAACAGACTCCAGAACAAAGAAAATTACCAGAAACTGGAAGAGACATTATACAGTGATAAAAAAGTCAATCTACCAAAAAGACCTAGCAATCCTAAGTGTACAAGCACCAAACAACAGACTTGCAAAATATGTAAAGCAAAAACTCATAGAATTAAAAATAAATAGAAAAGTCCACAATTATAGTTGGAAACTTTAATGCTCCTCTCTCAACGATTAATAGAAAAACTAGACAGCAAATAAGCAAGAATATAGAATAACGCAACTGCATATTCACCAAGAAGATCTAATCAACATTTATGGAACACTGCACGCAACAACAGCAAAATACTCTTTTGTTTTCAAATGTTCACAAAACAAGGTAGACCACATCCTGGACCATTAAAAAAAAAAAAAAAAAACTTCAATAGATTTTTAAGACTTGAAATTATACAGAGTGTATTTTCTAGCCACGATGGAATCAAACCAGAAATCAATAACATAAAGACAACAGGAAAATGTCCAAACACTTGAAAACTAAACAACATTCTTCTAAACAGCCCATGAGTCAAAGAAAAAGTATCAAGGGAAATTAAAATATATATTTAACTAAATTAAAATGAAAATATAATGTCAAATTTTGTGGAAACAACTAAAAGACTGCTGAGAGGAAAATTTACAGCACTAAAAACATACATTAGAAAACAGGAAAAGTCTCAGATAATAATCTAAGCACCTACCTTGAGAATCCAGGAAGAAAAAGAGCAAAATAAACCCAAAATAATCAAAATTAAAAAAAAGATGTCAGCAGAAATCAATGAAGCAAAAAACAGAAAATCAATGAAATAAATATTAAATTATTTGAAAAGATCAATACGATTGACAAAATTCTAGCAGGACTGACAAAAAGAGAGAGAAGACATGAATTATCAATATCAGAAATTAAACAGGGAATATCATCAGAGACTCTGCAGACATCAAAAAGATAATAAGGAAATACTATGAACTCTACACATATAAATTTGACAACTTACATCAAATGGGCCAATTCCTTGAAAAACACAAACTACCACAATTCAACCAATCCTGAAAGATTACCGTATGATTCCAGTTATATAATGTTCTTGAAATGACAAAATTGTAGAAATGGAGAACAAATTAGTAGTGGCCATAGATTAAGGAGGGTGTAGAAGTAGGAGAAAAGTGGGCAAAGTTATAAAAGAGCAACAAAAAGGATACTCGTGGTGATGGAACTATTCTATACCTCAGCTGTATCAATGTAATTATCCTGGTTGTGTTATTGTACTACAGTTTTGCAAGATGCTACCACTGGGGAAAACTGAGTAAAGGATACATGAGATTTCTCTGTATTATTTATTGCAGCTACATGTGAATCTACGATATCTCAAAATAAAAAGTTTAACTTAAAAATAAATAGGCCAGGCACAGTGCTCATGCCTGTAATCCTACCACTTTGGGAGGCCAAGATAGCCGGATCACTTGAGGTCAGCAGTTCGAGACCAGCCTGGCCAACATGATGAAACCTCATCTCTACTAAAAATACAAAAATTAGCCAGGCATGGTGGCACGTGCCTGTAGTCCCAGCTGCTTGGGAGGCTGAGGCAGAAGAATCGCTTGAACCTGGGAGGCAGAGATTGCAGTGAGCCGAGATTGTGCCACTGCACTTCAGCCTGGGTGACAGAGCAATTGTCTATCTCAAAATAAATAAACAAAATAAAATAAAGCCAATTCAAGAATGCAGGTGGAGGGGATAAAAAGAGGTAAAAGGAAAAATCAATGCCTGGTTTTTGATACATAATTTCAAAAGAAATCAAGAAAGAGTATATAGAGTTGAATGAACAAGAAATAGAGGTCCACATGCAAAATTTCAAATGAAAAAAATAGCCAACTATTCTTACCATCAAAAAATTCCAGGAGGTTGTGAGTCGGGAGGATCGCTTGAGCCCAGGAGTTTGAGGCTGCAGTGAACTATGATCACACTACTGCACTCCAGTCTTGATGATAGAGCAAGACCCTGTCTCAAAAAAAAAAAAAAAAAAGACTTTCATATTTTTATTCTTTAAATTAGGAGGAAGAGTTAAAGTAATATAAGGAAGCTAAATTATTTTCTTTTACTACAAGGGTTCAAAAGCTAATTTTATATATAAATTACATATATCTTAGCTAAGACATATCATGTATGTGTCTTAGCCTATTAGTTAGATTAGACCAGTAATTCCCAATGAACTAAAACCAGAAAAAAAAAACTAAAAAAGATTGCCTTGATTTTTATTTTCAGTACTTTCAGCAGACTAAGTATTTGAATTGGCTCTCCTGCTTAATAGAATAAGAAAAGCTATATAACATTTTTCATCAACTTGAAGATATTTAGGTTGCTATCAAAACAGTGAAAAATGAGGACACCAAGATCCAGGAGGGGATCAAAGAGGTGAGCCTGGCATTTGGATCTGATTTTCTCCAGATGCATCAGCCCATTCTGGGAGACAGAAGTGGTGGACTGAGAAGCTGAGCATATTTTTTCTTTTAGGGGAGGGGGTTGGTTTTTTTACTACTTGGTGTTCTCTGAGCTTCTGGAACCTGTGGTGTGCTATCTGTTGCTAATTTGGGGAAATTCTTGACTATAATTTGTCCAAGTTCTCCCTCCTTTTCTCTTCCCTCCCCTCCCCTTTCCCTCTCTCTCATCTTCTGGGATTCCAATTACACATATGTTAGCCCACTGATATTATCCTACAGTTCTTAGATGCTTTGTTCTGTTTTTTCACAATTTATTGCCCTTTGTGTTTCAGTTTGAATAATTTCTACTACACTGTCATCAAGTTTACTGATTCTTCTCTCAGCTATGTTGAGTCTACTGACAAGCCCATCAAAGGCATTCTTCATTTCTGTTACTGTGTTTTCTATTTCTAGCATTTTTATTTGATTTTTCTAGTAGTTTCCATCTCTCTTTTGAAATTACCCATCTGATTATCCATGAAACAAAGTGGATTAATTTCAAAAACATATTGCTAAGTGAAAGTAAGCCAAACTGGAAATACTACATACTTAATGATTTCATTCACATGACATTCTGGAAAAGGCAAAACTATAAAGACAGAAAACATATCACTAGTTACTAGTTACTAAAGGAGGCAGGAGTGGATTGGCTACAAACAGGAATAAGGGAACTTTGGGGTGGTAAAATATATATTTTTATTAAACAAATGTATATACTAATAAAAATTTATAGACTGTACACTTAAAATGGTGAAATTTTACTGTATGCAAATTACATGTCAACAAACCTTATTTTGAAAAAAATAAAATGATAAAAATAAAATAAAGCCCTGCCATTACACATACTCCAGAAGAGATAAATTTTTTAAACTGGCCACACTAAGTGTTGTGAAGATATAGAACAATGAGAATCCTCTTACACTATTGGAGGATTGTAGATTCCTACGAGAACTTTGGGAAATTATTTGACAATATCAACTAAAATTGAACATATGCACGCCCCATGACCCCGCCATTCCCTTACTAGGATTATACCCAAAGCAAAATTCACAAAAATGAATGCCAAGAGACAAGTACAAAACTGTTTATAAGCCCTGATTCATCATAGCCAAAAACTGGAAACAGTCGCATATAATTGATAATTCAATGCACTCTACATTTCTATATACTAGTGTCGTATGCACTTTTCTAAACACATTTTGTGCTTGTTTTATACTTTATAAAAACGTATTCCATAGTTAAGTATGCAACGCCTTTCATGCTTGGCCCCTGCCCACCTCCACAGCCTAATTTCCTGTCCTATACAGTCTCATTCAGACAGACCATAGCCCCTCCCTCATTCTCCACGCCTTGGCACATTCTGTTCACACTATCTGGATAGTCTGCCATGTGTCCAACTTTGAAAATCGTCTTCCTCTACGTAGCAATCTTCATCTTCACTTCAAAGCCTAAATCAGATATTATCTCTTTCCAGATGCCTTCGTTGAACTCCCACTCCATACAACCTTCCCCCAACAAGGCTGCATTAGGTACTTCTAACTTAATTCCTCATAACACCCTATGCTTTAGGTCAGAGTTTATCAACCTCATCACTTTTGACATTTTGGGGTCAGATAATTCTTGATGTGAGGGGCTGTCTTGTGCATTTTTAGGAATTTTTTTTTGCATTCTCACCTTCTACTCAGTAGATGCCCATATTATGCCCCCTCCCCACCCCACACTGTGACAAATGGTCTCTGAGCAGCAAAACCACCTCTGGTTGAGAAGCACTGTTCTGGGGCTTTGGAGGAGGCTTCCTGTGCCTGAGTTCAGAAACAATTGAGATATCAGCCAAAAGTCAGGGAGATGAAAATCAAAACGTTAGTGATAGAGCTGAGTGGAGAATGTGGCTCTACCCTCCCATCCCGGAGACAAACGGTGCAGGATGACCAAGGGCCCCCACACAGGCAGGCCCCTCGGGGGTGGCAGAGAGGAGACTGGGATGCCAACGTCCTGGGTAGGGGCTGGCTGAGGGAAGGGGCAGATGGAAGGAGCTAGCCGATTTGCTGGATTTTTCCTTCCAACTCCCCAGCCCGACATGAAAAAGATGGTGCCGGGTGAGGAGAGAGGCCGGGGGATTACTCAAGAATCCTTCCAGAGGGAAAAAATGACGATGGCCCTAACACCGTGCCTCCGTCACAGCATTGGGGACATCATTGTTCCTGGCCTCTTGTCTGTCTCCTGCATGGACATGGAGGGTATGGACTGTGTCCTGTTCATCCCTGCATCCCCAGGGCTGGTCCAGGGCCTGGCTTGAGCTGGGAGTTCACTACATGTCCTTTCATTCTTCTAGTCCCCACCATTGCTGCTATTGCAGTGTGCCTGGGACCCTTAGAGCCCCACAGTATCTCCGGAGAAAGCCATCCCTCTGCCTCCTGTGTCCCCGGCTCAGGGACATCGCTCACCAAGGGAGCCTGATACGTGAAAGAAGTTCAAATGTTCTATCAACTGGGAAGGCCTGCGGCAGCAATGGGCACTTCCTCTGCACCACAGCCATCCGACCACAAGAGGGCGACATCCCCCTTCCAATGCCTCTACAGCCGCCATCCCTAAAACCAACAGCTCGACCCAGGACCAGAGCGGACATACGAAGGAGGTGGACCCCCTACTCCCCTTTCTAAAGGAAGGAGGGGGCCCTGCACTAGGTGATTGGCCTCATGGGCCACAGCTGGGCATCTGGCTGACTCAAGTTCTAGGCTTCTCCTTCCCCCAACCCGTCCCCTCGAGGTTCTCTCCTATTGAGCTAGGGACATCCCCAGCCTCTCCAGAGCCAGTGAGGTGACCACTCCCTGGTGCTATCCTGGGGGCTCCACCAGCCCTGGGCTGATCAGGAAGGCCCCATGCTGGCCCTCAGCTTCCCACCATCCCCACTTCTAAGTGGTGCTGCTACCTCTCAGGTCCTGCTTCCCTGTGCAGCCTGGATTCCTCCCAATGCAGCCCTTGTCCAGCTTCGTCTGCCTCTTGGGGGACTGTCCTAGACTCTCTGTCACTGGATCTTTGGACCAGCCAATACTATCAGTTGCCTCACCTGCTAAGGGCACAGTGAGACAGCTGGTCACCAGGATGTCACGGGCCCTGAGCCTCTTCTCTCTAAGGCCTGTCCTTGCTACCCCTCCTCTTGTCCCACTCTTCTCTGATCTCAATGACTTCTGCCATTGTGTACAAAATTGGTGGGTTCTTGGTACACTTGAAGCCGCAGACCCTAGCGGTGAGTGTTACACTTCTTAAACATGGTGTGTCCAGAGTTTGTTCCTTCTGATGTTCAGATGTGTCCTGAGTTTCTTCCAACTGGTGGGTTCGTGGTCTCACTGGCTTCAGAAGTGAAGCTGCAGACTTTTGCAGTGAGTGTTACAGTTCTTAAAGGCGGCGCATCTGGAGTTGTTCCTCCCTCCCGATGGGTTCATGGTCTCGCTGGCTTCAGGAGTGAAGCTGCAGACCTTCACAGTGGGTGTTACAGCTTATAAACGCGGTGCGGACTCAAAGAGTGAGCAGCAGCAAGATTTAGTGCAAAGAGCGAAAGAACAAAGCTTCCACAGTGTGGAAGCAGAGAGCGGGTTGCTGCTGCTGGCTAGGGCAGCCTGTTTTTATTCCCTTATCTGACCACCCCTCACCTACATCCTGCTGATTGGCCCATTTTACAGAGAGCTGATTGGTCCATTTTGACAGGGTGCTGATTGGTGCATTTACAATCCCTGAGCTAGACACAGAGTGCTGATTGGTGCATTTACAATCCTCTAGCTAGAAGTAAAAGTTCTCCAAGTCCCCACTAGATTAGCTAGACACAGCACTGATTGGTGCCTTTACAAACCTTGAGCTAGACACAGAGTGCTGATTGGTGTGTTTACAAACCTTGAGCTAGACAGAGTACTGATTGGTGTATTTATAATCCTTTAGCTAGACATAAAAGTTCTCCAAGTCCCCACCAGATAAGCTAGATACAGAGTGCTGATTGGTGCATCCACAAACCCTGAGCAAGGCACAGAGTGCTGATTGGTGCATATACAATCCTCCAGCTAGACATAAAAGTTCTCCAAGTCCCCACCTGACTCAGAAGCCCAGCTGGCTTCCCCTAGTGAATGCCGTGCCTGTGGGCAAAGCTGCCTGCCAGTCCCGTGCCCCACACCTGCACGCCTCAGTCCTTGGGCGGTCGATGGGACCGGGCACCACGGAGCAGGGGGCGGTGCCCGTCGGGGAGGCTTGGGCCCGGTGGGAGCGCAGGGAGGACGGGGGAGGCTCAGGCATGGTGGGCTGCAGGTCCCGAGCCCTGCCCCTCGGGGAGGCAGCTGAGACCCCGCGAGAATTGGAGCACAACACGGGCAGGCCAGCAGTGCTGGGGGACCCAGCGCACCCTCTGCAGCTGCTGGCCCAGGTGCTAAGCCCCCCACTGCCCAGGGCCAGCGGCACTGGCTGGTCGCTCCGAGTGCGGGCCCCCGCCCACCCAGAACTCACGCTGGCTCGCAAGCACAGCGCGCAGCCCTGGTTCCTGCCCGCGCCTCTCTCTCCACACCTCCCCACAAGCAGAGGGAGCCGGCTGCAGCCTTGGCCAGCCCAGAGTGGGGCTCCCACAGTGCAGGGGCAGGCTGAAGGGCTCCTCAAGCGCGGCCAGAGTGGGCGCCGAGGCCAAGGAGGTGCTGAGAGGGAGCGAGGGCTGCTAGCACGTTGTCACCTCTCACCATCTCAAGACCTGGACCCCAGCATGCTCCTACCCCCACACTATCTACACCATTCTGGATAAGCCCAAAGTCTTTGGAAGCAGATAGAGATGGATTTGAATCCTTATGCAGCACTTACTAACAGAGTTGTTACTTACCTTCTCCGAGCCTTGGTTTTCTAATCTGTGAAATGGGAGTGATCACGGCCACCATTTTGAGTTTTTTGTAAGTGACATCCTGTGCATCTCATGCAGGGCCCAACAGTATCATAGACAGCCAGTAAATGTTACTTGCCTCCCACCATGTCACATGAGCACTGTGCTCGGCATTCTATACACAGAATTGTGAATATCCACATAACTTTGTCAGCTAGTTATTACTGGCCCATTTTATAGACGAAGAAACTGAGGCAACAAGAGGTCAAATAATTTGTCCGGGATCACATAAGTGAGAAACTAGCAAAGCTGACACTTGGGCCCATATTGGATGGATGTGAAGGCAAATCCTGCTCTGCCTGGGCACTCTGCCCCCATGTTCTGCCTGCAGGTAAAAGAGAGTGTTTTACTGTCCTTGTTTTCTAATAGGCTTCTCAGTGCTTTGATCCTACCTCTGCAGAAGCACCCACTACCACTCCTTTTAGGGAAAAGAGGACTATTTACTTTTTAATTTTACTTTCAATCAGTCAGATTCAGTTCCACGTTCATAGAGACTTGGGGTAGTTCAGTGAAATCAGAGCCTGGGTGTCCTTGGAGAAAGGTTGATGTTCATGCTCACTCTTTTTGTGGGGGTCATTGACTCTGAAAAAGAGGGAAGTCTAATAACTGAGTCTGGGAAATAAAGATGCCTGCATTTCAGGTTCTCTGACCCAGATCCCGGAGGATGGGGAGCAGCTGTTTCCATCTCCGCAGGTGCTAGAACCTCTAGGAATGTAGTCACTTGGAAGGGGAGAAGCAAGAGTGAGTGGAATAGAACTTCCAGAGGTCAAATCACCCGAAAGGTCCAGTGGAGCTGAACACTGCACCGTCTGCCACAGGAGAGGCGCTCACCTGCCCTGCCAAGCAGCAGGCCGGCTGCAGGGGAATGGACAGGTTGGCCTTGCAGACTCAGCGAGCAAGCACTAGGGCATGGGCTATGCAGGGCTGTGAGAGGGCAGCCCAGAGACACCCAGGTCCCAAAGGCCCAAAGAACGGGACATGGGGGTTTTGAGAGGGGAAGGATCTTGCCTAGGCCCCGTTGTGTCCAGTGCCCCTTCTGCTGAGCCACACCCTGGAGCCCTGGAGCTCTCTGGCTCCTGCCACTGCTGACTGCCTGAGTGGTGGTCATTGAGAAATGATTGAGAAAATCTGGGCCAGGTCCAATCCGCCACGAGGGATGATTGATAATGGGAACAGAGACTGTGGGTCTCCGTCCTCACCGCTGTACTGAAGCTTTTAATAATCAGCCTGTCTCTAAGTACCTGAAGACTCTCGGCTTCCAGCTGTCTATTAATTGTGCCTCTCAGGCCCTTGGACAGTTGATTCAGCCTACTGCCCACTGTGACCGCTTCCAGGAAAGGCAATGAGTGGCTGCGGTTCCCAAGTTGGCCACTAGAGGGAGCCGTAGCCCGTGGCAGCTCTGCCTTAACTGGCGGGGGAGAAGAAAACCAAAGGGTCACAGAATCCCTGCCTGTATGGACATCCCAAAGTCCTCCCTTAGCTCTCCCCAGTCCAAGTTTAGGCCCCTCCTGTTTTCAGAAGTTCTTGAAAAGGGAGGTCCATCCTCCCCTGAGGACCACTGGCAGCAGCTCCTGCCGAAACCCTGCCTACAGGTGCCTCAGCGGGGTGGGGCCTTGGGGGAGGCTGCCTGGGAGACAGAAGGCAGATGAGATGGGAAACGGAGGGACAGAGAGGAGGGAAGGCAGAGGGCAAATGCAGACAGGATGGGCTGGAAGGGAGGAGGCGCTGAAAAGGGAGACGGGGGAGACTGGAAACAGGAGAGAGGAGACCCCAAGGGGGAAACCTCGAACTCAGCCTCCCCCACCTGCCCTTCCTGCCGGTCCCAAATACTCATCCAGAGGAGGGCCCGACTCCCTCCCTCCAGTGTCTGCTGTTGCTCCCGGCCTGCCCTGTTTACCTGGCCAGCCACGGTCTCCCAAACACCAATCCAGGATTTGGGGTTATTAGAGGCTGGGGAGGGTGAGATCCTGGAGCAGGAATCGGAGAAGAGGAAGCGCAGTGAGACGGCTGTAACCCAGCACCAGGCACACACAGAACGCTGACGCTGCCCTGAATTCCACCCAGCTGCGGCTCTCACCTGATCTCCACCTCTCTTATATCTGCTTGGGATAGAGTTCAGCTGTTTTTAGTCATCTGAAGGACTGTCATTCACAGAAGGCTTCTCCTTCCCCGGCTGACACCTGCTGATACTGCAGCAGGAATGATCCAGGTTAGGTATCAGAAGCTCCTTCCAAAAGGCTGCCCCAGGAGGGGGCTTCAGCTTTCTGGGACACATCTCCTTCCTTCCTGGCCTCTGTCCTCGCCATCCTGACGTCTACGCAGGAGAAACCTTGGCCAAAGTGACTAACGGAAGCAAAGAGTAAAGCCCAGGAAAACACGTCGATTGGGGTGGGTGGGGGTCAAGGTCTTCCGAGCTGTCTATACTTGCTGTGTCTCTACTTCCTATTCACTCATCAGTTCACCAACTCTACAAATCTCGTGAGACTTTCATGAGCCTGACGCTGTGCTAAGCCACTTCCTCAGCCTCCTGCCCCCTACTGATGCTGTCGCTCTTTTCCCAAAGAAAAGGACAAGGATGATTTCTTTGTGGCCAAATTCAGTGTCCTTCTTCTGGGGCTCACTAACTTTGATCCTAAGGTGGTGGCTGGACTGTTGACCAGCCATTCTTTCCTTCTAGAAAAGAAGAAAAGCTCCTTTCCCCATCAAAACACCACCCCTTCTAGGTCCTCCTCCTTCCTCTCTGAGACCTCTGTCTTCTTCACAGGACCTTCTCCTCCTCTCCTTCCCTTCTCCTTACACAGCAATGTTCCCCTGCTTCCACCCACGACTCTCCTCTGTCTACAGTACCTCTGTGTCAGGATGACTCACAGCCTGCAAAGGCACAGCAATATTCCTATGTCTCTATTTTCTACATCACACAACCCTCTCTGCAGCACTAGCAAGAAACTTTAGGTTGTATCTAACACTTGGAGCTTAGATAGCACCAAGGCCTGGAGACAGGCCCACCTGGTCATCCAGTCTGTTGTCCTCAGAGATGTCCACCGTCTAGTCTGGGTGGCCCTGTGAGTTAAGCTGCTCTTTCTGCAGTCTCTAGACTCCACACATGGAGCATAGAAAGCTCTGCCCTGCAGCCTCAGGCCTTGTCCTCTGTGCCCGAGATACAGGGGAATGGACAGATTGACCTTGCAGAGGAGTAAGCACGAGGACAGAGGCCATGCAGAGAGGCAGTCACCTCCCTGGAGATAATGTTGAGAACTCCATGCAGCCACCCACCCCAACCCCAGACCCTTTCTCATTCTCTTTCTCCAGTCCAAGGGGGGCATTTGAACTGACCCAACTTGAGTCACGAACTCATCCCTGGACCAGTCTGCAGTATGACTGGAGGAAGTGGTCAAGATATCTCAATACACTGACATGGCCCCTGGTACCCATCCCTACACATCCCCCCCTTCCCATGAAAGAGGGGGACTCAAGCTGTTCAGCTACCCCCTCCCCATATGGTATCTAATATAACTCTTAAATCTTTCCCTCCAGCACATGTTGGAGTATGAATCAGAAATTTCCAGTTGTTCCCAATACCCACTCTCCTCTCCTCCTTTACTAATAACTCCCCAGAAGTATGGCTGTACTCATGGCTGCAAGGTATAAAAATGGCATTTCCCAGCAGCTAGTTGAGGCCATGTGACAGTTCTGGCTATTGTGATCTGAGCAGAAACAATGTATATACTGTAAATGTACCACATCCTTAAAGAGAAGGGCACGCCCTCTCCTTCCTCTTTTCCTGCTTTTCACTGACTAGAATGCAGTTGTAATGGCAGGAGCTGGAGCAACCATAATGGACCACATATTGAGGATGGCAGGGCGATCAAATTGAAGGGCCCTGGGGTCCTGACTAATTTCATAGGGGAGAGCTATAATACAAGTAAGACAAAAACAAATGGCCACATTTAAGTGTTTGGTAATTCAAAGTCTTTGTTATAGAAGCTGCACTAATATTCTAACTGATACAGAGCTAAAGAGATCTTCAAGCCAGGTACAGTGGCTCACGCCTGTAATCTCAACACTTTGGGAGGCTGAGGCAGGAGGATCACTTGAGCTTGGGAGTTCAAGACCAGCCTGGGCAACCTAGCAAGACCTCATCTCTGCTACAAAAAAAAAAAAATTGAAAAAATTAGCTGGGCATCGTGACACACACCTGTAAGTCCCAGCTATTCAGGGGGCTGAGGTGGGACAATTTCTTGAGCCCAGGAGGACAAAGCTGCAGTGAGCTATGATTGCACCACTGCACTCCAGCCTGGGCAATGGAGCAAGACCCTGTCTCTATAAAAAACAAAAACAAGAGATCTTCAGTCCATTTCTATAGCACTTTCCAGCTATGAGATTTGGAGCAAACTACTTAATCCTTCTGAGCTTTCATTTTCTTAGCTGTCTGCCTATTTCCCACAATCATTTTATAAAATGAATGAAATAGCATTTAACAAAGCACCTAATATAACATTGACATATACTTGGGGTTCAGTTGATGTTGAAACTGACAGCCCAGTCATCTTTACAAAATACCAACCAGATCCCCTGCCCCCTTGATTCAGAATCTTCAAACATTCCCACTGCTCTAACTACAAACACCAAACCCTTCCTGTGGCCTGCAAAGCCCTGCCTAGCTTACCCAGCCTCTCTAGCCCAACCCTCCCCACCTCCCCCAACCCTCCCACCTCCCCAAACCCTCCCCACCTCCCCCTGGCTCCCTTTGCCCACACTGACCTTGCAGTCCCCTCACTCCCTCTACAAACATTGATCAAGGGTCTTCCACAGGCCAGACACTGTGCTGGGACTTCACACATACAGACCTGGAGCCTTGCTCTTGCAGACTTTACAGTCTAGTGAGGGAGAAAGAAAAAAAGAAGTTCACATAAATAAATAAGCATAGCTAACATTTACTGAGCACTTACTACCTGCCAGGTGCTGTCTGAGCTGTTTTTGCCTACATAAATTATCAACTCCTACAACCCTCTGAGTTAGGTGTTACTGTTATCACCCCACATTTTACAGATGTGGAAACAAGCACAGCAGGGTCAAGCAACTTGCCCAAGGTCACACAGCTAGTAGGCATGGAGCCAGAATTTGAACTCATGTAGTCTGACATCATAGCCTGTGCATTCAACCACGAGTCTGTCCTGCCTTCAAATTCATGTCAAATTACAACTGTGAAATGTGCTATCAAGGGAGTGTACGTGGGGTTCAGAGGCATGAAGACTCTCCTGCCCCTGGGCCTCGGCATGTGCTGTTCCCTCTGCCTGAAACACCCTTTCTTCCCTCTTTGCCTGACCAACTCCTGTTCACCCTTTGGATTCTGACATTCAGCACATGTCACTTCCTAAGGGACACCTTCTCTGCTCTCCCCAGAGCATCCAGATCCATTTAGAAACTCTTGCTCTATAAAGCACCCTTGCTCCAGTGCACGATCACACTGTGATTATATATTTGCTGATTCTTTATATGTTTTTCCTGATCCCACGAGACCCGGAGTGCCATGAGACAAACAAACACATTGTTGGTGCTCAGGGCCAAGTACAGTGCCTGTACATAGTAGGTGCTCAGTATGTGTCTTTCAAATCAGTTAATTAATTGGTTGATTGACTTACCCCAAGCTGGGCCTGCTGTCTCCAGAGCGCTAAAGCTCCGTTTCTCCTGGTGGTCTCTTGCTCTCCTCAAGGACTCCTACCCATGCCCCAGTGGCCTTGGCTCCTGATACCCTAAACCAGCCAGAATCCCCTGAGGGAGGGAGGGGTGATGGTTCAGCCAGGTCAGATTCTGCAAATGCAAGAGGGGCTGAGGGAGGGCCGGGGTGGGGAAATGACAACCTTACAGGCACCCCTTGGTTTCCCAGGGCCAGACCTGGGAAGGGGGTTTCCCAGAACCGATCTGGGAGTCAGGAAATGGAGCAGAGGTTAAGAGGAGGGGCCCAGAAGATGGACATCCTGTCTCGATGGCCAGAAATGATCTTTCAAACCCCATAAAAGCTGGAGCCATGGAGGCGGTTGTACCACCATCCCACACGCTGTGGTCTGGAGTCCAGAGCCGGCCAGATCAATATCATGTGAGAGGCTTTCTGCTCCAGCCTTTTCTGCTGCCAAGTGTCCCCAGAGGCCTAAGGAAATGGCGGAGAAGGCAAGAGCCACCAGAAAAGGAAAGGAAGCTCATGTTTCTCGATGCCCTGCAGGGCCAGCAGTAAGCTGAGCACCATGCTAGGTGCTGTGTGGTCATGCAGCCCTCCAGGATAGGTGTGACCCCATTTGACGGATAAGGAAACTTGGGCCCAGCCATGCCTATCCTCTTGGCTTGACCTGGATGAGGTGGTCTCCTGGCATGTGCCAGCAGCCATACCCAGGACAGAGCCTCGAAAGGGCCTTTTGCAGTCTCTGGGCCCAACATTTCCAGGTACAGGAGCTCACCCCTCCCAAAGCACCCCTTTCCATTTCAAGCATCTCCTCCCCGCTCTGGCCTCCCTGTGGCCCTCGTCTATTACATGGGGAGCCCAGAGAATGCTGACTGTTCCAGAGAGGAGGCCATCAAACATCGGAGGCCAGCATCCCATCTCAACCTCCCTGAAGCTCTTCTTCTCCAGGCCGAGGTCTCAGCTCCTTCAGGTGCTCCTTGAGGCCCTGACCCTTTTCTACCACACCCCAGCTTGCCCACATCCACATCCAGTGTGCACCAGGCCCCGCAGCTGATCTGATCTGCAGAGTTCATGGAGACATTCCCCTCCTTTGATCACGCCCTTCTGCTAACTAGTGTGGCAGGGGTCAGCTCACTGTGGGAGAAGCTCCCTGCCCCACTGATGACCCCATGACCCCTGGGACTGACTCATCAGTTAGCTGAACACCAGAATGCTTGGAGAGAAGGAGGTAGGAAAGCAGATGCCTGCATGGAGACGCAGCATATTCCGAGGGACTAGGTCTCTTGTGTACGTGTGTCTGTGTGTGTATGTATGGGCCTGTATGTCTGCATATCGTGTGTGTGTGCATCTGTGTGTCTCTGTGCATGTGTGTTCATGTGTGTGCATCTGTGTGTGCATGTGTATATGTGTGTCTGGTGTCTCTGTGTGTCCGTGTGTGTCTGCATGTCTTGTATGTGTGTGCATCTGTGTGTCTGTGTGCATGTGTTCATGTGTGTGTACATGTGTCTATGTGTGTGCCTGGGTATATGTGTGTCTGCGTGTCTCTGTGTGTCCATGTGTGAGTCTGCATGTTGTATGTGTGTGCATCTGTGTGTCTGCATGTGTGCTTGTGTGTGTGCATCTGTGTGTCTATGTGTGTGCATCTGTGTCTGTGGGCATGCGTTTGCACGTGTGTCTTTGTGTCTCTGTGTGCGCATGTGTGTCTGTGTCTCTGTGTGTACATATGTGTGTCTGCATGTCTTGTGTGTGTGCATCTGTGTGTCTGTGTGCATCTGTGTGGGCATGTGTATGCACGTGTGTCTGTGTGTCTCTGTGCACGTATGTGTGTCTGCATGTCTTGCGTGTGCTTCTGTGTGTGTGAGGGGATGTGTCTTTAGTCCTATACCTACTGTCAGTGTTTTTAGAATGGGCCATATCCTTCCCATGTTCTGACTGCTTGTAAATTACTAAGCACTAATAAATAGGCATTTTCACCAACTAACAGGGAAAATCCCAGTAAAACCAGTTTCTTAAAAGAGGACGGCAGACTTTCATTTCACCACCCCCACCACCCAGGAGGTATTGTGAAGCCTGTGGAGCTGAAATGAAGCAGCCTGCAAAGCCTCTTCCAGGCGTCCCCTCCCACCCAGCTCCGCAGGCCCTGGAGGTGAGTCCCATGAAGATATGGCCACGGCTCCTCCCCTCTTAGCCCACAGGATGCAGGAGGAGGGACATTTGAGGCCTGGAATTTTTAAAATACCAGTGGCCTCCACTCCAGATGGGAGGGGATGGCATCCTCCCACCCCAAAAAAGCGAGGCGGGATCTAAGCCAGTCCAGAGGGGACTTCTTCCCACTGTGACTTCCTCCGCTCCTCAGCTCCCCACCAGTCCAAGCACAGGTGCCCATGGGCCTACACACACACCCCTGATCTAGAAGAAGCCAATCTGAGGAGAGGGCTCCTAGTGGCTTTCAGCCTGGGCTGCACATAGAGTTGCCCAGGAGTGATTAAAATTCCCACTGCCTAGGCTGGACCTCAGACTGACCCACTCCGAATCTCTGGGGTGGGGCCCAGGCTTCAGCACTTTCCAGCAGAGCTTGAGGACAAGAGAGAGCCTGATAGCCGCCATCCCTCTGCCCCTCCTGTGCCCCCGTTGATGTTCCTGCCTCTTCCAAGGCTGGACTCTCTTCACACCCTGCACGCCTGGTGCAACCAGAGTTATCCTGCTCATCAGGACCAGCACTGGTCCCTACCTGGCCTCGGCCAGCCCCAGGCAGCAGAGATTCCAGAATCTCATCAATAAGGCAGGCCCCCAAGGTGAGGTCTAGGACTGCTTCTCTCCCATGGAGACCCAAACTGGGTCCTCACGTTTCAGGTGGTGTTGAGGCAGAGCCCGGGGCTGAGCATGTCAGCCTGGCCTAGTCCCAGCATGAGATACACACACAAGCAGCTCAAACTTCAGCACTTACGCAGATTTCCTGGGGATGTGGCTAACATGAAGATTCTGATCTGCAGGCCTAGGGTGAGGCCAAAGGTCCTGTCTTTCCTGTAAGCACCAAGTGATGTCGATGCCGATGGTACAGGGGCCACACTCTGCATAGAAAATGCAAAGGCGACTGGGAGCGGTGGCTCACGCCTGTAACCCCAGGACTTTAGGAGACTGAGACGGGTGGATCACCTGAGGTCTGGAGTTCGAGACCAGCCTGGCCAACGTGGTGAAACCCCATCTCTACTAAAAATACAAAAATTAGCCGGGAGTGGTGGCGTGTGCCTGTAATACCAGCTACTCAGAAGGCTGAGGCAAAAGAATCACTTGAACCCGGGAGGCGGAGGTTGCAGTGAACCGAGATCGCACCACTGCACTCCAGCCTCCTGGGTGACGGAGTGAGATTCTGTCTCGAAAGAAAAAAAGAAAAGAAAGAAAGAAAAGAAAAGAAAAAAAGAAAGAAAGAAAATGCAAAGGTCCTTTGGGTATTCTGTGTGATAATGTGTGTCAGAAGAGCTGCCCTTCCTCAACCAGAGCCCTCCACTGCTGCCCCATCCACTTCCTCCTCCTTGAGGCACCAAGAGCACAGCCACCTCACTGCTGAGTCCCCTGAAAGGCCAGCTGCATCAGCTCGGCTCACAGGCCGTAGCTTGTCTCTCTCATCAGACACTCCTCCCCTGTACCAGGCCCACCCCTGAGGTACCTACATCCCTCTGCAGCTGGCCAGTGTCAGGGGATGACCTCCTGACCTCCCCCATCACACACCCAGGAGCCCTGGTCCACACCCTGGGAAGCCAGCCTACAGTCTAGCCCGTGACCCCCTATCTGACCAGTGACATCAGTTTGGCTTCCCACTTGCCCATGGCTCATCAGAGTCTGTCTCTCCCCTCAGAAGCCAGCCCTGAGAGCAGAGAAAGAGGCAAGAGCTAGGAAGAGCCTGGCTGAGAAGTCAGCTCACCTGGGTTCGTAGCCTGGCTGGGCCACTTACCCCAACTCTGTGATTTTGAGTAAGTGTCTTCACCTCTTTGAACTCCAGTTTCTTCAACTGTGAAATGAGGACAAGGATAGCCCTTACCTCTCAGGTGCACGTGCGTGAGAAATGATACCCAAGTGCTTAGCACAGGCTCTCTGGCACGTAGCAGGTGTTGGCTGAGTGCCAGCCTTCACCGGTGGTGGTGATGCTGAGTACAAGTTCTGCCAGCTAGAAACTGTGTGACCTCTCAGAGCCTCGGTTTCCTTACTTGTCCCTGTGTATAACAGCGCCTACCTCATGGGTTTGTTGGGATGACTCAGCATGACGATACCTAACAGAGAGCAGGGTGCAAGACATGTTCAGTCTCCACCTTGGACAGGGTCTGAGTTTCCTGTGTCTTGTATCCCTCATAGCAACAGATTTCAAAGTATGATCCGGGGACCCCAGGGGTCCCTGAGACCCTTTCAGGAGTGTTGAGGTCAAAACCATTTTCATAATGCTATTAAGCCATTATTTGACTTTTTTTTGCTCATTTTCCCACAAGTATACAGTGTTTTCCAGAGGCCCATGATGGGTGATATTGCAACAGATTGTATGCAGAAGCTTATATAAGAATCCAGCTATCTCCTGCTAAGCCAGACATGATTAGGCCTTTAAAAACTGCAAAGCACATGGTGGCTCACGCCTGTTATCCCAGCACTTTGGGAGGCCAAGGAGAGAGGATTGCTTGAGCCCGGGAGTTCGAGACCAGCCTGAGCAGCATAGTGAAACCTCTTTTGTACAAAAAAAAAAATTAAAAAATTAGCCAGGTGTGGTGGCGCACACCTGTGGTCCCAGCTCCTTGGGGGCTGAGGTGGGAGGATCACTTGAACCCAGGAGGTGGAGGCTAGTCATAGCGAGCTATGATTGTGCCACTACACTCCAGCCTGGGCGACAGAGCAAGACCCCGTCTCAAAAATAATAATAATAATAATGCAAAGCAAAGTCACCTTCTCACCCAGTGCTTTTTGTTTTAGAAAATATTATTTCTCACAAAAATGCTCTCTATATTAACATGTGATGAATTTATCACTATGGAAGTGAATTAAGTATTTTTAATGTTCTCAGTTTTAATTTATACTATGGTAAAAGATCAAAAGATATAATCCTTCTAAACAAAAGCCCTTTGGGGTCCTGAATAATTTTAAGAATGTAAAGGAATCCCAAGACCCAAAAGCTTGAGAAGGCTGCCCACACGAGGACCGTGAGGGTCACTGAGGGGGCTCAGCACAAACCTGCTCAAATAAGCTGATCTGAGCCTCCTCCAGCCACATGGTGAGCTCAGTGGAGAGCTAGCACCACGTCACTGAGTATTTTGGATCTCCCAGAGACCCCTGTGCTGTGCTAGGCATGTCTCAATAGGTCCCACCCCCAAACTTTCTGAATTCCAAAGAATTTGCCCAGGAGCCCTGGGCCTAGTGCACGAGTGAACCACACATTTGCCACTTGATGGGCACAGGCCCCAATAGATGTTGCCTGACAACCCGTGTTCCCCCTGTCTCTGACAGACCTCACTCCTTCCGGGATCAACCACTTCCCCATTCTCAGTCCCCGTAGTTTCAGAAGGCTCCAGAGGCAGTTGCGTGACCCAGATCCGGATAGAATGATTGGTTTCGAGTTAATCATATGAGCCAGGCAGGATCCAGATCACAGCCAATGATCGCATGTCCCAGTTTCTTGCTGAGAACATTGGGAGAAAAGAGCCCCCCTTTCTCCTAGAGCTACCGAGCTGGTGGGATGGAAGCCCAGAGCATCTGGGGGCACCGCCACTCAGATACAGCTTACCTGAAAGTTAAGCCAACTCAGAACCAAGTGATGGGGATGAATTCCAGATTCTACCATTTGAGCCCTTAAATGCAGCTAGGCCTGGCCTTCTCAGTCACTCGGGCCAAGAAACTTATCTTTTTCTTAAACAAGTTTGAGTTGAGTTTCTCTTGCAGCTGAAAGAGTCCAAATGAATAAACACAGGGAACCAGAACCACCACGCAGATGGTGGGGAGGCCGCTGGGAGGATTTGAGCTGTCCACTAGAGGCATCGCTGAAGCCCACCTGGATCTCTGGAGAGGCCCCTTTTTGCCCACCAGAGACATGGCAGACCCCTGTCCGAACAACACAGATAGATAACGGCACAGAGTTTTCTTTAACTTTATCATTTATAAAGCCATACAATGCATTGCAAAGAAACAAAGCAGCTGTACAGGAGTGGGGACGCGTCAGTGTACAATACATTCATGTCCAGGATAAGGAGCATACACCAGGATTTATACACGGTGGCAGCGGCTATAGGCACGATGATACAAAATATAAAGTATATTTCCATCTATATAAATACACAGCTGGGGTGGGGAAGGATGCTGGGTGATCTTGTTTCCCCCGCAGAGGGCCTGGGAGGCAGGGAGGGTGGTGGGAAGGGATTTCTTACATTTGTTCTCAATGATGGGTCTGAAGGGAGGAGAGAAATGGGGAAACACAGCCTGCACACACTGATGTGCTCTCACACACACGCACAAACAAAACACAGACACAGGAGAGTTTCAAACAGCTTAACACTGATTGGAAAACAAGCTTGGGACATCCCTCTACAGTAACTCCACTGCTGGCAAGAGCCCAGGCGTGGGATATGAACAGAGGTCCTCCAACATTTTGGACATTTGAGGACAGAGGTGCCAAGAGGGACAGATCTGCCCGAGGCCCCCACCCTGCCCCTCTGGGTGAACCACTTCTCACCTGGGCTATCGCTGAGACTCCACCAATTGGTTGGCCTACAGGCCTCACCTCCCGACTCCCCTCACTGCTGGGCGACATTGAATTTGAAGTTCCATTGCCCAGCACCTCCAACCCCGACTCCCAAGTTCCCTAAAGAAATGAGCAAAACACACGCACACACATACATCCACACTTGCACATGCGCACACACGTCCTGTGTTACCACTGGCCAAGGAAACGCGAGTCTCAGGATTCCAGGGCCTGGACCTGGGGTAAAGGGCTGCTCTGGGACTCTGCCCCCCAACCTCTTGGAGGACCCCGAGTGTGGGGGCAGGATTGGGTGTCTGCCTTGACTCACAGGATCTCCCCAGGTCCTAAAGCTGAAAAAAAAAGTGGGAGAAGATCCAGGAGGCAGGGGTGGTGGACAAAAGTAGGAGTGAGACTAAAAAGTGGGAGTGAGACTAGATTTGATCACACTCACCACCCTTCTGTGCCCCCTGGACAGCATGCTCCCCTGGAGCCCCTGCACAGGCTCATCAGAACAAGGCAGAATCTCCTACTCACTAACCTCCTGAGAGCCGTTTATAGGGGGATCACACTTGTCCAGGAGGGCTGCCCCTCCTGCTTTCACACAACCACTGGCCCCACCATCCCTCTCCTGGCCAGTCTCAGAAGACCCAGGGATCCTCAAAAACCAGGGGAGAAGGAATCCTGGCCATTGGTGTCCACAGCTTTCAGAGCTACTGGAGGAGACGCTCAGATGACATGGGTCAAAGGCCTTTCCCAAACTTAGGATGTGATGTATCTGTCCCTTAAGCGCCTGGCTAAATAAGAGAGCCAGAACACCGTGATAGCAGGCTGATCAAACCGCTCACTTCCTCCCTGTTTTCCTTCGCAGGTCCCCTCTCCATTGTTTTCTCGCCCAATCCTTCCCTCTTGCTCCCTTTGGGAAAAAGCCACGTGGAGCTCACTGGGCCCCTCCCCCAGCTGAAGGGACATGACCCTCCTCTGCCCTCTTCCCTCCAGACACCCAGCTGGACAGCTGGTGGCAGCACGGGACTGAACCTGCTGGGGTCTGCGTCGCTGCGATGTCCATGACTCCCTGGCTCTTTGTTGCCCATCTTCTCCCAGACCCTTTCCCATCCCAGCCCATGTTCAAGGCCAGACAGCGCTCTCCTGGCTGACACACAGATTCAACAATAAACAACAGTAAAATAGATTCAGGGAGGGAGAAGACAGAAGAAGATAAACATTTACAAAATAATAATTAGTAAAAGTGCTTGCTTTTAAAGGAAATCTTTGGCAAGAATATACTGCAGTGCGGAGTGTTGTGTGTGCGTAGGTGTGTGCATGGGTGCACAGCCCGCCGTGACACAGAAGGGCTCTGGTGCAGGGCCCAGAGGTGGGGCCACTGTGGGGACTGGGGAACCCTTCCCCATCATTCGCCTTGAAAAGTCACACTCTCAGAAACTGACTCCTTCCGCAGGGATGCTGGGAGGGAGTTACCAGCTTTCTGGCATGAATGGGTCCTCCCGCAGGGGCACACATGGCTCAGGCTGGAGTGGAGGGGCTGGCCATGCATGCAAGGTGGGCTGTGGTGGGTGGTGAGGAAGGGAAAAGCGACCGTGAAAGCTGACCCCAGACTCAGTCCTGGGCCCCAGCCAGGCTGCTTGAAGGGTCTGATACACCGCCCAGCCTCAAGTGTGGACAGAACATCCATGCCAGGAATAGGCTCCTGGGCTCTCCAGTGGGAGATGAGATATTTACAAAGGAAGGGGATGGGAAATATCTCCTATCTTGGAAGATAATTGGGGTTTGCTAGGGAATGAGGAGAGGGGGAAACCCAGATATTTGGCTTGAATAACCCAGAAGGAAGAGCACTTTGGAGGGACTTTGGTCACCAGGCACAAGGTTTCACTCTGGGAAGCAGGGGGTGGCCAGTGGGGCCTCTGCCCCTGCTCTCCACCTTCTGCAGACACCCTCCTTTCCAACTCCCTGAAACAGAACGTCCACACTGACACAGCTCCTTGGAGGAGAAAAAATACAAAAGACACACACGCACCTATGTGTGCCATACACACCCATGTCCCCGCATGCTCACACACTCGCTCAGGCCTGCAGAGTCAGGGACAGCTCCCCACACATCCTGGGAGCTGACTGCTGGGCCCCTGGCTTGCTGAAAAGTAAGGGGGCCAAAGGCTGGGACATGTGCAACCCCTCCCAATGCTGAGCCCCACACAGTCTAGGGAAGGCCAAGGCCAGGGCAAGGAGACCCTGGCTGCTTCAAGAACAAAGGCCCCCTACACTTCAGGCTTTACTTACACATATAAAAAAGGATAGGAATTGGTTTATCCCCAAGGAAGGCAATAAAGCAATATGGAAAAACAATAAATACTTCTTGTCAATTTACCTATTCTTTTTTTAACCTTTTCTTACATTTTATTAGCTTACAGATTCTGTCAGTATGTCTCATGTATATATTATATAATATTTATATATCAGTACAATGCCTCTCTCTAGGGGACTCGCATAGGCTTAAGAATGGAGTCCTGGTGAATTTTCCATTCTGGCTTAGAGTCCTTAAATGGTGGTCAGGTGTTTTCCCAACTGTCCAGTGGACCTTAGGCCCTTTGGCCCAAGTGCAAGCCTTCTGCCCTCTGCTGCATGGGCAGCGTGGCTCAGCTAGGGAAACCAAGGCAGAAAGGGTGACAGTGAGGCTTTGGCATTGTAGGTAGGCGATGTGGTGTGCAGGCAGCAGGCCCAGGAGCTCTGCTGAGGTCAGAGGGTGCCTGCAAAAGCCAGACCCTAAAACACTTACAGAGGGGAGGATAAGGACTCCAGGTTTCTGGCCGGAGCCTCACTGAGCAGAAAGTAGGTTCCCCAGGGAGAATTCCAACACAGGGACCCTGCAGAATAGAACAGGGCTGGGCAGAGCAGCAAGACTCAATCCCCAGCCCCCAAAAAGGCATCATGCAGGTAAGCAGGTCTGAGATAAGGCTGGTCCAGGGGCATGAAACCCAATAACAAGGCTGAGAGGTGGGAGCTAAGGCAGAGTCCAGGGCCCCAGCAGGAGCAACTTGCCTTTCTTGCTGCTGAGCCACATGCCTTGGGGAAGACACCCCGAGCTCAACAGCTGCCTGTTCTGACAGATCTCTTCCTATGGATACACATATCTCTACCTCCTCAAACCAAAGCTCCAGGCTTCTGGCCAAGGCAGGACAGGGCGATGCCATTGCAGACCCTCCCACTCCTGCTGGGGTCTTTGTAGAAGAGAAGGGTCTGGCGGCACCCAGGGTCACTAGAGTGCAGGTGCAGGCACCAGGAGAGAGCCTCTGTCACCCATAGCTTGGTTGTTTGTCCCTCCCCTGCTGCACTGCCACCACCAACCCTAATCTTTGGACAGTATGCATGTGTGTCTACAAACACATGGGACAAGGACAAGCCGAGCTGTTTATAATTCGAGTGGATAAAGGCAGATCTAGATCAATGTGTGAGGATGTGGGTGCAGACACACACCCACACGACAATATAGTGGAGGCACAGCAAAGAGACCTGAGGTGCCTTGGGTCTGAGATACTTTCAAGCAAACAAGTTCTTCCACTTGATGTCCCACGGTGGCTCTGTTTGGTTTGACAACCTACCCCACAGGTGGCCAGAAAAAGATTCTCCCAGCTTGATTTCCCCTTGCAAAGCAGTTGAGTTAGGGAGACAGAGCTTTTCCATTCCCCCAAAAAATGTGGATTCCCAAGGAGGTTTGTTCCTTCTCTTTTGAGGACATCCATCTTCTTAGGGGAGGGAGGGGGTGTTAGGTGGACCTGGTTAGTTTTGGAGGCTTTGGGTTTTTGCAGTTTCCATCTACCCAGGGGAATCCAAGTTCTTCTCCTCCATCTTTCTCTCTCTCTCTCTCTCTCTCTCTCTCTCTCTTTTCCCCCTCCCCTCTGCAATTCACTTCCCTCTCCCCACGTTGCACTTTCTTCTCTCCTCCGAAATTGGCCCAAAGTCCTCCTTCTGGGTTCAAGAGTGGTCAGGATTCATGGGTCCCCTCCCCACAAGCCCCTTCCCCATGGCACTGGCCCTGGGCAAGGGGCAGGGTTCATCTCTTTTGGCCGGCATTCAGCATGACCTTGGAGACGAAGTTGACGATGGCAGAGGCCGGCTGGTTGGGGTCAAGCTCAGCAAAGAGGTGGCAGGCGTTGTCCGTGGTGCTGCCCTGCTTCCGGGCCACGAAGCCGAAGAGCCTGCAGGCGGGAGAGGGCAACGGGCATGAGGGAAGGGCAAGTGGAACCCCAGGAGGTGGACAGCAGCCCAGGTGAGCAAGCTGGTCTCAGGCCAACCTCTCTTCCCCATCCCTCCAGCAGGCCTCAGCATCAGGGACTCAGAGAGGTGCAGAAGAGAATCCTCTGTGCACTCCCCTGACCACAAGCCAAGTCCTAGAGACAGTGTCCCACCTTGTTTAAGGGTGGGCAGAAATCCCCTTTGAAGGGGTGCGAGGGGAGCTGCAGAGGATTGACAAGGCTGGATAGTGAGGGGTGGGGAGGAGACCAAAATAAAATGGGAACATTCCTAGACAGGCCTCTCCCCGCCCATCCCAGCCCTACCCCTACTGACTGTTCTTACACACAACACATATGCCAATCAGGAAAGTGCTGTCTGCCTGCAAACGGCTCAGCCTCCTCAGACACCACAAGGTCAGGGAGACAAAGGTCAAGTAGCTCACACCCCTCCACACACACACACTTATTCTTCCTGGGCTCAAGAACCTTGGAAGCCAGAAAATAAAAGGGAAGGTGGACCCCACACCCGTTCCCCACCCCCACCCGCAGGACTGGAGTGACCCAGCATTCTCTTCGCAAAACAGAGTTAAAAATATGAGGGCAGAGAACAGAATGTGAGCTCAGGTCCCCTCCCAGCCAGCATGTTGCTAATTAGAGCGAGATGGGGAAATGAGGACAGCTGGAGATTCCTATGAAAACCCCTCTCCCTACCGCAGGACCACGGCAGCTGAAGTTAGCAAAGGGGGATTCTGCTGGTCCCTGTGTGCCTGTGTGTACAAACCACCACACACATGCACCACACACATACACACCATCACACACACCACCACACACACCACACACACCACACACACACCACACACACCACCACACACACCACACACACCACACACACCACACACACCACCACACACCACACACACCACCACACACACCACACACACAACACACACCACCACACACCACACACACCACACACATACACACCATCACACCCACACACATCACACACACACAACACACATATCACCACACACATACACACCATCACACACATCACCACATGCATACACCACACACACACCACTGCACACACCACACATACCACCACACATACACACCACACACCACCACACACACATACACCACACACACACAAACCATGCATACATACATATACAGACCACACACATACACAACATATACACACCACACACAACACGCAAACACAACATATACACACACCACACACACACACACACACACACACATAATCCAGCATTTCCTACAGCTCTGCTCCTCCAGTCTTGTTTCAGGGGCCAGGAGCAACAGGGCCAAAGGCCTGGGGTAATGCCCAGGTGGTGGGGGAGCTGGGGTCCACAGGGCATCCCCCAGCACCTCCCTTTCCCAGCTGGCTCAGACCATGAGCAGGGGTGGGGGTGATCCTGGCAGAGGGAGGAAGCATGCCAGCCCTGGCTGCGGGTGTCTACCAGGATGGAGACCCGGCAACTGCACCTGACTGGAGCACCGAGCCTGCCCTCCCCTGATATTTCTTTCAGCTGTGGCTTCCAGGCTCCCGCAATAGCCCAGTCCTGTCATCTGCCACAAGGAATAGATCCAGGCAAGAAGCCTCAGCCCGCAAGGGCAGGAGGAAGCGCTTGCAAGATCCCAAGATCTAACATCTCCTTGAATTTTGCACATGAGATCCCTGGCTGGCCTCACCTCGTCCCTGTCATGATTCCCTGTTAGCCCACTGCCCTGCTTGGCCTCTCCCTGTGGCCTCTGCCCCACCCATCAAAGCTTCTTCAGCAGGAGGCTCAACTCAAAACCAGCTCCTGAAGGAGGAAAAGAGGGATTTCCAGGCTTGGGGGCCCAGTTCCCTTCTGTCCCTGACCTTCTTCCCTCGCAGGGCCCTGTGGTGAGTGAGCACAAGCCCCTTCAAACAGGAAGTTCCAGCCTGCTGCCTTGGCCAGCAGAGACACGGGAAATGCAGGAACTCAAAGCACTGATGACCCTATGAAGCCTGGACAAGGCTGAACCCCACCATCCCACATGGCCTCTCCTAAGCTACCATCACTGACCATGTGATAGACTAGTCAGTCCATTCATTCGGACTGAGGCATTCTCACTAGCCTCCTCCTGCCTCTGCTCTTCCAGCCTCCATTCTCTCATTTCTTCACTCAACAAATATATACCACCTCCCCATGTGTCAGACATGGCCCTTCCCTTGGGGAGCTTGCAGGCTGGTGGCCATGAGGCCCCTCCCCTGAAATAGCCCCTCCTACTCCCATTCTCATTTTGACCTGTCCAAATTGAACCTGTCTTTGAAGACCCGTCCTTAAATATCTGCTCTTTCCACCTCTCTGAGGTGCTGATGTGTTCTCCTGCATGAGCTCCCCAGACGTAAGCTGAACTCTCTTGCTGCCTCTCCCTCCCTTGCAACTGTCATTTTTTTAACACTGAACGTTTTGTTTTTCTAAAGCAACCTTATATGAAGTCTGCATATATAAAGGTGAAAGCAGTATTTTACAGCTATAAACAGCAATCCAAAAGCACGACATTTACCTATTATAAAGTCAATCAGTGAGGATAATAGGGCTGTTGGAATAATCCTGACAAAGTGAAAAGTAGATGACAGATCATGGTGATAGTCTCATGTCAGCTTCAGACCCCAGGTTATGCCTATATTTTGTTTGGTTTTGTGATTGTGAAAAAACCCTAGTTACTGCTGATAGACAACTGCAAGGAGCAGCAGAGCTTTCCCTCTCTTCTGTACATCAGGTACAATCCAAGGATGCTAGGATCCTTGGAATACAGTTTGAAAATCACAGAAGCATCTTAGTGCTATTTAGACATCTGTCTTATCTGCTGTGCCAATGGGCCTCCTGAGGGCAGGGTCAGAGACCCAGGCAGGATCTGAGTCCCTTGGAGGCCCCTAGGACATGTCTGCTGGATGGAGGAATCCACCCGAAGGTCCCAGGGCCATCCCCAGAATTCAGACTTTCTGGGCTCCCACATTCTGATAAGGCTGATTTGCTCGGCCACAAGACTCACAGGAAAGCCCACCAAAAAAGCAAGAGCAGAAATAAAGGCAGCTAGAATTGGGGCAGAAAAGATCATGTAAGCAATCTCTGACCCATTTCCATTGCTTCTAATAAGACTGTTTTCTGTCCACTTCCTGCCATCCCTGCTGCTTCTAACCCTGGGAGAGTGAAGGCAGCTGGACCAGACGCTGGGCCTCTGGCCTCGAGGCAGGACAAGGCAAAAGGCCTGGAAGCCTGGTCAAGCTTCACTCGGAAGCTGAGTGACCTTGGCACAAAGGTTTTTGCTGCTCTTTCCCTACCCCCAGCCCTGGTTTCTAAATGTGCCCCGTGCTTCCCTCACTGTGAAGTACAAAGGCCAGCCTGCTGGGCAGGGGTAAGAAGTCACACTTACTTAGCAGGGGCACCACCCTCTGTTTTCATCCACCTGTGGAGAGAAAGTGGGCTCAGGGTAAATCATCGTACTTTCTCCCTAGAGCCCAGCCCCACCCATGCCCAGACCCTCTGCAGGAAGGTCTGGGGAGAGGAGCTGCCCCCCATTCCCCCCTCATTCCCCCATTCCCCCATTCCCCAGGGACAGGAGCTGCCCAAGATCACACAGATGCATTCAAGGTCGAGAGAACACTGCAGCCTGCCTCCTGAGGGGCTCTCCCCATCATGGAGAGGAGAAGCAGATTCAAGGTCAGGGCATGGCAGAGGGGGTAGCAGTGGGCACTGAGTCCCTGGGAGGGTCTCCATATCTATAGTGGGAAAGACTCAAAAGATGCCCAACACGATTACTCACACATGGGCAGACCTTCCAGCTGAATGGAGAATGTATGCACATGCACACACACACACACACACATGCACATGCATGCACCCACACAGACGTCAGTGTTAGAAAGCTGTGTGGGAGAGAAGCTGTGTACAAGAGACTTACTTTCTTTCCTGTGGATCCAGGTCACAGAAGGTGACAGTGTTGAGAGGGTAGTGGCGTCTGAAAAAGAGCCTGCAGCACAGACATCAGATAAACAGAGAATGAGTGCTGAAGGGGCTGCTTTTCCCCTCCTTCCACCAGCAGGTCAGGCCACCTTTCCACCATCTGTGGCTATCGCAGGTCCACACAACTTCTCTCTTATGAGCAAGATGGCCTGAGCTGTTGACACTGGTGACCCAAGCAATGTACAGAGACAGATGTGCCATAGAATCATCCCAAATGCTAGGGGCTGGGGAAGGAAGAAACTGGCACTGAGGAATAGGAAATGTGGGGAGGGGCTGGAAGAAGAAGCAAAGAGGCCAGGGACACTGTTAGGAGAGAGTCCAAGTGGACGGGCTCTGCTCCTAGAAAGCAGGTCCTTTTTATCAGTTGTATTTACAGCCGTATACCCAATGCTGGCAAATTCTCATAGAAGGATGGATGAATGGGTGGATGGATAGATGAATGGAGATACAGATGGATGAAGGGAAAAACGGGTGGTAAGGGATAGATGAGGGATGAATAAATGCAGGGATGGAGGCATGGATGGATGGATGGATGGATGGATGGATGGATGCATGGATGGATGGATGGATGGATGGATGGATGGATGCATGGATGGATGGATGGATGGATGGATGCATGGATGGATGGATGGATAGGTGCATGGATGGATGCATGGATGGATGGATGGATGGATGGATGGATGCATGGATGGATGGATGGATGGATGGATGCATGGATGGATGGATGGATGGATGGATGGATGGATGGATGCATGGATGGATGGATGGATGGATGGATGGATGGATGGATGGATGCATGGATGGATGGATGGATGGATGGATGGATGCATGGATGGATGCATGGATGGATGGATGGATAGGTGCATGGATGGATGCATGGATGGATGGATGGATGGATGGATGGATGGATGGATAGGTGCATGGATGGATGGATGGATGGATGGATGGGTGCATGGATGGGTGCATGGATGGGTGCATGGATGGATGGATGGATAAGTAGCTGGGTAGATGGGAGGTAGATGCAAGATAGATGGATGAGAAGGTAGATGAGCAGTTGGGTGCAAGGAATCAATCAAGTGGTAAATGTGTGGGTACACGGATGAATAGATGAGTCACAGGAAGGAGAACCCCACCGAGGAGCAGGCAGGGGAGTCTTACTTTCTCTGGTTGTCAGTCAGAGTGATTCCCTGGGCAGAGACTTTGAAGTGAACGATGGTGGCAGCTGGCGTGGGGTCTGCAGCCAACGTCTCAGATGTGGCTTTAGAGATGGCCTGTGGCCCAGTGAGTGACTCCATGTCCACAGAGTTGACGAAGAGCACATTGCAGGCTGGAAGAAACCAACCCAAGGGGGAGTCATGGGAGCTGGCGTGGGTGAGGACATTAACCCAGATCCATTCTTCAGGGAGAAGGTAGCAGATAAATTTCAGGCTAGCCTTGAGCCAAGGCATCTGCACATAGAAATGTGATCTTCCCAGAGACATTTGGGCCTGGAGAGACCTCCAGCCTGCACGTGCAGGAGGGGTCAGGGCAGGAAGGCAGAAAGAGAGGCCTGGGCATGGGTACAGTTTCAGGTGACCACTCACCTGCCCCTTGTTTCAGCAGGTCTGCAGTTGAGTTGGCAGGGCCGGAGCTATCTTTCGATTCATCTGTGGGGTCTAAGACAAAAATTCAGTAGGAATTAAAACCCTAGAGCTGGAAAGAAGCACAAGTTTGGCTGGGCTGAAGGTGAGCTCTGCAACTCTTTGGCAGAAGGAACGCTGCTTTTCATACCAGACCCTGGCAGTCAGCCCTGAGTTAGGCTCAGTCTGAACGTTTGATGATTGCTCTAAGCAGCCAGCACACTGGTTGTGAGCTCTGGAGTCCAGCAGAACTGGGCTCAAACCCTCACCCCAGCACTTACTAAGTATCTATAAAACAAAGACGATGATCATGGTACCCACGTCACTGGGTTTTTGAGCGACTCCATGTACAGCTTAGCCAGTGCTTAACATAAAGCAAGCCTTCAAGTGACAATTGGCATTGCTGTTATTGTTTTGCATTGATATATCTTTGTGTAGGTCAATAAATCCCCTAATTCCCCTAATTCATTAAACCATTGATCCAGCATAACTCTAATTTCAATATTAATAAGAATTGAGTGATGGATATATTAGCATATTGATGTAACCCACAATGTATGCATTTATCAAAACATCACATTGTACATGGTACATAATTTTTTTTTTTTTTTTGAAACAGAATCCTGCTCTGTCACCCAGGCTGGAGTGCAGTGGCATGATCACAGCTCACTGCAGCCTCAAACTCCCATGCTCTAGCAGATTATCCCACATTAGCCTCCAGCGTAGCTGGGACTACAGGCATGAGCCACCATGCCTGGATAATTTTTTTACTGTTTTGTAAAAACAGGGTCTTCTGATATTCTACAGGCTGGTCTTGAATGCCTCACTTCGAGCAATCCTTCCACCTCAGCCTCCCAAAATTCTGAAATTATAGGCATGAACCACCATGCCCAGCCAATATTTGCATTTTTTAACAAGTCCCTGGGATATGCTGACACTGCCGGTCTAGGCCCATACTTTGAAAACAACAGGTTTATACAATCTAAATATTAAACAGTTTTTTAATTGCTGAACTACAATGGTGAATTCCATAGGAATATAATTCAATTCATGTCTGAATTGTGTCATTGGTTAATAGTGCTATTTAAGTTGTATTTGAACTTATAAGCTAATAATATTGGTCCATTACCATTAATAATTCAATGAACTGAATTGGATAAGTAGAAATTGTCCAAAAATACTGGCGGTGTTATGTGTGGGCATAGCCCCAGGAGCTCCAAGAAAGACTAGAAAAAAATCCTAGGGCCACAGCCTAGGAGCGCTTCTGAAGGTCCTATTGTTGAACAGACAGAGTGGGGAGAAGGCAGCCCAGACCGTTCCGAGACCTTGCACTGCGGGTGAGGCCAGTGACCCTCAGGTGGGCCCTGTGTTGCTGAGGGCTGGGCAGTAGAGGCCTATGCTGGGAGGAGTTCTAGGTGCCCACCTGCCACGCTCCAGGGCTGATGCGCCTCCATGAGAGAAGCTAAACACTCCTTCCCTAGCCCTGCCGTCTCACTCAAATTCTCATCCTGCATGTCCTCATGCTCTTGGAGTCCATTCCAACTTCCCACAATCAAAACAGGACTTGCTCTTCCCTAACAGCTCAGCATCCCCTTAGTCAGGGAACACCCTCCCAGCACACAGATTAGAAAGTCTGGCGACATTTAGGCACCGCCTTCTCTTTCCTGAGGCTGCTCTCTCCTCTCCATCCAGACCAACCCCTCAACACCTCAGTCTGCCTCCCCACTCTCTTCCCCAGATGCCCATCTCATCCTCCAGGACATGTCTCCTGTCCCCTACTTCTGTCTCCTGTCATCCCTGGGACGACGTGGTCTGAGGATTCCATATGAATTTCTTCATACGGAGAGTTTTCCTGAACAATCTGGCAAGTCCATTTATGTATGCTCCTGGAGTCAAGCTTTTTCATAAATTTTTTCTTCTTTTTTAATAGGAAGAAAAGGAGAGTAGTTTTGAGTTTCTCCAGACTGGCAAAATGACATGTGTCCTCCAGCCCTGGCCCATGTCCGGAGTGGCTGGCAGGATCAAGACATGACAAGGGCCAGCTCAAGGGTGTGGGTGGTGAGCCAGGAGTCTCACGTTCCTACCTCGGTTTGGAATGACCAGCTTGCAAGGCAGGGCCAATGGGATGATGGAGTGCTGGTAGACCAGGGCAGACAGCGATCCTGTAGGGAGGCAGACGGCATGTCATGGGCAGTGATACTGGAAGCCAGAAGGGAAACCTCCACCTCTACCCTTACACCGATACACACAATCTTCCACTTCTTTATTACCTCTACCTCAACCCACCACCAAAGCTGAAAATTCACACCCTCTTGTTGAACAAGATCCAACAGAGAAGATTCCCAAGGTTCACTCTCGCAGTCATAAAGTTACCTAACAACTTTCCTTTGCAGAAAGTTCCTCCTAACATCGCTCCTAATGCACCCCAGTTACTGGGGCTCCTCTGAGAACAGGGCAGAAGGATCAGAGAATTGTGGGATCCAATCCCAGCTCAGTCACTTCTCACCTGTTGGTTCTCAGGTAAATGTAACTTTGATGACTCTCGTTTTTTCATGTGTCAATTCCTCCCTATTAGGGAGGATGACCCCTACCAAACAGGATGGTTGTGAGGCCAGATGTGATAGAAGGTGCTGAGACTGTGACATTCACATGGTAGGTGGTCAATTAAGGCAGCTGATTTTACCATTGTTACTCCAGTTATAATGATAACAAGTCCCAGCTGGGTCGGACAAACACAGACTGCAGTTTGGCAGAGTTAGGAGCCGCACTGCGGAGGGAGAGAAGCTTTCATTCATTTTCTCTGCTGAATTTATGACAAGGGTGACTGGCAGAGCCTGTCAGAAAGAACTTGGGGTCAGACCCCTGGAGGAACCCAGGACAGGACCAAGACTCAGGCCAGACTGTAGAGATGGGGGCAGGGGGACAGCTCACCGAAGTTTGGCTCATTGGGGCAGCCCTTGAGCTTGACTCCTCTGGGGCCAGTCTCTATCAGAAAATGCCTGACCAGCTCATGGGTCATGTCTCCTGGGACAAAGAGAAAGAAATAAGGCTCAGTCCCTGCCCATGGCTTCCTCCCACCACCTCCCAAGACTGCTTCAAAACTTCCGCAGTGTGCGGGGCCAAGATGGGAGAAATGACTGAAGAGAGAACGTGGCTGGAGCCCCATGGACTGCAGAGCCCACTGCTGCTCTCCCACCCCTCAGGAAACACATGGCAGGCACCCAATCGTCCTGCTTTCCCAATCTCTGACCTCAACCATCACCAAGCCCAAGACACCCTCTTCCGAAGAGCCTGATGGGAGTTAAGGTCCTGCCCAGCACCCTGGGTCCCTCCAGCACCTCCAGGTTTAGCGACTGTAAAGCTCACCTGGTCCTGAGCCCCATTCTGGGAGATGAGGTTACCTTTTTTATTCTGCTGCATGATGGTTGGAGGTGGCGAAGACACCTTCATGGCCAGCCCGTACGCGCCTCGGAAGGAGTGACTGTCGCGGATGATGAAGGCCCCCGGCTCCTGGTCCTTGAGGAGCGCGATGGCTGCATGGGGAAGGGACAAGGAGAGAGGAGGAAGCAAGACCTCGGTGGCGCTAGTTTTACTTAAGTCTCATTGAGCCTACCGACCTTCGTTCTTTCTTAGGTGAGACAAATTTTCTTTAAAGTTAAAATTTAACTACTCCTACGGGTCTTCCTGTACTCAGGTTGGCAAACTTATTCTGTTGGGTTTTTATGTTTGTTTTTGTGAGACCGGGCCTCACTCTGTCACTCAGGCTGGCATGCAGTGGCACAATCATGGCTCACTGCAGCCTCAACCTCCTGGGCTCAAGTGATCCTCCCACCTCAGCCTCTCCAGTAGCTGGGACCACAGGCCACTATTCAGTGTGTGCCATTTTGCCTGGCTCATTTTCTTTTTGTTTTTTGTAGATTCAGGATCTCACTATGTTGCCCTGGCTGGTCTCGAACTCCTGGCCCCAAGTGATCCCCCTGCCTTGGCCTCCTGAAGTGCTGGGATTATAGGTGTGCACCACCACACCTGGCTGGCAAACTTACTCTGTAAATGGCCGGAGAGTAAATATTTCAGGCTTCGCAGGCCATGCAGCCTCTGCTACAACTACTCCACTCTGCCACTGCAGCAGGACAGCAGCACAGGGAGGATGCAAGCCAGCAGGTGTGGGGGCGCCCCAGTAAAACTTCATTTACAAAAGCAGGCAGCATCCAGATTTGACCCATGGGCTGCCGTTGCTGACCCCTGTCCCACACCCAGCCTTCCCCTGAGAATCATTCCCCTATTCCCAACTTTGTTCTCTCTCCCTGTAAAATGCAAAAACCTCCCACATCAGGCAGACAGAGAGCTAAGGTTTCATATTATCTTAGCAGACCTTTTACTTTGCCCAGGAAAACCAAGGCTTTGCTGTTTTTAAGAACCCTTCCAAGAGGTGTCTACAACTACTGCTTCTGTGTTCCCACACTTCACTGCAGGAAGTGCTTCCTACTGTCCAGCTTCAACCCCAGCCCCCTCTGTGATGACCCCCTGCTACAAAGAGGACTGAATTTGCCTCTGTTCCTTGCCCAGGGAAGACACAGCAGGCCTCAGCCAGCTATGGCCTCTGATGCACCACAGAGCCCAGCACTCACCCTGCTCCCTGGAGATCTCAGGCTTGTACCAATACTTAGAAGTGTCCTGGACAAACTTCACTTTAGCCCGCGTCTCCGGGCTGTTGTCTAAAGCAGGAGAAGGGAAGAAAGTGTTATGGGTTAAATTGTGTTCACCCAAAACATACATCAAAGTCCTGGCCCCCAGTGCTTGTGAATTTGACCTTATTTGGAAATAGGGTCTTTGCAGATGTAGACAAATTAAGATGAGGTCACACAGGATTAGGGTGAGCCTTAATCCAGTATGCCTGTATGCCTGGTGTCCTTACAAGGAGAGGAGACAGAGATACACACAGGGGAGAGCACCATGGAAGGTGCAGGCAGAGACTGGGGTGATGCGTCTACATGCCAAGGGACACCAAGGATGCTGGCAGCCACAAGAAACTGGGAGAGAGGCCTGGGACAGATTCTCCCCTAGAACATCAGGAAGGAGCCAACCTTGCCAACACCTTGATTTTGGACTTCTAGCCTCCAGAACTGTGAGAGAACATATTTCTGTCATTTATAAGCCACTAAGCACATGGTCCTTTGTTATGGCAGCCCCAGGAAACTGACATCAAAAGCTGATGTCCTCGAACACCATGCGAACACAGTGGAAGGGACCTTCGGCCTCCTCATCCATCCCCTATCCCCTGCCCGCCATCTGGGTGGCTGAGCCACCTCCTGGTGGAGGGCCTGGCACTGCATTCCCACAGAGCCCACTGAAAGCCTTCCTCCACCCCGTGTCCCCCTTTCCCTAGAAGACTGTGACTAAAGCCTTCCTACAGCTTTTCTCCCATGGCCTAAAACACTTGCTTCTAGAACCTTTCTCCACAGGTTCAGTTTCTCAACTTCAGCATACCCACCATGAAGATGAGGGCAGAAAGATCCATTTCTTCCCCCTTTTCCCCAGGCCTCTCCTCACTTTCCACAGGGAAGGCCTATGTTCTGCATCACATAGAACAAAAAAAAAATCACTTCTCTTTGGATCAAACAGGTGATGGCTGGCCTAGAATCTAGAGGCCATCTACTGCATGTCAGGCACCCCACTTCTCAGGCAGACAGCACCCCCACACACACCCATGCCCAGACTCTGCAGACCTTGGGAATTTGTCATAGAACATTAGATTCTGGAGGGAGCTCAGACAGGACACAGTCCAACTGCCTAATTTTACATAAAAGGAGGAATTCAGGGATGAGAAGTGACTTGCCCAAGTCACACAGATGGTGACCTTGGTAAGAGGCCCTAGCAGTCAGTTTAGGACCAGCTAAACTGTATCTTCCTGTCTAAGCATCAGGATGTGCGGCCCTCACTCTCAACCTCTTCCTTCAGCTTTTGGCACCAAAGAAAACACAAAAAGGGAGGGAGAACAGAAAAAGATGAGGATTCCACATTTTTCCTCTCCTGTCTTCAGAGACAGAAGTTGGCATGAAAGACACTGCAAAGTTAAGAGAGCAGATCAGGAGACACAAGTTGTGTCTCCAGTGCTTAGTCAATTTCAACCTATGATTTACACTCCCTTATGCTTCTGGGATCTGTCTCCGGGCGAGTGTGAGGGGAGAGGTCAGCTCCCTTTCCTGGCAGCCGTGTGCTAAGGAAGGTCTCTGGGTTAGGCAGCTGGGCCATGCAACTGCTGCAGGCTGCCTTTCTCTGTCTGAAGCCCCAGGCCCCACTGCTGCCGTGGCCTGTTTAACGAGCTGTCAGAGGCGGCTGCAGTCCCACGTGCCTTCCTGTGTTGACTCCAAAGGCTATTTTAAGCAGGGAAGATGGTGGGAAACAGGAAGTGTCCCAGCTACTAGAAGTTTTGCATCCTTCAAGGAGAGGGGCTGGGAACCAGATGTCCCCGGTGGGCGGCAGGAAACAGGCAGTGCAGGGTCATTCTAGGTGTCCTGGCTTGGCAGGCTCAGGGCAGGACCTGAGAGTGACGCCGGGAGAATCTAGGGAGCTGGGGCCCATCTGAGGCTGCCCAAAACATTCTAAATCTGCCTCAAACATCCAGGGCCACTGTGCACACAGTCAAGTTCAAAGTTGGCCTTTGTGTTTAGACAATGAGCTTTCTAAGTAGAGGCAAAGGTGGCAAGTTCTGGCGATAAGTGAAGAATTCACTGCACAAACCTGCATGAGTTTCGATGAAGTTGGGTCTACGAGGAGTGATGTGGCACTGTGGGGCTGGCAAAGGTATGGAGATCCAGGTTTGGAAGGCAGGTTTTCAAGGTCATGCTAAATATGACCCCCAAGATATGGACACATGATAAAGACAACTCCAGTGATGCTTGAAGACCATTAGTTTTGGGGTGGCGTGGCCTGGATTGGAAGCCTTGGCTCTGCCATTTCTTGACTGTATGATACTAGACAAGTGACAGAGCCTCTAAGCCTCAGTTTGTAAACTGGGGTTAATAATATTAATACCTACTTTACTAAGTGGCCAAGAAGCTTAAATGACACAGTACTCAGCTCAGAGCCTGGCACACAGCATGTGCTCAATGAGTGGTAATGGCTATGAGGACGATGATAATCATAACAGTAATACTATTCATTATGATTTTTATCATCCTCATCTGTATCCACATCCTCATCTCAGCATCCACAACCACAGCACACGTATCGTAAGGATACCTCCAACTCTCTTTATACGGATAAAGAAACTAAGTCCCAGAAGTCAGTGATTCACCCAGGGTCGTCTGCCAAGAGAATGTCAGAATAGACACTGGGATAGATATTTCACTCTTCTACTTACTTCATCAGCAGGAGAGGTGAAAATGGAAGGGGGAGAGGCCCACCTGGCATGGAGTACTTGGAGAAGTCGGGCAGAGTGTGGGAGAAGGAGACGGTGCTGCCCCCACTGGGACTGGACATGCCGCTGGCGACAGGCGAAGACACCTTCCCATTGATGGTGGCATAGTTGGGGAGGCTGCCTGCCCGGTCTCCCACTGACATCCTTCGCTTCTCTGGCAAGGCTGGTGTTGGGCTCCCTTGCCGGAAGGCTGCGGAGTCTGGTGACGGGGAGGTGGCAGGGCTGCTCAGGCCAGGGTAGTAGGCAGGGGAGACAGGGAAGGAGGGCGTGGAAGGAGCCTGGTAGCCAGAGGCACTGCTCTGCCGGGACAGTGTGGGTCTCCGATCCTCCGGGGTAGAATAGCCACCATAGGCCACATGCCGGTCCAAGCAGGGGCTGCCGGGAACCACAGATCCAGACCCTCCGAGGTGACGGCCCAGGCTGGGGCTTCCAGGGCTGGCTATTGCATTGCTATGAAGACCGGAGGCCAGGTTGCCTTGGTGAGCCCCAGGGTGCCGGCCCAGGCTGGGACTCCCCGGGGTGGTGGCCACTTTGTTGTGGAGGCCAGAAACCTGGTAGACCCCTGCTGGGTGCCGACACAGGCTGGGGCTCCCCGGGGTGGTCGCTGCACTGCTCTGGGGGCTGGAGACAGTGCTACCATGGAAGCCAGTGCCTGGTGGACCCATCATCTGGTGATGGCTCAAACTGGGACTGCTGGGGGCAGCCATGCTGGGATTGATGGCCCGCCAGCCGAAGCCAGGACTAGGGGGAGTGTTGGTGCCCACTGTTCTGTGGCGCGCCTGAGGGCTCCCAGGCACCGTGTGGACGCCAGCCACACTGAACTGAGCTCGAGCCTGGCTTTCCGGAGAGGAGCTGAAATGCTGAAGTGAGTAGTCGGGGCTGCTGTAGCTACTGCCCACAGTCGGGAGAGGAGAAGAGCTCTGGTAGTTTCTCTGGGCAGACGGGCTGGGCTGTCCCAGGCTGCCTGAGCGGAAGCCAGACTCCAACAGAGGCTGGGTGGGCGTCCGGGGACCCTGGTCACTGCTCTCTCCCGACGGGAAACTCCCCACTGAAGTGCTGCAGAGAGATGGCAGGTTGCGATGTCAGTGGACAGAACTGAATGAAGGGTGGATTTACAGCAGGCTGTCTGCCCTCCCTCCAACCATGAACAACAGTAAGAATGGTCCCACTGGCAGTGCGGAAGGACATCAGGGTTTTATACGTTACCTTACAGAACCATCAGAAGAAGAAACTGAGGCTCAGGGAGGTTAAGCAGTAGGCTTAGTACCACACTGCTTATAAAAGACCAGGGTTTCAACTTAGCTGTGTCTGATTCCAAAGCCCACGTCTTCCCCACTGCACCATGCTCACTCCTGAGCCATGTCAAAGTGAAGAGCCCTCTCCTATCGAAACTGGAGGTGGCTGTCATGTTATAGCCTCCAGCATCACAGAAATTCCTAATGGAGTTTCCTGGCTCCTGTTCCTACTGGGAGTAGCCCTGTCTTGACTCAGTTTCCTCAAGTGTGATATCATCATCCTTAAACATTGACAGAGAGTGCTAGAATTGGGCTTTCACTCCTAGATGGCTCCAAAAAAGCAAAGACAAGGAATCACAGGGGAAGGTTTCACATCAGGGGATTTGAGGTCATTGTAAGGTCTGCTCTCCAGCCACTGGGGATGTGGCCACCAATGGAGAAAGCTGTCTTGCATGGTAATGAGGCTCCTGTCATTAGGAGCATTTAAGCAGAGGCTGACAGACCTATTGGCCTGAATGCTGTAGAGGGAATTTCCTGCATTGGGAGGTTAGATGAGATGAGCTCAGAGGTCACTACCAATTCTGACTCTGAAACAACTCAGTTCAGAGGAGACTATACCTGGGGTAATTGCCACAGTCAAAGGTTCCCTTGTAAAGTTAAGTCTAGGTCTGCATGGAGTGACAGATGAAAGCACAGCAGTACAATGTGATGGCCAGTGAGTTTTTTTGCTTATTAAAGTTTTTCCATGTGGAAAATGACAGGACTGGATTAGGTGACCCTGACTCCTTCTAGACCCAAATTTCTATCCAACTATGGTGAGAGAAACAAAGGTTGACAGGGGCCTTACATAAACTAGTATGTAGGGAGGGAGCAGGCAGGCTGTGCACCAGGAACCCCCCATGGGGAGAGGTCCTTACTTAGCCAATGGGCCAAAACCTGGAGCTGCAGGCTGGAAGGATCTTGTTGTGGGCTGGCCCTCCCTGGGCCAGGCTGGATAAGCTCAGGTTCACGGGGTGATATGAGGTTTTGGTTGGGGGTGTGCTCTTGGGCCAGGCAAGAGCCAAGGGCAAGGAGAAGGTCAGGGGCCAGGCTAGGGCAAAGTCTACCTTGCATCCCAGAAGGGGCCAAAGCAGAAGGCCACCTCCTGGTATAATCCAGAATAAACTGGATTCTGAGGAGTGGGAGACAGAGCCAGGCTGAGCAGGGTGAGAGAAGGAGACACTAAAATGGAGTTCTGGAAGGCTAATCCCAGGGGAGAAAGGCTAGCTTCCTGGAAAGGGCCAACACTTCAGCAGGAGGGATTTGAGTGAGAAACAATGAACAACTTCCTAATGCCAGGGCTCACTGAACATCAACAATGGGTGGCTGGGACAACTTAGGAAAATCCCCTTTCCTTTAAAATAGGAAATGCAACCCTCGGCCAGAGTCAGGCCTCCTGAGCAACGCAGGCTGCTGCCTGTTAAGAGGCTGGGGAAGGGGAATGCTTGGCTTAGAATCCAGAAGACAGTTGCCTCTGCTCATCTGCTCCCCTAGTCATCCCATGGTGCCCCCACTTGCAGGGGAGGCTCAGCATTGAGCCAATGTAGACTGTGCAGCAAACTGGACCCACTGGGCCTGGCAGGGGAATTTGCAGGCTCTGTGACATCCCAGGCTAGGGAGGGCAGTGGGCACGGCGAAGAAGGGATGGTCAGGGCAGAGTCTCCCCTCCTGGGGGCGACACCTCCTAGGTCCTCCTCCTTTGCCTGGCACTCGATGCCTTGCCTGAGCTGATTGCAACCCTCCTTTCCTATGCCGTCATCCCATCTCTTTGTCCCCTCCACCTTCACCCCCACTACCCCAGTCAAGCAGCTCCTTGCTGCACCCCTCCACTAAGCCTGTCAGCAGGGACTGTCACCCACCTCTGGGCTTTCATCTCTGTGTGATGCACTCAGAAATATGGATGCCAGCCATCCATCCACCCAGGCATCCCCTAATGGCAGGCCACATGCCCTCAGCCTCACACTCCCAACATGGCCACAGCCCAGTCCTCTGTCCCTGCTGGGCTGTCCTTCTGGAATGCCCTGTCTCTCTTTCTTCATCTTTCAACATCCTGCTACTTCCTCTACACCCTTCACAAATGCCTCCAGCCCTCAGAAATCCTCGCTGCATCCCTAGCCAGAAATAATGGCCCCTTGTTCTGAGCTCCAAGCCCTTCACTCATGTGTGGGCTTTGGGCCCATCTGACTCTCATCCTGTGCAGGGAGGGCGCCATGATGCAGGTCTGGGGCAGAGGATAGAGATGCGGGCTCTGGAATCACACGCTTCCACCTGAATCTGATTTCTGCCACTGCTTAGCTGTGGCACCTTTATGCCTCAGGTTCCTCTTCTGAAAAGTGGGAACAATAATAGTGCTCACCTCCTAGGATTGCTGCGAGGATTAAATAACTGCATAAAGCACTTAGCAAAGTGCCAGGTACCTAGGATGAGCCCACTACATAAGTCATTACTGTTGGTAGATTTTCAACTTGGGGAAGGACTTTGCCACATTCACCGTGGTACCCTTCACTCCTTCCAGCACAGTTTTGGATGGGCGGAATTGAATGCGGCCTGGGAATTATAGGTCACTGGGCTCCCCACAGGATTCAGCGCGCAGGACATGTGCCCTCAATGCACCTTGATGAACTGGTTTGCAAGGTACCGCCATCTGGGTATGCTTTCTGCCTGTCCACGCCATAGGCAACAGATCCAGGAGGCCTCACCCATCCCGTCCCAGTCCCAGGCCCGGATTCCCATCCCCCACCCACTGCCCCTTCCCGGCTTACCTGTCAGCACTGAGGATGGGGCTGCTGGTGGAGAGGGGGCTGGGGGAGACAAAGGAGCCACCCAGGGTCCCGTTCCTCAGGGGTATCTCATGGCCATAGGCCTGGGTGGCTGGAGCACTAAAGCTCTTGGGCTCAGAGTCCTGAGCTCGGGGTCCAGCCACCGCTGTCCGTGCCACAGACTCCACATAGCTCCGGGGCTCTGGAAGGGGCAAGAGGACAGAGACACTGAGCACAGATGCACAGGGGTGCAGTGCAGGTCCCCCCCAACCTCCCCTGGAACACAGCTTCCTGGACTCCTGCCTGGGAACATAGGAATAGCCCCCAAAGGACAGGCAGGGCTCCTGCCTGCCCAGACCCACCCTGCCCTGCAGTGACCTTTCACCAGGGCCTTGCTCAGAGGAGGGGGCCCTGAAATGGATCCCAGGCCCCGCCTCAGAACATGGCCATCAGAGACTCTTCCCTCCAAGGACTAGGAGGCTGTCCATAGCTGGCACCCCCTTTGGCTGCTCTCTTTCTTCAATGATCTTGCTCAGCACCCAGGCCCTTCCAGGTTCTCCTCGTGCCACTAGAGTCTGGGGCCCTACAGTGGGCCCAGAGGTCCATCCCTGCCTTGCCTGTATCCCAGGATAGTGCCAGAGTTCATGTGAGCTCCACCCCCTGCCCAGAATCCAGAAACAGCCTTGGCCACCTAGCAACAGGCCTGCACTGGTGAGTCTTGCCCTGTGGGGCTGCTGTAGACTCACCAGCCCCTTTGATGCCAAGACACACCCACCCCTCTCTGCCTGACACACTCAGCATTCCTCTAGAGACTGGCATCAGGGAACCCCATTCCCAGGCGGAACTCAACATTCCATCGCCCACCTCTGGCATTCCTGTAGCACTGAGCAGTTTAGTTTACAGAGGACCTCATTATACACGGCACTACCTGGTGTTCAAAACAGCCTAAGAGGGGGTGGGGGACACACGCTAGAAAAGGCCATTTTACAGATAAGGATGGATGCTGAGGCCCGACAAGGGAAATGACTAGGTCCCCAGATGGCCCGACTCCCAGACCGGCACCTGCCCAACTCCTCTACGGCCTCTGAGGCCAGCTCCCAAACGAACTCCGCTTGAAAGAGGAAGAAGCAACAGAACGCTCTTGTTTACCCCGGGCCATGATCCGGGAGGAATGTCATTCCTACCACCTCCAAATCCCACCCTGTCCCTGTCTTACCCAGGAGGAACCTGGCCTGAGTACAGAGCCATACTGCCCACAACTAAGGCATCCACTGAAATCAGCCTGAGAAACTGAAGAACCAGAGTCTGTGCATCCCTCAGGAGGCCAGGCCCCTGCAGCCCCTGCTGGCCAAGACTGCAATGGTCAGAGTTGGAGAAGAGCCCCCTCCTCCAGGTCTCCTCCAGAAGACAATGCAGAGATCCCCTAACCAGGGCCAGTACACTTTTTTGTAAAGACTTAATAGTAAATATCTTAGGCTGTTGGGTCAGGCTGTCACTGTTGCAACTATACAACTCTGCTGTTGTGGTGTGAGAGCTTACATAGACAATAGGACAGTGTATGGGCATGGCTGGGTTGCCATCAAACTTTCTTTACCAAAATAGTCAGGTCCTCCAGGTCCCTCCTCCAGGTCCCTCATGGGTGACAGGCCTGGGGTCCAGCTAGCTGAAATGCAACCTTCCTCCCCTTAGCCCAAAGAAAACCTTAATTTGGAAGGAGCCTAGTCACCAGGGTGCTAGCAGGGTGCTTCCAGCCTTTGCTGCATAGGGGCATGGCCTCCGTGGAGTGGCTTCTGGGGTGGCCCTCAGGTCTGACATCCTACACCCAGGCCAGAGGCCTCTCTAGACCCCGGAAGAGGATGGTCCCTCAGCACAGGACCCTTTACAGAGCAGGACCCAGAGGCTGCAATGGAGTCTGCACACAGCTCCAGCCACAGCCTGCCCGTCTGTCTTTTGTCCCCATACAGAACCCCCTCCACCCAACAGCAAGACAGTGGACAAGGCTGGGGCAGTTTGTCTGCAAAGAGGCAGGCACGGGAGGTCTATTCTAGGTAGCAGGCACAAGGTGATGTAGAACCAGGCACCTCGGCACCCAAAGCTGGAATCCATGTAGGCAGTGCCAGCAAGGCCTCCTCGAAATCCTCCCTCAACCAGCCCAGGCCACCCACCTCCTCGCAGAAGGCCCAGGCCAAATTCATACCAAAGGCATGGATTCTGTGCCACCCAAGCACGAGGCTCTGCTGGAACTAGAAGACAATGCAGATATCCCCTGACCAGGCCCAGTACACTTTTTTGTAAAGACTTAATAGTAAATATCTTAGGCTGGTGGGTAAGGCTGTCACTGTTGCAACTACACAACTCTGCTGTTGTGGTGTGACAGCTTACATAGACAACAGGACAGTGAATGGGCATGGTTGGGTTGCAATCAAACTTTCTTTACCAAAATAGTCAGTGGACAGGATCTGACCAGCTGCCACAGTGTGCTGACCCCTGATCTAACCTATCTCCTCAGCCCAGAGAGGTGGAGCCGTGCGCCAGGACACATGGATAATTAGTGGCAGTGAACACTAGCACCAAAGTCTCCAGACTCACAAGCTGGCTCTGGGTGACCTAGACAGGGCCCATAGGCTCACAGGACACCCAGAGCTGGCTCTATCCAGCACTTCAGCCCATCAGGCAGAGAAAAGCCAACTCCATAGGGCTATTCCTAGTGATAAAAAGAGCAAACAATTATACAGGAAAAGTAGGATTCGGGGGATGTAAGTACCTTGCCCAGGTCACAGCTGGCAAGGGGCACAGTCAGCCAAGGAACCCAGGCAGTCTGGCCCCAACCTGCCCTTACCCACTGCACATACAACCCTCTGCAAGTCGGGAAGCCAATAGTTTCAGTGAGTGTCTTTAGTCTTGGGCAACTGGTAACCCAACTTGGGAGAAGAGAACATCAGAGGGAGTCTCACCCACAGCCATGCAAATGACACCCAAGATCAGAGTCCACTCTCCCCTCCCGTCTCTTGCCACCCTAGGTCACTCTCTGAAAACTCTTCCCAGACCCTTCCAGGCACTCATCATGGCTACACCCAGGTCCCCACGGCTCTCGGCACCACCTCTCTCCCAGCCAGGGAGAGAAAGCCACTCTTTGGCTGCCCGTGGGCTCCCAGAGCCTGCCTAGCTGATCTGTGTGCCGAGCCCTCACACAGCACCTGGCACACAGCAGGCCCTCAATCTGCATGTGCTCCACAAAGTCACAGAAGCATGATCCTTACCCTCCAGCCCCATCCAGAGACACATAGTAAGACCTCAGAGGCACACATCCATTTTTCTCATTCCCTGAAGTTCAAGTTGAAACCTATGTGAATGACACTGTGAAGGTGTGTGCTCTTCCCCAATTCACTGACGTCGCTCCTGATCTACTCTCTACCCTGATCTGCATCCCTGAAGGCAGACTTTTATTTACTATGTCATCCAGACCCCCTTAGTCTCTGGCTCAGGATAGCTTTGGCCTTTGGCTAGTAAGGAGGGACTGGCAGGGTATGAGAGGGAGGGAGAGAGAAGGGCAAGGTGCCAGTGGCTACATCCCCTACCCACCTCCCTCTAGCCACACTCCAGTCAGCAGCCCTGCCCTCCAGCTCCCTCCTGGTTCCTTAAGGCCTGGGAGGATGGCTCCCTGCTCCTGATAGGGAGCACTCGGGGTGCTTTACCATCCCTCACTGCTCTGCCCAGACCTTTTAAGAGTCCATCAACTGTCCTAGGTTGCTCCATTGGAATGAACCATCAGTTTCCCACCAGGCCCCTGACCCACACATTAGGTAAGCAATTCACATTGCCCTACGCCCCACCCTTTTAAAGAAGTACAGGTACCCCTGCTAGCAACAGTAAAACTGAGATAAAGTGGGCCACACCACCCCGTCCTGTGGTCAGGACACAGCCAAGCCTGTGGCTTGCGGGTGCTTACTTGCCATTAGGCAAGGCTGGGTCTACTAACTGCTTCTGGCCTAAACACAGGCACCTGAGCTGCAGCCTGGGAGTCTGATGGCAAGATTGCATGGAGGGCCCATGGGACAGTGTATTAGAAACCCTGAGATGGCTCGATAGCATGGCCAAGTTCTTAAGGCAACAGTCCCATTGGCCCCTTCAGCTCCTAAACTGCAGAACACCAGAGGAGTTCTCAAGACACTGGGAGTCTGAACTTGGGGAACAGGATGGCTCGCCCAGGGAGAAGCAGCAGCATCCATTCTGACCACAATGTTGGAAACAGCCCTTGTGCATTGGGTGGCCAACCTAGCCAAGGCCACTCAGACCCAGCCCCACCTGGCCCTGCCCTCACCGGGCCCCCACCTCCTTTCTCCTTCCCAGTGCATCCTCTTCCTTGGTCAGCTGGTCTGCCCTCCCACTGCCACCCCTACCTGCCCTTCCAGTCCCAGATCATGGGGTGGAGATGAACGAAGCCCTTCCATACAATCTCTACTCCTCATGAACCCAGAGCGGGAAGGACCTTTGAGAAGTTATTTGATTTCCTGAGTTCATCTCCAGAACTGTTTAAAACCCATCTTCAGGGCTAAACATTAGTTTTCCCAAGTTTTCAGATGCAGATCTCCGTAGTGAAAATGCTTCCTTTTTCTGTTTATTCCCTGGCTCTTTCTCTCTCTCCCACCCCAGGACAATATACTTCTACTTGCAAGCTCTCCCCTCACCCACCACCCGTGCACTTACTAGAGACTTTCTGGGACTCCGTTTCCTCATCTGCAAAGTGGGAATGAGGATACCCACCTGCCCAGCTAGGATCAGGTGAGAAGAGGCAGGAAAGAAAGTTCTTCCTAATTCTTTCCTGCCAATTCCAGGCCCAGTGTTCAGAACCAGCCCTGCTGCTGCCTCCGCTGCTCCTAGCCGCCCATCCCTGCCTTCCTCCACTCCTCACTCGCACCACCTCTCCTGCTGTTTTCCTCCTTCCCTCCAATCCTGGAGCAGCTGCATCAGAGGCTACAGGGAGTTGGGCAGGGCGGGAGAGGTGGGGACAGGGAGGGTGCTTCATGTAGAACATTCCAGGAGCCCAAACCCTGCCAAGTGGCTGCTGGCGGTGAAGAGCAGCTGCAGCACAGGGTGACTTGGGCTCCTCCGGTCTGGCACTGTCAGCTCCTTGTCCACACCCTGAAGTGCATTTTCTGTCTCCCAAAGAGGCTCTTTGCTTGGAGAGAAGGGGCACACCCACCCTAACTAAAATCAAGACATGTGGGTGGGAAAGAAAGAAGGGAATATGGAAACCCCCAGGTCCCAGATCTAGAAGCTCAAAAGTTAGAATTCCAAACATTTTAGATTGAGCCACATGCCCCCTCCTCCCAGCCCCCATGACATCCTATTCCTACCTCAGCTCAGCACTTTTGCCTAATATTGAAATGTCTGTTGGCATCACTCTCCTCACCAGCTGCCTTAACACATCCTTATATTCCCAAAGCCTGGCAAACAGTCAGCGCACAAAGTATTATGAATAAATGAATCAATGCATGAAAGAATGAATGAATGTAAAGTGTTTCGCACAGCGCCTGGGACATAGCAGACATCCCTCAAATTATTCTTTTCCCCAAGCCGAATAATCCTGCCTCTGGCCATTTTTGCCTCACTGGCATTTTTTTCTGAATTTCCCATCAAAGTATCAGCAAGGAAATCAAGCAGAGCCTCAGAGGGTCAGCAAAGAATGAGCTTTAGTCTGACCCGGGCAGTGGCACATGAGTCAGGAAATAAGGAACTGGCTGCCCACAGCTTTGCTCCCTGCCCCTTCCCCGCTCCACTCCCCAGGCCACGGGCAGCAATTCCAACTCCCACGCTGGAATCCCAGGGCACGGTGCCTGCAGGCAGGAGAAGGACTTTGAAATGGCCACTTGAGGAAGAGACAGGAGACCAATAACTCCAGTCTGGCTCCATTACCTCCTAACTGTGACCTTGGGCAGATCCCCCAACACCACCCACAGTGCTGATGTCAGCTGCATATCTGTGACAACGATGGGTGTGGCTGAGTTAACCCCTAAGAACCTTCCCCTCCAAACTCTGTGGCTCTGGCCAGAGCACTTGGGGCCCTGTAAGATGAGAGTAACTCAGCAGGTGCAATTGGCAGATAGTTCAGTCCTGTCGAGGCCCACGCCCCTGAAGTCACCCCAAAGTGAGAGACACAATCACCAGGCTCTGCCAGCTTGCTGGATAATCCACCCCATGGCCCTTCCCACTGGAGAGTGTTTGAGATACCACTGGTCTGTTAAAGTCAACCAGCTGCGAGGAGAGCTGAGAGCCTATTGCGTGGTCCGGCATCTGAAGCACAGAAACGTTGGCTCTGAGCTCCAGCTAATTCTAGACTCTCTCTCCCAGCTCCTGCCTTGCCAGGACCAGCAGTCAGCCTCCAGCTTGGGAGAAAGCCCTTTCCCCAAGCATGAGGCTGCGGGGGAGCAAGGAGGGGCCGTTCCCAGCAGAGGGAAGCATGCTGTGGCCCACCTGTTCTGTCTCTGGAAGCTGCCCTGTTCTGCAGCCCCTGAGCAGCCTGATGTTGTTGCCCAAACCCCAGCTGGTCAGGAGAGGGCAAAGTCTTCTGGGAAACTCCAATCATCCTACCTGGGTGACAGCAGATTTAGAGGAGCACAGGCCATCCCCGCTTAGGGGGTGGAAAATCAAGGTGGTGTGGTCAAAGGAAAATGGGAAATAGGCCTGAGAAAACCAGCCAATCGGCCCAGGGCCCAGGTGGGAAGTCAGAACACCTAACCCATCAGAACTGGAAGTGATCACAGCACCCATCTTGCCCCATCTTCCTGAGGGGGGGATGCCAGTGCCCAGAACCACACCCTGGCCTCCCGCCCAGGCTGGCACCCACTTTGTTTCACCTGCTGGTTTGAGTCCTCACTCGAGTTCTGCTCCTGGTGTGTCCAAGGCCTCCCACCTGATTATGCCCCCTCTCTGCTTCCCTGGTGCCCAGTGCAGGGCTCATCTAAATCAGGGGTTCCTCTGGGACCCATAGACATGCCAACTCCTTGAAACTGCTTTTCAGAATTACGTGCATGGGAATCCCAATGCATTATTGTATACACGGTGAGTCCATAGATTTCCTGAAACACGCGAAGTTGTCTGAGATCCCCGAAAGACAGACTTAGTACTTTCTGTGTTGATAGGAAACCAGGCAGGGCTTCCAGAGGGCAAATCGTGGCTGTAAGATGGGGGCTCTGCGCCAGGAGAATTATCCCCCCAGGGGACACTGGCAATGTTGGAGACATTTTCGATTGTCATGACTGAGTGAGAGCTACTGGCATCTAGCAGGTAGAATCCAGGGACACTGCTAATCCTCCTACAGTGCACAGGGCAGCACCCACAACAAAGAGTCATTCAGGGCCAGGCACAGTGGCTCACACCTGTAATCCCAGCACTTTGGGAGGCCAAGGTGGGTGGATCGCCTAAGGTCAGGAGCTCAAGACCAGCCTGGCCAACATGGTGAAACCCCATCTCTACTAAAAATACAAAAAAAAAAAAAAATTGCTGGGCGTGGTGGTGCATGCCTGTAATCCCAGCTACTCAGGGGGCTGAGGCAGGAGAATTGCTTGAACCTGGGAGGCAGAGGTTGCAGTGAGCCGAGATCGTGCCACTGCACTCCAGCCTGGACAACAAGAGCAAAACTCCATCTCAAAAAAAAAGGCGTCATTCAGGCCAAAACGTCAGTGGTGCCAACGTGGAGAATCTCTTCTCTGAGAAATGCCTGTGGAGCACGTCCCGGGAAAGGGGATCTGAGTCCCTCCCTGTCTACCTCTATGAGCTGCTGCACACCAGGCAGGCTGGTGCAAATGGCGCTGGGAGAGGAAGGTGCAAGAGGAGCGTTTTGGTCAACAAGGTGACACTGCAGGAGCCCCCAGACACTGGCTGTGCCTGAGCCAGCGCCTGGCAGCTACAAGCTCCCCCATCAGGACTCAGGAGGTGTCCAGGGTGGTATCTCATCACCAAGCGTTGGGGGACAGGAAGGCCATGTGCCTGGTCGCCTGAGTCCCAGTGAGGAAAGAGAGCTGCCTCCAGCCAGCCTCTTCAAGCCCTGCTTTGAAAAGCCATTTCCAGACCCAGAGAGCAGGAAGTCACAGCAAATGCTACTTACCTTCTGACAGCCTGACCACCACCTTCCCCTCATCTTCCTCTGAGGGAAGACGAGAAGAGAGGTGGGAGGAAGGAGAGGCAGGAAAGAAGGGCAGGTGGTGAAGATGAGGAAGAGCAAAAAAGGAAAAAGAGAGAAAGAGATTAACAGGGATTATTTCTTGAGAAAGAGAATCTGTGGAGAAAACGGAGATGGGAAAGCTGGGGTGAGGCCAGGGCCGATTTGCGCTGTCCACAGAAGGACTCCAAGGGGAAGGCCGAGGCCCACCCTGCAAAGGACCCCAAGGCTCCGAGGCATAGTTGAGTCCCCGGCTCTCAGGAGCCTGAGCCCCTCGCAGCCCCTGTGCCCAGGGCTCTGTGGGCCAAGTGTCAAGCAGGAGTGTGCTGGCTGGTGAGAGGCAGCCCCCAGCCCCCTTCTACTGATCCCCCGTGGCTCAGTGTCCCTGGCCATGCCGACACTCTGAGTGGGAGGCTATGCCCAGCTGCGTGGCTTCATGGGTCACAAATGCATGCCACTGCCCACCTACCTGGCTGGATCCGTCTTCTGGTAACTAAGGAAAAAAGTAAAGTTGACCCCAATAGCCCCCACCCAGCCCTAAAACCAGAGTCCAGGGAGCAGCTTTCTGAGTTCAGTGGCCCCACATGGCCACCAAGGGCCCAGGGAGCCCTGTCTCCCTCCACCATAAGAAGGAGAGGAGCTGGGAAATGGGAGGAGGAGGTAGGAGGTGTGAACCTGGGGTGGTGTCTGCTCAGAGGAGCACCTTCTCCCAGACAGGCCCAGGGCCCTGCCCTCTACCGTGCCAACAGGACAGGCTGTTTGACCCCAGGGAGGCCGAGCAGCCATCCTCCTTCCTTCCTCAGAGCTTGGGCTGCTCTCCTCAGCAGCAGAGTAAGATGCAGCCAGCATCGGGAGTAGGGATGGGGGATGAGCACAGGCCAGGGAGAGTCAGAAGCCCGGAGGTGGCAGGTCCTTTGACAGTCAGGAGAAGACCTGGGCTGAGGGCAAGGGGATCGAGGAAACGGCAGGCAATGATGGCCACTGCTAGTCATGGGTTTCTCTGGTAGGGTTCTCTGGGCCTGAAGAGGCAGACCTAGAGACCACTCTGAATGCCAGGTGATGCCTTGTGGATGCCAGGTGAATGCCTGTGATGCTTCGTGGATGCTCAGAGCAGAGCCAGCTGGGCTGCCAGCAGAGGCCCTGGCACACAGCAGCAGGGGCATGCTTCTCTGACTCTATGTGTGTGTGTGTACATGTGTGTGTACCCATGTGTGCATGTATGTGCGCCCATGTACGTGTACCCGAGGGCCTGAACACCTAGAATGTGTGGCTTCCAGCAGAGATCTCAACACCACCAAGGAAACTGAGACCAGGCCTCCAAAGCCTCAAGCTAGAGGAGGCTGGGAGTTGTGCAAACTCCACAAGTCAACAGACAGGAAGGCTGCAAGGAAATCTGTCACCCCCAACCCCTACACAGAGAGCCCCAACCCAGGCCTGACCTCAGTGTGGGCACAAAGCTGGCTGCTGACCAGATTCTGAGACCCGGGTTTCTGTCCAGAACCACAGGAGTCCTCCTCCCCCTGGCCCCCCTCCCCATCTTCCCTCTTCCCAACTCACCTCCTGTGGGGTGCAACAGGATGTCCGCTGGGTTGTGAGGTTTCAGGCCCAGAGCAGACAGGGGTGTCTTGGCCAGACCCGGGGGGGACCGCACTGTGCCAGGAAGAAGAGGGGAGACACAGGGAGTGAGAGGTGGGCAGGAGGGCAGACACGCCAGGCACGTGAGGGCACGCTTAGTGAGGGCTGGGGGGCTGGAGACGGTGCCGAGGAACCACCCTGAGGCCCAGCGCTTTGGCTCCACTGCCCTTTCCCGCCTCCGTATTTCTCTACATTTGAACAGTTTAAAGGATAAAGGGAAAGACTCAGGAAATGGCAACCTTGCCCTGGCTCTGGCCCCAACCTTGAGAGAATCATTTCCACCCCTAGGCCCTTAGCTTCTCGCTGCAGTCCCTTTACTTTGCAATGGCTTATACCACACACGCAGGCTTTTGCAGCTGTCTCTGACCTTCTCTATAATACTCTCTCATCCCTCTTCCTACCCTCACCCAACACACACACACACACACACACACACACAGACACACACAGTCCATTTAAAACATGTACTTGGATGGATTCAGAAGAGAACAGAAGAAAATTGGGCCTCAGGATGGCACACCCTGCAAAGGACAGAGACAGAAGGAGATAATGGGCCAGAGCCACGCCAACCCTGAGACCTCAGGCCAGCCCTCGGCCAAGCATGTCCCTTGAAAAGCCCAGGAGGAGAGAACTTCTCAATGTGGGGCTCTGTCCCCCCAAACCTCAGTGTCCTGGAAGGAGGAGAAGCCTATAGTCTGTGGCCAAGAGCACCCACTCCCTATGCGAAGCCTGGGCTCCTCCCAGGCCGCCCATCTGGGTTACAAGTGTCATGTAACACACAAGGTCAGAAAGGGCTGCTGGCTTTTTCCCATTAGCCAAGAACCTGGCCAGATTCAGAGCTGATCTGCAGGGTGGCTGTTATGCCCAGTCACGAGATACCTGGGTGGCAGCTGCCATGTCTCCTGACACAGCTCTGAGAAGAAGTTAAAAAATGAACTCTGTGTCTCCTATCAACGACATTGGGAGCCTGCAGAGACCACAGCCCCAAGGATACTCTGCCTGCCGAATGGCCTCAACAGATTAGCTGTGGCCCTCAGATGCCCAGGAACCACCAGCAGCAAATGCTCCACGACCCTCCCTGCCCCTGCTGCTTTCCCCAAAAGACAGTCAGACCTACAGGAATCTTACAACAATGAAAAAATACACTCTCTCTCCATGCAAGCAACATACATAACTCGTTTGTGCAGGTGAACACCCACATGCACGTGGGAACAGGAAGATATCACAGGGGTCCGGATGAGTGGCACACCCCTGCCCTTCACCCTCACTCTGTCCTTGGATGTCCAAAGAACAAACACAGCATAGGGGACAAATGGGTACAAACATACACCTCCAGGTATGGGATAGCTCTAGGCCTCATGTCTCTGTCTATCCTCCCTCTGTCTTTACATAGACACACACACAAACACACACACACACACATAGACACACACAGATTCTGTTTCTACCACCGCCACACCCCCTCTTCCCTGTCATGGTGTCTTGCTCATAGACGCTTATCAAACACTTATTAATGTTTGTCAAACCAATGGCGGTTGAATGAAATTAATTACGAAATAATATGCCTGGCCTCAGAGACGGTCATTCATGGAATAACCACGAAGCAGCCCCAGCCCACAGGTACGCGCATGTTTAACCAACTGGTGCAGCGGAGGCGCAGGTGGGCCCGTGAGGAGGTGAAGCGGACGAGAGGACCAGACAGGGCAGGAGCTCTCTCTTGGTTCCTCCCTTGTTCACCTCCAGCTCCTGAATTCCTCGTTCCCCCAGTTCCTGGGCAATTGGGCCCTTCTGCTGAGGCAGATGAGTGGGCGACGCTAAAGCCAGGCAAGTCTTTTGCTTCCTGAGAGAAAAATTCCACACGTTTCTCCACCTTCTGTCTTCTCTCCCTAACCCTGTGTGTCTATGGAACCTCTGACTTCTCACCGAGGTACCCATGGCTGGCCAAGAGGAGGGAGAGAAGAAGGCAAAACCCAGTTCTAGCACAGCCCAGGTGGCTTCCACCCAAGGCAAGGTGATGTCCTTTCCCTGGCCATTTACAGCTAACAGTGAATGGAAGCAGATGTCACCATGGAAAGTGAGAGAGGTTCCCCGCAGTCACAAGAGGCTGCAGAGCTGGCTCTCACGTAACCTGCTCTAGGCTCACCCTGTCCAGCACAGCAGTCACGAGCCACACATGGCCGCAGAGCCGTTGCAGGGTGACCAGTGTGAACAGAGACATGCCATAAGTGTGAAACACACACAGGGTTTTAAAGTATGAAAAAGAACACAAAACATCCCGTTCTTTTTTACATTGATTATACGTTGAAATGCTAATATTTTAGACTGGGGTTAAATAAAACATATTAAAATGAATTTCACCAGTTTCTTCTTAAATTTTATAAGAGATTGTAAAATAGCTCAATATTTTTATTGACTTATTTGCCTATTGAAAGGATATTTTGGATTTAACAAAAATGTTATTAAAATTAATGTAACCAGTTTCCTGTTATGCTTTTTAATGTGACTACTAGAGAATTTTAAATTATAAATGTGCTCATAGTATATTTCCATTGGACAGTACTGCTCAAGGGAGAGCCACGGCTTCCTGGGGCCACCAATCAGTCACAGCTTCAGCCTCCTCATGCCCAAGATGGCAGCCAACACAAGTTCTGTTGGCACAGGGGCCACGTACATTGCCACATTCCTCTCCAGTACAGGACAGCCAGCCCCTAGGGGAATGCACAGCCAGCTCCAGTTCTCCCTCCTCTCACCAGGGCCAGTGGATAGCTTGAGCCAGGCCCAGCCAACCTGATCCCTGAACAGCACCAGTGTCTCCTTTTTGTGCTGACCCAGGCCTCTCCTGAGTACACTGAGTCCCTCGTGGCCTGGTATTAATCCATCACTTCCTTCCCCACAACCACCTCCTCCAGTTCCTCTTCATGTCTCTTCTTCTATAAAAAGGAACACTGCCCCATGCCTTGGCTCATTTGGGTCTTGGCCTTAGGTGGATGTGTCTCTGTCCTTTGGGGATCTGCCTCCCCAGTAAGTGTATAGGGGCTGGGGGCTAAATGCCTCTGCCTGGAGGCCAAGGATGGATGAGCTGGGGGCTCTGTCAGCCTGAGGGTCCTGGGTCCCTCTCTCCTTGGTAGAAGCTAAATAGGTTGCCTGGAATGGAAGAGGTGTCTGGATGCAGGCAGAAATGGAGGTCAGAAACAAAGTCAAAGTCAAGTCACAAAGAGTCACGCTAAGATGGTAGGGTCTTTTGAGTGTGGACGGTAAAAAGACTCAAAACAAGTAAGAAAACTCCATAATGTGGGAGCCCAGAGTCCCATGGTCACTCAGTCTGGACCCTAAAACTGGGGCGGCTGCACCCTTAGATGTGTGAGTGTGGACGACGGAGAAGACAATGGCCACAAGCAATGGAAGAGAAGGGGCCATGGGAGTGAGGAGCAGCACGTTCTGGCCCCACCTGGGGCACTGTCACCCCCAACCCTCAGGCCTGGGGCACTCCCACAGGCAGGGTTGAGCTGAGGGGCTGGAGGGTACACAGGGAAGACGAGCTTCACAGGGAATTCTTACCCCCACTGGGTGGTGGGCTGCTCGGGGAGGTTCCCTCCATCTCCTCGAAGGCCTCCTTGTAGCTGTGCAAATGGGGCTGTGGGAGAACACAGGGGAGAAAAAGAGGGAAACCATGAGAAGGAGAGATTTCCCCTTCAGATGACCTGAGGTATGAGGACAGTGAGTTAACCAGCCCCCACATCCCCTCGTCAGCCTGGCTCCTCACTGGTGCTCAGGGCAGGAGACAGGTCCTGCCACAGGCAGGAGAGAAAAGATATCCACAAGCCACTTCTATCCAGAATGACTCATTAGCCTGGCTTTTATAGGCCAGTACACTCGCTCCCTCAATGTGGCCCATGGACCACCTACATCTGAATCTTCCAGGGCACACATTTAAAATGCAGATTCCTGGGTCCCATCCAGATCTACTACCCTGAAATCTCTGGAGGTGGATTTGGGAAGCTACAGTTTTAACAAGCTCCCCATTGGTTGTTACTCATGATGAAGTTTGAGACTCACTGCCTCCAACTACTGAAATGTCTTAGAAATGCAAATCTTTTGGAATGAAAATTAAATCTCCTGAGAAAAACCTTATATCTGCAAAGGGCTCAAAAATAATTTTGCCACTCTCCAGGATCTAGTTTGGAGTTTTGAAATTGTGTTCACCTATATCATCCCCAGGATTCTTACCACCTTATTAAGGCACTCTCTCTAGGAATCAAAAAGGAAACTTCAATCTCAATATTAATGCAAGAAGTGGGAACATAGAGCTATTTAATGGGCCCCAGACTCCACATGTCAGAGAAGAGAGTTTGGGTGAGGACGTAGGGGGAGACAAATCACTGAGTATACTGATATCAGTGCCAAGTTGACCATCAGGTTTCTGGAGATTTAAAGTGGGCACCACTACCCTCCATAGCCCCAAGATACAGCTTAAGGACTCACCTCTTTGGGCCGCCCTCCAGGATTGAGAGCGATGGTAAGAGCCAGCTCCGGGGAGACACACTGGACAGGGGAGCGAACCCCAGGGCTACGAGGGGATGTGGCTTCTGGAGACTGGTTCTCATACTGTCCATCACTGGCCGCCCGCCTCCGCAGAGGGGCTGGGGGCTCTGCAGGCTGCTTCTCCCGAGCCTGTACCCCTGGGAGGAAAGCAGGGTGTAGAGGACAATGAGCATTTTTGTGTAAGAAATGATCAATCGGCCTAATCCCATCAGAGAAGGCAGTGCCTCCTAGCTCAGAGGCCATGCTGGGGCTCGCCTGTCATCCCCCATTGTCTTCCCCTCAGCCCTCCTGGGTCCAACTCTGTTCACACCCCAGGTTTTCTCTGCAGGAGAGGGGATCTGCTTAGATTGGCTCAGACTTCACCAGGAATCTCTCCACACAGAGCTGAGACCAAGAACACAAAGGACTGATACAAGAAACAGATGTCAACTACTTCCAACCCCTGGAGGCGGAGGGCCAGAGCTTCCAGACAAGGGAGGGGAGGTGGAGGGAAAAGACAGTCTCCAAGGCAACTGCATCAACCAACCAGCAACATCAAGCCTGTGGGGAAGAACTCTTGGAAAGGGCTAAATTGCATCATCTTGCAAATGGTGCTCCCAAGGAGAAACAAAGACATGACTAAGCCTTGTTACGAAGTCCCCAGCCCCAGTTGGCCTCTGGGATATTTTTGGCTTTCTCTGGGGTTCCCCAACTTCATCCGGTGTACCGCTGAACCTCTTACCAACTCCCCTTATACTGGCCTCTTAGCTCCCCGCCCCCTTTTCCCTGCCCCAAAGATAGCGGCGGATCCCACCATGTCCCTCCCAGCTGAAGAGCAGACAGAGAGAAGTCGTGTGCTCCATCTGCTTTTCTGTACTTCCCATCCCAATCCCATTCCACAGGCCTGGGGATGCTGTTAATCTCACCCTCCTTCCTTCCCACTCCCTCTTCCCACAGCTGGGCTGAGGCACGGAATCCATTGCCTCATTGAGCTGGCTCCCAGAATCCTAGAAAACTCACTTCCTGGGTCCCAGAGGCCAAGACCCAGCCTGAAGCGTGGGCTTCTGGTCTTGACTCTCTTCTGGGAAGAGATTCCCCGCCCTGCTTTCACCACCACTAGGACTTAACAAAGGCCTCAGGTCACATGGGTCAGCGTGTGTGCACACACACTGCACACACACTGCCAGCCCCTAGGAATGTGCCAGTACAGCCAAGCAGAAATCACCCTCATTCAGACAGAAACATCTTCTGCCATCCACAGTGAGGACTGCATGTCCCCAGCCACGCCCCCCAGCACCCCCAGTCTGGCACAGCCACAAAGGCTGCCATAAACAGCGCCACCTGGGAAGCCTTCCTACTTGTCATGAACAGCAGGCTGCCGGCTGCCAAGCCTACGGGCAGACACACACTTACACTCACATAGGCACAGCCACTCTGAGACACGCCCTCATACTCTCCCATAATCAGGGGCTCCCATAATCGGGGGTGGGGGGCGCATCAGGAGAGCAGCAGGACTGGCATTTGCACATTAAATGCAGAAGGTACCGAGTGGTGCCCTGAGTCTCCGCTTTGGGCTTTTTATTAATCAGGGGCAGCCCTGCTGCCATCTCAGCTAAGAAAATAGCGCCCAGGATGGGGACAGTAAACTAGACTCTGACCTCACTCTGCCACTTACAAACTGTTCCACTTAAAGCAAACAAGCCCCACACCTTGAAGAGCCCTTATTCGCAGAACAGAAAAATAGGAGTCCCATTAGACCCAGCCAGGGGCTGCCAGGAGCATCTACCTGAAGGAAAGAAGGGCGTGGTTTTGGGAAGGGTGGGCAGCTTGCTGCAACCCTGCAGCAACCCCAGGCTCCCAGGCCTTAGCTCCCCGGAGCCCCCATCCCACTCAGGTCTCCTGGGCAGCTTGGACCAACACTGCCACTGATTTCATTCCTGGCAAAAACATTAGAGAGAAACAGACATAGCCATTGATTTTCTAACAATAATTGTGACAGAAGAAGCCCATTTGGGAGACGCTCTTGGGGTTTGGAACTCAGTTCAGCCCCAAGGTTAAAATAAATGCATTAGGGCTGGTCTCAGTTCCGGGCTCCTCTGCCCCCAGCAGCTCTTTCTGGCAGATCCCTCTGCCTTTTCAAGGGGTGGCCAGTTTCCCTGCTTGGGGATCTGACGTTTGCCATTAAAAAATAGATCTGTTTGCATTTGAGGCACCGAATCTCCTGGACAAACAAAGAACATTCTGCCCAACCTTCCCAAAGCTTTCTCCATGTTCAGGGGCCACAGATGCCTGCAGCAGCTTGGGGTGCAGGGGGCACCTGACATCCGTAGAGAATGTGAGATCCTGGCATGAGGCAGTCAGCCATCTGAGGGTGAGCTGCACCTTCCCAATCCTCTCTCCATCACCACCAGAATGGCACGTGGGAGCATGTTCTGACCAGAGGCAGGGAAATGGAGGGAATGACCTCCAAAGAGCTAAGGAGCTGCAGGGCAGTGCCTCCCTCTGCGGAAGGGTAAGACCCTGCATTCCACTCCCACGGGGCCAGCCCCTCCCCTGCAGAGCACCAATGGCCCCATGGCACCAATGGCCAGTCAGGGCCACTCACATTCTTTGAACACAGTGTCCCACTGTTGTCCCCCTTGGCAAGCCCAGATCCGCCTGGAGTGCCTGGAGAGACATGTTCCCTCTCTCTTGTCTTGCTCTATGGGAGGGGAGACTGGCGTGGCAGAGGGGAGAGAAGAGAGCCCCATTGTTCCTTAGCCAAGCTAGGGTGTCTGGACACAAGCTGACAACCAGTGTCATGGAGAGAACACCCTCTCTCACGTCCCAGAGTCTGACTGATAATAAAAATAGGCCTGCTCTCCCCACCTCCCTCCCTCCCGCCACCACCCTCCACCCCAGGACTTTCTCAGTCTTTGGCCCCATTCTCTCTCTCAGGGCCTCTGTCTCCTACACCCACCTAGGCAGAGGCAGGTGCCTTGCACAGACACACATGTGCATGCTTGCATGTACATACACACACACACACACACAGCCTAACAGAAATGGCAGCAGGACACTGGGATGATGGGGGTACATAGTGGGGCCACTGGGTCACCCTCAGAACCTCTAGGGCCAGCCCCTACCCCAGCAGGAGGCCGTGTGGCCAGAGGAAGAAAGGAAGAGAAGCTCCCAGGAGGCTGAGAAGGCTGGGGTACCCTTATGACAACAAAGTATCTTTAGGACCCTAACACCCTATGTTCAAGGAGCCCTGGGCGTTCTCTAAGGGCTGCTTCATACACGGGCATCAGGCCTTCCCCACAGCCCTGCCAGGATGAGCAGTTATCCCAGCCCCAGGGTTCCACACAGGCCCCCAGACCTGAGGAGCAGGGCACCAGAGCAGCCCCCTTCCCAGGGAGGCGTCACTCTTCTGCCAGGACAGTGCTGTGCTGGACAACAGCTCACTCCAAGGCTCCCCTAGCATGAGCCAGACTGGAGGCAATTAATCCCCTTCATCTGACACACACACGCACACACACTCACACGCACACTCGCACACCCTGCAATTCTGGGAGCTGTAGCCCTGACACAGACCGATACATGTACTTTGGCAAAGCACTGCTGCCCACCACCCCTGGATCACGTGACGAGTACCCTGGTGTCAGGCTTCATGATGTGCCTCCTCTGCACCCCCCAGACTGGCCACTGCCACCCTCACAGACCCAGCTCTTCTTTCCAGTCTTCCGATTTCCAAAAGACTGGATTCCTCAGGTCCAGGTAGCAGGGCTGGGTGTCCGACAGCATGCCTGGGGCTCCAGAAGCGAGGGGATCCGGGAGGCCACCTGCTGGGCCAGGGTGCCAGAAAGCCACACGGCGATCACACTAGCAGCCCTAGGGCAAGCCATGCCAGCTCCCCTTGAGGCAGGCCCACCATCCCAGAACCTGCCCCTACCCAGGCCCAGCTGAACACTACACTCCCCACCACTGGGCTGAGAGAAGGGCAGAGGAAGAAGAAAGGAGGGAGGGGCGGTTGAAGGGAGCAGTCTGCTAGAGCCATCTCCTGATCATCCCTGGACTGGGAGAAGAAGGGACCATGGAGGCACCAGATAACTGACATTGGGAATCAACAGTTCCCATTTCCCCTAGGCCTTTTCCTGGAGCTGCTCAGGGGCATGGTGTAGGGCAGGCCTGAGCATGGCATCTTCCCTGACCCAGCCTCCAGTGTCAGAGGAGCAGGGGAAGGAAGAGGTGATTCCCTGGCCAGGGCTCAACGCCTAAGGGCCTGCGTGTCCCAGAGGCCAGGGGTAGATGTTAGTGGACGGCATCATTCTCAAATGAATTACTGTGACCCCAGTGAAGCATCCACAAGGTCCAGGGCATGTCAAACCACCGTGCAAAATACACAACAGGACAGGACTATCATCTGTCCACTTCTCAGACTGGGAAATTGAGCTCTAAACAGTTAAGAAACTTGCCCAAGGTCACAGAGGTGGTCTCAGGCAGGGCCAGGACCCCAACCCAGGGCTTCTGACTCTTGGCCATGGGATCAGAGATTAGGAGTGGGACCAGAGGGGGTACGCTGTCCCCAGGGTGTGCCATGCTCTAGAGTGGACAGAGCAGCAGGGGCTGGGGCACCACTCTGTGTTGTGTCTGGTGGCCCCATGCAAAGCTCAGCCTGGCTCCTGCCGAGACCTAGCCCTGCAGCCCAGGCAGTCTGGCCAGGGTGGCCGGAGTGCTGGACTGTCCAGAGCCCTCCTGAGCACCCTCATTGCAAAGGCCTGCATCTCCTCAGGGGACCCTGAATGTTAGTCTAGTTATTCCAGGCATTGTTCCCAGCAGGCAAGGCCAAGGCTAGCATGAGGCCCATGTTCATGCAGAAGTGAGCTCTGGCTCATGCAGACAGGAGGGAGAGAGGGCTGGAGAGAGGAGGGATGGAGAAGTAAGTGAGGAGACAGAAGAGAGGATAGTGAGAAATGGGGAAGGAGAAGGAGAAACAGATGGAAACCAGAGAACAACAGAAGAGGGAGAGGAAAAGACAGAGGAGAGAAGGAAGAAGGTGGGAAAGATTTGGAAGGAATAGCACATGAAGAAGGAGTGAAAAGAAACTGATGCTCAAAAGTGGGCCAAAGAGCTGGAAAGGGAGAAGGGGGAAGGAGAGCCACCCACCAGAGAGGGAGGAAGATTGGAGCCGGTGGAGAGGAGGGGGCGGGAAGCTGCCACTGTGTCCGATGCCCTGCAGCCTGGCGTTGTACGCTGCCCACCCCCCACCCCAGGGGAGCCAGCAGGGAGTGGGAGGCAGGAAGGAAGGGAGGATATGGGGCAAGGCAGGCACCCCACCAACAGCACAGGGAACAGATGGACATGGGAAACACAGAGAGTGCAGGGGACGGGGCATTAAACAGGACAAAACACAACAAAAACAAAGAGAAAATCAAGATTAGTTGGTGTTCTGACTCTGGTATCTGGGCACACACTGGAGGGAGGTGGGGAAGGTATCAGACAGGAAGAGAGGGGGATCCAAGGTCCTGCTTCTCCAAGAGGCAGATGGACCTCCTGCTGGCCAGCACCACAGCGTTTCCCTCTCTTCTAACCCCAGGGTGGAAGCAGAGGTGCCATCGTGGGACCAGGAGAATTCACGCATCCCTCACCTGCTCCCATAGGCAGCAGGCCTGTCCCTGGACCACCCATCTTTTCCTGGGCACCTGCCTCTCCCTGGACCCAGGTAACACACCCAGCCTGAGCCCAAGGGTCACCCTCTCTCACACCCTGGCTCCTTACCACAGCCATCTGAGTGATCCTCTTTCCTGGGGAACCCCTTGTGCTTTTCTGCTCTGGCCCCCAGCTTCTGGTCATCACCAGAAAAGTCCTTAAGATGAACCTTCTCAGATGCACTAGAAGGACCTGCTATGTTATCCTTTCCTTGCCCCTTGTTGACTTCTAACCCACCTTCACACCACAGGGGCCACAGGAGTGGCCAACATTGCCCCTGCCCTGGCCCCCAGAGTTCAAGCTATGTTACCTTTCCTCTCCTTCACAAGCTGCTCCATGCCAGTTCCTATGCTGGTTCCCTCCTCCTGTCTGTAGCCTTGGAATGTGGGAGGTTCCAGGACTCCATCCTTGGGACCTCTCCTTACCTGTCCTCAACCCCTCGGTGACATTGCCCAGTGCTATGCTTAATCTGGTATGTACACGTCAACAATTCCCATATCTCTAAGTTCCAGCCTCTTCTCCTTAAACTCCTGACTCATTTATCCAACCACTGCAGATGTTTCATGGTCATCTCAAACTTAATGTGTCCAAAAGTCATGTTTCTAGTGTTCCCCTGAAACTGCTCTTCATAAATTGTTACCCATCTCAATAAAGAGCAACTCCATTCTTTAGTTGCTCAGGCCCCAGACCTAAGCGTTGTCTCTGACTTTTCTCTTTCTCTCTCATTCCATGTGTAATCTATCAGTAATCTTGTTGGCTCTACCTCCAAAATATGTCTAAAATCCGAGCACTTCTCCCCTTTCCATGGCCACTGCCCAGATCAATAGCAGCAGCCACCTAACTGCTCTCCCTCCTTCCATCCTGCCCACCCTGGTCAATTCAGAACAAGTCAGATGATGTCACTCTTGGGCCCAAATCCTTCCTAAGGCTTCTCATGCCACACGGAGTAAAAGCCACCATTCTTACAATCACCTCAAAGACCCTCTGTAAGCTGTCCCTGTTCCCATTTCCTCTCTGAACTTGTGTCCTGCTATGCCTCCCTTGATCACTCTACTCCAGCCATGCCAGGCACACTCCTGCCTCGGGGCCTCTGCACTTGTTGCTCCATGGGGCTCATCTCTCGCTGCCCAGCCCTGATCATCCCATGTAAAGTGCAGCCAGCCACCCCCTACCTCTCACTGCTTTATCTCAATGGCACGTATCACCTATCTGACATATCCTATGTATATGTGCTTATTTGCTCAGTATCCATCTCTGCTGTAAGGGCAAGGATCTTTATTTGCCACCATTTTCACAAAGCCTAGACTGGCAAGCAGCACCCATTAGAAGTTCATGTTGAATCGAATGATTGAATGAGCCTTCAACTCATCTCCTATTTTCAGAACAAAATGTAAAAAAAAAAAAACACAAGAGTTTTCACTTCAAGCTCCCAAAGCTTGACATCAATATTTCCCTCTATCTTTATCTATCCTTTATTCTAATTTCATGAAGAGGTATCTCACCTCCTGGTTGAGCCTAATTTACCTACATGGGCTCCTAGGCCTGTCCCCTCTTACCTCCTTAGAGACCTTATTCTATCAACTTCTTTCTTTCTCTTCTTTTTCTCATCCTTCCTCCCCCCATGTCCAACCTACTCCCCTCCTCTTCTACATACAAACATTCTCATGACTCTTATATTTACAAAAAAGTTCCCAATCACTCACTATCCTCTTTAGCTACCACTCTCTCCTCTCTTATCACAAAACCACTGAAAAGAGTACTTGGCTTGCTGTCTTCACTCCTTCTCCACTCATCCTCAATCCCCCACAGTCTGGTTTCTGTCACCAACACGCACTAAAAATATGCCTTTGATGTTTTACACAGGGCTGCCTAATTTGCAAGCCCAGTGGATTTTTCTCAGTCCTCCTCATGATCTCTTCAGGCTGACACTGCTAATCTCCTGCCCTTCCTCCTTGAAACCCTTTACCATCTTGACTTCTATGATGACATGCTGTCCTGGTCTCCTGCCACCACCCGAACACTCACTCTCAGCCCCTTTACAGCCTCTACCTCCCTTCATGGCCATTCCATCCTAAGTTCTTTTCTCTCCAAGCCCTCTGACATTGAGATCTCACATACACCCAAAGCTTTAACCATCACCTTTGTGAGAATGATTCCAAAACCTGTAGCTCTTCCTTTTCTTTCACACTCAATTCCAAAGTTCAGCTGCCTTCCATATGTCTCTCCCTGGAGGCTCCACTCTCCCCTCAAACTCAACATGTCTAACACCAAGGCTTCATCTTCCACCCAACGTCCTCCTCCTGCCTTCCTGCTTGTTAACAGAACCATCATTCTATTTCTATTCATGGAGCTCAGAATCATTTTTGATGATCCTTCTCCCTCATCCGCTCCAGCCAATCAACACATAAGTGCATTGGTTCTACCCCCACAGTATCCACTGCATCATCTCTTCATTTGCATTCCTATGGTCAGCACCCTAATCCAGCCCCGCACCACTTAGGCTATCTAATAAGCTCCTATCATCTCCTGGCTCAAAGTCTCTCCCATTTATTGTCCTTCCTGCCCAGACCCACCAGACACATCATCCTGAACCTCAGCTCTGGTCATGGCATGTTCCCCCCATGAAACCACAGGAATGGCTTCCTACATTGCTGCCAGGTAAGATGCAAGCTCCTTAGTCCGGTATTTAAGATCATCCAGAGACAGACCCCAGGCTACCTATCCCGACTGTCACTCACACAGACCATATGTTCTCAATCTACTTGCCATTCTCCAAACATTTTCTGTGCTCTCCTGTCTTCACTGTGAACCCTCTCTGCCCAGTGATCCCGTTTACTTTCAAAATCCTATTCCATCTTCCAAGGCTCAGTTTAAAACCACACTTAACACTGCCTTCCCCATCACTAGCTGACAGCAATCGCTTCACCTCTCTCCTGCAGAGCTTTCTCCTTATCTCTCTTATTACAAAAGACTATTTTAAAGTTCCAGTTCTTTTTTCCCCCTATTAAACTCTAGACTCCTTAAGGATAAGATCCATATCTGATTTCCAACATGTATTGAAATCTCCACCTCTAGAGACATCTGAGATCAGTCCAGCCACAGAATCAGGGACATAAGATAACTCAGTTGGACTCTCCAACTCTGACTCTTATTTCTTTTTCTTGTCTTATTGCACTGGCTAGGACATCCAATACAATGTTAGATGCAAGTGGTGATAACAGACATCCTTATTTTGTCCCTGGCTCTAATAGGAACGCTTCCAATGCTCCACAGGAAAGTGTGATGTATGCTATAAATTTCTGGTCCCTACCCTTTATCAAATTAGAAAACTGCCCCTACCTTCTCCTCTACAACTTAAGCTGGAATAAGGCACAAGGGTGATTGGATCAAAGTGGAATAAACCAGGGACTTGAGACTGAGGTATGGAGGACAGCCAATGGGGAAAAGGCAGACCTGGGGGAGGAAAGCCAGGAGAAACCAGATCAAGTTCATGGCCATGAAGAGGTTCTCCCACAGATCTGAGCTTCCTAGGTTACTCATGTCAAAGTGTATGTTCCAGCTTCTTACGGCAGAGATGTAGACAGAGCAGAAAGAAGTAGTGCTGAAATCTATCTTCCCTGCCTCCCAGACTTTTCCACACATTGATCTTGTCTGTCTGCCTTTATCTACACAGGCACTGCAGATACCCTGAAAGGCTACTAAGGAAGTTACTCATGCAGGACCTGCTGACATAAATTCTGTCATAATGACAGGGCTTGAACCAAAGAGGCAACTTCATAGACCTGGGAGCCAAATATAAGTGTCCCCTCTATACATTTCATCCCTTCTCTTGAGTCACTCCCAGTTGATGGAGGAAATGGCAACAGGGTTAGGGAATGGGAACATTGTGCCAACAGTATCCTTCCCTATCTATGACTTCATGGCAGCCAAAGCCTGAGAGGCTACAGAATATGGAAGTTGACAGTCAAGCCTTCGAAAGCTGGTAGGAGAGAAAGGGCTAAAAGGCAGTCCACTACAAGATGGGCATCCTCCCAGGGCCATTAGGGTTATGGCCTCCTCTTGAGCAAGCTCCAGGAGAGCTGCATGGAAGGGTTCTTGTAGGGGAGGAAATGTATTCTGCTCCCCCAGAGAGAAGGCTCCTGGATCCTGCCCCTCATTAGACTAGCGTGTCACTAATCTTTAGGCCACCACTCCAACCTTGCAAAATATTGGGAGAGGAATTAAATTCCCAGGGAATTCAGAAAGCCCCATCCCTCTCACCTCAAAAAAACCAAGAAGAAAAGGATCTCTGCTGACAAAGCCAGGGGGGTATCTTTATCTCAGGGGCCCAGATGTGGGAGAAGGCAGAAGTCAAAGCCCATATGGACCACCCATGGAGCGTTTCATCCGAGGTTAAGAACTGCCCATCCTTTGTTCCGATGCTCAGGTAAAAGGAATTGTTACTGCTAGGCCAGCTCTCTATGGGAGGTGAGGCTGATTGCCAATTTCCATGGTGTAAATACTCCTGCAATGGCCAATTTCAAGCTATTATACCAATAGTGGAGCTGGGGACTCTGCTCTGCTCTGAAGTATAGGAGCAGGGAGCCTGTGTCCCCACACCAGGTCCTGAGCCAGCTGGCCTGCCCCAAGCTGCTTCCCTAAACCCACGGTCCATCTCCAGGGAGGGTGTTTCCTTCCCTCCCTGCAGCTGGCATGGTGACTCAGCTTCCCCTAAATTTAGGAAAAGGGGTGGAGGACAGAGACAGCTGCCCAGGCTCCTCTCCTCCTCGCTGAGCTCCCACCACCCTGTCAGCTGAGGGGCTGGCACAAGGTCCACCCAAATCCACAGTCTCTGGTCCACCCCTGTCTGGGCTCCACCTCCAGAATAAAGTCACCCAACAGGTTTTCCTGCCAAGTTCAGCCACCCTTGTGGAATGGGCATAGGCTTAGACCAGTGGGAAGGGAACCTCGCAGCTGTCTCTCCCAACATGGCCCCAGACATGCTGTCATTTCTTGCCTTTGTCTCCCCAAAAGCTCTTCTGAGTGTCCCACTTTCCTCTCTCCCAAAAGAGAAGCCCACTCTCTGATAGGAAAAGGAGCTTTGTCTCTCAGCACCTACTTCCCATACAGGGCTGGTCCTCAGCAAAGACTAACAGGAAAACTGACTTAGAAGGGGAACCTTGGCCTCCCCGCCCCAGCAGATAGAGCCTAAGGGCTTGAGGATACCCTCTCGGACTCTTTCATGGCCTCTAGGAGCGGGACCTAAGAGGGAATTTGAGTCTACAAAGGCCTCCCTCCAGCCTTCTCCACGTCTCCCCCAAGGAACTAAAGTCTGAGGACAGACAGCACGACAGGCAATTGCAGAGTCTCCTCTGTGTCTAGAAAGTCTGTACTCCAACCCCAAAGTCACCACCTCCTGGAAGCTTTCCCTGACTGCCCTAGGTGGTAAGCTTTGCTTTCCCAGGCTCTGGGATCTTGGTCCCACCTCTGTCACCGTACACATTACTCTCTAATGAAATCATCTGTCTGTGTATCTGTCCGCTCACTAGACTGTAAATTTCTTGAGGGCAGGAATTGCTTGACATTGAACTTTGAAACTTGGTGTCTGGCTTGGTGCCTATCAGACAATGAATGCAGGAAGGGATAACTGGCTAGCATATAGGCTCCTGAGAGCCTCCTCCCACCAGTGAAAGCAACATCTGCTTAGGGGTCATGGCTGGACCTGCACCTCCCCCCAGCAAGACCAAATAAGGAAGGGGTAGAAGGAGTCAGGACTGAATACCTCTTACCTGCTACCCTGTGGGCCACCAGCCCTTCTAAATTCAATGGCTCCTCCTCTGGAGTCCGGGAGGGGTCTGAAGTCGCTTCCTTTGGTGAGAGCAGAGGCTGAGCAGTGAGGCCAGGGAGAGAGGCTGGGGGTTGCTGAGGCCCTGGAGGGCTGTGGGTGGTCGGAAGGAAGGCAGGCAAGGAGGAAGAGGCTGGGCTCTTTGAATGGAAATCCTGGTTAGGCCCAGCCAAACATGGCTGATAGTCATAAGGTGAGTAAGACCTGCCAGGAGGGACAGACTCCAGAGAGGCCCGTGGGGCTGGCTCAGGGGTTCCCAACGAATGCCCACTGGGGATATAGCCAGATCTGGACTGGGTCAGTGGATGGGACTGACGGGAGGATCCAGAGAGGGGCTGGGAGGAGAGTGGAGAAGCCCCTGGCCAGGCCCCGGGGACACTCTGGGACTTGTGTAGTGGGGCAGCAGCGGAGGCTGGCTCCAGGTCCAGCATCAGCATATTGAGTGTTTCGATGGACTGTTCAATCTCCTGCTGGGAGGCTGCTCGCGGGAACTCAGGGAGACTGGGGATGGGGGTCTCTGCCAATGGCTGAGGGCTGGGCCTGCTGGCTACAAGACTCTCCAAGTGGGCTCTTTCCTGCTGGCGTGGAGGTGGGCGAGGCTGCTGCTGCTGCTGCTGCTGCTGCTGCCACGAATTCAGTCCCCTTTGCACAGCCTCCCGGCTGCTTCCCCCTCGGACCGGAGCTGGGGGCAGCTGGGGTTCAGCTTCCGAAAAGGATTGAGAGCGGAACATACCGCTGGGGTCATGGGCATAGTGGGAGGTGGTCACTGGCTGTGGCCAGGCTGGGTGGGGCCCCTCCCTCTGGTAGCCAGCTAAACCCTCCTGTGCAGAGTAGGAGGGCCGCATGGGGGCCGTGTGGCCAGCATGGGCAGGCCCCGCCCGGCTGGCAGACTCGTAGGGGTAGCCTCCTCCATTGACCATAGGCTCCATGGGGTAGGACTTGTCCAGACCGTTGGTCAGTGGGGACAGGGCCTCTGGGTAGCCCCCCTCACTGGTGTTGGTGACCCCGTCCAGAGAAGAGAGTGTGCCCATGCTGCCCGCACTGTGACCATCCTGGTTTGGCAATTCATCGTCCAGGATGTCTGTCTCCCGCTCAGATGCTAACGCCCCACCATTGACATGAACCTGGGCTGGGACAACGTGGCGTCCAGAGGAGGGCACAGCCGAGCCCCCTGCTGGGCGGGACCTGAGGTGCTGGGTGTGGTACATGGCGCCTTGCTTCTCTCGCTCTAAGCCAAAGCCACTCAGCAGGCGGTCCAGCTCCCGCTTCTCCTGGGGACTCAAGGCAGCAGTGGCACTGGAGGCCCCGGGGACAGGCTCGTCGGTCTTGTCGGTCTTGGTGGAGGCTGTGGAGTTGCCCGAGTCGCTGCTCACAGAAAGCGTGTGTTCCACGTGGTTGGGGGTGGCCGACAGTGTAGGACGTGTGGCATTAACAGCCCCGGTGCTGCCGTGCAGGGAGTCTTTCTTCTTCACCTTAGCATACAGGCTCCCATCTAGTGGCCCCTGCGTGTGTCCCACCACCTCTGCAAGGGACAGAGCCGGAGGGGAGACAACAGACAACAGACATTAGCGGGAGGCAGGGGTATCATCCACTCTGCCAGAGAAAGAAGCTAAGAGCTCCCATGCCCTGCATCCTAAAACCTCCTCTCACCACCCTGAGGTGGGGAAAAGGGGAGCTGACAGAAAGACCTCTACCCCAGGCTTTGGGGCAGAGCCTCACCAACACTCAGCTTCAGGGCCGGGCAGTGGAGCCCAACACTGAGCAGGAAGTGCTGGGGGCAAATCGCTCCAGTCCCAAGCCTAGCTCTGGCATTTCACCAGCTTCCTGACCAGAGGCATGAATAACTCTCTGAGCCAGCCTCCTGGTCCATAAAATGGGGATAATAATAGAATCTGGTTGAACCATCTGAAATTGCCAATATTCATTAAATACACTGTGCTTTGAGTTTAAATGAGTTGACACATGACATGCTGAGACCAGTTCCTGGCACGTGATGGGAGTTCAACAGCTGGGAGCCCTAACCATCACCATTATGAGTATCATTAATTCCTGAATGACCATTTCCAAAGCATCCTCAGTCCCCTCCGCCACCCCATCTCAAAAAGTCTCACCCCTGCTTCGATGTCTGGAGTTCCCACTCTGGATTAGAGGCAGAATGCCAGGAGAGTAGCCATTGCCTTGAATGCCCATAGAGGTATCAGCATGGACGGCCAGTCGCCCCGAGGATAGCCTTTGCCCACGGAAGCAGGGGGAGAACCCAGGAGGGCAGTAGGGTGCAGCAAAGGGCCCCACCATGCCCAAGGTGGTGGTGGCAGGGAGGCTGAAGGCAGAGCTGGGACTCTCTAAGACAAGCTTGCCCTCAGCTAGATTTGTCTCCAGCTCAATGCAAAGGATGTGATAGAACCATTCAGAGATACAATGTCATTCATGCTGCCCACTGCCACATTTCCAGAGGCTCCTCCCAGCTCCTCCCCAGCACTGCCCACTCCTGATGGACCCCTACCCCTCCACCAGCAAGCTCAGCCCATACCACTCAAGACTCCAGGAAAGGGACGCGGGTCCTGGGAAGGTATGCCGGGCAGGATCACAGCAGGTCTGCAAAGACGAGCATCCTGATCCCACTGCTCTGAGCCAGCCCGGGGGCCCCTGAAGAACAGGCCAAGGTGGGGCTCAGCCAAGCCAACAGTCCCTGTGCCAGAGGGGACACGCTTTTCCTATGCTGGAGGATGGGGGGCATATAGGGTGCTGATGCAGGGGGTTCAGGGACTAGGGCAGGAGGGGAAGCGTCTTAGGGATCGTGAACACAAAAACAAGATGTCTTCATGGGGGAGAGGGTCCTCTTGTCTGCAGACAGCTCTGAGGACCCCCCTGAGCAACACTTTCTCTGGAAGGAAAAAGTGAGCGCTGGGTGGCTCGGGGCCAAAGGGCTGACTCAGGAATGAAGAACTTCCCCGCCCAGAGGAACTCAGTGATTTCACACCCTGTACAGTCAGCAGCCCAGCCACCAGCCCCGACAGACACACACACACACACACACACACACACACACACACACACACGCACGCACGCACCTCCCCTTACTCTAATCCAGGCTCTCCGTTAGCAAGGAAAAAAGCCAGCTCCCAAAGACTGCACCAGCTCCAGCCAGACACCAGCAGTCACACACCGAGCCAGACAAAAAGACAGTAAGAGATCACCCAAATCAGAAACACCCAGGCATGAGCACACACTAGGTGCCACACAATGCCAAGAACCACAGTCAGACAGCACCGGCATGAACATGTACACACAAATACCAACAACAGTGACCACCGTGCAGTGAGCACAGCGCAAACGCCAACACTTCGCCAGGCACTCTACACGCACATCCTCTCTAGCCATCGCCTCCGAGCCAGACAGTATTACACCCATCACAGTAAGGGAGAAACTGAGCCTCTGAGAGGGGAAACCATTTATGTGCCAACAATGCTACCTGATAAAGCCAAGATTTAAAATCAGAGCTAATTTCCTTCAAACAGTATGTAATTTTTATTATGCTACACCTCCCTCATATCACAAACACACACACACACACATACACACAAATTAGAATAAACACATAACAGGCAGGAATACCCCCAAATAAATACTTAAAGCCACAAATATTTCAGAAAATACAAATGTTCCTACCATGCCCAAGGATCAGCCCTTAGGCCAGAAGTGGCAGCCTCTAAAAATAAACACTCTGACAGAAGCCCATGGCCAAAAACAAGTGATCAGACAACCACAAAACAGGAACATCCCAATCAACATACACACACACAGACCACAGGCCAGCCATGTTACAACACAGAGAACTGGCACAAAGATGCTCCACCAGGCACTTGCATCCCTCTACACACACACACACACACACACACACACACACACCCCAGGGACTGGATGCCCTCCTCATTTACTGACCTCTCCAGATCCACCCCTCTGCCCCCAGTTTTCCCCAAGGCTTTGGGACCTCAGCCAACACCAGCCCCAGACAACACAGGACCAAAGTATTGCAGCAGCCCAGGGCCCAGGGCCCAGGGCTGGTCTGAACTGAAAAGGGGTTTTGGCTAAAATACATTCTGAATCTCCACCAACCTGGCCCTGTGCCTAGACCCCTAAAGGCTGCTAAGATGCAGGACCAGGCACAGCTGCCTCTTCCAACCCCCTATTATCATCGTAAAGGGGTCCTCTCCCTGTAGGATGAGGGAGGCTGACCTTCATGCCCACTCTCTCCAAAGAACTGAGCTCCTTGCTACACATAAAAGAAGAGACCTCAGCCTGGCATGGTGACTCATGCCTGTAATCCCAGCACTCTGGGAGGCTGAGGCAGGTGGATCACCTGAGGTCAGGAGTTGAAGACCAGCCTGGCCAAAATGGTGAAACCCCACCTCTACTAAAAATACAAAAAATTAGCCAGGCGTGGTAGCACATGCCTGTAATCCCAGCTACTCGGGAGGCTGAGGCAGAAGAATCACTTGAACCTGGGAGGCAGAGGTTGCAGTGAGCCGAGATCGCACCATTGCACTCCAGCCTGGGTGACAGAGCAAGACTCCATCTCAAAAAAAAAGAAGAGACCCCAGCCGCCTGTTTCTAGGGGGCAAAGCACTGAAGACAGGAGCCTCTGATGCACTCATAGCTCTGGGGTGGTTCTCTTGAGGATGGGGCCCCTTGGACAAGTTGGCCGAAATCTGAAGAGCTGGCTTTCCTTCTCACTGTCCCTAGAAAGCTGCAGGCCCCCTCCTGAGCCAGGGCACCCCCTCTGCCACCTACACTGTGAGGTGCCAGAATTTCCCTCCTGGGCCAGTGATCCCCTCCATCCTTTGTGCCTCCTCATCCCCCACGTTCATGCTCATGTGGTCTGAGAAGTGGGGAGCTGCAAAGCAAAGGCTGGTGTGTCCAGTGGCTTCCCCACTTAGACATGTTCCACAGTGAGAGCCATGGGGGCAAATTCAAATCAGAAAGCACATAGGCCCCTGCAGCATCTCAGTCATGACTAACAGAAAAACTATGAAGGCATCCCCCAGGCAGGAGAGAGAATTGACTACCTGATATCTCAGCCCTTCCTTGCCCCTGTGGCCAAGCCCCACTCAGCATCGATTTTGAAAATGTCAATGTTAAACTTGTTCTGTCATGTAATCTATCCCCAAGTGGGCTCCTGTTTGCAGCAACAACATCAGGAACAATCATAGCCAAGCCACTAAGGCATAGTAAGAAAATCGAACAGATGCAAATTGTTTAATTAACTCCTGTTCGCTAACTACAAATGGAAATGTCTCTTGGCCCCAGATTGCACCCTCCAGGCCACTCAGCACCTTTGCTGAGTTGTCCTCTTCCTATCCAAGGGAGGTTTTGAGAATACCCAGGCTGATCCCAGGCCTGTCCAGCCCTGATGAGGACTCTGCTGAAACCCCAGCATAGCAGCAGGATCTGTGGAGCACGTGCCCCTCCTCCTCCCACCAGAGACAAGACAAAAGTCCCCCAGCCCCCACTCCGGCACACACACTCTCATCATTCCCTTCTCACCATCCACCACGGCCACATTAGAGCTTTTTACCGGGACCACAAGAAGCCGGAACACAATGTTGGTTTCAATCCATCAAGGCAGGAAGGGCAAAAGAGAGACGGGGGCAGAGAGGACAGGAGTGAAATAAGGTAGAGGAGGATAAGAGAGGGACTTAAGGGAGGCTGGGGAGGTGGCTTTACAGCTCTTAATCTGAGGGGTCTCCAGAGCCATCCTCTTGAAGTCCCAGCAGCCACAAAGGGAGTGATCAGTTCAGGGGAATGCATCTCAGATGAGAGGAGGCTGGACATCCAGAACAATGGGGCATGGGCTAGAGGGAGGGGTCTGCATGTTTGGGGGCTGTGGGCATTGTCACGGGTGACAATGGAGTGGGATAAACTGAAGCAGAAACACAAGCTGCAGGCAGCCCCAAGTGGAGAGCTCCAGGCCCCAAGCCCAGCCAGCCTGGACATCTGCTCTTGTGGGCTGAAAGGTCCAGTGTCCTGCCCATTCCTCTTGGTGGTTGCAAAACCCAAAATCTCTCCATGGCCCCACTGTCTTTGTCTGAGGATGTCTCCCTGCTCTTCTCAGCAGCTGCAGAGAGTTCCAGACTCCACCCTCGATGCTGAGCTTGATTGCACCACGGGGCCTTTATTCCAGGGCAGCCATAATCCAGATGCACGAGTCATGCTTTTGGAAAGCTCTGAGGAAAATCCCCAGCTGACTAGGGTGTGCACCCACTCCCCGGGGCTCCCTCCCAGAAAAGGGTGCAGAGGTGTGTGCGGCACTAGCCATGCAGCTCAGGCTGGGATGCAGGAAAGTAAGGATGCAGCCATCTCACACACTTAAAAAAGAACGAAGGAAACAAATAGGGGATGTTAAAGTCACACGGTTTCAGGGCAGCTGTTTTCTAATTCTGATGTTCACAAGAACCTCCTCTGGAGATTGTTAAAAATCTAGATTTCAGGACCCTATCCCCAGGGACTTCCACTCAGAGGCCTGGGGTGGGGCCAGGAATCTGCATTTTTGCCAGCTCTCCAGGGGTCCTGGCACACACATGGCTGGAGGACATCTAGAGAAACCCGCCCCAGCTGATCAGCACTTTGGGCTCTGAGATCAAGAAACCCCACTTCTCTTCCTCATGAAAAGTAGGGAGGTTTTGCTTATTTAGATGTTAGGACAGACGGCCCAACCATGAAGAATAAAAGGTGCCAGCCATATTGACTGCAAGAAAGGAGTCACCTTCATTGGCAATGACTCAGTGAAGACAGACCCTTCCCTGTCGGACCAGCAGGTAGGTTTTGAATAGCGAATGAGTTACTAAGGTTTTCAGGATGAGTCCCTTCATGATAAAAAGTCCTTTGGGTCCAAGTCCAGCAAATAACAATTCATTAAAATGCATTACCCAGAGCCGTGATGACCACCCAACGTGGGGGAAAATCAGTGCCATGACAATAGGAAGAAGCACCGTGCCTACCCCAGACATAGGCTGTTTGGAGGCAGACTGGGCAAAACTCCTTAAAAGGAGGAGTGGGGAATCCAAGGCCACGTGCATCTGAGAGGTAGGTGAGCTTTGATGAGAAGTGAAGCTTGGCCAAGAGCCTGCCCAGAGAGCAAGTTCTGGTTGCATTTTCCCTTATCCACACACTCTGCCCCAGCCATGGGAAGAGGCAGGAGAGGCTATGGCTGGGGCAGGCACCAGGACAGGAGGGAGGGCTGGGTCCAGGAAGGCCACAAGGGATGGCTCTGGAGAGGAGACAGGGAAGTGCGCCTTCCCACCCCACCTCGGCAGCCAGACACACCAGCACTCAGAAACATAGCTGCCATCTTAATGGCCATATCAGCTTGCATTGACCACTTACCCACTCAGAGCCCGGCCTGCAGGCCTGTCAGGTGAGGATTCGAGAGTGTGTGTGCAGCTTTGCTGAGTGATAGCACTCAGGAGCTAAGGCTCTTAAGCTAGACCTGGCATATCCAAGCACTCTCTACTTTTCCTCTCTCCATCCCCTGCTTTACATTTCAACAGCTCTCATCACCCACAGGGTAAAGCCCAACCCCCACGCTGGAAATGTCAGACCTTTTCCCAACAGGCCTCTGCCTACCTTCTGAAGCCTCACTTCCTTGTCCTCCATACCCAGAACACCCTCCACTCTACTCCTACTCAACTCTTCATATGCTCTTTCCCCTCTGTGCATGCTGTTCCTTCCGTGCAATGCCCTTCCTCATCCTGCCCGTGAAACTCCCAACCTCCTGGGCAAATGCTTTCAGACTCAGTTCAAACTTCCCTGGGAAATTTCCCTTAATCTAACTTCTTCCCTACTGTCCTCCAGACTCAGGTAAACCTCTACGGTGCTCCTGTTGTCCCTTGTAGACATCTCTACTGTGACAACAGTCACCCACAGAATGGTCATTACTGATGTCCATGTCTGTCTTCCCACTTTGCTGAGAGCTTGTTGAGGAAGAGCCTTTATCTCTCTCTCTCTCTCTCTCTCTCCCTCTCCCTAGGGCCGGTTCCCAGACGGTGCCATCCACAATGTGGTCTGTGTGAATGATGCCTCTTGAAGTTCAATATGTAACCTGCATGGCTGTACAGAATGGCCCTAGAGAAGAGTGCTTGTTCCATAAATGCTTCTTGCCTTACACCGAGTAGCCGAGAAAGCTTTATGTAGTTCTGTCAGCCATTGAGATACTCTTCTTTCACCACCACCCAGTGAAAAATCAGGGGTTCTAGGTGGACCCCGAGTTTCTCCCCAAAGGTGAGGGAAGAGAGTCAGTGCAGCCGAAACATGAAGACATGTATTCCTCATATTCTGCAGCAAAGGCTGAGCATGGTGGAGGTCCCTGAGCCAGAGCCTACCCCATGGCATCCCCTACAGACCTCTCCAGCTACACTCCAGCCCAGTGGACATTAACTTCCCTAGACCCAGGACCCCTGGGAGATCTGGTGAAATAAGGGAGTTGATGAACACCCCAAAAACCATCTGTGGATCCCAAGATACAACATATGCATCGAAAAGTTAGGGTGCTGTCTCTGGGGATCCTCTCTGTCACCCATGACTTGCATGGAGAATGCCAGGCTCCATCCAGGGGAAATGGGGCGGCACACTGAGTGGAAGCTTTGCGGCTGCGGGAGCCTAAGAAGTGGCTCAGGGTGCTCCACTGGGTTTTAACCTGCCAGGGGAAGTGATGTGAGGAAGGCATGAGGGTACAGAGGGCCCCGTGGAGAACCCCAGCATGTGGCTCCAGGAAGACCCCGACCTCCTGAAACATCCTGGCATTGGTGGCAGGGACTTCCTGGGGCTCAGTCTGTGACAGTCTTGGCCTCCACCCATGCCAGCTTCCCTTCCCACAGACAGCTGGGGATTGAGGCAGCCCTTTGTTCCCCACAGCCTGCAGCGAGCTCTGGAACTTTCTCAAGGGGAATGGGCTTCTGCAGGGGCTCTGAAGATCTGCAGAATTAGAGGTTGAAGAGAAATCCCGGAACCTCTGAAGGAGAGCCACACAGAGGAGACACAGCCTCTGAAACAGCAAAGAGGGCAGGTGCCAAGTGCAGCCCAGGAGACTTAGGTGCACGTTGGGAACACGTAAAAAGATTTTTTGGTAAAAAAAATTACCAAAGATTTTTTGGTAAAAATAGCTCCAGAGCCCACAACAAGCACAGGGCCTTGGAACCCTGTGGGCAGGGACAGACCAGTCCATGAGTGACAAATAGACACCTGTTTTTCTTTCCATTTAATAGCACACACCTTCAGAAAGTGAACAGGAGAGAACAAGATTTTTCTCAGGGCTGTGCTGTCAGTCTTGTCGCAGGTGGCTTTGTCCTCTAAGCAAGTGACCTCACCAGTGTCACCTACAAGCTTGCCTCTGGACCCAGGGAGGGTGGACCAGCTGGGCTTCTCCTGGCCACCTTCCCATTCTGCTGAGTCCAAGAAAAAAAGAGGGAGGCTCAAGGTCCAAGACCCACACGGAGCCCAAATCTCAATGTCAGCCTGTGGCCTTGAAGATGGAGAAAGTCAGCTTCAGAATGAAATAAAAAATAGAGCCCCTCCCACCCACGGCTGCCTCTGCTGCTCCAGGCCCTCTGGGGGACAGCAGAACTGGGATCTCCAGGGCCCGGGAGGTTGGCTCAGCCAAGAGAGCTTTTTAAAAGCCCTGGGGCTTTTAGAGCTGAAGGGCCTTAGGGGAGTAGTTAATCCCCCTGCCCACCCCTCACTTTATAGGCTGACAATGAAGCTCAGCAGGCTCAGGACCACCCAAGGTCACCCGGCAAGGAAGTACAAAACCAACTCCTGGCTCCCTATTCAGTGCTCTTGTCCCTAATGCTGCTTCAAGGTGAAGATGGCTGGGGCTGGAGGCATTGGAAGGTGGACTCTCCAACTATGTCTGTGGACCCAGAACCACAGGACAACATAATATATGGTGCTTCTGTCAAGCGATGATGATAAATGTGTCCCCGGACCCTCCTTAGGAAGGACCCGTGGCAATTGTCCCAGGTATCTTCTTACTTGAATTCATACCATGCCCTCCATAAAAAGGGAGTAGGAGCAGAAAACCTGATCGTGACCTTGACTTCAGTCCCGAGAGACCAGGGGCCTGGAGGGCAAGTGATCTGCCCTGCCCTGGATGGCCCACGCCTGCAGGGCAAATGTGAATTCTCAGACCCAGCCTCCTGACTCCGGCCTGGCCTGTGTTCCCCCCAGCCTGAAGCTATAACCCGAGCCTGGCACTCCCACCCCTACCCTCAGCCTATACGGGCAGCAGATATCACAGGCACACTCAGGATGGTAAAAATAGCTCCAGAGCCCACAACAAGCTGAAGTCCTTCTCTGCCAGGCCAGGGTGCCAGCCTGGGCACTCAGAGATCCCTGGCTAGAGGAGAGTCAAGCTGCCAAAATCTCTGCCAAAGTCAGGAGAAAGCCGTGAATGGGAGCCCACAGGAGGCCGGTGGGGAATGGTGAGCACTGGAGGTGCCCCAAAGCTCAGGCCAAAGATGCAGGGAGGGGGCGTCCTGAATAACATCTCACCAGAGCTATCCATGCATCCACCTCATTCCCTCTGCCAACCCCATTCGCGCACAAGACGAACCGTTACCCCCACAAGACTTAGGACAACTCAGACACACGGCCCCCCCACCAACCCAGATACCCTCGCCCTGAAAGCTATGGCTCTTACGTGTCCCAGAAGCAAGTCCAGGAAGGGGACCACCAGGCCCGTCACATCCACATCAGACAGCAGCACAGCGGGCCACAGCCCCACTCAGCCACAAGCCCTTCCAAGGTGGGGTCGTGACAGAGCCTGCCCCTCCACACCCTCCCAGCACAGAAGCACGAGCACCCCAGCCCAGATCCAGCAGAAAGCCACACAAGAACACTCACAGGCAAAACAACTGCCCAGCAGACACTTACCCTCTGGAGGGAGGGAGGGAGAGGGAGGAAGCGGAGGGAAGCCCGCTCTGATTTGATCCTGGTGCCCCAAGTTCCCAATAATTCCTACATGGCTGCAGCTCCAAGTGCTGTCTGTGTCCTACTCAAGCTCCCTCCGACTGTCAGGGGTGGGAGGAGCCAGTGCCGCCTGCCTGCCCATGTACACACACACACACACACACACACACACACCCCACTCCCTCCCTCCCTCCACTCTCCTGCACGCTCTCTCCCCAGCTCAGCTTGCTCTGCCTCACTCTGGCTTGTAGGAAGCCAGTGGGATAAAACTGTCTGTAATTTCAGCCAGCTGGGTCCCCAGGGCTTCACTTATCATCCTGCAGCTATGCCGTTCTTGAATGACATCACGGTGGCTTCCCAAGCCCTTCACTCCCACCGGCCGGGAGTCAGGAAAAGTGGCCAGCCCAGTCCAACTCCAGCCCCAACCCCAGCCCAGCCCCAGCCCCAGCCCCAGCCCCTGCTCAACTCTCACCCAGCACAGTCTAGCCCAGCCTGGTCCCAGCACAGCCCAGCCCAGCCCCACCGGGTCCCAGTCCAGCCCAGCCCAGTCCCAGTGTAGCCCAGCCCAGCCCCAGTCCCAAACCCATGGCAGCCCCAGTGCCCTGAAGAGAAGCAGGGAGAGAATCTGGGAGCAAAGTGAAACTGAGCCCCAAGCGGAAAGGCAGGGATGCAAGGGCCAGAGAGGGAGGGGAGAGAGGTCCTATGAGGGTATTGAGATTTATTTCCCCAAATTTTCCACATTTTTTTTCCATTCTCAGCAAATGGAAGGCAGAACAGATGACAACAATTTTCCAGCTGCTGAACAATAAGGTGGAAATCTTTTTTTCCCTCTCTCTCCCCCTTTCCCCTCCACAGGGCAGAGTCCAGGAGCCAGAACACTTCCTTGGCTTGGAAAAGGAAAAAGAAAAAACCCCACAGGGTCCTGCACTTCCCAGAGGTGAACACAGGACCTGAATAGAAGGACTGGGGTGTCACCCAGGCAGGGCTCCAGGAGGGGACAGGAGCCCCAACATGAAGTTCTCAGTGCAAAGCTTTGGATTCTGGCTTGGCAACTTGACATTTTGGAGGGCCTAACTTTGGGAAGGCCAGTGTGTGTCTGGCCAGGTATATTGATCCTCCAGGCCACCTGAGATGCTTCCAATTGACTGGCTATTGGTATTCTGTTTGTTCCCATCTGTGGAAATCATGAATAGCAGAGTATCACTTTTCAGAGTTCGCAATGCCTCACCCTCGTTCCCAACCACCCAGATCCGAGAGCCATGCAGCTGAAAGGCAGGTGAACGGCCCTCAAGTTCCCACCATTATCCTGATGTGCCCTGGAAAGTGCCAGGAGTCCCTAACTGATAATAAGACACCAAATCCCCACTCTTATTAACATGTTGTTTGTGACTTATTTGCATATCAATTGAATCTCCCAACCCAATTCTCAGAGTGGACAGGAGGTGATCTGGGCTTTGCGGCCAGGCCAGTGGGAGCTTCAGCGACTGGTGTCTCCATGCAGAGGGCCCCAGTTAGTTTGCAACCCCAAAATGCTTCCACAGACACAGGCTTGCCCTGAGCTATGGCTACCCCATCCTCGTGCCCAGACCTTCCCAGCTAAGTTTGGTACAGCGAGATTGGGAGGGAAAGCCCTGCCAGGCACAGCCCAACTACTCCCTGTGTTTCCCCTCAGACACCTGAGCCCTCAGCCCCTCGCCATTTTCAGCACCCCTCTCTGGCTGCTGTTCTTTGAGGGTAAAGAAAGAAAATAAGGGGAAGAACAAAAATGGTACCCAGTGCCCTGTACCCTGGCCACTGACCTATCTTCACTGATGAGATAAAATGGGACAGCTCGGTGTCACAGACTTCAAAGAGACCACTAAAAATAAGGAGACCAGGGGAGGGGAAGCAGAGGGGTTCTATGCCTCAGGCTCCACCTGGGGAAGACCACAGTTTGGACAAACTATTGCAATTATCCTCCTACCTCCATAGAGTCTTCTAGAACTAACCAACAAACCTCGGGCTCTTGAAAGGTTTAAGGCACCCCAGTTCACCCACTTGTCCCCACCCCAACCAACCCACAACAGTATTAGCAGAGATTTTGTTTGCACGCAACCTTCATGTTTATTTGTCCATCTGAATATCATCTACATTATTATTTTGTAAGTTATAAAAATAAACTTCATTTAACTTAAACTAGTTCTAAGCACAATATCCATGATGTCCCAGATTGAATGTGCAAAATACATACCTTTTTTTCCAATACACATCAAAATAAATATACCTAATATCAGTTCATATATAATTAGCAGTCTGACCATACTTTGGAACCTGAACCTTACTTTGGAAAACACTACCACACAATAGTTCCTGCCAGTGGCAACCCCATCTGATGGTTCTCCACTATCATCCAGGGGGACTAGCTATACTAGAAAGCCCCCAGGGAGTTTTATAAGAACCCCGATCCCCTGGCTCCACACAGAGGCAAAACTGTCTGGAATGGGGCCTGGGACTTTGAATTTGAAAATGCTCCCCAGCTGCAAATAATAAGAGAGTCAGGTTTGGCAAAAACTGTTCCTAGCTGTACTCAAATTCTTCCAGGTACAGGGATTTTACTGTCTTCCTCCAAAAGCCCAGCTCATCTTTAGGGGGCCGTAACAGTGGATTTTAGCTCAACATAGGAAAAAACACCCTGGAGCCCTCTTTTCCACTAACTGGCCTTACAGTGCCCGATGGAGTGGGTCAGAACAAGCCAATCGCCCCCTCGCTAGAGCCCTTCAGATACTGAATGAGACGTGCCTGCCCTCCTGAATCTCCCCTTTGACAGGCAACCCCTCTCCCTGCAAGTCCCTGAGCCTGACATACTTTCTGGTTGCTTCTCTGCACTTGCTTCCAGTCGTTCTTTATCACTTTGAAGCAAGGGACCCACAAACAGCCCATGTGGGCGCTCTGACTTAAAAGAGGCACAACAGGCCTGTCACCTCCCATTTTCTGGAAACCATGCTTTTGTTAATGCAGCCTAAGATTATGCCTGGCCCTTCTCATTCTCATCACTTCAGCATCTGCCAGGTTAAGAACATGGACTTGGAAGTCAGACATTGGTTTGAATACAGATACTACCAACTACTAGCTTAAGGCAACCCTGAGCCAATTACTTGGCTGAGCTTCAGTTTCCTTATCTGTAAAATGGGTATACTAGTCATTGTATCTCAGTAAGTAGTGCAAAGACTGATATAACACATGAAAAGCTCTCAGCACAGTGTACAGAACACAGAAGTGCTCCAAAGGACAGAACACGAGTAGTGCAGCGTGGGCTTCCCCGTCTCCCTTCCCTAGCCCTGTGCCCCCTGAGCAGTACCTCTGTGACCCTATCTCACCAGCCCATATGTATCACACCCAGTGCTTAAGCTTCAGGACATACAATTTGGCCCACCCGATCTCTGCTCAAAAATCATGGCCTGGAATGGCCAGCATAGAGAAGAGGCTTCCAAAATGGTGCAGACTACAAGGATGTGATGCCATTCCATTAACAAATACTGAGCCTATCCCAACACTGATTACTGCCAATGGTGTGCCTGAAAATGCATTGCCACTTCCACCTGCAGAGATGAATTCAGCCTCAAGGACCACAAGGAGAGAAGGACGGGCACAACCTCAGCTGCATGCATAAATAGGAAAGGACTTCCTGGGGGCTTGGGCAGAGGGCAGGGCATGGCAAATCTGGTTCAAAAAAGAATACACTTCGTCTTACCATGTTTCTATTTGGGGGAAAAAAAAAGACAATTTTTTTTCTTAAAACAAACTACAGGAAATAGCAGGAGAAAAGTCTTTCCCAATAGTGGGTGGGTTAAACTAAGCTTGAAAGATGATGGTATTACTCTGTCTTCAGAGGCAGCCCAGTATCCCCTGTACCCCCTGAGGTGGCCCTGAGCAGGGCAGTTTCATAAAACACAAGTTCTAGAGGTAGGAGGGTGGGTCTGGATACCTTCTGGAAACTTCTCAGGTGCCAAGGATTCTTCAAGACCCCAGATTTGCCACATGGCACCGCACTGTGGGCAGTCAGCCCAGGCAATTTCCTAGAATCCCCGCATGGTCAAGCCAGAGGATGTTGTGAGTTCATTGGGCCCAACCCACCCACCCGATTTCATCTGTCCAAGTCAGCGAAGGGAAGAGTTTCCCACTGTCACACATGGTCAGTGCTGGAGTGAGATTGCCACCAGGGCCCCTGGCTCTCAGAGGGAGTCCTCCCCACTGCCAGATCTCAGTCAGATGCCATGAGATGGGTGCTCAGAGACTGTGAACTCTCATTACAGAAGAACCACAAATGTCTGCAGGTCTAGCTGTGCGAGGAAAGTAGGATATTGGTGGACAATTCTACAATGAAGACACACTTCCCAACTGTAGGTCAAGCAAATGCCCCCATTCCCTCCAGACCATCCTTCCAGCCAGCAGACCTACAGCTGGAGCCAGGTGGCCAGGGCCCCTCACCCACACTGAGGGGTCTCTCCAGGGAGGAAGGGGGCCCAGCCTCCCTGGTCACCCCCTCCAAGGCTTAGTCCCTTCCTGTCAAGTTCTTTCTTTTCATTCGTAGGTATAAAGCAACATTCCTGGCCTGGCTCTTTGTTCTTCCTCGTAAAGAACAGAATGGCTGAGTGCTTTGGTTTCCAAGCAGCCGGGTCCCAGAACAGAAGGAGGAAACAGAACAGAGTGTCTCCAGTGAAAGACTACTTCACACCCTGCAGGTGGGACAGGTGAGATCACAAAGATGAGAGGTTAGAGGAAAGAGGAGCACCCCCAGGTAGCCAGGGCCCCCCAGGGAATGTGTGACAATACTGCAGATATTTGGGGTTATCACACCTGGAGGAAATACTACTGGTGTCTAGTGGGTACAGGCCAAAGATGCTGCTAAACATCCTACAATACACAGGACAGACCCCCACAACAAGCAATTGTTGTGGTGGTCCCAAGCAATTGTATTGGTCCCAAATGCCAATAGTACCACAGGTGAGAGGCCCTGAGCTAGACTGAGGGATGAAGGAGCCTGGGGTGTAATAGACCGATCTCCGAACTAAGACTCAAGAGTCTTGGGTTTCAACCCCATCTGGGCCACTACTTCACTGCTTAAACTTGGGCAAGTGATTTCCTTTTCCTGGGACTCAGTTTCCAACGTGGTAAAATGAGTGGGAGGAGATAAGCTTTGAACTCTAAAACTTCTGGTTCTATGGACAGCCATCAAGGAAGAGAAAGACATGGCTGGAGGGAGCAGTCAGGACAGGAGAAGGAAGGGGTCTCCCAAGATAGGCATGGTGTCAAGGTTCAAACGTCTGGGGATAGAGGGAGGAAGGGCCCGCTGCCTGGGGTGGGCACAGCAGCTGCATATGTGATGAAAACATGTCCTTAGACCTCCCCAGGACCTCCTCCCTGCCTCCCAGCCCAGTGGACAGGGAAGACAGGGCCATCGGAGCAGGACAAGCTTCAGGCACCCCTGGCAGGGCCTCAGCCTTCCAGGGTCTTCACACTTCCCATCCCAGGAAGGCAGTGGGCAGGGCCAGGCCCAGGAGCATGTTCCCTAAGAACAGGACAGGAGCCCTAGTGCCAGAGGATTACTCAGGAAGGGAATTGTCAACTCCCAGGCAGATGTTTGTGTTGGATGAGGGTCGGGACATATCCACTCACCGCGCTTCTGCTTCTCCCCACCCTTACTGCTCCCAGGACGTGGACACCATGTCAGTGGCAGTCCTCACTGAATGGGGAGAGGGTATATGGGGCTTTGGGAGCAAGGGCGAAGGAGAGGGTAGAATGGAATGAGGCAGGCATGTTATTGAGTATGTGCCTGCACGTTAATGGAAGTTCCCTTGCTTGGTTCCACAACTGCCTTTCAAAGTGGATATTGTTATGCCATCTTCCTGATAAAGAAACTAAGGCTCAGGGGTTGGAGCTTGCTCAGGATTACATTGCCAGTCTGACTCTGACATTCATGCTCTTTCTGCTTCCCAGAAAGGAAGGAGAAACAAGAAAGGAGATGGAGGAGGCAAAGGTTTAGATCTTAGAAGATCCAACAAGAAAAAAGGAGTGGAGAGTGACAATAAAGTCACAATGCTGGTTTATAACAAACTCCAGCAGGCAAGTGAGCACTGTCCCCATCAAACTGGTTCCCTGGGAATTTTATGCATTTATCCTCACAATGCTACCAGAGCTCAAAGCATTTCTGGAAACAAGTAGAACACTGCCTCAGGGCTGGTTTATAATTCACACGAATGAAACCATCTCTGCAAGTGAGGTCAATCACTATTCCTGATCCCAAACAGGCCCATTCTCTCAGCATCCACATATAAGTTGGGTTATCAAACTGGCTGGGCAGTTTTATAATTACAGCTCCCAATACTGTACGCAGTGGGGCAGAGTTGGGGTACGCAGTGGGGCAGAGATCCATGTGGTTCCATGCAGAGAGGTGGGTGTGTGCAGAGGAGCCCATGTGGTTCCATGCATGAGAGGTGGCTATGACTACAGGGGTCCATGTGCTTCCATGCATGAGAGGTGGCTATGACTAGAGGGATCCATGTGGTTCCATGCATGAGAGGTGGTTGTGAGCAGAGGGGTCCATGTGGTTCCATGTGTGAGAGGTGACTATGAGTCAAGGGGTCCCTGTGGCTCCATGCATGAGAGGTGGCTATGAGTACAGGAGTCCATGTGGTTACATGCATGAGTAGGTGCAGAGGTGGGTGGAGGATCTGGGTGGGTATCTGCTTCCTTCCCCAAATAAGCCCATCTAGGGCTAGGCTGAAAGTGACTCACTTATGCAGAGGCCACCAAACCATGAAGCACAGGCCTGCATGGCAGACAGAAGCCAGGGCACCACCCTTGGGCCTTTCTGCCTTTGCATCACATGAGGAGCGCCCATCTGCTTCTCGAAGGTTCTCAAGCAATGTGCAGACAGAGAGAGGAAGGCAGGGAAGAAGGAGAGAGCTGAGAAGCTTTGAGCTTTCATATCAAAATCTGATCTCACTGCCCCTGGAGAAGGAGAAGAACACACATCAAAGAACACTTTGCTGCTAACAATTTTTTTAAGCAATCAAAGGCATAAGTCCCAGATAAGCAGCCAGGGCATCGACTGGCTGTAAAGATGTAAAGATTGGGCAGTCTGAAGCTCCCCACATCCATCAACAGCTCTGTTGCTGCTTCCCAGGGCACAGGGAGATAAATGGCCCAGGGATTGAACAACTGAGGTCCAGTATTCTGGAGCCAGGAGTGTCTGAGGCAGGACACCCCAGGTCCCTGAGGGATAGTCTTGTGAGTGTAAATAATGCTTGAGCAAAGAAAGAGGGGCAGGAGAAAAGGGACTTTGGGGTGAGACTCCTGAGTCCCCTTTGCACAAGAATGAGCTAGGACCTTGTCAGAACCCTCTAGAAGTTGCCTTGTTTTCCCATGTCCACAAGCCATGGTCACTCATCCTACCTAGACAGATGCGTGGAGTGGAAAGGTTCTTCTCCTCAACTTTCAGAAAATCTAGAAAATCTAGTCCTGGCACCTGTTCCTGTTACTCAGATCCCCCAAAGGCAAGAGGGTTCTCCTGAATGTCAGACCTCCATCCTTCCAGCAGCAGCTAAAACTCACCTCTCCAACTCTGCCCCTAGATCTCTAACCAGCCACGGTGTAACAAACAGACCTAAAGAAAATGCTGCCTGGCTGCAGCAGCAGACTAGGAGCCAAAGAGCCAGAATTCTAAGGGGTGATTTTGGACAGGCCTCAGTTTACTCCACTGTGCAATGGCAGAGGGCAAGTATAGGTGATCCCTAAAGTCCTGTTTGGATCTGGATCCTCAAGGATACAACTCAGAGAAGATGCTCTACCAGGCACTGTTTGGATCCCAGAGCCCCTGGACTTGGCAGGCCTGTATCTCCTCTCCTGCTTGGACCTGCCCGGGTGGCTTCAGGCTCCAAACTTGTCTGAGGCTATTTCTGCAGCAGCCATGGAGTCCCTGAGGCTAGGACAGAAAAGGGGACTTACAGGAAGTCTGTAAACACACACCAGGCTGCAGAGGTTCCCAGGGCCATGCAGGGCAATCAAGAGGCTGATTTATTTTCATCAGTGAAATGCTGAAACTTAATCCCTGGAGCAAGCTGACCCGGCAGACAGCGGCAGGCAGCTCCTCAACCAGAGCAGAATTAGCTAGTCCGCAGCCTCTCAGGCCTCTCCACTGGGGCTGGCAGAGGGAGGGGACAGGGAGAAGGCTGGGGCTGGCCAGTTCAGCCACTGTGGCTCCAGATCCCTTGGGCTGGCCTCTCCCCTCCCCCATCACTGGCCTGCAAGGGTCTCCAGGACACAGGCACAGCATTGGGCAGAGCTGGACAGGCAGGCTTCCCACTTTAACTCAGTTCCTATTCCCTAGGTTCTCAAACCCCAACTGCATGGGGCAGCAGGGCAGGGCTCCTCAGGACTCCTACCCTTGTCAGAAATGGTGAGAAATGTTATGCTGAGAAATGGTGGGTGTCAGAATCCAAGCTCTACCCCTACCTGGCTGTGTAAGCATCAGTAAGTTACTTAACCTCTCTGTGCTTGTTTCTTCATCTGTGAAATAGGAACAAGAGAACTCAGGTCACAGGAGAGTCATGAGGAGTACAAGAAATTATGGGTACCTAACAGTATCTCACATATTGGGGGGTGCATATTAAAGGAGGTGGGCGGATAGATTCTCCTCCTCATCCCTAGCCAAATCACTGTCTGGGAGCATCAATTAATACAGTCCTTATGAAGGCCAATCTGGCCCTGTCTATAAAAATTATCTCTTCATATATTCTTCTACCCAGCAATTCCACTTCCAGAAATTTGTCCTATAGATAGACTTACCCAAATGAAAATGGTATATGTGCAACGCCATTCACTGCAGCATTTTTTTGGAAACAGCAAAAGATTGGAAACAGCTTAAATGTTTCTATGATTTAAAGGCAGTTTTTAAAAACCTAGTTATTAAAACATAGTGCACACATACAGTGGAATAGTATGCAGCTGAACAAAATGAGAAGACTCTTTACCTGCCATTACAGAAAGATCTTTACAATGTATCATTCTATAAAGAGGCTGAGGCCAAAGCCAAATCCTTACTATGGCTACCAGACCCCAGGTGATCTACTCCCTGTTACCTTATCTCCCAACACAACCTCCATTCAGTCACACTGTCCTCTTCCCGGCTTCCCAAACATCTCAGGTGGGCCCCTGCCTCAGGGCCTTTGCACCTGCTGTTACCTCTGCCTGGAATGCTCTTCTCCAGATATTTGTCTGGCCAGCTTCTGTGCCTCTTTCAAGTCTTGGCTCAAGTGTTCCTCCTCAGAGGGCCGGGACTGACCAACTCCCCTTTTTAAAAATGTCAACTCTTCAATGCCCCCATTCCCAATCACCCTTACTCTGCTCCATTTTTTGCCAGGGTATTTCTCAAGTTCTAACAGGCTCTGTCAGTTATTTATTATGGTTGTTTTTAAATGTGTTATTGTCTGCCTCCACTAGAATGGAACCGCCGCATGGCAGGGATCTTTGTTTCATTCATTGTTCTGTCCCCAGCATCTAGAACAGTGAGTGGCCGGTACAGAGTAAGCACTCAGTAAAGACCTATTGAATGAAGAAGCGAATGTGACTGAGGACAGCTTATGTACTAAAGAATGTAGATGATGTGGGGTTTTTCCTTCTCTTCATCTTCTTCAATTGCATGGACTTAAGGTTAGGCCTATCCTTATGTCATTCCCACCCTCTTGCATGCTGATGTGTTTTCTCAAAGGGAGGAGGCCATAGCCTGCAGCCTGGTGGTTACTGACGACCAGTGCCAAGGAGGCAGGACCCCTGAGCAGAGGAAGTGGGTCACACCTGGGGATGGAGCCTGGCATTTAGATGATGATGGGGAAAAGATTCACAGACACCTAGTTCTGCATAGTGGGAAGAACACTGGACTTGCAGCCAGAGGCCTTGGTTCAAAGTCCAGCTCAAGAACTGGGATGGTTGAAGGTGAACTCGGGGAAGCATTTTATAAAGTGCTACCCAAGGTCAGGTAGTGGTATTAGCAAAAGTTAATGCTTAGTAATGACTTCCTGTATAACAGTCGCTGAGCTAGGTGCCCATAGATGATTACTTTTAATTCTCAATGCTATAAGACAGGTACTAGCCTTCTCCCCACTTTACAGGTGAGAACACTGAGGCCCAGAAAAGCTAAATGATTTGTCCAAGGTCAACAAAAGGCAAGAGGCAAAGCTAGGGCTCAAGCCCAGACAGCCTGAGTCCCAAGGCCATGCTCCCAATCAGCACGGGGCCTCCCAAGGATCTTCCCATCTAAAGACTATCACCTCCCAAGGACGTGGGTTCCACCCCTTCCCAGCCTACTCTAAGACACTGTCCTTAATTTTAATGGAGGCAGCCGATTACTGAAGCTATGTGAGCTCAGTGACTCTGGTAGGATTTTAGAAGGTCTTGTGTCAGGGAGAGGGACATAGAGAAGAAAGGAGATTTATAGGGGATGAATCATCCATGAGCAGCTGAGGAAGTAGAGGGAGGGTTATCAAAGGAAAAGGGACTGATCATTTGCCAGACCCCAGATCCCTTGAAGCCTTTTCCCATAAACAGCCTCAGAACTGTCCATCAGACAGAAAGCAGGGACTCAGAGAGTGGACCAAGAGGGAGGGCCTCTGCTGCAGGAAGACAGGGTGCCAGGTAGCAGGCAGGGGAGGGAGTGGGTAGATGCAGGCAGGCTCCAGGGAGGATGCCGCCTCTCCGAGGCTGATGGAGAGATTGGCCCCAAAGCCAGGCGAGGACAATGAGTGAAGAAGCTCAACTTTGCCAAAGCAAATCAGCCTCTGAAAAGGCAGGGAGGAGCGCCCAAGGCCTCAATAGATCCAGCAAGGAATCATTTGGAATAGTCCAGAAAGAGGACCTTCACCACGGAGGGTTAGATGCTGCTGTGAGCTGAATGGGGAAGCTGGAGGGCTGGAGCCTGAAGGCAAGAAGGCCCACTGTAGGAGCCACACACCCATCAGAGCCAGGGGTGGCATCAACCCACCCCCACCTGCGTGGGACTCTGAGTGGCCTGATGGAGTCTCCCCAGGCGGCCACATGGGGAGGAGGTGAGGAAAGGCAGCCCTCAGCCAGCCAAGTCCACCAGGGCAAGAAATGCAGGCTCTGTGGACGCATCTACTGCGGGTTTGGTGTGCTTTATTTTGTAAAGGTTGCTTTGAAAAACTGAAAGCAAAACAAAGGAGAAAAGAGGCCCCTGAACCCCTTCAATAGCAGACGGGGGAATGGAGCCCCAGGACTCTGGTGAGGGCTTCTGGGCCAGCTCAGCTCAGCTCCTGGGAGCAGCAGGGACCCCCGGGGAACACCAGCCCCTCCCTTGGCCCCACACTGCAACTGTTCTCACCTCCCTGGCCTCCTGCAAGGGTGCCCTGGCCCTCAGCTCACCTCCACCACCTCCAACATCCCGCTAAGGTCCCACCCACCCCACCGCAGTGACCAGAGCAATTGTGTGAGGAAGCCAGTCAGATTTGATTGTTTCTCGTTCCTTTTACTTTCCAGACTTTGAACAACGTTGTTATGCCACTTTTTAATCTGAAAAACAATTCTGCCTTCAATGCCATTTATCCTCCCAGGGGCCCTTCAAATGCAGACCCTCTGCAAAGCCAGCCCCTCTGATCATAATCATCCCCAGAAGACAGGGCACTTGCCCGAGCCCCTTACCCACGGGCTGCAGGGCAGAGTGGATACAGCACTGGGCTGACACCCCTACCCCGTCTCCAGACAACCCCAGGGCACAGCTTTCTATATCCCCAGGGCTTACACAGTGCCCACCACCTAGCAGGGGATCAGTTAAGTAACTGGAAACAGAAAGGAAGGAAGGAAAGGAAGAAGAGAGGAAGGTAATGATGGGTGCAAAGCAGCTTTAGGTGAGTAAGAAAAAGTATTTGATTGATAGAAGCTTAAATTCCTTTTATTGGATATAATTAGAGTCGGTATCTTGGGGTCTTGATGGGTCCGGATAGCTTGCACTTGTCTACAGGTCTGGCAGGAGAGGAAACAGGGAGGGAGGCTGAGGGGGAAAGAGTACACACTCCCCTGACCCCTGCCTCGATCTGGATATTTGAGCACAAGAGAGCAGACTGTGCCCAGAGCTCCGGCTGGCTCTGAGCGTGGCTCCGGCCTTCCAGCCTGCACCCGATGGCAGAGATTACAGAGCACCAAAGGCACATTCACTCGGGAGGGTATTGGTTTACCGTGTGTTCCATGGGCAGAGGCTGCTGCCCAAGCATGCCAGCTGCCTCGCAGAGCAGGGCCAGCTAAGGGTCCGAGGGCATTGAGACAAACCCAGCGCTGCTCGACAGAGAACAGTGCAAGCAGGTGGCTGGCAGATACTGGGTCAGTGGTGTCATCTTTTTACCCGCAAGGTCAGGCTTGCCTTGTATTTGAATTCTCAAGACTAATTGTGCCAGTGAGTCAGGAGAGGACTCCCCTCTTGGGGGAGGCAAAAGAACCGAGAATCCTCCTTAAGGAGCTGTCTCATCCAGGCCTCTATCTTGGCCTCTATGCAGACCAGCACACACTAAGATCCACCCCTCTTGTCCCTCAACATCACTGCCCAAGGGGGCCAAGAGGACAAGAGGACCAATCTGCCTGTCACAGCTGATTCACCCTCTCACAGTTGGGAAGTTCTACCAGGAGGCTAACCCAAACCTCTCCTGCTAGTATCTCAGCCCTTTGTCCTATATGATGTGATAGATCAAGGTCAGAAGCTTTCAGTAGCAGCTTTGAATTCCTCCCTCCCCTGCTACTGCCCCCACCACCTTGAAGTCACAGGCCAGAAGGGCTATCCCCTCTGGAGGCCAGGTGACCATTTCCCAACAAAAATCAGTTCAGGGTCGAATCTCAGGCTCTCAGCACCCACATGTAGAAACTCACCCCTGAAGCCCTCTGCTTAGATACAAGGGGCACATGTATCACTCCCCAGGAACCTTGGACTATTTCCCTGAGTTATCTGGGACCACCTGCAATCCTGTACTCCCCTCTCTTGCTGGTTTCTCCCACGTCTTACTCAAAAGTTCAGAAGGCAAGAATGTCAGAACCTGAGAAAATACATCAAGGGCAAACAGCGTGGTGCACACGAGTTCTCTCCCACAGCCCCACCCAGAGTGAGCACTGGGACTCTGCTCCCCACTGCTGAAATCTCTCACTCTCAAACCTGGAGGACACCTTCTCACCACTCTCCCATCCGGCCTGGGCCCCAGGAGATGAAGGGAGACAGGGCTACACAGGCCCGGGGCTGGCTGGAAGGCAGAACTCATGGGCTTTTTCCTGTTCTACCATCCAGGGATCTGAAACTCGGCCTCCCTCTCTGTGAGCAACCTTTCCAGGCTAATCCAGGCACCTCTTCTAAAGCTGGAAAGAGATCAGGCCATACAGCCTAAAGCATTTTGGGCTACAGATGAAGATCATAAAATGTTAAGTAGCAGTGCAAATCCCTGACTGGTTGCAGACCCACCACGTTGGAATCCTGCCTTCACCATTTATCCAGAAGACTTCGTTGGACGAAGTCCTTAACTTCTCTGTTACTTGCCTCAGTTTCCTCATCTATCAAATGGGAACACTATTTGTGACCAGATGTTAACGTGAAAGTACTTGGGTCTCAGTTGTAAAAGAGGCCTGAGGACAAGGAATGACACATTTCAAAAGTAAGGCAGAAGACCACCATGCAGGCCTTGCAGAAGAGATGACTGACATCAAGAAGTGAAAAGACCACTCACAGAATGGGAGAATATATCGGCAAATTATATATCTGCTAAGGGACCTGTTGCCAGAATATAAAATGAATGCTTACAACTCAATAATGAAAAGACAAAACAAAAATTTAAAAAGGAAACAGAGGATGTGGATGGGCAGTTTTCTAAAGAAGATCCATAATGGCCAATTAACACATGAAAAGATGTTCAACATCATCAATTCTTAGGAAAATGCAAATTGAAACCACAATGCAATACCCTTTCACACCCACTAGGATGGCTAGCATCCAAAAGATAGAAAATAAATGTGGGTGAGGATGCGGAGGAAGTCTCATACATTGCTGGTAGGAACGCCAAATGGTGTAGCCACTTTGGGAAACACTCTGGCTGTTCCTCAAATGATGACACAGGTGATCCAGCAGTTCCACTCCTGGCTATCTACCCAAGAGCAATGACAACCTAAGTCCACACAAAAACTTGCACATACATGTTGACAGCAGCATTCTTCACACAAGCCAAAAAGTTGAAACAATGCAAATGTTCATCAATTGATGGTGATGTATGGATAAACAAAATATGGTATGGCCTACAATAGAATATCATTCAGCAACAAAAATGAATAAAATACTGATACATGTTACAACGTGAATGAAACATTGGGTCAAGTAAAAGAAACCAGACACAAAAGACCACATATTGTATCACTCCATTTACGTAAAGTGTCCAGAATAGACAAATCTACAGAGACAGAAAGTAGATTAGGGTTGGGAGTTGGTGGCAGAAGTGGGAGTGGCTGCTGCTAGTTATAAGATTTCTTTGGGTGGGGGTGATAAAACTGTTCTAAAATGAGATTACGGTGATGGTTGTACAAGCCTAAATATACTAAAACCCATTGAATTGTATACTTTAAAGAGGTGAAGTTGTGGTATTAAATTATATCTATACAGCTATTAAGTTTTTAAAAAGAGAGTGATGGCTGAAAACTGCTTTGTGGCTCCAAACTATACCGCCATACACACCATGCACACACATACATATCAAAGGTGTAAAAAGATTAGAAAGTGGAAGATTGTAAGAGGAATTGTGGAGAGCACGGTGTTTGGTGGCAGGTCCCACCTTTCTAGAGGCTTCTCCCTCATCTCAGTGAGTCTGCTCAGAGACTCAGCAGGTACCTGCGGGCGCATGGAGGATGTGAAAGACAGGGGCCTAACTGTGCTGTGGGAACAGGGGTGGGGGCGCACTGGCCACCTCAACCCGGGTCTTTGCGGGGGCCAGGAGTGCTGACTTTTTACTTTGGACCAAGGTGAGAGAGAGCCAGCCCCTGGGCTGCCTCAAATGCTGTCCATGAGGGCCACCTGCAGGGGTGAGAGATTTCAGCAGGAGGAGGCTGGAGGGAGCGAAGGATGACTGGGCTGAGGAAGGGGGTCCTGAGCATCTGAACAGAACCATGTTCGCCACCCAAAGGGAACAGCGAATGAAAGACTTTTGGGCAGTTGGACAGGGTCTCCCAAATACCTACAGAAGTGCCTCAGGAGAGAAGCCAGAGGGCATTCAATGCCTCCAGAATCTTCCACTGGCAAAGAACCCAAGAGATATCATTTGTGTCTCTGTCTCCACACAGAGAATGCCTGTGCAACCCCACCAGGCAAGAAAGAATGTTCTGGAATGTTCCCCCTTTCTTCCCTTCCTAACCCTAAATATGTAAGTCAGGAAAACAGAAAGAAGACTTACTGAGCCTCCCCACCACCACCACCACCCCCGCCCCCCAACCAACACACACACACACACACACACACACACACAGCTAGCAGCCAGGTAGGAGCTGACAAGGGGGAGGAGCAAGTTCACCAGCACTGGGCGTATTTATTTATTACCCACCAAAAGACCTTGTATTACCTGAGAGTGGCTAGAAAAGGGATGGAACTTGCCCCAGTGTCATTTGGGGGAAGGGGAAACAGGGTAGACTTAAAGGGCAGTAGTATACAAAACAAGTAGCTTTTTAATCACATCCTACAAATTCTGCTTGTTCAGCCCAGTAAGTACAAAACAGCACCCACCTACAGGTGTTTGGGGAGGATTAACCAAGAGAACATACAGTCAGTGGTGCCTGGCACCCAGAAAGTACACAGTGCTCTCATCTCAAGGTCATCATCAGCATCAGCATCCTCAACATTGTTAGGGCTTTGGAGCTGGAAGCCCTTTTTGAAATCCATTATCCTCAATTTGCTGATAATGAAACTGAGAACCAGAGAGGGGAAGTAATTTTTCCAAGGTCACATAGCAAGTTGATGTCAGAGGCATGTCTCCTGACTCCCAAGAGTGGGGTTCCCAGAACAGAGCCAGCTATAGATGGTTCCCAGAGAGTAGAGGGGCAAGGGGAACGCGGCTTTTTCTAAAGAAGAGAGGGCTAAAATCATGTCTGTATCTTCTCTCCTCCAGCACTTCAATAATAATAATAACAGACACAAATCACTGCCAGCATGGCATGCGCCACTCTGCTTTTCACATTTCATGTATATTACCTCATTGTATATCAGACAATAATGCTATAATGAAAGTACTGTTATTGAACCCATTTTACAATTAAGACATTTGGATCTCAGAAAGGCAAAGTTACTTGGCCAAGAAACACACCTATAAACAATAGAGCTTAGAACCAGATCTTCTGGTTCTAGGTCCCATAGCCTTAATTCCTAGAGATTGGTCTGTTCAACCTTATTTCCAGCTTCTCATCCTCTATGCACAACTTCCTTGCCCCCTTTGAAGCTAGGCATGGGTGTTTGGCTTGTTTTGGCCAATTAAACATGAGCGGAAGGAAAACATGTGAGTTCTAGGCAGGAGCAGTGTGCAAGCCATGGTGTCTTCTTCCCACAGCTGCAGCAGTGAAGGAAGCACCTACAAGATGAAGCTGCCCTCAGCCTAGAGTATCTGTGATGAACAGAGACCTTTCTGACCCCCAGTGGATATGTAGTATGAGCAGAAATATGCTTTTGTTGGGTCAGGCCCACTGAGAAGGTGGGATCATTTGTCACTGTGGCATAATTGAGCCTCTCCTGACTGATAGAACCACTAAGCCATGCTCCTTCCTGCTCTAAGCCCATGGGTTGCGAAAGTCTGAGAGGGAAGCCTGGCAGGCCCCTTTTAGGTCTTCACAAGTCATGAAAAGACACAATGCTTGAGCTCAAAGAAATGGAAAGAAATACTATCTACTCCAGCCCTCACATTTCATAAGAAATAAAAAGGACCTATGGAAAAAGAGTTACCAGAGACACCCAGAACCCAAATCTTCTGCCTCCCAGGCCAATATCTATCCATGCCTGTCTATCTCTCCATGTCTCTCATCTATTTATTTCTTTCTCCTTCTTGGTCTCTGCCTGTTTGCTGTATCTCTTTCCCTCCCTCTTTCCTCTTTCAAAAAAAAAGTATCACAGAGTCCTTGGATAAGCCCAGCTCATAAGAAGTCATCACAGAACAGGGATTCCTGGCTCCAGGCAGAGGCTCCTCCCCTACCCAGACAAAAGCACTTGGGGAGTGGATGGGCACCCTTTAGAACTAGAAGATCTCCCCTGAGGGCTGAGAAGCTTGGGCACAAAACCAAGGCCCCCTGTCACCAGCCCCCGGTTCTGGTGGGATTGTCCATGGAAACAAGGGAAAGACTGATGGGCGCCAACCAGGAGAGATGCAGAAGTGGGGTGGACACCAGCCCCTCACCCTTGTCAGCCAGGCTGGGAGGTTTGTCATTCCCCTGAGTCACCCTGTCCTTTATCCCTGAGAAATCTACTTTCTGAGAGCACCCCTCACTTGCCCAACCCCTGTTCCCATCCTCTCTGTTGAGTCAAGAGAAACTCTAAACAACTGATGTCCAAGGAAGTCACAGAAAGGTGGGGGGTGGATGAGAAGGCAGGCAGGAACCCAGGCCTGGTCAGCCTGCAGGCTTCTCAGAGGCAGAGGGCAGTCCATATCCCTTGGTTCAAGGCTTGCTTCCGAGAAGGCTTGCCCCGGAACACTATGGAGGAATTTGGAGCCTGCTTTATACAGCAGAGGCAAAAACACAGCGCCACCCCTACCCATGGGGACCTGGAATCTGGGCACGGGGCATCAGAACTCAGGCCAAGTTGCTAATGGGGTTTCTGGAGGCTGCAAAACTGGTGTTAGCCAGAGCACTGAGCCGGCAGGCTCCAGATCTAACTGGAGAGAGGCAGAGGTGCCCGCAAGGAGGGAACCAGACCTCTCCCCACCACCTGTCCTTGACCTTTCCTTCCTCCCACTCAGGATCAAAGGCCTGGGGCATCCAAATACATGTGACCCAGAAAACTCCTTCTCAGGTGTGACGAGCTGAACTGTTCCCCCATTCAGATTCCTGTTTTGCAACCCTAACCCCCAGCAGCTCAGTATGCCACTGTATTTGGAGATACAGCCTTTAAAGAGGCAATTAAGGTGAAAAGAGATCATTAGGGTGAGCACTACTCCAATACGTCTGGTGTCTTTATAAGAAGAGATGAGGGTAAGAATACAAGCAGGGGGAAGATGATGTGAAGATACAGGGAGAAAACAGCATCTCCAAGCCAAGGAGAGAGGTCTCAGGAGAAACCAACCCTGCTGAAATCTGGATCTCAGACTTGTAGCCTCCAGAACTATGAGAAAATTCATTTCTGTTGAACAAGCCCCTGGGTCTGTGGTGCTTTGCTGTGGCTGCCAGAGCAGATTAATAATACTTCAGGCATGGGATTCACCAGAAGGCACTGCTCTGGGAGTAAAGGGTCCCCAAGATGGCAGGCACTGTCCTCCCAGCCACTGTCCCACAACAGAGAACTTCGTCCAGTCCGAGGGTCCTTATTATTGAGCTTCCCTTTGATTCTTCACCCTCATCACGCCCCCCTCCTCCTGGCCCAGGAGCAGGTGAGCCCAAAGTCTCCACCACAGCCACACTTTGCTACACAGAGACACAGCTGGACCCGTCCCACCATAAACGGGCTTCCCTTTGTGGTAGTGAGCCCCTGTCATCATTAGGGCTTCAGAAATGGGACGACCATCCTGAAGGAGCCACCTGAAGGATTATGGGTATGGGTTCCGGGGTGCTGTTAAGCTGAGCTCCAAGGGAGGTAGAAAGGGATTTGGATTCCAATATCAACTCCACATCTTGTCTCATGACCCTGGACAAGATTGCTAACCTCTGCCTACTTCTGGGGTCTTCATCCAGGAAATGGGGTTGGTACAGGCTGAGCTGAGCTAATGCCAAGGAGGGCCCATACTTCGGGGTTTCCTGCCCCTTTGGCAGGCCCCCTCCCTCTCGGGTTTTATGACTAGCCCAGCCACCTGAGCCTGAGAAGTCAGCCTTCAGAGAACAGAAATTCAACAGAATTCGGGAGAGGGCTCTAAGTGTCACAGTGCTGCAAGCTGTAAACTTGAACTTGGAGCTGGGTTGGGGGGCTGCAGGCAGTGAGGAAAGGGTTAAATGCAGAGCAGTTCCTGAGATGATGGTTAAGTCAGGGGCAGCAGGAGGGCCTCCTGGGGGACCAGGAGCTCTGAGCCTGGTGCTGGCCATGCCTCACTGCCAGGAGAGGGCAAGGTGGGGACACAGGCCACACGAGAGGATGCAGGCCAGAGATGACATCTGCTGCTGACTGCCTGGCTGGGTGCTCCCTGCCCCCCTCCTCCAAGTCTCCTGGTGGGCTCCAGAGGGAATGGTCTGGCCTCTACTATCACCCTCCCGCAGTGGGCCTGAAATAGAAGAGGTAGGCAGGGGGCCACTTTCAGAAATGGCCCCAGGTCACCTTGGACACCCTTCCCTCTACCTATTTCGAGAGGCCTGCCACTCATCAGAAGCATTCCTGAGTGAGCGGCCCACACTCTTCTCTGTGGGTCGGGCCAGGGGCTCAGCTGTTGCCTGCACTGAAGTCTTGCTGAACGCCTGCCTCAGGGCAAGCCCAGTGGCCTCCGGGGTGCCACGCTCCAGCACACCCCCCTCGCCTAACCCTCCCTCTTCCTAACAGTCAGGATGGGTTGACTTTCTCTGTCCATGGGTGAGAGGTAGCAGCCAGAGAGGTACTAGGCTTAGTGGGACCCAGGTACTGCCACAAAACCAGATGCCCAAAGCAGGCCCCTAGGGACGTCAGCCAACCCAGGACAGCACAGGGGGCAACGCGGTGGCTTGAAACCCAGATCTGCTCTTGACTGGCTTGGCAAGCTGGGGCAGGTTACTTAACCCCTCTGTGCTCCAGTTTCCCCATTTGGACATAATAAGAGTCATAGAATGGCTGGGAGCATCAAATGAAATGGCAACTACCAAGTTCTTGGTGCCATGGCTGGTGCATGGTAAATCCAGGCCTTCTCCCTTAGCCATGTCTTGCAGGCGCCTGACACACTGGCCACAGCTGACACAAATGTGTCACGGACCCCCAAGAAAACACCACATGCAGTCCTTCCTCAGGCCGTGCTGCCCACAAGGGGCTCAAAATGATTTGTTGACTGAATTCCCATTTTACAGCAGGTCAAACCGAGGCCCCAAGGACAGTACCTTGTCAAAGGATTTGAAGCCAGGTAGTTTGGCTGCAGAGGCTGCATTCTTAACCACATACTAACTGCCTCTCATGAAGGCCGCTATAGGCAGGTAGAGGGGACAGAGGGTTGGTGAGGGAAGGCCCTGGCCGCTTCTTCTGCCCCCTCGCCCTTCCTTTTTTCCCTTCTAATCCATTCCCTCAGACAGAGGGATGGAACCAGCAGGACCTTTTGGTCAGTTAAAGGTCAGCTCATCCTGCAAGGACAGAGGGGCCCTGTCTGGAGGCTGAGAAGCTGGCCCTCTGCCGAGAGGGGGAGCCGCTCTCGGCTCTGCTGTCCCTGGGCTGCCTCCCACTCTGACCGTCTGCTCTTCTTCCTTCCCCCACAGCCAAATACATCCTAAGCCCCGTCTTTCCCACATCTCCTCCTCACCGTTAATTATTTTACCTTTTATTTGCCTGGCACTTTATAGTTTACTAAATGTTTTTACATTTATCATCGCATTGACCATGCACCAAGAAGAGATGGAGAGACAGTAAAAATTCTTTCCAATTGCCAAATGTTCTTGTTAAAAATGCAAACATCCCCAGCACAACGACCAATTAGGCTGGCAGCCACTGAAACCTCAGAACAAATTCGCTCCAGCCTCTGCTTTCTGCTTGGCCGCTCAGCGCCCGGGGATGGAGGAGTGCTTTTCACAAGCAGCCTGGGGGGTCGGAGGGGCCTGGTGGGGTGTCTTGGCCAATCTGAGGGTGCTGGGCCCCTGGGGGAGGAAAAGGGGTTGGGAACTGAGGCAGGTGTGAGGACAGGCCATCCACTTTTCAATGTTGCACGTAAAAAAATGTGCTCTCAGTGAGTCCCCAAATTCTAGTCCAACCACCCTCCCTCATCCCACTTCTCTCTGAAACCTTGTGCTCATTCTGGTGACCCCAAGGTCAGAGGAGAAATCTTTATTCAAGGAAAGGCCCAAAGATTTTCAGAGAGGAGTCATCAAATCCAAAACCTTGGGGAGGGAGACAGAAGACAGCGCCGTGTAGAGGAAAGAGGGCACAGGGAGGCCCCCAGGCCTACCTATCTCTAACCTAGCTCTGCCATGGGACCCAGGGGCCCCAGGATGGCACAGCCCCACCCAGGACTGGCTTCAGCTGGGAGGAGAAGCCAGACGCTGGGTGCTGGCATCCTTGAAAGGGCCATCCTGGGTCACGGGGGTAAATCAGGAGGTTCTGCCTCTGGGAAGGGTCTCAGTCACCCCAACTGAACACAGATGGGTGATGGGCTGGACCATCCTGAAGGTCCTCCCAGCTCCAACATTCTGCAGTCCTACGACCAACTCAAGAAAAGAAGCTTGTGGCCAAACCCCAGGCAGGGCATCTCAAGAGTTCCTGGGCTCTGGGCATGCTCACTTTCGGAGCCCGCCCCACGTCTCCTTACACATATGCAGATAGACCACATAAATAAATAGAATGCATGTAGAACTCTCAAGAGACGACCTGAGTTGCAGTGGACCATTTGACATAATGTTAGGTTTGTAGCTAAATTAAACATGTATTAATTTCAATTCTGCTGCTTTCTTTTCAAATTTCAGAGCCTATCAGTTTGTTCCCAGCTCTCAAACATTTTTGTTGGCTGTTGATGAAAGCTTGTAGGCCCTAGATCCTGTGCCTCTGTTCCTAGTACTCTGACCCCAGAGAACTCAGGCAGCAAGCCTGAAGAAACCCAACAGTGGGTTTAATACACATGTGACAAATGCTGTTTTTGCAGCACAGTGGGGGGTATCTCAAGCTCCACTCAAGGCCACATCCTCCAAGGAGCCTTCCCAGATCACTCCAGCTCTCAAAATCCCTCCCTGCCAATCCCAGAGAACTCACTGTCCACGGAACTTACTTGGCTGTAGCAACACACTTCCACGATAACCCCCTTGTGGCCATTTTGCTGCCTTCTTTGGCTCTGTCCTCACTTTTATTTAATACATTCATATATGTGCCTTATCTTCCCCCAGTTAACGGTGAGCTCTCGGAGGTACCTCACACTTCCCCTCTGCCTCCTCTCGAACCCAGATCTCTTGAAAGCAGGCCAAGAGAAGCAAGGTCATGTGAGCAGAGGCTGTGCAGTTTGGATAGGGGCTGGGAGCCACTAGGTCCCACCTACCCTCCATGCCGTCATCTCGATGCCCACTGAAGTTGTCGTAGGAGTCCCAGCGGATGAGGGGGTCGGAGGTGTTATAGTCCACAGACACGCTCGGCCCGTTCTCCAGGTGCTCCATGCCTAAGTGGGATGGGAAAGGCAGCGGCAGTCGGGGAGACAGTGCAGAGAGGGAAAAGAGATCAGCAGCTGGAAAAACAGAGAAAGCCCACAAGCTCCCCAAAAGAGGCTCCCTGAGGGACTTCTCATTTTCTTGAGCGTGGTGGGCGGGACCAGTGGCTTAAGCTGGACTGAGAACTGGGAGTCTAGTTTCTCACATTCTTGAAAAGGCTCATGCCGGGTCATAGGGGTAAATCAGGACAGGCACTGAAGAATGAAGACCCCCTGGAAGAAAGCGGGGAGGACCCCTGGCTGGGTACCTGCCTCTTTTTCTTCTGTGTCCCTGGGGCTCCTGAGGCAGTGCCAAGAGACTAGAAAGTCTGCCCCTGGGGTCAGACCCTGGGGGTGGGGGGCAGGCTGCTTATGAGCTACGTGGGATCAGGGACAGCAGGGAAATCACAGCCCCGACATTGAAAGGACATAAAGCCTCCAAAGGGTCATCCCAGGCATGGCCCTGCCCCCTCTTAAAACGCTCTCCGCTCCAGACAGAAACCTAGGGGGCACGGCAGAATCTCCCAGCCATCCACAGAAAACCCAGCTCAGCATTGGGACAAATACCTAATGCATGCAGAGCTTAAAAGTAGACGATGGGTTGACAGGTGCAGCAAACCACCATGGCACATATATGCCTATGTAACAAATCTGCACATTCAGCACGTGTATCCCAGAACTTAAGGTAAAATAAAAATAAATAAGTAAATTTTTAAAAACCTGGCTCAAAGACAGCATAGCTCCTAGTCAAGTCTGTCAGGGTGAGTTACCTTCCTGGCTTGGCAGTCCTTTCTTTAGTCTATCCAGAGTCCCTCTGCCCATAACCTAACTTCATCTCCTTTCATTCCATTCTCGAATAAGATGGTGAACAACTGGTCTCCACTTATAACCAGTATAGAGGCTTCAAGGTTATTATTAAACCAGCCTTCAGGTTGAATCACCTCAGTTCTCATAAATACACATCTTCTATCCAGCACCTTTGTGTGCCCCCTGCCCGCCAGCCACTCCCTCCATCTACCAAGGACCTCAGTCTCTGAATATAACAGGCTGATGACCTAATGGGACCAGAACAGTTTATCCAACCCAGTGCCTCTCTGTCTGCTTTTTTATTTTTATTATCCAGAGATTAAGTCACTGGTTCATGTTTAGCTAGGGGTCCACTCTGAAACCCAGATCCTTTACTGATGGCCTGCCTCTCAAAAATAACTTGATCACTGTGGAACAGACCAGGGGTGGAAGGGTGCTGGGGATAGGGTCAGGATAAAAGGAAGGAGTGAGAGAATGAATTCTAACTCGGCTTATACCTTGAATTTTCTCTGGCCCATAAGAAAATACAAACTCCACTTTGCCATACTCTGGAAATCGATCATCTGGAAAAAGAGAAGGAAAAATAAAAATAGGCAAAAAGTCCCAAAAAGGATTCCATAAAAAGTTTTCTTCTAGAAAAAATTAAAATACCATATATGTACATGGTTAATAATATAATAATAATCAATGTATATTTATACATATATACATGAAATTATATCTATACAATGAAATTAAATTTCCTGCCCACTCTAGCCCCTGTCCTACTTGCCTGAGGTAATGAGGTCACTGATTCTAACTATTTCTATTGCTTTTCTACTAGCAATTTACCTCTAAGACTCTAAATAATAGCCACTATTTTTATGCCACTATTTCTAGATCCCAATTTTATTTTATTTTATTTTATTTATTTTGAGATGGAGTCTCGCTCTGTCGCCCAGCCTGGAGTGCATATTTATATTTTTGAGACAGAATCTTGCTCTGTCACCCTAGATGGAGTACAGTGGTGCGATCACAGCTCACTGCAACCTCAATCTCCCAAGCCAAAGTGGTCCTCCTACCTCTGCCTCCAGAGTAACTGGGACTACAGGTGCAAGCCACCACGCCCGGCTCATTTTTGTATTTTTTATAGCGACGGAGTTTTGCTGTGTTGCTGAGGCTGGTCTCAAACTCCTGGGCTCAAGCAATCCACCGGCCTCAGCATCCCAAAGTGCTGGGTCTACAGGCGTGAGCCACCATACCCAGCCAGACATGAATTTTAAATAACCTCTATGGATTGACCACTATTAATATGAATAATTTGGTTCACTTATACTACTACCCCTACTTCCTGTCTTCTTAAATCTGATTAGATTATTGTTTTTATTTATGCTATTGATTATCTTTGAAACTTTAAATAAGATAGTTAAGCCTCTATTTCTTTTTCTCTTTTTAGAGACCAGGTCTCACTCTGTTGCCCAGGCCAAAGTGCAGCGGTGCAATCATAGCTCACTGCAGCCTTGAACTCCTGGGCTCAAGTGATCCTCCTGCCTCAGCCCCTGGAATAGCTGTGCTAACAGGCACATGCCACCATGCCCGGCTAATTTTTTTATTTTTTGTAGAGATGGGGTCTCACTATATTTACCAGGCTAGTCTTAAACTCCTGGCCTCAAGCAATCCTCCCGCCTTGGCCTCCCAAAGTGCTGGGATTACAGGCATGAGCCACCGTGCCTGGCCATGCCTCTATTTATTGATATGTCAATTTTCGATGGTATCTCCTGACTCCCACTACGTAAGAGGAGGAAATCTGTGACCCTTCCTTCTCTCAACTTCTGCCCAATCCCTTATTTATTTGATCAGCTATGCCTTTATTTTTCCTTGTTAAGACTGTTATCATTTACATTCTGTACTGTAATTATGATGGCATCTTCTGGCTCCAGTGCAAGGAGAGCTCATTAAAGAAACACCCTTCTACATGAGCCAGACCACACTAAGGAGATCTGGACCCTCCTCCAAGCCCCAGGTCCAGTCTTTCTCCGCCTGAGCCCACTCTGGACACAGATCACTGCCCACTGCATGTAGGAAAAGAAGTTACAGCAAGGATGGCATCTGCTCCATGGGACACCTATCATGCTTGTGCGTGTCTCCATCACTTCAGGCAACACTTCATAGTATCATGTTTGTGTGTCTCTCACTGAGGAAACTGTGAACTCCCTGAGGGTAGGGCCTGACTTCTTTCTGTTCATATCTATAGGGTCTAGCACATGCCCGACACATACAGACACACAAGTGATGCTTGGTGGGTGGGTGGGTGGGTGGGTGGATGGATGGATGGATGGATGGATGGATAGATGGATGGGTGGGCAGATGAATGAATATGTGGATGGATGGACAGATTAATGAAGGGATGGATTAATGGATGGATGAATGGGTGGGTGCATAGATGGATGGGTGGGTGGATGGATGGACAGATGGATGGACAGACGGATGGATGAATGGATGGATGGATGGATGGATGTGTGTAAGGATGGATTGGTGGATGGAGAGAGAGATGGGTAAATAAATGTGTATTTATATGTCCCAGGCATTAATGTGATATAGATAAAACTTCCAATGGATAAAAGAAAGAAGCAAAAGCAAACACCAAACCTTTCCCAACCACCTCTTCTCCTCTCAGAAAATGGTTCCCCCTTGCTGCTGCCACACCCCTCCACTACTGCTCTTCTGCCCTGCAGGGTAATTATCCCCTGCTAGTCTGCCTCCCAACTCAACAAGATTTTTGAGCTCCACCAAGGCAGAGACCATGCCATGTTTTACTTTGTATCCCCGGCACTTGGTACAGATCCTAGCCCAAAGCAGATGCCCAGTGAATGTTGAAAAAAAAAATGATTGTCAGTAGGACACATGTGACAAACTGGGAGGACAAGATGAAGGAGAGACAGGGAAAGTCATAGAAGGCTGCAAGATATAAAACAGCCCAAGGACTGGGAGGAGTTTATCTCCACTTCTACTAACAACTGGAATTCCCAGACCATCCAATCTCAACTCTCTCCCAAGTCTCTCTCAACTCTCTCCTACCATCACCCTGAGACTAGACAGACCACATGGTCCAGAAAAGATGGTCCCCATACCCACCATATCGTCTCAAACTGAGCTCCTCTCCCTGCCACAGGGGTGCCCACCCCCAGCTCCACTCAAGGAGCGCACCTTTGAAAGCATCATCAAGGTCCTCCTTCCCAAAGACAACCCCCAGGTCATGGATGGCACAGGTGTGGAACTGCACACGGAAGATGACGTCTCGGGCTGGGCTTCGGAACTTCTTGTGGTAGCACTTCAGCTGGGTGGGAAGACGGGCAGAACCAGTCAGGGGCCTGAGGCTGGGAGGTCAGGTCCCAGGGAGCCTCCTTATCAGCTCCGCTGACTGAGCCCCCAAGGCTCACCCCAAACCCGGTGAGGGAGAGCTCATCAACACCAAACAGGATCTCAGAGTTCTGTGGGGAAACTTCTAGAACAGCAGAGAATTGGAGGCCAGTCTTGGCCTCTGGGGACAAAAATGTCCTCCCAAGAAGTTTCTACATACAAGTCAGAGTGCAAAAAGTAAGATGGATTTAAATGGCAGCAGGAAGAACTGAAGCTAGAATTCAGAGAGTCCTTGTCACCAATAAGAAGCCAGGAGGTAACAGCTCACGCTGAGTGATATTTCCCTGGAGATGCTCCAGAACAACAGCTAAGCCCAGGGTGAGAGACACAGACTGTGTGAGACTGGAAGGTCTTCCAAGAGCCCTGAGAGCCTATGGTTCCAAGCCTGGCAGCCCAGGAGGAGTACCTGTCTTGTCCCAAGAGGCAGGAAAGGAGTAAGAAAAGAAGGGAGAGAAAATAAACAAGGATGGGGCTTGACACAGAGGACAGCACTCACCAAGATGTCTCCCTTCAAGAGCAGTCCTGGCTCGATGGTGATGCAGACGCTAGTCTGGCTGTCTCCTGGGATGTTGCTAAGGGAGAGAGGTGGGCAGAAAAAGAGTGGGCTGCTGGAGGGGAGATGAGGGAGGGGCATTTTCTCCCTGCTGCCCCTACGCCACAGGGTTAGTGGGAAACCTCTCTGACTCTGTCCTTTCAGCCCTCTTGAGAATATTCTCTCCTCTCCCCAACCTTCTGACCTGGTCCTTAGCCCTGGGCCTTGGGCTTCTCTGGCCTCTCACGCCCATGTAATACTTACTAGATGCCAGATGTGTACACAGGTTGCATGGCCTGGTAGATGCGGAGAAATGGCCGACATCCTGTAAAAGTGGGGTGGGTGTTAGCTAAGACAGCAGAAACTGGCAGGCAGGAGGGGCAGAGGAGACAGTGAAGGGAGAAAGAGAGAAAGGAAGGAAGAAATGGGGGAAGACGGGGTAGGAAGGGGAAGGAGGAAAAGAGGAAAGAGTAAAAGAGGAAGCAGAAAGGGGAAGAAATACCAACTTTTCACTTGTAAGGCAAATTAAATTAATAAAAACATTGCCCATCCAACATCATTGGCCAGCAGGCACTGCAAATAGATTGGTGCTTAGAAAAGTTTAGGAAGCAATACACTTGAGAGTCCAATGGAGGCCTTATGACTCTGCAGCTCTCGGGCTGTCTGTTACTACCCAAGGTTGCCTCTTAGAGAAGATGGAAGATGAAAGGGAGGAGTTGGCAAGGGTGGAGGTCAGAGGGCTCAAGGCAGGTACCTCCTTTAGACTCAAAGTTGGGGATGCCGTGCATGATCACGTGGTGCAGAAACAAGGGCTTGTTGTTCATTTTGATGGAGCCGGAGAGCAGGCCACTGAAGTAATGCACGTACCTGTAGTGGTGGGAGAAGCAGCTTCAGGGAGTGAGGTGGGTACTGGTGCAGTAATCCCTGTTCTCTCTTTTCCAAGAACATTGCCCTAGACCACTCACCTACTCTACCCTCTCCCCAACCAACATGGTCCCCCTCCCCAACCAGGCCTCCCTCCCAGACATGCTTGCCTGCTGCTGGGAGCCCTAGGTAGGAAGAGTGAGCAGGTATACCAGACCTAGAGCTGGGTCAAGTCAAGCATCCCACTTGGAGTTCGCCACCGCCCTCTGGTGGTCAACATGAATATCTCTTTCCTGCTTCACTCCCAGCCCGAGAATCTCCTGCTGGACCAAAATTTCCACCCCACATCCCTGACAGGCATCATTTAGCTGCACAAGGCAGGCCCAACCACCAAACAGCTCTGACGCCCTCACACCCCCACACAAAGCTCAAATCAAGCTTGCGCTCATACTCACAGCCCCAGTTCTGCCCACAGATCCAGTAGCCACAAGTGATAGTCTAGCAAATAGTGAGCAAGACTTTAATGAATGTAGTTCTTCACTTTCTCTACATCATACCAAAGTGCATTAAGTCCCTCTCTCTGTATCCTTGAGTTTACTTGGTATTCGAGGTAACTAGCTTCTAATAAGTATCTATCTCTAGGGTCAACTTCCCCCAATTTTTTTGTTTTGTTTTTGTTTTTGAGATGGAGTTTCACTCTTGTTGCCCAGGCTGGAGTGCAATGGCGCAATCTCGGCTCACCGCAACCTCTGCCTCCCGGGTTCAAGTGATTCTCCTGCCTCAGCCTCCTGAGTAGCTGGGATTACAGGCATGCGCCACCATGCCCGGCTAATTTTGTATTTTTAGTAGAGACAGGGTTTCTCCATGTTGGTCAGGCTGGTCTCAAACTCCCAACCTCAGGTGATCAGCCCGCCTCGGCCTCCCAAAGTGCTGGGATTACAGGTGTGAGCCACCGCACCCAGCCAACATCCCCTAGTTCTTTAACAAAGATCTGTTGGAAGAATGGAAGAACTAACCCACACCCTCTCCTTCTAGACAGAGAGGATAAATAAGGTCCAGGAGGGGTCACTGGACTCCAGAGACACACAGCAAGAACACACAAAGCTGGAAGTGGATGGGGAGAGCAGGAAAGAAGTCTGGGCTCCAACGCATCTGCCCAATAAACTAGAGATCGGTCATCTGCCCAATAGAGATCAGTCCTTCTGCGTCGATTGGTCGGCATTTTCCCTTTTCTGATTGGCCATGGAATGACAAGCTGAGTCAGCTAGACCAATCAGAATGTATTCTGAGGCTCTGCAGGAGCCAATAGTAGCTCTCTGAAGAGGGTGGAACTAGAGCCCACATGACCATGATAAGATCCCCTCCTGTCTCTTGGCTCCTTGGCCCACCTCCAAGCCTGTGGGCCTCTGTCCCTGGGTTTGGGTGGGGCCTCCTCGGACTACTCAAGTAAGATAATCTGATGGGCAGCACCCGATCCTATTCAGGCCCCTGCCCCATTACTCAAGCCGGAAACCTGGAATAGCGGTTCCTATCAGATCTCTGGATCGTGCCAACAGGATGTGTCTGTGTTCGAGGGACAATGAGTCCGGAGGCGGGTGACAATGAATGAGAGAGCTACAGGCAAAGCCCCTCCCTCTCTCTTTCCCTGCCCTCCTCTCCTCCATCTGCTCCATTCCCTGCAAGTGACACTGACAAGAAGGCAGGAGGGTGGCAATAAATGCATAGTAAACCCACAGTTGCACTTCCACATCTGGGCTCAGAGAGGTGACCCATCCACAAGCAGAGGCAGTGTCAGACAGGAGCCAGGCAGACACGCCCCAACTGCCTGCTATGCAAGCATATGTTGAACACGAGATGATATGGTTTGGCTGCATCCTCACCCAAATCTCATCTTGAGTTGTAGCTCCCATAATTCCCTCGTGTTGTGGGAGGGACCCAGTGAGAGATAATTGAATCATGGGAGTGGTTTCCCCCATTCTATTCTCGTGGTAGTGAATAATTCTCACAAGATCCGATGGTTTTGTAAGGGGAAACCCCTTTCCCTTGACCCTCTCTCTTCTCTTGTCTGTCACCATGTGAGATTTGCCTTTCACCTTCCGCCATGATTGTGAGACCTCCCCAGCCACGTGGAACTGTGAGTCCATTAAACCTCTTTCTTTTGTAAATTGCCCAGTCTTGGGTATGTCTTTATCAGCAGCATGAAAATGGACTAATACACCAGGGAATCCCTAAATAATCCTATTCCTGAGAGGTGACACTGATCCCTGGTCTTCAGGCCTTCACTACTCAGACTCAGAGATGTTACTCTCTACCCATTCTCTCCAAGCCACACTGTGCCATTGGAACAGCATGCTTCTCTCTTAGTATCCTTATCCTTCAAGGTCAAAGGCCACACCGTGATTACAGTCAGCAGACACACATGGCAAGCCAGAGGCTGACAAGGCAGTGCTTGACCAATCATTCTTTCTTCCCTGAGAAGACTCTCGTTGATCCACAGCTGCTGTCTCCAGGGCCCTAACCAGAATTTTCTGCACATAAAGACATCCCATTTCTGGTTGCTGACTCTGAGGCTGGCTATCAACTGTTTTGTGCAACTATAAGGTGCTGGGTTACCTGAGGACTCACTCACTTCTTGGGCTTCCAATTACAATGGCGGGAATAGCCCCCAGCTGGGACAGCACAGTTCTAGCCAGCCAAGCAAGGTGGGATGATGGGGCACGTGTTGGGACCCTCAGCATGATGAGGCTGGAGAGCTCCAGGACTCACAGCTCCAGGCCCTTGTTGGCCCAGTCAGTGTGCTCAGGGGCTAAAAAGGCAAATAGGATGCTTTGGCCTCCAGGCCCTTGTAGTCAGTGCTATTCCCTCATTCTGGATCCTTTATCCCGTGCGTTCACTTGGAGGCTTCCTTCTCCCCACCCAGATCTCATGTTACACGTCACCTTCTCAGAAGGCCCTTCCATTTGAATCAGCCCTCTTTCCAGCCCCATCACTCTCTAGCCATCATAGTTTGCCTTTTCTTTGCAGCTCTCATGACTATCTGAATTGTTTCCTTATATGTGTAACATCCACTAGAAGCTGAGCTCCATAAGCCCTTGCCTGGCGGATTCAGCACCATGTCACCAGTGTGCAGAATGGTGCTGACATCACGGCAGGTGGCAGGCCCACAACTCCCAGCAGCAAACAGAGCTGGGCCTGCGTCCCACCATCCAGGTCTCCAGTTTGGGCTTGGGTTTCCCACCATCCTGGCTGCAGCCTCCCCCAAAGACCTCCTGCCCCTGATGCTGCCTGTGCCTTCCTGTGCATGAGATGTCTTTGAGCAACATGTCACCCACGGAGCAGGATCCCTCAGGACAGTGGGTCACACAACCAGGAGGCACTGCCCTAGCCCAGGCATTACTAGGCCTTCACGTACTTTCCAGTTCTGCCACTACTCACTATAGACCATGGCCACGCCCCCTCCCTCGGCTCAGCTTCTAATCTGCAAAATGGGATGCCTAGATCATCACACGATAGCTCACCGTGATTCCAGTTTAGGCTCAAATTCACCCCCTCTAAGAGGTATTCCCTGACCATCCCTATTAAAAGAGCCCCGTTCCCCTATCAGTTCTCGTGTCTGCAGTGCCCTCTTTCCTTCCTAGCCTCATTGCTGTCTGACACTGTCTTGTTTGTATGGTTATTTGTTTCATGTCCATCTCTCTCATTAGGTATCAGCTCACCAAGGGAAAGGACTTTTTCCTGTTCACCCAGATATCTCAGTGCTTGGAGCCATAGTAGATGATTTAAATTTTGCTGAATGAATAAATCCATCCCTGCCCTGTTTCCTGCCTGGGCTATTGTGAGACTCCAATGAGACCATGTGGTTGAAAGCTCTCAGTAAAACTGTCTAAACTCTCCCAACAGAAGGTGACCCTTATCATGAGTGTCTGACCTCCCACAGCAGGGGGCAGTGATGCAGTCTCCCGTAGACTCATCCAAGCACTGAAGCAATCCTGCTTCCAGGGCCAAGAACAGCACATGCCTTCCTAGACCAGCGCCTTCTTATCCCCAGACTCATGCTTCCCCATGAAGGTTGCACTGCTCTCTAGCACAGGCCTCAGAGTCAAGTGCTGTGCCAATCTGCGGGCACACACCACAGGCTGGCTCCCGGGCTCTCCTGTGTGCCTGAGCTCACACCACTGCAGGCTGGCATCTGAAAACTTGCGCCTGGTACACCCCCACCTAGGCACAGCTATCCCATCCCTGTGAGTACACAAGTCTAGTCCCCACATAGAGTGAGTGCACACATACATGCAAGGGGCTGTGAGCCCCAGAGACCCACCTTCTTTGGGATGGCTGGCCAATGGGCACAATCTTATCCTCATAGAACCGCTTCATTGCAAACCGGTCCAGAGCCTGGTCCGCACTGCAGGGAGAGACAGGTGGTCAAAAGAGGCAACTCCTGCATCCAAGAGCCGCTTGTTTTCCCCACCCCTGCTCCCTCAGACCTGCAGAGCACTCTGGCCAAAGAGCACCTTTGTCCTGGAGGGAAGACAAGCCTCTTCCCCCTGCCATCCTGTGCCGAGAAGCTTTCAGGAAAAGAGTGTTTCAGCATCTCTCCAACTGTGCAGGGCCGCACTCAGCCCAGGCTTTAAAGTTCAGCAGCCTGGGAGCCCAGCTCAGGTCTACCACTTATGAGCCCCGTGTCCTGGTACAAGTTCCTGAATCTCTCTGAACTTCATTCTCCTCACCCATCAAATGAGGGTGATAATTGCCCCTTCCTCAAAGGTGACTATGGAGATGAAGTGAGGGAATATCCATAAAGAGCTTGGCACTCATGGCACACAGTAGGGGTACAGGAGTGCAGTAAAGGTGCAGCCTCATCTTTGCTTATCATTAAGCAAAGGTGAGACTGACTTGGGTTGCTCGAAGTCCTAAAACTACAGCCTCCTGGCAGGCCCTCCACAGAAGATTCTACCATCCTCACAGAGCACTCAGAGAAGTCACTTTGAAATGAAAAGATCACGAAGCTCCAGTGACTTCCCATCACTCTTAGAGCAAACCCCAAAGTCCTCAGTGAGGCCGCGAGGCCCCATGGCTCTGCCACCTCCCAGCTTCCCCTCCTCTTCCTCTTCCCTCACTTGCTCAGCTTCAAACACCTCAGCCCCTCGCATTCCCATCCTTCCTCTTCTCTCAGTGTGCAGGGCACATCCCACAGGCTTGATAAGGCTCAGCCCTTTCCATCCTGGTCACTCAGGTCTCTGTTCCAGTGTCACCTCATCAAGAGGCCTTCTCCAACCATGGACCTGCCTCGCCACTGCCCTTCTTGAGTCCCTTTACTCTTTCACGATAATTATCACCTGCTATTACTAATGTATTTGTTTATGTGTTTAATGCCCATGAGGGCAGTGGCCTGGCTTTGCCCTCTGCTGCATTCCCAGGACCTAGAACAGAGCCTGGCACATTGTCTGTTCAATATTTATTGTTTTTTTCTTTTTGAGACAGAGTCTCCCTGTCTCCCAGGCTGGAGTGCAGTGGCACCATCTTGGCTTACTGCAACCTCCCTGCCTCCCAGATTCAAGGGATTCTCCTGCCTCAGCCTCCTGAGTAGCTGGGATTACAGGCACCTGCCCCACCATGCCTGGCTAATTTTTGTATTTTTAGTAGAGACGGAGTTTCACCATGTTGGCCAGGCTGGTCTCGAACTTCTGACCTCAAGTGATCCACCTGCCTTGACCTCCCAAAGTGCTGGGATTACAGGCGTGAGCCACTGCGCCCAGCCATATTCCTTGTTGAGTGAATAACAAAACGAATGGGTGAATCCCTCTGCCTCTCTGCAGAGTGGGATTGGAAAGGGAGTCAGTGACTGGATGTTCTTTATTCTTGTTCCAAACACCTAGGTAGGAAGAGGGCCCTGTTGTCCAGAGGCAGAGGAATAGATGAGACAACTTCTAGACTGTTTTGCCAGACCCAGATCTGATCCGACATTTCTTTCTGACTCCCTTCCTGCTGGCCCAGGGAAAAAGAAGGCAGTTTGGCAAGGAAAAGTGGCTCCGAGGAGCTGGCCGCATGGGTTGCTCAGGACAGGGCCTGCCTCCCAAGGCTGCCCCACCAGAACCCCTGATAGAGAAGTGGACTCTCCTCCCTCCCGCCCTCTGTCCACAGGCTCCTGCCTCAGAGCCAGGGGCCCCTTCCCCCGTCCTCATCGCTTCTCATTCCCTCTGTGCGTATCCCCTCACTCCAGGGAGCAGAGAGGCTGTGGGTGGATGAGAGGAGGGGGGTCACACTGTCGATGTTCAGAGGATGGGAGGCTCCAGGCCCCTCTTACCTGGCAGAAATGTTGCTGTAGTGCATGTAAGCCGCGATGACAACTCCTATCCTGCCTCGGTTTCCCTGAAAGAGCCCCAAACACAAAATCATTTATTTCTAAGGCCAGCCTTGCTGCCCCAGAGCTTATCTAGAAGCCTTGGTGGAAAAGAGTCAGGGCTGGAGAGAGGGGTGTGGATTTAAGGGAGAACATAAGGAGGAAGGGGGCCTCAGGGGAGGGAGGCAGGTGGGGACTAAGTCTCAGAAAAAACACAGCTGATCATCCACTGCCGTGGACATAAGCTGATGTCCCCTACACTTCTTAGAAGTGCCGCCCAAGACAGAACCTATTATCCCCTAGAAAGAAAAATACACACAGACTTATATGCTCGCAAAATCCAAAGATATAGGCAGGTACACACAATCATCCAAGGACACATTCAGGCACACACACATGTGCGCATGTGCGCGCGCGCACACACACACACACACACACACACACACAGCTCTGACCTTGTTGTGTAGAACAACGACATTGTGAGGGTCTGCATTGAGCCATGTGTCCATGGCCTTACAGATGCTGCAGATCTTCTCCAGGGCTGGGGTGTGGAGGTCGGGCCAGCCAAATTCCAGTACCTGTGGCCCAAGCCATGAGTGAGAAGAGGGCAGAAGCCCTGCAGAGCCAAACAAGCCAGCGGGAGCCACCTACGCCACGTGCCAGTACCTGGGCAGTGGCCCGCAGCTGCTGGTTCCTGCCAGGACTTGGTTCCTCCCTGCCCACTGGCCAGCGAGGAGGCAGGGGAGTGAAGGGCAAAGGCCATGCATGACCCAGTACTGGGGACCCTGGTCCCGGGTCTTGGCCCTGGCACTGACTCACTGTGGGGCCTTAGGCCTCAGGTCCTCTTCCAGCCTCAATTTCCCCATATGTGTGTTAAAAAAACAAACAAAAAGAAAGGCTTGGAGCTGATGACCCCAAGGTCCCTACCATAGGACTGACCTCCAACATGCTGAGGGGCCCCAAGCACTGTCCTCAAGCTCTTCTCCTACGGACAGCCCTGAGGCCTGGCTCAGGCTGCGAGAGGAAAAAGCAAAAGGCTGCCTGATGTTCATGACTCTTTTCTAGGCCCTGGTCACACAAACCATCCACTTTCCAGGCCAGCCAAGAGCAGCCTTAAGGACACAAAGGGCAGACCTGAACAGCAGGCTTCGGGCCTCTCAAAATCTTTCTAGACTCACCAACTTTAAAGTAAAAGAGAACTCTGCAAGGACCCATAGAGCACACCTAATCCAGCCAGGCCACTTTCAGAGGGGCACACTGAGGCCCAGAGAAGTCCATCACCCACCCAGGATCACACAACAGCATGTACCAAACTCTCAGAGCTAGGAGCAGATGCCCATGGCAAAGCCCACACACAGCCCCCGAGCAAACAGAATAAAAAGCAGCAACAGGTCCAGACGCGCTGGCCCATGCCTGTAATCCCAGCACTTTGGGAGGCCAAGGTGGGCAGATCACTTGAGGCCAGGAGTTTGAAACCAGGCTGGCCAACACGGCGAAACCCCATCTCTACTAAAAATACAAAAATTAGCCAGGCATGGTAGCACGTGCCTGTAGTCCCAGCTACTCGGAAGGCTGAGGCAGGAGAATCACTTGAACCCAGGAAGTGGAGGTTGTAGTGAGCTGAGATCACGCCACTGCACTCCAGCCTGGGCGACAGAGGGGGACTGCATCTCAAAAAAACAAACAAACAAACAAAAAAACCGGCAGCTGGAAGGTCGAAAGCAGCGGCTCCCAACTGCTTTAAATCCAAAAACTAAACATCTCACAACTCCAGCCTCACCCAAGTGATTCTGTGTACTCCCCAGCAGGCAGACCTGGGTGGAAAGTCACTGCCCCAAGCTTTGCTTTCTGTAATTGGCATTGTGGAAATGATAAGTAGATCATTTTCCATTTTCCAGATATAAGTCGGCACTCTGACAAACTGTCACAGCATTTTCCCCAAGATTATTATGTGGGAACTCCAGAGAGGGAGTCCATCTGTTCTCCTTCTCCTCCCCTACCCCAAAACAGCCCCTGGCTCACCTTGGCATGGAGCTTCGTGATGTCAGGTCTCCGCTCAGAGAGGTTGAACAGCTAGAAGGAGCAAAAGGAAGAGAGCATGAGGAGGTGAGGGTGAGGAGGGCGGCGAGGAGAGAGAGAACCATGGCCTGCTGGTCCCAGAAAGGACCGTGGCATCATTGCCAACTTCCTCTGAAGAGCCCACGACAGCATCCAGCAGAGCGTCAATGTCCTCTCACGGCCAGGGGCCTGGCCACGGAACAGCCATGAGCTCCCTGGACCTCCTGTGCCTGCTCTCGCTCTCTCTCCCCGATAGGAATTCTATCCATACGTGAACATGCAGGTGAGTCCCAGCAGACACACCGTCACGAAGAGGAACTCAACTGTAGGTCCTCAGGATGAAAAGGGAGAGAGAGAGAGATGTAGACACTCAGCCACCCTGTTCCGTGAGCGGATGTCCCGAATGGAAGACGAGAAGGGGATGGAACTTGTCTCCAGTTCCGCTTGCCTCTCACCACACCGAACGGGAATCCAGCTGTGTGAGATGATAAGTAGTTGGCAATCTCTGGTTTCCACTTCATACCTTGACCCTAGAACCTCATCCCATGAGGTTGCAACCTCTCTGTCACCAGACTTCCTCCATCAGAGGGGCAAACCATCCTGGGTGGGCCCAATCAGACCCTTGACATACCTCTCCCAGCACATGCCTTTCAACGCCTGACCACTGGGGTCCCATTCCTGACCACTGGAATCCTAAGGAATTCTCCAGTCTCTGGAATTCCTGCCTCTACCTCCGAGGGGGGCATGCAGAACTTCCCACCTCCACCCCACTGCCTAGGAAACTCAAAGGCACTGTGTCATCTCCTGGGGAGAAAAGGGGACAGCCCAGTCTGGAATAGGCAGGATAGAGAGAGGGGTGGCAGGGCACCAAGTCCCATAGAACCCTGGACTCCTAAAATCAGAAATAGGTGGATTTGCATCCACTCTTGCACTCTGTAAAGGAATACACTTTATTATGGTACAATAGCCATCACTCAATGAATGTCTGCCACCTGTCAGCCTGTCTTAAGGACTTTACATCTAACAGCTGGCTTAATTCTCTCAACAACAATAAGAGGTAGACCTCAGACCCACTTTACGGACACAGAAGCTAGGGCTTAGTGAGGCTAAACAGCTAAGATCATGTAGTTAGTAAAGGCAGAGCCAGAATTTGAACCCAGGACTTTCTGAGGTTTAAAGCCAAGCTCTTAACAATGCCCCAATGCAGCTAACAGGTGGGTCTCTATAGTGGTTGAATAGTATCCTCAAAACGTCATGTCCACCCAGAACTTCAGAATACAACCTTATTTGGAAATAGTGCCTTTGCCAGTGTAAGTAGTTAAGGATCTCAATATGACATCAACCTGGATCTAGGGTGGACCCTAAGTCCAATAATTGATGTCCTTGTAGGAAGAGAAGACACACAGAGAGACACTGAAGAAGGCCACGTGGAGATGGAGGTAGAGATTGGAGTGATGCGCTACAAACCAAGGAATCCCACCGCAAGCTAGGAAAAGGCAAGAAGGGATTCTCTGCCATAGGATTCAGAGGGAGCATGGCCCCGTCAACACCTTGATTTCAGATTTCCAGCCTTCAGAACTGTGAGAGAATAAATTTCTGTTATTTTGAGCCACCAGATTTGAGGTAGAGTCATCACTTGGTGTCTATGGAGGATTTGGATCTAGGACCCCTCCACCCCGCCATGGATAGTGGATACCAAAATCCATGGGTGCTCAGGTCTCTTACATAAAATATGTACTATTTACATATAACTTGCATATAAAAAATGTACTATTTGCATATAACTTATGCATATACTTCCGTAGACTTTAAATCATCTCTAGGTTACTTGTAATACCTAATACAATATAAACGCTCTGCAAATAGTTGTTCTGCTGTATTGTTTTTATTTGTATTGTTTTTTATTGTTATTTACTGTTGGGTTTTTTCTGAATATTTTCAACTCATGATGGATTGAGTCCAAAGAGGTGAAACCCATGGATAGAAAGGGCCACCTCATTTGCTACAGTGGCCCTGGGAAACTAATGCAGCCTCCTACATCCCACCTCAAACACCCTGGGGACAGCCACCTGAGGTTGTACAGATCAGATCTGTGGGTCCAGTCCACAGGCACCTCCCTCTAAAATGGACCTGAGCCCTCCTCTGGGGCCAAGGACGGATCAGCCTTTCTGCGTTAGTGGAGACCACCGCCAGCACCTCTCTCCCGTGTGCCAAGGTGACTCCTCTGGGCCAGGCCGAGCCAGGTGCCAGCAACCCAGGGTCCCTTAAGACACATGTTGCCAAGACTCTGCCCTCAGACTTCTCAGAGGCACCGACCCTGTGCCAGCTCTGCCACTTCCTGACCCTGCAACCTTAGGCAAATAACCCCACCTCTCTGTGCTCTGGCAAGTGCCTGCTTGCTAGGGCTGCTGCAAAGGTTAAGTGCGTGGAAAGCAGTTGGAACAGGGCCTGGCTAGTAGCAAGCGCTCAATAACCTGAACTCTTATTGGTACTCTCTTCTCCTGGCCAGCACACACATGCACACACAGAGTTCCAGATGCTACATTCCAGCTGCAGCACACTCCTTAGAGGAGAGCTGGGCTGGAGAGTGATTGAAGACTCAGGCACGAGAGCTGCCTGAGGGGAAAGGCAGATAAACAAAGAGAAGAGGGCATGCTGGCACAGGGGCTGGTGGCAGGGATACCAGTCATGTAGAGGTGGTGAGCAGATGGAAGCATAGAGGGCACAGGACAGTGGGCACGAGGATCCATCCTCACCAGGTAGTTGCCTCCATGTTTGGACTTGAGCATCTGCGCCACCTCACGGAGGTTGCTCCGGAAGTTCTCCTCATTGGCTGTGCTGGGGAAGGAGACAGCGATGATCCTCTCTGTGACGTACACCAGGTCCAGCTCACAGCTGTCCTCCATGGTCCGGCTCACACTCATGTTTCTAGGGAGACAGCAGGCAGCGGAGGGTCCATATCAGAATCCAGCCCACAGGGAAGGCCCCAGATAGCTGCACCCCATACACACCCTGTGTGACCCCCATATGCAGCCCAGGGTGCTTGGCTGCTCTTCAACCCAAGGCCAAGGCCACAGGCTTCCTCTGGCAAGGCCAATGTGGCCGGCTTGGGAGTGCCGGCGAGAACAAGCTGGGTAGGGCTGGCAAGGACCTCAGGCCATTTCAGAACCAAACTGTGATGACACCAATTCTTGGTTCCCATCAGTCCTTTGGCCACTGCCTTCAACCTGTGACTCCAGAGCTCAGAGCCAGGGCCAGACTGGCCCAGGAACCCAGGAGCTCTGGCTCCCAACACTGGCTGCCTGGCCAGGCAGAAGTCTCCCGAAAGGCCCCAGACTGCTCTGGAAGAGGAAGGAGAGCCTGCGCTGGGCGCTCTCCAGCCCTGGAACGGAGACTTCCCACTGCCCGCCCCTAGCTCTCGAGCTGTGGAGTGGGCGGGAAACCTCTCAGGGGAGGGGGCATCTCAGGTGACACGTTCACCTGGGTTCCAGGTAAGCCAGACCACAGCACACATTCCAGCCCTCCCGGAGGCAGGCCAACTCCTGCCCTTTGTTCCTTGGCCTTCTCCCCACCTCTGGCAGCTCCCACTGCCTGCCAGAGCTGCTTCTTGGCAGCAGCCTCCCTGATTTCTAAGGGCCCAGAAAACAAGAGGGCACAGAGCCCTTGTTGCTGCAGTGGCGGGCAGCCGCCAGCACCATGCGTTTCCCGGAGAGGTGGGGAGGCCCCTGGGCTGGCCATCCTCTCCACTGGGCACTGGGTGAGGAAGGGAGGGGCTCGCATCTTTACATCTCTCCCAACTTTTCTTCCAGAGGAAGGGTCCAGGATGCCCACTTGGGAAGCCCACCTCTTGCTTCTAGAAGCACCTCCCCCATCCCTCCAGCTTTTTCCCCAATCATTGACCTCCTAGTGTCTCGCTTCCCCCTCTATCAAATGCAGGCAGCACTGACATTTCATTCTGCTAACCTTTCACCACAGCGGGATAAAGTGGAGAGTGGAGGGCAGCGAAAGGAATACCACTGGGGTATTTAAAAGTGATGAGGGCTCTCTGGCACTAGACAGAACAAGCCCCCAGATGCTGAGAAGCCATGAGGAATCCAGACCTCCACCAGGGTTCAATCCCAGTCCAGGTGGGGTGTGGAGATGGGGCAGCCAAGGATGAGGCATGGCAGGACCTCTCTGTTGGGATGACAGGGGCCTGAGTGGGACTGGGGACCAGCACCCAGAGGTAAGGAGCCCGGTTTGAGTTTGACTCTGAGTCCCAGCTACTTCTTGTCCCTATGGAAAGCTTCTCATTGCAGCTGTGGGGGAGAAGTTTCTATCTCAAGCCAACTGCCTACCCAAGGACAGTTCTTGTAGGTGGTGACCAGTCTGGGACAAGAAGCCACACGCACACATACCTGCAAGCAAGTGGGTGTGAGGGCGGGGAGCCTCAGCTAACTTGCAGCATCCCCTCCTCCCCATCCTCCAAAACCCCTCTCTGTTCTGGCTCCAAGGAAGAAACTAGAATGTCAGAAAAACTCGCAAGACAAGCTCCTGTGATTTCAGCCTCTCCCTCAGCACAGGAAGGGGAGCAAGAGGGGCCGTGCTGGTGAGGGCCATGAGTCAGACGTGGCCCATCTGGGGCACTGACCCGCCCCTGTCTACAGGCTGGATCCCAGGAAGGACGCAAATGCAGAACAGTGCCACCAGCCGGACAGCCTCAGCATCACACTCTGCATCCACCTGCCCAGGTCTAAGGGAAGGAGGGGATCCTCTAAGGAGCCACCTCCAGTCTGTGGACAGCTGGCAGCTGGGCCAGAAACTTCCAGGGGCTTCAACTCTACTGCAGGGCTGGCATCCCCAATCATCTCAGGAGCCTCAGTGGGTGAAGGTGAGGCAGAGAGGGCAAAACAAACTCTCTGGATCGCCAGGACACAAAGTCCCTTGTGCATCCCCTTCCCCCGGCCCCTGCCAGCCCAGCCAGATAGGGAACTTCCCTTTCATAAATGACTCTGCCCAGTCAGAATCCTGTCTGCAGAGAGGAAGAGATCCAGCACAGGCCTCAATGCTCATCAGCCCTAAACGCAAATCCAAGTGCTGCCTCTTGGTGGCTGTGTGACCTTTACAAGTCACCTCATCTCTCTGAAATGCTGCTCTACCAAAGGGAATAAAATACGTACCTTGCGGGGTTGTTGCAAGGACTAGATGAGCTCATGCAGGTAAATAAAGACTCAGCTCAAGGGCTGGCTAAGAGCTCAAAACACAACTGTTGCCAACGGCATCCGCACGCATCCTCTCCTGTGCCTTTCACGTTTGCCCACACTCCCCACCCGTGGCTTTATGGCTGCAGTCCGGGGGACCCAGAGGCAAGACTTAACAGGGACACCCACAGTGACCCCCCTGCTTGCACTCCCGCCCCCTGCCCCCACGGGCCAGGCATACCTGATGGGCTGGAGGTGGGGCTGGACACTCGGGGTGACCCTGGTGGAGCCCTGGGAAGGAGAGAAGAGAAGCAGCATTATGCAGGGGTGGGCAGGATGGCAGGAGGAGCACACCAGAGAGCTGTCCACGGGGGCAAACATGATCCTCTTCTTTCCTTGCCAACATTCTGGCCCTGCCACCCTAACCCCTGCAAAAACACAGCCTGCCCGAAGCCAAAGCCATCAACACTGATTCCACGTGAGTGTGCCTGCCTGTGTGCAAGCCCCAGAGGGACAAAAGGAAGAATCCCGAATGCTGAGGAGTGCACCCCACTGGGCTGGTGCCATCCACACTGAGGGCACACTCAACAGTTACTGAATCAATGGAAACACACTTCACTTTGATACACTCGCCAACACAAGAGAAACCCCAGGAGGAGAATACGACTGCCACCACAAAAGGAGCGATGAGAGTAATGGCGCCCCTCTGTCTTGCCACCATCACCCCACACTTCTCTGCTTGAAAGCTGTAACATCAAGTCATTCAATTGAGTTTAGAGACCAGAACAGGCAGGTGGAGCATGCAGGAACCAAGACGAGGCCTAAGACAGTGAGCCATGCTCCTGAGGGCCCACTCCCCACTGTCTGTGGCAGACAGTAACCATCTCACCCACTCCCCTTTTCACAGCTGTCGAGTGGTACAAACTTAAGCAAATGGGCCCAATCCATCCCAGGGCAGCAGGATGGCATGGCGGGTGTGAAAGCACAGGGTCAGAGGCCCACAGACCACAGAGTTTGGATTCCAGGATCCTGCTGGGCAGCCCTGCCAGTTACTTAACCCCTCTGAGCCTCTTGTAATGTCACATGTAAAATGGGACAACCTTCAGGCTGGCAGTGAGGATCCAAAGGAGTTATGCATATAAGGCACTTCGCATCATGCCTGGTATTTACCAGATGACAGCTGTTGTTTTTGTTGTTACTTTTGTATCAAGAAAAATGAAAAGGGTAGTTACAACCAAACATTCACCTCTATAGAAAACCAACACCCTGCATCGCCTCTACCCATCCTTCCAGTCACCTCACAGGATGCAGAATTGGGAAGGCCAGTTTCTAGATTCTCAGACCTCCTGAGCCCATTGACACCTTCCAAACACCCATGTGCCTCTCAGAAAATGGTCTTTTCCTACCGCCAAGTTGCAGCCTCTTCTTTAAAGAGACAGGACCACAATCTGCCAAGAAAGGAAGAAACTGAGGCACAGAATAACTTACCCTCAAGTCCCTGGGAAGTTGACGGCCAGGCAGGATTCACACTCCAACCTGGGGCTTGACCACGGGGTCTCCAAGAAGAGGAGCCCCTGCACCCCTCTCCTGGCTCCGCAGTGCCTACGAGGCAGGATAGGTGGGTTCCGAGGTCCAGCTCCCAGCTGAGCCCCAAGTTAGAGCAGCTCTGCTAAGAGGGGGACCCTCCATCCAGCTGTCCGGAAGAAGGCTCTGCCCAGAGTCCCAGCTGCCTCGGACCAATGAGCAGCTCCTCAGCAGTGAAGGAGGGAAGAGCCAAGTGGGGCTACTGGGGGGAAGTTTCTAAGTCTCACAGCTCTTCTGGCCCTGAGGACTCCAGTTTGCATGAGTCAAGCTTGGGGGTGGGGGGATTAGACAGGGGTGGAGCTGGGAGTCAACGAGTGACTGTGTTTGGTTTTCAAGACCCAAACCAGGCTGTTCCAAAACTGCCCCCTCAGAGGAACACAGAAACCCAACAGTTCACCCATCTCCATTTCACTGGTCCCTAATGAGGAGTCCCTGAATCTCCCCAGGCCCTAGGCCCTGCTCCAGGCCCCAGGGCCACCCTGCTATAAATAGCCCCTTGAGTTTCATCTGTTGCTGATCCGTAGCCACTTTTGGAGGAAGCCACCACAGCTGCTTTGAACAACTGGAAGCCACAACGGTAGCCAAGACGTGAGGTGTGGCCAGGAGCATGGGACCAGACCCAGGGAGCTGGAGAAAGACAATGGGCCATATTGATATGGGCTTGGCAGGGGGAACTGGGGAACCAAGGGGGGCCGGGAGCCTGCAAAGGTGCAGGGGTAAGCAGGACAAGCAGGACAGGAGACCTGGCTCCCCTTTCCCCACCGCCCTCTTCCAAACATTACAACACTCCACATTCCTCAGCCTCCCCACCCCAAAAAAAGCCAGTGAAGATAAATAAAAACTTGGCCCAAACAGAGTCTGGCCAGGCCGCCTCCAGAGGTGATAAGGCAAAGTCCAAGCCCGCTCTGCTCCACCGGGCGGGGAGGGGAGGGGAGGCATGGGGAGGAAGCCACCCTGGACAGTGACCCCAGTGCAGAGGATGGGGGACGAACAGCTGGGACTGTCATCCCCTGATGAATCACTGGGCTGCCCTCTCACTGACGGGGCTTCCTGTTTTCTGCAAAGTTTGGGGGCACGTGACCCTTGCTGGCGGACAGCAGACATGCACGGTGACACGTCTGAGTGTCGGTACACACAGACAGACAGAACTCAGAGAACAACAAATGGGCTGGGGCAGGGGCACGGCATGTCAGCAAACACACCCTACTGCTCCAGAAACACAGGTGACCTCACACGAGGCTAGAGATGGTGCCTTTGGAAGCATGCCTCATCACGTAGGCTTTTTACAAGCACAGTGGGAGTAACACAAGGCATCCGGTCATCCCTGGGCCTCCAATCTTCATGCTCATTCTCTCATTCAGCAAACATCCACCGAGTGCCACCAGCTGTGTGCCCAGCCATGTTCTAGACACCAGGGGACAAAGGAAGTGAAGTCCCTGACCTCAGAGAGCTTATATTTTACAGACCATGATACTCATCACCATACCCAGTGTGAGGAGTAGAGGTTCCGTCTCATTTGTCCATCTGTAAAATGGGCACTGCACAGTGCTCACATAATCTTCTGCCTACTCCGCGTGGAGCCCCTAGGGAAAACGACTACAGGACTTTACAAACCTTATAAAAAGGAAAATAAGCTCTCTGCCTGCCTGTAATCCTATTCTTTTCCTCTCCGGGGATCACAAATCACCTTACCCAAATGGCTTTGAACTTCTTCCTGGCTCCTCTCAAGACACAGGTTGATTACAGAACTTTTCATCCAACTCTCTAAACACCAAACAGAACTCTCCCCATCCTTACCTCCAAAACACAATCCTTCCTTTGCTGAAAGGGCACCATGAAAGGAAATTCGACAGCCTCCCAGACAGAGTGTCTTACTTTTCTCACTGTCAGGAATTTCCTCCTGGTATCTAACCCTCATCCTTCCTGCTGCAGATTCAGCCAACTCTTTTTGCCTTGGTCCTCATTGCAGGCAAGAGTGGATCACCACTCAGACACTACTGGGTGGCTCAAGGTCTATGACCCCAGGTTCTGTTATCTGCTGCCTTCTTCCCCGTCATGAGGCAAGGAGCACGAACCTCCAGCCTTGGGTGGGGTTGGTTTGAAGCAATGCCTCTGTGGGAAGAGCCCTGCTTTCCTTTGAGGTCCACAGACCAAACACAACAGCTCAGGACCAAAAGAAAAGCCATTTCCTGAGCCCAGATCCCCAGAGGGGCACAGTTGGGAGGAGGGTCTGTAAGCGAACACCAGGGGCCTTGTCAGGCAGCCAGAGATTGGTGACCAACCTACGTCAGGGGCCCGGCCCCATTCCTACATCTCCTCTGGGGGCTGTGGCCAACCCCCACATAGCACCCCCTTCAGCCACACCCCTTCCCCTCTCCTTCCTGCCCACTAGCCTGGATTTTTCCAAAACAAAGTGCGACACAGCACACTATCCACAAACTCCACTACACACCAACTCGGCAGGAGGAAAACAGCCATTCCTGCCTGTGAGTCCTGGGCCGTGGGCCAGAGACAGCAACACAGCTTGACAAACAGCCACATTATCACAGCAGCAGGCCCAGGTCCTCCTCCCCCGGGGTGGACTGCTGGAGAGTCCCGTGGCTGGGCAGGGGACTGGCTCAATGACCCTGGAGCCAACCCAACCTGAGACAGGTGACAGGAGCCTTACAAATTAGGTTTTCTCTCCTCTTTTACAGTACACAGGCCGTTCTGGTAGCTGCTCACTTGCTTACCTTTCCAAAGCTCATTTTGTCTCTCCTCCCATAGCCAGACAAGACAGCACACTTACCCACCCCGACACACAGGCACAGACACATCCATCCCAGATCACCAATACTTTCTTCTAAAAAAAGCCAAAGAGCCTCAGTCACAACTAAACGGCCACCTCTTTCTTCCCTAGGACCAAGGTCGTGCACACTCTTGCAATCAAAAGTTCTTCGTGACGTCTAACTTCACTGTCTCTTGCTGTAGCTCTAGTTGACGGGATCCATCTGGCCCAGACTGGGGATGTGGGGACAGCAGCTCTAGGATGTGGCTCCTGAGTGTGCCCAGACCATTGCCTAGAAGGCTTGGTTCACACACCATCACCCTGTCCCCTTGCCAAAGGTTAGCAGTTCAGGATAACACCAGACCCCAGCAGCAGTCCCAGGAAGGGATGGAGTGGCATTCACCAAATCATTCAGCAACGCCAAGCCTCTGCTTCCTCATCTATAAAGTGGATTCATAGCCTCTGCCATACAGGGGTGTCAGGAGGATCGCAAAACACCCAACACAGCTCCCAGCCCTTAGTCAAAATAACAGTAATAAGAATGGCTTACATTTATTGAGCACGTATGATATATTTTGAGTACATTAAACCTGTACATCCTTGGTAGTAGGTACACACAAAAAATTAGGTTCCCCCTGCACCCCAGTCCCAGAAACATCACAAAGCGGGACAAGGGCCCCTCCCCAGTATGAGTACCCCACGCCCAGGGGAACTCATGCATACCTTGAGCAGAACCTTCCCCACTAATTTAAGAGGCATGCTCCCTGCTCCACCTGGAGAGGCCCCATGCGGTCCATGGGATGCTGCCGCTTTGTAGGGCTGGACATGCAGGGCTGCCCCAGGGCAATGTGGTGGTGGCAGTGGGCTCACCATGGGAGTCAGGCTGCCTATAGGAACTGCCCCTCCTGCTCCCGCAGCACTCCCTCCAGGGCCCTCCCCACCGTGGGTCAGGCAGCTGTCAGATGATAGGGCCTCGTGCCATCAACATCTACCCCTGTGCCAACCACCAAAACCACTCCCTGTTCCTCTGCAGCCCAGGGCGGGTGAAGACGGAGGGGCCAGCACAGGGAGTACGGTCAGAGAGGGGCAGGGAAGAAAAGACAAAGCCCCACTGTGCTGGGAGTCTGCCCCTGGGGTGTGGAGACAAGACCAACCCCGAACGGGGCTCAAAGCACGTCCTGGAAGAGACCCCGAGCCCTTCTGTGGGATCCTTCCATTTCAGGCATCCGCCCCTTCCCCTCTCCCCAAAATGGGAGGCAGGAGGAGCCCATGGGGACCCGTGGACCCATCTCCCAGCCTCCTCCTGAACCAATAGCATCTAAGCCACACAGTGGAGCTTGCTATTTTCTAAGACTCTTGTCTCCAGGGAAGCACTACCACTTCCCCAAGGACTAAGACCCCCCGCCAAGAGTCAGGGCTCCTTCTCTGCCTCAGCCCTCGGTTTCCCTTGCTGTGGTTTTGCGCATTTCCCCTTGATCCCCATGGCCACTCATCACACACCCTCTCTCCTCCCACCCGCCCTGAGCACCGAGGCCTGGCGCAGTCGCTGATGAATGAGCTCTGGATCTCGCTTAGATGGAGGCAGCACCAAAGGCTGAGGCCCAGCCTGTAAGGAAATGGGCCTGCCCACAATGCCAGCCTCTCCTTCTAGAGAGAGGTAAAGGAAGCCCACGAAACAAGACATTATCCACCTCCCACCCCACCCCATTCCCCCTGGCCACCAGGGCCCAGCCCCATCCTTCTTCTCCCCATCCACACTCACGTTGTCCTCGAGGCTTTTCCGTGTGTTTCCACCCCGGGAGGCTCCTTCTCCCTGCAGACAGAGAAAAGGCAGTCAGAGAGGGGAGGCAAGAAAAATAATCAAAATGCACCTTGCTGGGTTTGTCAGGAGCGGCAGATGAGGAGGTTGGCAGAGGGGCCTGGGAAAGAACTTTGGTCTTTGTTTCACATTTCTTTGCCCATATCAAGGCCCCCTCAGAACTAACCAAATCCTCTCCTTTACAACTCACAGCCACTCCTGTGGGAGATACTATTATTCTCATTTTGCAGATAAGAAAACTGAGGCACAGACAGGCTCATGCCTTGCCCACAGTCACATAATTAGAACCTTGGCAGAGTCAAGATTTGAACCGAAGTCCTTCATCTCCAAGCCCATGATTTCCTGCTGGCCATCGCCAGGAGATCTCTCTCGGTAGCTAACCTCAGTTTCCCCATGGCAGAACCCACCTACTTTCCTCCCTTCATCTTCCGCATAGCCTTGAGGAAACTGTCCAACTCTCAGCTAGCTCAGAAAGACCTGTTTGGAAAGATCCGCCTGATTTTCTTGCATTCTGCATATTTCATAAGGAAGCCCACATTTAACCACCGGCTGCTCCCTCTCAGCTCCCACCCTGCCCCTCCCTCTCTGCCTGCCCAGTTGCCTAGCAGCCCATTTCCAAACACACAGGGATGGTCAGATGCCCTTCTCCCAGAGTCAGCAGCCGCCCCACTACTTCCCTGCAAGTTCCCCAAATCTACTCCGGAAGCATTTCCCCAACCACATCTGTCCACTCTCCCCCAAATCCACTCTCCACTTCCAGCCTTCTCACACCTGCCCAGGCTGTTCCAGCTCCCCCACCACCACCTGCCATCACTCACCTTGTCCACTACATTCTTTGGTGCATTCTCAGTGGTGATGGGCTGTGGACAGAAGGAGAAACAGCATGAGCCCTTAGGGCAGACATCCCAGGGATGGGCTCTCTCCCCATGGCTAGTGGCCCTGATGGGCAGAATGCCCCCTGAGACAGGGATGATGAGGCCAACCCAAGACTCAGGCATAATCTGGCTGGCCCCAAGCACAGGAGGGAGAGTTTGACATGTGGAAAACCATCCTAATAGTGCTAGAACCATCTGGTTCCACAAACCTTCACCAAAGACCCACGCTCAGTGCCCGGCGCCAGGCCTCTGGTTCATACAGTTGCTGACCCCACAAATTGGAGAGGTCAATGACTTACAGCATCTCATTTATTCCCAAGAATCCAGGGAGGTGAGTACCATTAATACCTTTTATCCCCACTCTACAGATAAGAAAGTTAAATGACTGAGCCAACATCATCAACTCTAATAGAGACGGCAGGATTTGAACCCCATCTTGGGGCTCTAAGTGAAATCCCAGCAGCCTGAAATAGTGCAGCCAGCCAGTCTCATTACTTCAGTGGGCTTTCAGGCCACCCACCACTGGGCCTCACACACCTCCATTTCCAAGCACAAAGGCTCTGCTCCATCAGCCCCAGCCCCTAAACTCTTCTTGCCTGTTCCCACATCCAGGTCTTTACTTATGGAATGCTTTCCCTTCTTTTCCTACAAGGAGGGCTCTCTTCCTCCAGTTAGCCCTCCCTGGCCACCCCAGCAAGTAGGATCTCTTTCCCACCTCTGAACTCCAATCACCTCCCTGTCTGGTCCTTAGTGTATGAATAATCTCATCATGGGAATAGATGACTTGTTTCCCCAACTATTGTTTTATTTGTGATTCTTATTCCACCTTCATCCAAAATAGATTCTAAGCAAAATTTGGACCAATTCATTTGGAAACTCCCTCCTACCAGGGTGGATGTATGCATAGTGGGCCATCAATAAACTCCTGTTGGCTGATCCCATCCCTCACTCTGGCACCCTCCTTTCTTCACTCAGGGCAGCAGAAGGGCTTCCTACTAAAGATGGTTTGATTTCTCCCCATAGCAAGAAGAGAAACTTCTTATGCCAGGTTCACCTCCTGATCAGAATCTGAGAGGATTCTGATCCACCGTTTCCAACTCAGTGAAGTGGTTATGGGGCCCTCAAATTGGGCAGAAAGGCCTGAGCACAACTGGAATGGTTGTGAAGCAAACCTTGACGAGGACAAGTGTGACCCAGGTTTAAGACCATGTGTCTCGGCACAAGAGGCGCCTGCTCCAACCCCATCCCTGAGAGCTGAGGGATGAGCTGCTCATGTCCAAAGGCAGGGGAATGGACAGAATGATCCTCTAAAAGGTTCCGGCGTCAGGGAGGAGGAGTGGGCACAGATAGGCATGGAGGAAGAGACTGGGCTGAGCGGAGGTAACAGTGCTCTCTCTGGAAATGGCCCAGACTCATCTACCCCTACTGCCTGGAAGACAGGCGGCTGAGGCCAAAACTACTCTCCAGGGGATGAAACTTCCTGAGCAGTTCAGGGCCAAGGCAGCTGGGGACGGTAGAGGGACAACGGGGTCCAGGCACAGGGGTTGGGGGGACAGGGGCCAACCCCTCCCACACCTCTCCTCCACTATCCTCCCTGCTGCTAGGTACACCACCTTCTCTCCACTTGGAGTCCGAGGATGGCTCTGGAGGAGGAATAATGATGGCACGTTCTGCCCTCTCTCAGCTCAGCCCTAATCCTAACCCACTAATCCCCTAACCCACTCAGGGTAAGTCAGAGCTCGTGGAGCTGCCTGCTTATTAGGACCAGGTGCTCCCCTCAGCCGCCAACAACCCAGCCCCACCCACCCCTCTACCAGGGACCACCCCCCACACCCCCTCCCCGCTAAAGCAGTGTCGCCCACCCCAGGCCCTCTCTACCCTCCAGCCTCTCCCTTCTTTTCCAGGGGCTCTGTCATTCCCACGTGGAGACCTGAGGTTGGGCAGAACAGCCCAGCTGCCTCGTCTCAGAGCTGCTCTGGTCTCCTGTGGGAAGGAAGGGAACTCCCAGAAGGCAGACCACAGCGGAACTGAGATGCAAACCCAAATCCCCCAACTCCAAAGCCCTCACTCCTGACCTGTCCGCTACCCAGCCTCCTAGAATGGACAGACATGGAGTAGGGTGGACAAGCTAGAGATGCTACACCTGCCCCAGGCCCGTTCAGGGCCCAGAAAAGCCTCTCTTCCTCCTCTGGTTAAAGCCTCCTAATAGGCCTCGACCCTCAGCAGAGCATGAGCCCAGGGGTCTCAAACTTGAACATGCATAGCACCACCTAGAGGGCTGTTGACCCACAGGTGCCTGGGTGCCCACACACACACACACACACACACACACACACAGTTAGACCTACGGTGGGACTTAAGGACGTGCATTTCTACCAGGTTTCCAGGCAACACAGGTCCCAGATGCTTCTCCGAGAACAACCAGCCTCAGCTAACAGCTCCCTTGCCTCCAGGCAGGACAACTCCAACTCGGAATCAGCTTGGGAGCAGGTGGCAGGATTTGGACTGACTGCTCCCTAAAAGGCCTTGGCAGCAGACTGCCCAGGTCCACATGCTAATTCTCTCGGCTGCTACCTAACTATGCAACCTTAAGCAGGTCACCTTGTCCTTCCTGCTCCTCAACAGGCCCGCACAGGGTTATTTTGGGGGGATCAAATGCAATAAAGCACATAAAGCACTTAGAAGAGTGCAAGACACTAGAAAGCTCTCAATACTTGTCAGCTATCACTATTGTTTATCGTCTCTAGCCTCGGGGCAGCACCTCATATCCCTGAGGCCCAGGCCCTCTCCAGCCCACCCTGCCTCACTGTGACCCTCTTGCCCCAACCCTCCTGGGTCTGGCATGGTGCACACAAGGGAGCTGAAGTCAATATTAGAAACCACAGGCCTCAGCAGTGCAAGAGAAACTTTCTCCTCCTGCCAGTGATCATCTGAGCACCATCCCCTTTGCCCCCACCCCTTCCCCATGCCAGCTGGAGGCCGGCCACAGGGTGACGCTTGCCAGAGTTCAGATGCCTTCAGCTTACTGGTTGAGATGCTTTCTGAGGAGCTAAAAATTTCCAAGTCCCCACCCCCTGCACCATCTAAACATCCCAGTTGTCCTGCAGTGTTTGCAAACACAGCCAGCATGCATGCTGCCCGACCCTCCTCTGCCCTCCAACCCAACTCTCCCAGGATTCAAGTCCTATCTCTCTGTTTCCCAACACTTCCAGCCTTGGGGCTACTGGGAAGGAAAAAGGCATGGGACTGGTAACAGGAGGGCAGGATCCCCTGAGGCTGCCACTGCCCCAGGCCCTGCAGGGAGGCCGGGGCCAGTGGGAAGCCCTACCATTGACACTGCCTAATGAGTCCAGCTGGCACTCCCGGGACCCTCTGGAACCAAAGCCCCTGACCTTCATCTTCACTCCATTCCTGGCCAGGATGTTTCTACAGCTACCACATACACATACACACACACACACACACACACACACACACACACACACACACACACACAACCATCCTTGCATGCCACTCCTGGGGACATCTGCTCTGAGAGGGACTTAAGACATCATCTCCTCCATCCCCCTGTTTCACACATGGGGAAATTGAGGTCCAGGGAGGTCTGATCTGCCCAGCCTTTCATGGTGAGGTTTGTGGCATGGCTGGAGCTGGTTCCCAGGTTTGTAAAGCCCACTGCCAGGCTCATCTCACTGCCCTCACCCTTGGCCCCCAGCCATCCTGCTGGCAGGGTGAGCTGGTGCCTCCCTGCAGGCTCTTCTTTTCCTTCCTCCTCAAGTCAGCTGCAAAGGGATGAAGTGGGTGGAGGCCAAACACAGACAGACCCCTATGTCTGTCTCCACCCACTGCCCAGTCCCAGGACAAAGCCTGGAGCTTAAGGTCCCCAGGCTTTCCAAAGTGAGAGCAGCTGACTCACTGTTCCACCAGGGGTCTTCCAGAGTCCCCCCTTACCTCCCAGGAGGGACAACTCAGAATCCAGCTTAGAAGCAGGTGGCAGGGTTTGAACCTATCACTACCTGAAAACCAAGCCCTGCTCTTAGCGGGCTGCTCTGCTCTAGAGTCCCAAAACCAGCAGTTAGAGCAAAGCAAGGTGGGGACTAGGGCGAATGTTGGGGCACAACATTTAAGAAGGCATTGCTCTCACTCTGAGGTCCTGCGAGTGCACTTGCATAATCCTGAGAGTGATGACTCCTCAGATCTTGCACCCTAGAGGCCTCACTCTCTGGCCCTCATCCTGGCCCTGGCCCTGAGATGCCTTTTCATAAACTTATTGCAAGAATTACAACTATTCATTTAGGGATGGCAATGCCCGGAACACAGTACTGGGCTCTTTGCTTTCCTGATCACCAGTCCTCACAACCACCCTGGGAGGCGAGCATTACCGCAGGGTACAGTTTAGGAAACTGAGGGCCTGGGAGATGTAGTGACTCACCCAAGGTTCCACAGCCAGTCGGTAGGAGAGCTGCTGTTTGAACCTTGCTCCTCACCTCCCCATCATGCTATCTCCCCTCTCCCTGGCAATGATCTCCAGGCAGTTCCTCTGATAACTGCCTTCCTGTGGGGAACAAGCTTTCTGAAAATTGAAGGCCAGTTATAGCAGGACTTCTGTCCAGGTCCTCAGTAGGAAGACACTTCTTAACCATACTTCCACAGAAAGAATAGGAACTGGGCTGCATAGGAAAGACTGAGATCAGACAACAGAGAGAACTTCCTGAATTCGAGGGGTCGGGAACCACAGGGTGGATAAGGGAAGCTCCACATCCTTTCCTCAATTTTTTTCCAAAAAAAGACACATATGCCCTCTCCACACATGCCTTTACCCTCCCCCACTGCATGGGCCCAAGGTGGGGCCAGGAGGGGCCTTTCTGCTGGAAGGTTGGGGGGTGGCTGCCAGGACGGCCTAGAGGCTCACGCAGGAGGACAGGTTAGTGGCCTGCAAGGAGGGTGGGCTGGGAAAAATGTATCTGTGCTGCTGTTTTAGAGGAAGGAAACAACAGGGTGGGGGAGGTTCCCATGCCTGAGCCCAGGGCCGAGGGGAAGGGGATTGGGGAGGAGGGTGCGCAGAATGCGGGCTCAGCCTCCGGAGGAACATTCCGTCCGGAAATTCCTTACACCCTGCCCCTTTCCACCCTCCAACTCTCCCGACTCTTGCCCCCTGGGAGGCCTGGAATCTGGGGGGCTTGGGGGCCAAAAAGACCACCCCATGACCAGATCTACTGCCATGGCAATGAACTGCGAGGTCACCATCGCACTGCCTATCAAGAGGGGAAGGAACTGGGAGCTGGCAGGGAGGGCTAGCGAGGGCTGGAATGGCCTCAGACCCAGGACCCAGAGAAAGTTATTCTAGGCTCACTTGTTTCAAAAATAGAATCATAAGCAAATGCAAGGAGGGGGCTAAAAACAGAAGGGAAGGGCAGGGAAACAGAGTTTATGGGGCACTTGGAGCATGGCAGGCTGTGAGATGGCACGTTAGAGGTGCGGCCCCATTTAATCGTCCCCACATACAGACCTATGAGAGCCCTCTATCAACAGCCTAATCACGAAAACAAGGCAGCGGCAGCGGCAGAAGGCAGCAAAGGGAGAGAGCGCTTTCTCCGTGCCCCGTGCCTCCCAAGGCATCACCTCCCTTCACTGTCATAAGCAAGGGCTCTAGAAGGAGCACTTTGAACACCTTTCTGCAAATGAGGAGACGGAGTTTCCAGGGAGGGTGGCCGCTCAATGTGAGATCAGATCTGCGCCTCCGAGTCTAAGACCTCTGAGGTCTGCACCTCCCAGAGCCCTGTGCTCTCCCCTCGCTCAGTCTTGAGGAAGTGGGAGCCGATGGGTGAGGGCTAGAGAAAGAGCACTGAGCAGATGGGGCTGGCAGAGGATGCTGGCAGTGGAGCCTGGGACCCTGAAGTATATCTGCTCAGTTGCTCCAGGGGCCACATCCCCTCCCAGCAGGCCCAGGCCACCAGAGGAAAAGAATAGGCTCCATGTGATTAAGGGGAGAGTTATGTCTGATTTCTCCACAGGGGAAGGATCTGGCCAGACCACACCTGTCCTCAGCCCCTTCTCCTAATTCACCCCAAGGGGCCCAACACCCAAATCCTGACTGAGGCTGTGCAACTGTGGACACCCCCAATGCAGCCGGCTTGCACAGGTTGGAATATTTTGTGTTCCCTCTTGCCATGTCCTTCAGTGGATATGGCTCTCCTCCCCGACCTGGCCAGGGCACTGGAAGGCTGTGCCCTTCCTCCACACCCCTCCAGCCACCCTTGCCTGCAGCCTTGAAGCCACACTGAGCATCTATACCAGCTCAGCCCTCCCCTGGCGGTCCCTCCCTGCCAAGCCACCCTGAAACTGGCAGCAGACTCCCAGCTCTAACACCCTGCTTTGGGTCACTTCCCCACTCAGGGACCCAGGATAGCCCTTAGTGCTTAGCACATCAAGTTCAAGTTCCCCAGTGTGGTTTGTGGACTCCTCCAATATCTGGCCCCTTCTCCCTCCAGCCACTCCACTGCTTGCTCTCTCTTCTCCAGCATGCAGCCTCTGTTCACAGCTGCTCAGGCCCACCAGGCCTGTCACGCTCATCCCTGCCCCCATTCCTGCACCCACACTGCTCCCACCACAAGCCCCAGGCAGGGTCACCAAGGGTTGTTTGGGCCCTGGTGATACAAGATTGCCTGGTTCTCTCTTCCCGCCAGCAAGAGAGACTTGCCCAAAACATTTACACTAGATTGCCTGGCCCTCTTTCAGACTCAGCAATTGGTACCAAGGTCCTACGCCCTTTCTGTTTCAGCCCTGCTACCTTCCAAAACGCCCTCCCTCCTTCCCTCCTCTCTTCTATTTGTTCCAGACTTAAACTAGGCTTGAACAGAAGGCAGGTTTCCCCAACCACCACAGCACAAGCAAATCACTTCCTCCCCTGAACACCAAGGCTACCACCTCTGGTCAAAACCCCAGAGTCAGGCACTATTTCCATAGTGTGGTTCTCCCTCTCCCACTGAACAGAGGGTTCCCTGAGGTCAGAACCCTTCACCCTACTTGGGCCTTTCAAAGTGGGGATTACAGGGGAGGTATTCAGCACATTCAGGGATGCCTGGACCTCTGTGGATCTTGTCACTTTGTAACGCAGCCAAATGACAGGACCTCAGTGAGCCTGAGGACTTCTACCCAGGCAGCTCCCTGTGGAGCTGGTGCTTCCATCAGCATGGTGCCTTATACCTGATAGGTATCAGTAAGAATGTTTTGGGTTTTTTTGTTTTGTTTTTGTTTTTGTTTTGACACGGAGTCTCGCTCTGTCGCCAGACTGGAGTGCAGTGGTGCGATCTCAGCTCACTGCAACCTCTGCCTCAGCCTCCCAAGTAGCTAGGACTACAGGCACAAGACACCACGCCCAGCCAATTTTTGTATTTTTAGTAGAGACGGGGTTTCACCATGTTAGCCAGGATGGTCTCGATCTCTTGACCTTGTGATCCACCCGCCTCAGCATCCCAAAGTGCTGGGATTATAGGCGTGAGCCACCGCATCCAGCCTAAATGCTGTTCTTTAAGGAGCACTTTGAACCCCTTTTGGCAAATGAGGAGCTGAGTTTCCTCCTCTTTCTGAGGACCTCTACCTACCAAGTTCTACTTTGCAGAACAATGGAAAATGAATCCATTTGTCTTTCAACATATTCTCACTCCCATTCTGTGCCCGTCCCACGTCTTCTCTCTCTAGGCTAAGCGGCCCTAGGGGTTGCACAAGTTGGGGTTTTCAACCTCCCTCCCCATGCTCAGCATCCTCTTGGGAATGCAATGCTCAGAGTTTGCCCCTCCCCTTTGAAAATCAGCCATTTTTTCAGGATTTCCCAAGGATGGCCACCCATGGCCTGCCCAGTGCCTTGGGATGAAATGCATCGGGTCGGAGTTCAGGCTGACTGAAGTGACTGCACATCACCCTTGATGGAGCGAGCCCGCACACTGAAGCTGAGTGCTCCGCTCCCTTTCTCTGCTTCCAGTTAACGTCACATCCTTCTCTGCTTCCATGAGGCAGCACAATGCCTCAGATCTGACACTGCGAGACCTTCAGAAAGTCACTTAAGAAGATCAGGGCCTGTTTCTTTATCTGCAAAAGAACAGGATGGGACTAGATAGCGTCCAAAGTCCTCTCCACCCTGTGGCTCCAGGTCTACTCCATGCCCGTCTGTCTTCAAGAAGCACTGACAACTGTGGCAGAAAGGAACTCTGAAGCCCCAGCACGTAGAACAGTGCCTGGCACTGAGGGGTCCTAAGCCCAGGGGGTAGGTGCTCCAGAGATATGTATTGGTAAGATGGCTGGATGGTTACATGGATGGACAGACCCTCCCTCAAATCCCAAGCCTACTGGCAAACAGAGAAGCTAGCTGTTTAGAAAGAGGGGCTCAGGAGAAGCCCATCACCCGGCAACATCGGGTACTTAAATCAGGAGCAAGCACCGAGGGCAGCCTGGGGAGAAACACAGACCAAGAATCCACTCCTGACCCAGCCCTGCCACTGCGAGCTGTGTGACCATGAACAAGGCACCCAGTTTGCTCCATGTACAGTTTGTTCCTGTCTTCTCAGGGTGGGCTTGGGCCTGCCAGGCTTCCACACAGGTCACTGTGAGGTCCCAATGGCCCCACGTCATGGAAAAGGCTTTGAAAACGGCAAGTGCTATGCAAGTGACAGTGACGTCAGTTATTATTCATGCTTAGGAGGGTGAACTCTGGTGCCAGACCACCGTGTCAGAATCCCAGCTCCCCCTTTTCATAGCTCTGTGGCCTTCAGCTTCAGTTCTTCATCTGTGACATTGGGATCATCACAGCACCTCCCTCATTGCACTGTAATCAGGATTAAATCAGTTTATTTTTGTAAAGTGTTTAGAACGAAGCTCGGCAGATATGAAGTTCCAGTAAAGGGTTAATCTCTCACTGTTGCTATTACTATTATGAGTGAAACCAGCCTCCTCGGGCTCCCATGGTGTCCCCCTGCAATCCAAGCATGATTTCCTACTGGGCAATTCCTATTCCCCCATTCACCTCCTCCCCTCCAGACCCCCCACCCTGACCTGCAGACCTCCAAGTCATTCTACAGGGACGTTCCAAGCCCCTGTGCTGGGCCTGCCTGGGCAAGTAGAAGCAATGTGCACATCATTCCACCCCCAGTGCAGCTCTCCCGCACACAGAAGACCTGACATCCGCCGACCTTGGTGGCCAACCCATTTGGCGATCACCCTTGAAAAATTCTTTTGACTTATTTTTCAGAAGTTGAGAAAAGCTGCTTCAGCTCTTTGCAAGGATCAGGAGTGTCCGTGGCAAACAAGCCCTCTTGCCTCTCCATCCTGCCCCACCAGTGCCCCACAGGAGGGTGGTGACCCTAGGTCCCTTCTACCCAAGGCCTTGGGCAACATCTGTTGAGTAAGATGAAAACATGGTTGAAGATTAAGCCACTTTACCCTGGCTGGCCCGGGCACAGGTTGGGAAATGTATTTGGCTGGCAGGGCCTGAAGCCGGGCAGAAATTCTATGTCTGGGATGAGAGGTCCTAATCCCAGGGGTTGGAATTTAAGCAAGATCAGTGAGAAGTCCAGACAGAGAGCTGGAACTCAACTGAGACATGAAGAAAACACAACACACAGAAGGACAGACACACCATGAGGGACAGAGAATGGGCAGGGAGGCCGGAGAGCAGCCTACCGAGGCTGAAGGGCAGGCAACAAATGGAAAAGGAAGGAAAAATACAAACCCGCCCTTTCCTCCCTCTTGTGAACCTGTTCAAAGCACTTGCCTCGCCCGCCCGTGAGGAAACAGGTGCTGAGTGCTCCTGGGGAAGCCAAACTTTCTCCCGGTTTCCCCTGGGCCACTTTCCCACTCCCCAGGGACAGTAGCAGAGCTTCCAGCTGAAGGCAGCTGCCACCTTCCCCCATGGCCCCCCACCTTTAGGACTCAACAGCCCCACCCATTCACCAGCTAGGGAACATGGAGTCATAGCAGTCCTGTTTATTGAGTACCTAATCTGCCAGACATCGGGCTGAATGCCTTCCTTCCAGCCATTCAAGAAACATATATAGAGCACCTACCGTGTGCAAGGCAGCGGGGACACAGCACCGAACAAAATAGATAAAAATTCCTTGTCCTAATGGAGTTTACATGCTGGCATGGGCAAAACCCCTTAAACAAGATAAATAAGTAAAATGCATAGTGTATCGGGGCGATGCATGCTGAGGGGCAGTGGAAGCATGGAAGGGAGACTGGGTGCTGGGGAAAGGGAAATGCTGACACTTCAATAAAAATTTGAGGTTCGGCCGGGCGCGCAGTAGCTCACGCCTGTAATCCCAGCACTTTGAGAGGCCGAGGCGGGAGGATCATTTGAGGTCAGGAGTTCAAGCCAACCTAGCCAACCTAATGAAACCCCATCTCTACTAAAAATGCAAAAATCAGCAAGGTGTGGTGCCGTGCGCCTGTAGTCCCAGCTACTCAGGAGGCTGAGGCGGGAGAAATGCTTGAACCCAGGAGGTGGAGGTTGCAGTGAGCCAAGATCACACCACTGCACTCCAGCCTGGGCAACACAGTGAGACTGTTCTCAAAAAAAAAAAAAAAAAAAGACTTGCGACTGGGGGAAAAGCCTTGTGGGTATCTGTGGGAAGAGCATTCCAGGCAGGGGGAATAGTAAGTGCAAAGGCCTGGAGGCATCATATATGTTCAAGAACCAGCAGGAAGGCCGGGCGGCTGAAACAGAATGAGTGAGGTGCTGAGAAGGAGATGAGGTGAGAGAGGAAAATGACAAGACACGGGTGAACGAGAAGGAGCTGAGGCAAAAGGAAACCTGTCACGTAGGGCTGCTTGGGCCAACGGAAGAACCTGAGCTTTTGCTCCAGTGAGGTGGGCCAGCATTGAAGGACTTGGAAAACATGAATTAAATGGATTAATGTGCTCACTTTGGTCTTTTGGCAGGCTTACAGCATAGGTACCGTCACTAACGTCCATTATGAAGAAGAGAAACGGAGGTCCAGGGAGGTTAGCAATGTCAGGGTCGTACACCAGGGAGCGGGGGAGCTGGGATGCAGAAGGAGGTGGTCTAACTCCCTCGCTCTTTACCGCTGGGGAGGCGGGTTGTGACTCAGGCAGGGGAGCCTCTGGGAGCACCGTCTGGTGACACAGCCATTTCACCACCAGGTGGCTGATCCAGCCTCCTCGAAGGGCAGAGCCCCCTGCACAGGCGGGGCACCTCACAGAGACACGCAGCCTTGCTCAGGCACGAGTCTCTTCTGGATTCTAACTGCAGTCCCCCCAGCTGGAATGCCAACCTATTCCCTTTTGTCCTAACCTCTGACCGCTCTTCATGTAAACAAAGCTCATGAGACTCCCAGCAGCCAGACATCTAGCTTCTGCCTGGTGGTCCCTAAACCCTGAACCCCCAGCCTCATAAAGCAGCCAAGGACATTCTGTTCTTAGCCACAAGGTGGGAGTTCAGCTGGAATAAGGAGAAATGGACACTCACCCCTCCCCGCCCGCCCTCCTCGGACTCCCATGGTGTCCCTCTGCAATCCAAGCGCGATTTCTTGCTGGCAGTTCCAAGCCCGACTGCACTCCACCCCCCAGCCCCCGCTGTTGCCAGATGACCCTCCACTGGGCTCCGTATGAATAACACTCCACATCTGCAGCAGCAGGGCTGGGCAGCACTGAGGCCCGGGAGAGCCTGGCCCTAGTGAGACCAGGGAAGGAGGGACCACTGCAAAGAAGGTAAACAACCCCAGCAGGCCTGAGCCCGAGCGTGCAGAGCAGTGACACTTAGAGTCCCAAGCACTTCTGTGCACTTCATTTCACTCCATCACCACCCTGAATAGGGAGGGAGGGAGAGGGAACACTCATCAACATGGAGGGGCCCCTTGGAGCATCTCCACAGCAAGGAAAATTGAGGTCCAGAAAGAAACAGGATGGGACCAGCCCCTTGTCATACAGCAAGTGGATATTGATGAAAGGAAGGAGACTCTGGCCTGACTGAGCACCCAGTGTCTGGGCTGAGCAAGTCACAACAGAGGTGTGTGAGGTACCTACAACTGCCTGGGCCCCAGGACAGCCACGCCCCGCCCCAGGCTCCTGCCGACATTAGTACTGCCACAGGCAACTCCACAGCCTGATCCGATTGTGCCCGCAAGGTGTCCTTCCGGGACACACCCACACACCTGTACACAGGCACACAGGTGCATGCAGGCAGCCCCCTTCCTTCCCCAGCAGCGCCCAGAGCCTTGTCTGCTTCTAGGGCCATGGTGGGGAGGAAGAAGACCTCTGAAGGGTGAGAAGGTGGCGAGAGGCAGGAAGGAAGAGTGCCCAGTGTGCCAAATCAGCCCAGCTGGCATCAGGGTGGAGCAGGGCCCTCTCTACAGCCCACAACTCACAGGGATCCCACCCCAGTCCAGGCTATGGTGCAAGGCTGATTCGGGGGTGACGGGAAGAGGAGTGGGGGAAATGGAAAGGGAGCAGAAAAGCAAAGTCAAGCCAAGGGGCTTAGAGGCAGAACAGAGGTCGCCTGTAGGGAAAAACTGCCCAGGTGAATGGACTCTGAGGGTCATCCCCCGCCTCCAGCCCCAGGGTGCCTGACCCGGGACCAGGCAGGCAGAAGGAGATGCCGTGGCAGCCCCTGGTCCTCTGAGTCCCGGGACAACAGGCACCTGGCCAGGCCTGGAGACACACAAGATGCCCTTTTATGGGTTTTTCTAAGGACGCAAGTCTCAAGGTTGGAAATAGCAGGCACTGCATCTCATCAGAAGGGACCTCATGACTCATTTCCTCCCAGGCCCGCTTCGGCCCAGGGAGGTCGACCCTCCTCCTCCACCTAATTGTCCGACACCCCAGTTACCAACATATTTGGGTCTAAAGAAAGCTGCAGCTGGGAGCTGCGGAGGGAGAGGAGGCAGGGCTTGCAGGGCAAGGAAGGGCTGTCACTCACCACCAGCTCATGGTTGGATGGAGGAACGCAGGGGGCAGCCACCTGTGGAAGGAACAGAGAACGGGCAGGTGAGCATATCTTGTCTCTAGAGACAGCCAGCACCTCCTGAGGTCACCCCACACCTCCCCCTGCTTCATTCCCTCACACGGGCTGACACCTTCTGGGTTGAGAGTTCTTCAGCAGACTATGGAGCAACACAGAAAAACTACTCCAGCAATAACGCCTGGGAAAGGGAGCGGGGGCCGCAGAAGGCAAAAATGAAATGAGCGTCACAATTAAAATTCTGTGACAAATATGCACATGCTGGGAGACTGGAGATCACTGCACCGGCATTTCAATAACAGAAGCTTCAGGTAATAAGAAGAAGGATTTTTTTTTTTTTTTTTTGCTCTATGTCCTGAATTTTCTACAATATGGTAAAATTCATTTTACATTTTTAAAAACTGTGATTAGGACCATCATCAGAAAAGGGAGAGTCACCTCCTTGGTTCTCCCCATTGCTAAGGGATCTCACCCAAAGGTCAGAGCTGCAGAAGGCTCCTACCAGCTCTGGCACTTTCCCGGAGCATGCATGAAATGGGTTGGTAAAAGGGACCCACCAGCCCTTCCAAAGAAAGCCATGAGTGTGGCTAACACATGTGGAAGGCTTGGAGAGGCAGAAGCACTCTCTGGGAGTGAGCTATGATCTTCACCAGTTTCATGATCCTCATCTTCCTCTCTGATCCAGAGAAGGAGATGGCAACTTGAACTTCCAGACAGAGGGAAGAAGGGAGAGGGGGAGAGTAGAGGGGAGGGAGGGAGAGGGAAGAGGAGAGTGGAGGGGAGGGAGCGAGAGGGAGGAGGAGAGTAGAGGGGAGGGAGGGAAGGCTCCATCGCTCCCTTCCCTGAGATAACATTCCCCTGGCCAGGCCTGGCAGGCGAGCCATTACCCTGACAATTAGCAGGGGCATTTATCAGAGACTGAATGTGCTCCTTTTTTCTAGCCAGGACACGTTTTTCTTGGAGCTCAGTCCTCAACCTTGGCTCCGATTCCCAACCTGAACACCAGGCAAGGGGCCCACAGTGGGCACAGAGTGGGAGACTGTCCCTCGGGCATGAGGTTATCTGGGAACAAGCCATGGATGTCCAAAGAGGGGGTAGCTGCCTCCCCCAGACAGTGGGCAACCCCTCCCCACCCACCAGCCCGGTGGAGTGGTGGCAGCAAGAGCCCTCAGCCCAGCCCCAGCTGGTACTGACTGGGCATTGGGCACCCTAGCTGAGCCCTTCCTCCAGCTGACCGCATGCTGTCATCCCAGCAGCCCAGGGATTCCCCAGGCTTGACACAGCAGCCCAGATAAGGTCAGCACCTGTGGGACAGTGTGCTCCAAGCTCTGGAAGGGGCAGAGGTGGCTGGGAGTTGGCATTCCTGGGTTTTTGACACAGTCGGGCTACAGACTCCCTGCCCAACTCATTCTCCAGCAAAGAGGCCCAAATGGAGTCCTAGCATTTATTCCTCTTTGCTCCACAGAATTCTAGGACTGGTGGGAGAAGAACAGGGGGCCGAACAGAACCAACAACAATAATACCCAATACTATTGAGTGTGTACTAGATGACAGGCATGATTATAAATGCTTTACCTCTGTTAACATTTTTAATCCTTTCAATAACCCAGTAAGGTGGGTTACTATTGTTATTCCCACAGTTGCGGTGCGCGGGGCATGGATGGGTTAAATTGCCTAAGGTCACACAGCTGATAAGTGGCCGAGATTTGAACCCAGGCAGTCTAAGTCCCAAGATGACATGTGAAGGGAAGCTTATCACTCGTGGCCCCAATTTCGGAAGAATGAGGAGACACAGGGGGAACAGAACTGCCCCCAGAAGCCCGGGGTCCTTAATCCACACCAGCACGGGGCTATGAGTGATTGTTTTAGAAGAGGCCTCTGAGAGACAGAGCCCAGGGCTGGGGGAGAGGGTGCCAGGGTAACAGACTGGGCGGGAAGGGGAGGTCCCCAGAGCTGGCTGTGGCCTGCAGGGCTCTCTGCTTACCCTGCCCACGAGACCAGGTCTCAGCTACGGGGGACACTGCTGTCCCTGCCAAGCACAGCACCAAACCCTGCTCTGGGGACTGGGAGTTTTCAAGGTCAGGGGCCAGGGCCCCAGGGTGCCTTCTCCCAACCCACTCTGTCACCATGGGTCCCTCAGTCCTGGGGGAGGGAGTACAATTCCCAGGACAGCACCCTTGCTGTGTTCTTTTTCTGAGCTTGGGCTGGGCAGGGACCGCGAGCCAGGCCAAGCTGCCAGAGGACGGGCTGATGCCTGCCACTGCCAGGGCCCCAGGTTCCACCAGTCCCCTCCCTCACAGGAGGTGTGTTTCTGCTCTCCATTTAGAAGCTGGGGATTGGAAAAGGGAGGGAGGGGGTTATGGCTACATTTTGAACCAGCAGCAGAAGAGACAGGTGTTCTCTGAGACGAAGAGGAAGGTCTCCCTCCCAGACCTACTCTCAGGCAGTGGACAGGAGGGGGCCCAGGTATCCTGACCGCAGGTCCCTTCCCTGGCCTCCCGAGGCAGAGGCACCCCCTAAGAACCTGGCCCTGCGGGGGAGCTGTCAAGCCCCAGCCCAAGGGCCTGATGCCTTGGTGCCCCCTCGTGGCCTGCCACCCCCGACGGCGTCCTCCATCCTCCGCCCACAGCCGTGCATTCCAGGCCCACTGGCCGGCCAGCCCACTGACTTTGTTGTGTGTTTCAGTGTTTCTTGTCTCTCTCTTTTTTTTTAAGCAAAGAAATGTTTCCTTAAAAGGCTCTCGCCTTCTCTCCGGCACCCTGGCCCCTGGCCACCCTCTCAGGAGCCCGGAATGTGCCAGGGAGAGCCAGGGCCCCCTGCCACTCTATGGCCCATGCCCTGTGGCCCCACAGTCCTGGAGTCCCCAGGGGGCCCAGGTAAGGAAGCCTCCCTCTGCAGGGGGCAGACTCTGGGGGTGGCTATAGGGGGTCTTGGTGCCAGCGCTGTCATAGGCTCACCTCCCAGAGCTGTCAGTGCAGGATTCCAGGGCTCAGACCCAGAAAGTCAGCCTCAGGTAAGCCCCCTTCCCCCAGTGGACCTCAAGCAAACCATTTAGACATTGGGAACTGACAGGGTGTCCTGCTCAATCTTTTCACTCTCAATAACATAGCAATAAAAATCACAGCAGCAAATAAACTCCCATCACCCTTGCTCTGTGCCAGGCACTGTTCTCAGCAGTTTGCATTAATTAACTCATTTAATTCACGTAACAATGCTGAGCGTTGTCATTATTATCCCCATTTTGTGGATGAGAAGACTGAGGCACATAGAGGCTAATGAGTTGGCCAACAGGAGGCACGATGCAAAGTCAGGGTCCGGGTCTGGAGACATGCTCTTGTCCTCTATGCTAGAAACACACACATCCACGGAGCCATCCACAGCCACAGGAACAATGCTCACGGAGTGAGTGCACTATGTCTACACTCAGCCCTTTGCTCATACTAACCAAAGCTTAGTTACTGTACCAAGCCCTTTGCTCTCATTGGATGCTATTACCCCCAATTCACAGATGAAGAAACTAAGGCACAGAAAGGTTAACAATTTGCCCAGCACTGCAGCAGAGCAGTCTGGCTCTGGAGGCTGCGAGGTGGAGCCCCGTGGGTGCAGCTGGAAGGTGAGCATGGTAGCCTCCCAGACCAGGGCTGATGCCTGGCACTCGTCAGCCCCCACACCCACTAGTATTTTCTCAACTTCAAAGGTCCCTGAGCACAATGCCAACAACAGGGCACACCCGTGCAGACTCCCCCAGGACATGAGGGAAAAAGCACTAGAGAGCAGCCAGCCCAGGCAGGGAACTCCCTGCATGACCCAGGCTCTGCCCTCCTCTCCCTCTTCGTTCTATGCTCAGCCCCCTTGTCCGGGACCCGAAGCCACACACAGAGGTGGGTTCCCCTCAATCCCTCCAACACCTAGTTCTGTTCTTCCTTGGAGCCTGTGAGTACACAGTTCCCTCTGTCTGGAATGCTCTTCCTCCAGCTGTCTGCGTAGCTGTGTCCTTCCTGTCCTTCTGGCTTTGGCTTAAATGTCACCACCCCAGAGACCCTCCCTAATTCCCTTATGTTTCTCTCTCTCTCTCTCTCACACACACACACACACAGCCCCACACAATATTCTCTCTCCCACACTCATATCTCTGCCTTCACAGACCTTATTACAATTTGTAATTATAGGTGTGTGTGCTTCCTTGTCTATAATCTGTTTCCTCCTCTAGAAAACAAGTGTCATGAGGGCAGGAAGCACATCTTATCCGTCAAACTAGTCCAGCACAGAGCCAGCACACAGTAGGTACACAATAAATGTCTGTTGAAGAATGAAAGTGATTCAAGGCCTAAAGAAAGGAGGCACCTGTGGCCACTTGTGGCCACAATCGCTGCCATTTGTTAAGCACCTACTATGCACCAGGCACTGGGGCTAATTTTGTCATACACCTGATCTCTCCGAGACCCTCCAAGCCCGCAGAGTCAGCAATATTGCTCCCATTTCACATATGGAGAAACAGAGGCTCCACAAGGTCATGAAGTTTGCCCAGGTTAATCAGCTGGGAAGGAGTTTAGATCATAATCCCACTACACCTGCATTTGTGAAAGACAAAATTTCTTGAGATCTTGGCCCTTTGGGTGTCTGGCGCAGTGGTTATGCAGTGGTGGCCCACTGAGGTTTTTGATCAGTCTCATCATAAGACCTGGGTTGTCTCATCATGGTATTTCAGGTGACTGCAGTTATAAAGCTAGGGGTACACAATTACCAACCACAGCAATATGTGTTTGTACATTTCCCTTTTGCTTACTTCTTTATGAATACGGTTCATCTGCTCATAATCGTTATACCAGTGTGACTATCATTAAACTCCTGAGTGTTTATGCTTGCAAAAATATAAGTGCTATTATTGCCTATTTTATTGTGTAAAATGGCCTATGAAATGTTCTGTCGTGTTTTTACATGTTTCTCAAACCAAACCCCTTTTAAAAATGTAAATAAATCTTTTTTTTGTGCGTGTGGCCTGTGGACTCCAGGCATTTTTATGGTCTGTGGACTCCAGGCACTGCTCTTTGCAGATCAAGAGAAAACCCAGGCGTCTGCCTAGCACTGCCCCTCTCACCTCCCAAACCTGCAAGTGGCAGGACCAGGGCCCCAACTGGGTGACACTCCTGTCCCCAGGCCACCAAGAAAGAGCCAACCTCTCAGCCTTGGTTATGTAAAATCCCAAACTCCTAAGCTTGCCCAGCCCTCCAAAGGGGCTCACCACACACACTCACACTCACCTGGCCCCTGGGACTGGAGAGGACAGCTTTGCCCCTAGCTTAAACGAGACCCACGTGCATCTGGGCATTCAGCATTTCATATAAGACTGAGTGGAAAAGGGGTCCCCCCACCATCTCCTGCTAGTCCCCTTTTCTTTACTGTGGTAAAATGCACATAACATAACACTTACTATTTTAACTATTTCTAAATGTATTCGGTGGCATTAAGTACATTCACGGTAATGTACAACCATTACCATTATCCATTTCTAGAAACTTTTCATCATCCCAAACATCCTCACACTCACTAGCCCTCATTTCCCCTCCCCCAAACCCCTGGTTACCTCTAATCTACTCTCTTTCTTTATGAATTTGCCTATTCTAGGTACCTCCTATAAGAGTAATCATATAATATTTGCCCTTTGATACCTGGCTTATTTTACTTAGTGTTAGAGGCTGAATTCTATGTCCTCCTTCATATATTAAAGTCCTAACCCTCAGTAGCCTCAGAATGTGACTGTATTTGGAGACAGGGTCTTTAATGAGATAACTAAGTTAAAATGAGGCCCTAATCCAATCTGACTGGTGTCCTTGTAAGTAGAGGAAACGAGGGCACAGAAATATACCAGGGAAGACCATGTGAAGGCACAGGGAGAAGGCGGCATCTCCAAGCCAAGAAGAGAGGTCTCAGGAGAAACCAACACTGCTCATACCTTGATCTCAGCCTCTGGATTCCAGCCTCCAGAACCATAAGAAAATTCATTTCTATTGTTTAAGTCACCCGGCGTATGGTATTTTGTTATGGCAGCCCAAGCAGACTAATACCCTTAGCATCATATTTTCAAGAGTCATTCATGTTGTAGCATGTATGAGAACTTCTTTTTAAGGCTGAATACTGTTCCATTGTACAGATTACACCACTTCGTGTTTTTCTATTCATCCATCCATGGACACTTGGGTTGCTTCCAGAGAAGTTCTTTGCTGACACCCACCTCACATCCCTGCCCCAAAAGTTACATGGGAGGGAAGGAAACTGGGGTTTGTAGAGCACCCACTGTGTGTCTCTGAGCTGGGTGCTTTACATACCTTATTTTTTGCGATCTTCTTGACAAGTTTTTCAGGTAAATGGGCTCAGAGAAGTTAAGCAATTTACCCCAAGTGGAATAACTAGTGGTAGTCATTGTGGCAGCAAGTGTTCATTGCTAAGCTCTCTGCATGTCAAGCACTGTTCTAAGCTTTTGTGTATACATCGCTTCACTCCTCACAACCACCCACGAGGCAAGCATTAGCATCCACATCCTCCAGGGTCTCAGGCAGTCCTCTCAACAATTCTGCCAGACCAGAGAAGGCACAGCTTCCAAAGGATGGTATCAGGGCTCACCCAGGTCTGCTGGATTCAAACACCTGCCTTGCCCCACCTGTCACGCTGCCTCTACAGTGGGACAGGGCCCATGCTGTGGCAGAGGTGCCAGGGCTATGGGATCACAGAGAAAACTCAGGGGCCCCAGGCAGGCTCCATGGAGCAAGGGCACCTGAGCCTGGCATGGAGGATGCATTGCTTCTGTTTATCCACTGTGTGTCTCACCCACTACCCCTGAAAGCCCCGAGAGCAGGCAGCACATGGGCCATTTCCATTGAGAAGTCCCCATGCCTGGCTCAGAGCCTGATGCCCACTTGGTGAGTGGATAAGGTTTTGAAAGGTAGAGATGGGGAAAGGACATTTGGGGGTAGGAATTACACATTAAAAAGGCATGGAGGTGGGAATGCTTGGCGTGTTGAAAGAACCACAAGAAGCCCCCCTTTGGCTGGGACACAGGATGGGTGAAGGAAAGGAAGAGGAGCATTGAAGCAGGCATTGGAAGGGATGAAGGGAAGAAGGATGGCACAACGGTCTTTCTAGGCTTGACCATAGGCAACCTTGAATGCCCAGTGAAGGAGTTAAATTTTAGCCATTGGCACTGGGGAGCCAGTAAAGGCACTTGTGTAGGAGAAGGACCAGGCTGAAACTATGCTCCAGATAAAGATGTCCAGGAGTAGGGTCTGGGGGAGCTGAAGGGTGGGAAGTTTAAGGCAAGCAAGGATGTATAGTCACATTACTAATAACAATAAGGGGAAGGAGAAAGTGGGGGAGAAGAGGACCCTATAACCCAGAGACAAGAGGCCATCAGGCACCCTGAAGCCTAGGGGCCCTCATCTCCACTCTAACAAAACACACATTTGCAGTGACCCCCATCCCCACCCTTGACTTCTCTTCCTCACCCAGAGCACGGGAGGGTGCCACTACCCACTCTTAGAGCAGACCTGGCATGCCCACAGCTCTGCCTGCTGTTCACCCTCTGGGCCCTGCCCCAGGAACCTGTGGCCAGGAGGCAGGCAGCTTCTGAGCCCTGTTCTCTGAAATGATACCAGAGCGGTCCAGAAAAAATCCAGACAATAATCCCAGAAGGCCCCAGTCTCCATGCCCATATGAAGAAATAGGCAGGTGACCCTCCTATCTGTGGACAGTCCAGCACTTCAGGGCTCACACCATGAGTCCACTAGAACTCAGGAAGGCCCCAGACAGCCCCCATTCAACCTGGTAAGGCAAGCTGGGAGGCCCAGGGGAGAGGGCCAGTTGTTAGCCTGCCAACCAGGAGGGAGGCAGGCCTCCTTCAGGACCTGAGGATGCTCAACAGACAAGGAGCTGCAAGAATGCCAAGGCCATGGAGGGAGGGTGTGGGGACAAGATTACAAGGCTTGCCTGAAAGGGCCAGAGGTCTCAAGGGTCCCAGCACAGCTCAAAGACACTGGCCTCCCAGGCTGAGCCTCAGGCCCTCAGGAGGAGGGATCCTGGAGAGAAGGTGGCCACTGCCCCGGCCCATTTCCTCCCCAGGCCTGTGCCCTCCCCACCAGGCAGCTGGCCTTCACCGGGGCTTGCTCCAGCCTCTCCAGGCTCCCTGGCCTGCTAGTCTGTTTCCTTCCCTTTTATAGAGTTCTGTTTGGACCAGGAAATGAAGTGCATCAAGTTCCTGGAGGCAAGAAGGGGCCTGTTCCCAGCAACACCAAGCCAGGGCACACACACCCAAGCCCTGAGTGTCCCTCCAAAGACAGTGGGGACAGGGAGTGGGCCTGGCCCTTTCCCCAAACCCAGCACAGGCTGGGACCCAGAACCTGAAGCAGACAGGACACAGGGGAGTCCCAGAGGGCTGACTCACCAAGGCCCCAGGCCCCACCCCTCCCCAAATCCTCCTGAGCTGAGCTCCTCTTAAATCACTGGCCCCATCAACCTATCCCCAAAGCTCCAGCTGCCCACTGCTTCCTCTTCCATTTCCTCTTCTTGTCTCAGGATCCTCTTCCCCAGCCCCACTCACTGACCCCCCAGCCCACTGCTAGGCTCCCTGTCCTGCAAGCCACTCGAGATGGGCTCTCCAGACAGGGGAGTTCCTCTTCAGACAAGAACCTCCCCACCTCTAACCACACCCACACACAGAGCAGCTGCCAGGTCCACATAAGGGCCACTCAACAACCAGACCTGAACGAGGCAGGGAAGAGCAGGTGTGCCTGACCCTTCAGGAGCCTGCGGAATGTGGAGTTCTGGGCAGCTTCAGTCAGAAGCTGACAACAACAAGGGGAACTCGGGGGGACCAGCAGGCCAAGCTGTGGGACCATGGGCCTCCCAGCCACTGAAGCCAGGCCCTCCCAAGCCAGCCTGGAAGAAGGCACGACACCATGGCACCCAGATGGGCCTACCCCAGGTGAAGGCAGGGAGTCTTCTCTGGAGATTAGCCTCCAGACAACCCAAGCGGGGATCTCAAGGGTCCCGGCTCAGGGGCCACACTCACCCACACCCCTAATCAGGGAAGCTGGGAGAGGTGAGGCTGCACACTAGGCCGGACTTCTTAGGAGCATGTGCTGATGAGCAGGGGGGTCAGAGACATGGGGTTCAGCAGAGCTGCACTGAGTACCTATGGAGTGCCAGGCCCAGGGAGCACAAGACAGCAAGCCTACCGGGGCAGGGTGAGAGGGTCCCCGCAATAGCCAGGACAAAAGGCCGGGACAGGCAAGGCCACAGGGAAGCACCAGCAGGGGTCAGAGGGCACGGAGGGGCCCAGGGCATGACCCGTCAGCATCCTGGTTTCATGATCCTGCCCACACTCGGCCACCTCCTGGCCTTCCTGCATGGCACTGACAACACCTGCCACCACCCCCATCTCCACCCACCACCCCTCCCTCAGCCCTCCACCCCCCACCCGCCCCGGCCACCAAAGTCGTTCAAGCCAGAGGCCCATGTGTCTGTCTTCCTTCATTCTTTCCCCTCCCTTCCACCAAGCCTAGGCAACTCCTCCTCCTAAATACCTCTCTGAGCCACATACACCCCTTCTCAGGTCCTATTAATCATAGAGATGATTGCAACAGCCTACAACACTGGTCTCCCTGCCCTCCGCCTTGTCCCCTCCACCCCATTCTCCATTTGGCAGCCAGGGAGCTATTTCTAAAATGCACATCCAGCAGTGTCACTTCTCTGCCTAAAGTTCTTGCATAGCTCCCAGCTCACGGGAGAAAGTCCAAATGTCCTAATATGGCCATCAGGCCCTTCGGGACCTGGCTATGCCTCCCTCTCCACTCCCATTTCTCACCTCTCCACCTCAAAGCCCTTGCTCTGGCCAGAGAAAATTACGTTCAGGTCCGCTTTCATTCAATACGGCGCACTCTGAGCTAGGGGCTATCAGTCCATTTCACAGATGAGGAAATGAGGCACTAAGAGGTTGCATTCTCAGCCTAAGGTCACACAACCAGTAAATAATGGAAATTGAACCAAGTTCTGCCGCGGCTGTGTCCGAAGCCTCAGCTCTGCCCAGGACCACACCACCTTTCCCAGTCGGGGGTCACAGAAAGTTTCATGGAGAACATGGCCTTTGAGATGGGTAGGGAGGAGAGATGCCAGGGGTCAGAGAACACAAAGAGACCAGTTGGCTGTGCCCAGGGCACACAGGGCCAAACAGAGAAAGGCGGTCAGAGAGGCAACCCATGCCACACTGCACATGACCTGGAGGGCCAGGCTGAGGCCAATGTCCAGGACCCTGGAGTGGCCTCATGCCCCCAGAGCCAGTGAGAAGCCATGGGTGAGGTGTAGGGCTGGAGCCCGAGAGTCCAGCCTGGAAGAGGCTCTGAGCTGGTCAGGGAGCAGAGGAGAGAGATTAAAGAGGGGATCCGAGGAACATAAGAAGATGGAGGGGCAGGAAAGTGGGGCAGTCAGAGCTGCTGAGGCACGCGGCCGGAGGACTAGGGGGAAGCCAGCCGCCATGCTAGAAGAGGAGGTGTGAACAGGCAATATGGAATGCAGGCTTCAGAGTCGCCTTCTCCAGCAACCCAAAAAGCAGGAAAACCCCACCCCTTCTCCCTGACCTATTCTGAAGCAGGGAGGCTGGGGGACAGGGCCGGCAGCACAGAGAACAGAGCTTCTAGGAAGTTCCTAGAAGAGCTGCTCAAGGAAAGGGCTGTGGTCTGTGGTCATGGTTCTAGTGGAACTGGTGTGAAAGGAGGTGACAGGCGTGGGGAGCGAGACCACGTGTTCACTCAACAATGCCCACTGAGTGCCCCTCCATGCCAGGTTCCCAGCTCTGGAGACAGATGAATGAGGATGGCCCCGCCCGGGAGGGAAACTTGTGGCCCGGTGGGGGAGACAGGCATGTAAACAGAGAATTGTAAAACAGCCCCAGTAATGCTATAATGGAGGTATGAAGAGGGCTAGGATTTCACTGGGATTCAAGTCCATCTGTTTTTCCACCCAGAGCGAGGCTGCCCACCCCAACCCCTCACTTTCCACCAAGGGTTTCTGTTTCTAGATGGAAACTTGAAGGGACAAAAGTCTTTGACCTTAGCTGTGCTAGAACAGTAAGGCAGGAAGGGTGCATGGGAAAAAAATCTAAGAGCAGTGGGAAAACCCAAAGAGCCAAAGGTCTCAGGCAGTGCTGAGGACCATGCCAACCACCACGGGGACATGTGAGGGTAGGTGCGGGGGGCTAAGCCAGGCCCAAAATAGAGAATTCTGAGGCTGGGGCCACACTCAAATCCACACAGACATCAGAGACCCACACAGACATCAGCCCCTGTCTTCTGAAGCTAGGCCATCGTCTGTTTGCCAGCCAGGACAAGGGCGTAGAGACCTCTCCACTTTCAACACCTGTAGAATTACTTGCAAACCACAGGTGTTCACCTCCCTGTTTCCTAATTTCAAGGATGCTGTTGATTGTATGTAGCATCATCAACTGAGTAACAGTTTTTGAGGAGGAGGGAAGGCTACTTGAATTGTACACATCGATCCTAAGGTGCATTCCATTTTCGGAAACGTTAAAATGTTTTTTAATAAAAGACATCTCAGATTTGAAGAAGTGCCTTACATTTTTGACTCTTCGGGTTCCCTATGCTGCCTGTATCACTGTCCTATGTGGTGGACAACCAGGAAATCCTTTCTGATGTTTACCTATGTCTCCTTTCAAGAATTTAAGGCTGGCCAAAATGAGGAACAGGGTGGAAAGCAACCCAGCCACATATTACTTAGGAAAAACATCCCACATCCTCAAAGCTGATCTATGGCTTTATGTTCCCTGGACGTCCCCAGAGGTCATTTTTTCTCATCGCCTGACTCCAGACAGCTGTGCACTAAACCCAAACCTGGTACCTGGGAGCAGATTCAGCTCCATGAGATCGTAACTCCTGTTTGCGGGTCCTCATTTCCAGATTCCTGAACACACTAAGAGGCCATGAGTTTCTAACTACAGGGTAAGAGGAGGGATAGAAAAAAACCTGGACTGGGAGTCAGGCATGGGCTCAAATGCCAGTTTTGCTACAGACCAGCTATTGATACCTTATTTAACTTCCCTGCGTCTCAGTTTGCCCCTCTGTAAAATGGGGGTGAGATCATCTTTGCAGAGTGGCTGGAAGTATTCAATAAAGTTGACTTAGGTGCCATCAGTAAAATTGTCTGGGATACAGAATATGCTTAGGAGATGTTACTTCCCTCTATGTTAACCTGGAGGTGATTAATGGCATTTTCTGCACCTCAGCATCCTCATTTACAGACCAGTAAATTCTATGCACTGGGCTCAGTTCTAAGCTTCTTATGCGTCTCAAAGCACGTAATCTTCACCTCACCCCTGTGAAGCAGGTCCTATTCGTATCCCCATTTTACAGAAGAAGAAACTGAGAAACAATAGAGGGAGAGGAAGGAGCTGATTTTTAAGATCCCATCTATTGTCAAAGTCAAAGAAAGCATGGGACACTGTACAATGTGAGAACTTTCCATCAAAAAAATCCACCGTTTTTCCTGAGCTCTGAATTCTTCCATGCATAAGCTTCAGTTATCTGAAAATTCACTCATGTGGAAAACTCCTGGCCCCTAGATGGCAGCGACAGGAGGCAGTGCAATTATTCTGCACAATTAGCGCGCATCGGGGACTGGTGTTCTGGAACCCCATCTGCTCTGATGGACGAGGCTGCACCAGGAGCCCCCGCAAGCAGAAAGTCCCGAGGGCAGGACAGCCCAGCTCTCTGTTGCTCCTTGAAATCCATCTGGGGCCGAGTGGCGGGAAGCCCCCTCTCATTTCCAATTATCAGGCAGCAGAGGCTTGACGCACAGCCAGCACTGAAGGCCAGAGTAGGCCTGGCTGTCACCAGCATTGTTTGGCTCCATTTGACGCATATCCACCCTTCGTAATGCTTCCTTGCTCCCAGGCAGACCTCAGAGATGCACGTATCTGAAACCAGGTCTGGAGGGGAAGGAGGAGGGCAAACGGAGGGGCGGAAGAAGACCTGGCTCTCTGACTCGGAAAACACTGAGAGATTTTAAACGGATAGAAGACAAAGCTGGCATCAGCTAAAGACCCGGTGACCCAGACACTGCAGCCCTGCATACACACAGCTCAAAACAGCCCAAGGCACACACAGCGCACATGCCTGACCACTGCCGGACCCAGATACAAAGTCACCCCCTGGTGCTTGGGCCCCACCCCAACCAGAGCCACACAAACAGAAACACATCAGCACCGCCAACACATCCACTGGCAGGGACACTCTGCATGGCCCCAAGCACAGCCAATTCCAGGAAGCCAGAAGGGGAAAGGAGCCCATATGTACAGACTGGAACAGGGGGAGCATGAGCCAGCAGAGATGGGGGGAACAAGAGCAGCCCAGGGCCCCTGAAGCACACCCAGACCTCCCAGCTCCTTTCAAAGTGCCCACTGCAGCCTTGGCAAGCAGCAAATTCTCCTCACACTTGCCTGTCCCATCTGAGCCCCACCCATCCTTCTGGAAGAGCAGGTGAAAGGATAAGGCACACGGGCAGAAGCTGGGTGGGAGGTGTCAGAAATGGAAGAGCAGGTGCACAAACAATAGGGTGGAGTAGATAGGAGGATACGCAGCCTGAACATTATGGGGTGGAAGCACAGGTAGCTGGAATTTTAGGGACAGAGGTGGTGAGGAAGGGCAAAACAGAGTTTAGGGCTCGGGACAACCATATTATTTGAACACATACAAAGAACATGTACTTCATACAGATTATCCCATTTAATCCTTCCAACAAGAGATTCAACAAGCAGTAGCCTCTTTTCACATATGAGGCTACTGAACCTTACAGCGGAGAAATGTGTTGGCCAAGGTCACACAGCGATGAGTGGTTGAGCTGGGACTCAAACCCAGGACAGCCAGACTGCAAATTCTACACTCCTTGAGGCAAGCCAAGTCACCTGGATGCTTGGAAGACAAGACAGAGCATCGATGGAGCTGAGGGGGTGTGAAGGCATAGGTGATGGGAGGGGCTGATCCAGAGAAGCACAGAGAGGCAGAGGGGATGAGGTGTGGCACCCTGCTGGCCGGGACCCCCAGCTCCTAAGGAGGACAGGGAGGGAGGAGCTCAGGCTGCTGTGATTCAGTGGCTGGGCCTCCGGGGAGAATTTCCGGAGCCCCAGACAGCTCTGTGCAGTCTAGGAGCCACCTACCCAGTGGAGACACTGAGCCATTACTCACAACTGTTACTCACTTTGCCTCTGCACCCCCATCCCCAGCACATCACTTCCTCCCACTCTGTTCCCTTTGGGTGGCCAAGGCAGGCAGCAGATCTTCCCCAGTCCCCTCCTTTGCTTCATTGGCTCCAATCCTGCCAAGCGTATCCCCACCTGAGTCACTGGGACAGAGACGGGAGATTCTGGCCAGCCCAACCCTGACAGCTGTTGCCCTCTGCTCTGTTCCAAGAAATCAAGCTGCCTGGAGGAGTGGTCACTGGGCAAAGAACGTTCCAATTCCAGTGCTGGAAGGACCTCCCCAGCATTTCAGATGGCATCCCAGCAGATGCCTGAAGAGCCAACAGGATCCCACCTCGATGCTGGACAGCTCTGCCAAAGGCCCCAAGACTAGGAGCCTCTCTGTTCAGAAAGATCCATGCACTTACAGAATTTCAGCACTGCTGAAAAGAGAGAACGCCCCTAACTCGAACTTCTCATTTCGCAATTGAGGAAACCAAAGCCCAAAAAGTGGAAGCAATTTGCCTGAAGTCACACAGTGCCAAAAGGGACTAGCAGGTCACCTGACGCCCCTGCCACAGGTCCTTCCGCGGCACTACACAGACCTCTCTCTCTGCCCCAAGTCAGAGCAGGCCCCTGAAGTTGACTCTGTCACCCTCCTGTTGCAAAGCAGTGCTGAAGACGGGAGATCTGAAGGCAGGGTGAGGAGGGGGAGGAAGGAGTTGCAGCCAGACAGCGGTTACTGGGGAGGAATCACTTTCCAACAGTGAAGGGGCACTGGACTCCAGGCCACCTACTCAGAACAGTCTGCCCAGGAGGCAGGGAGATGGACTGCAGGCCCTCCGGAGGCTCTGGAGCTCAAGGGCCAGGCCCTCTGGCAGGAGATGATGGGAGGAATTCTTAGGGTCCCAGCTGGGAACTTGGGAGAGTCATGGCCTCCTCTCCAATCACCTCTCCTCCCCCAGCCCCCACCCCTCACCCTGGCTCGCCTCTGCTCTCCCAGGGCTCCAGCCTGGAATCCAGACCTGACCACTGCCTCCACTCCCACGCTTGGCCTAGCTCAGCCGGCCACAGCAGAGGCAGCCACATGTGTGGTGGTGGAAGCAGTTCGTGAGCCACCGAATTCCTTCTAAGCCTCCAGAGGAGCCTCATCTATCTCTTGTGCTCTCCCCTCCCACTCTGGGCAGTTGCACTCATCCCAGCCAAGAAACCCCTGCTGCCAGCCCCACTCTCTCCCACTGTATCAATAATAGTAATAACCATAACAAAAACAGCAATAACAATCACCAAGGTTTATGCAGAACAGCCTGCATGCCAGACCCGCTCTATTTGTTTCCTGCATTTTACAGGTGAGCAAAGGGAAGCACTGGCAGGTCAGGTAAGTTGTTCATAGTCATATAGCCTGCAAGAGATGGGGTCAGGATTCACATGCAGACCGTGTGGCTGCAGACACTGTGAAGGTGACCCCCACATCACACTGCCTCATGAGAGGTCATTGCTCTAGGAAATAAACGCTGCTGAAATTCCCTCTTCTTCATCAACACACAGTCCCTGACCACCTGCGACATGCCAGGCACCTGGCCTTTGAGACACTCAACATTCCATCTAGCTCTGGACAGGCAGCCACTCTCTGCACTCACCAGGCCACGTAGAGCCAGGCTGGGCATGGCTGCCTCCGAGCAATCAGGCTCCTCCACCCTGACCAGGGAACACTCCTGTTCGTTCATTCATTCATTCATTCAACAAACAGTAAGGGGCTACTGTGTTCCAGGTCAGATGGTAAAGGAGGCCCCCAAAGGATCCTCTCGGTGCCTTAAAAATATAAGCTGCCTACAGTCTACCCTCACTCCTGCCTGCTGCAGTTCATCCATCCCAGGGCTGCGTGTGAAGACTTGCCAAGGATGGCTCTCTCCTGGCCTGAAAGATCTCCCAGGAAGGAGATTTCAGGGGCCTCCTTGGCCTCCCAATCCAGGAGGGGAGGATGGTATGCTGGAAGGAAGCCCAGAGGGATCAGGGAGATGAAGTGACTTGGGAGAGGATTTTCCAGCCCCAGGGCTGAGGAATTTGAACATAGGATTCCAGGAACCCAGGCCCTGGCTTGAGGCCTGCCCCTAGGACTCCCCTGCCCAGTACAGCCGTCACAGTGGCCCAAATGCCCTTCCTAAATCACAGTCTCATCATGTCTTCCCTGTATTAAAATCCCCTGCCGCTCCCCTCTTTAACCTGCCTCAGAATATCCCCCCATCTTGAGCCCCAAGCAACAGTTTCAGGCTCTCCCCAAAGCCATCCTTTCCCACACATGCCATTTTAAGCCTCCATATACTGTGGGTTTGCTCCATGCCAGGCACTGGGCTGAGAACTTTACAAATAGCATCTCATTTCATACCCACGCTAGCACTACAAGGTTGGAAATATGAATCCTATTTTACAGATGCAGACACTAAGGCTCAGACCCATGTAGCAGAGCTGGGAGGGAGACCCACGCTTGTTATTTCTCCTTACCTGCATGCCACTGGGCCTCTGCACATGCCTTCCCCTGTGCCTGAAGAAGTCTTTGCCCCTTTTCCTCCCCGCAAAACTCCTTGCCAAACTTCAAAATCCATCTCAAATGGTACCTCTTCTCCAAAGCTTCCTCCGCTCTGCCAGCTCACATGAGCTGCCTCCTGCTTGACATTCCCACTGCGTTTTGCAGCAACACTCTGTCTACTCCCCTACTCCCCTACTCCCCCCACTAGATCGTGTCTCCCGGTCTTTCCAGCCTCATACCCAGCACCTTAACTGGCATAGGGTGGATGCCCTCAAAGGCTTTTAAAGTGAACAATCCAGCGGCCCCGTGTGCCCAGCTGGACTCAGCTGCTGCCGCACAGCGTCCACAGTGGGTCCACAGGCACTGCCCCGGACCCAAGGAGCCAACCCCTGGGGCTGGCCCATCTCTGCCACCCCCAAATCATAGCCCGAACCCCAGCTCATGTCCCTGGGTGGAGGCTTCTCCCCATGCCAGCCCCCCTTCCTGGCTTGGCGGCCCCTCTCACTCAACCAGCTCTGCCATTTCTGGGAGTCTCAGCCGGTGATTAGGGCCCTAATCAGCAGGACTTCCTGCCAGCGACTGCCAGAGTTGGGGGCAGGGCGGGGAGGGAAGCAAGGTCAATCCAAGGTGAAGTTCCACAGCGTTGGGACTGGGGGACGCCCAGCAGAGGCCCCGGGGAGATGGACTCACAGACCCCCCACCCCTGCACCTTTCAGCCCTTCATTTACAGTTGAGGGCACTGAGGCCCAGCGAGAGAAGGGACTCAGGTGGGACTCCTCCAGAGGCTAGGGACAGAGCCAGGCCTAGACTCAGATCTGCTCACTTGAGGAGCACTGCTCTCCCACCCAGATGGACCCAGGGTGGAGCCCCTCTTTCCGCTTCCCCTGAAGCCCTCTTCCCCACCCCTATCCCCTAACCCAGCACCAAGCCCAGGACTGAACACAAAAACTGCTCCCATACAGGGTGGCTGGAGACCAGCTGATTGTCCAGGTCTGGTCAAGGTCAAGGGGTAAAGATAAGGCCCACCTCTACATGAGAAATGGCCTAGAAATTGGGCAGAGGTGAGCAGGGGCCAAGGAAGGGAAGCAAGATAGGGCCAGGCTGAGCTCAGGAACACTCCCCAGCTGTCATCATCATCAACCCAAGCCCATTCTTTCTCCAAAAAAAAGCTTAATGCCTTTTGCAGCTGCAACTGGGCGGGCCAGGGGTCCGGAAATGGAGTTCACCCCCGACCCAGAGCAACCCCAGCCTCCCTGGGTGGGAACTGCGTTGGGTGGAGAATACAGCTTGGCAGGCCTTGAGGGCTGACCCCTGCTAATGAGGAATGTCAGGGGCACCGGAAAACAGGAGACCCCAGAGAGGGCAGAGGCCTGGGACAGAGAGGGATTGTGGCCAGGAGCCCTACCCTTGCACGGGTTCAAAGCTCTCAGCTTATATGGCATGCAGGAAGAGTGGACATGGTTCTCCCCTACCCACTACCAACAAGGGACTGAATTAAAGCTGCATCAAGAGGAATGCCAGTTAGATTTTGGGGGGACCTAGAGGGCATAAGACACAATAATTTGAAGCAGTTATTTGGGGATCCTACTTTAAAATGTAGATGCCATATCTATGGGTGTAGCCCATGGTCCAGGGCAGGCTTCCTGGAGGCCAGGTGAGGTCCTTGCTCAGCCTGGGAGTCTCCGATTCTGTGACTCTCATCAAGGCATGGGATGGGATCCCAGAAGGGGAGCTCAGGCTGGTTTATAATAATGCATCTTGTTTACAGTGATGGCAACTTTCTCAGAGTCCTCTGTAAACACAGATCTGCATGGGCTCCCTGAACAGACAAGACCTCCGGAGGGCCGCTCAGCTCCCTGTCTGCCCTCTAATTGCAGAGAGAGACAGAGTGGGGGAAGAGAAGATTCTTCCCTGGGATCTGATGTTAGGACCTCTTAAGGGAAAATGACACCAGCATCTTCTCCACTCTCTGGTCCCATAATTCTCTTCATCTTAGAGATGGAACAACAAGACAAGAGAGAGAGAACTCCATCACCACCACCACCAATAATAATAATAATAATAATAACTAACCTTCATTGAGCATCTGCTATGTGCCAGACACCGCCCAAAGTGTTTTAAATAAATTAACTCGTTTGATCCTCACAACCATACCTTGAAGCAGACATTATCCCATTTGATAGTGAGGAAACTGAGGCTCACAGAGGTTCAGTCACTTGCTGAGACCACAGCTGGTAAACCGGGTCATCATAAGTTGATCCCCAGCAGTCTGGCACCAGACTCACATTCTCTGCCTCAAGACAGACCTCTCAGTCCAAGTCTAACAAATCCTCACCAGGCCTCATCAAAACCCTCACCCCTCTGCCCTCCATTAGCCAGCCATCCATGTTGAGCGGCACTCTGCCAAGCACAGCAAGGATCACCAGAGAGGCCAGAGGTGCAGGTCTGCCCTCAAGGAGCTTGTAATCCATCCAGAAGACAGGTGAGCAAATGGGAAACTTGCAAGGATCACAGAACGCTGTGGGGTCCCATCTTCTCTGCAGGAGAAGATGAAGGTCTAGGAAGGTCCCTGGGGGAAATGGACCCAGGTCTGGGGCCCCATAGTGGCCAAAGGGCCAGAATTCCCCCCAGCCATTCCTGTGACCCCTGACCCCCATCAGCTCCCCAGGCCCCCGCCTTGCTGGTCCAGTCCCTCCTGTCTCCCACACCCAGGGCTGAGCTACAGGCTTCCAGGCCTAAAAAGGCAGGGACTGCAGAGCCCAGACTAGCCCTGGAGGCGGTAGCTCCAAGGACTGGCTCAGGCCCACCCACCACCCCTCCCACATGGGCTCCAGCTCCACAGAGACAAGCCTCTCCCCTTGAGGGAAGTTGAGGTGGGGCAAGTAGGAAGATGGCCAAGGCCACCAACCTGGGTAGAGGCTGCACTGGGGCTCTCTAGCGTCCAGCAACCTCCTGGACGGGAAAGCGCTCCAGACCATTGGAGGGAAGGAAAGAGGGAAGGGCCGGTGTGACCTTGCATAATGGAAGTGTCACCAGGGGATGTGGGCAAAGCCTGCCAGGCTGGCCACCCTGCCACCCCCACCTCCTTGTCCCAGCTCACTTATGCCCACACCTCTGCATGCCTAACAGCCCTAGAAAGCTAAGAGCCATCTGGCCAGGGAGCTATTGAGCGAGGGGCCATTGGTGGATAGTAAGGGGGACAAAGTCTAGGCCAGTCCTCCCAAACCCCAGTCTCCAAAAACCACCCTCTCCCTCCACCCATTTCTGATTTGCTTTATTTGGAGGCTGGTAACTGGGAGGGCTTTCCTGCCTATCTCCTCTGCCCCCCACCTCCAAACATATCGCTCAACTGGGCCTCAGTTTCCTGGGGTCAAAGAGGCTTTTGGCTCCAGAACTGAGCCAAGAAACCAGAGGCACTGGCAGCCGAGAGCCTTTGCCTGTCCCCCTCGCTCCTGCCCTGGTGCCTCAGGCTCACGGCACACTCAGGTCTCCCGATCCTTCCCTGCACAACCCTCCCACCATCACTGAGTCTCTTTCAAACCCCAGGAAAGAGTGTCGTCATTTAGCAACTTCATGTAGTCCCTGACTGGAGAAGAGGATTGGAGTTAGACATCGGAAAGGACCTCCCTCTCAGATGAAACCAAGACTGTGAGGGGGCTCCCCTGGTCGGAGGCGGTGGTTGAGTTGGGTGATCTCAATCTCCTACTGTGTCACCCTCTCTGGTCAGGAGAAAAGGGGGCACAGGCATCCACAGAGGGGCTGTGGAGGAGGCTGGCTGGTGTAGGAAGGATGGAGTCCAGGGTGGGTTTCAAGCCCACCCGGAAGCACTCACGGGCACTTCCATCATGGGAAGCCCAAACCTGTTTGGTTTGGGGAAAGCTTTGGCCCCAGCCCTCTCTGGTTCTCCTCTCACTGCCCACCTCAGGGAAAGCAGGTTTGGAAAGGCCTGTGAGAGGTGACTGCTCCTCCCCCACTCACCCTCCTAAGAGGCCCTTGAGAGCAACTGCCTTGCCTTGCACCCCTCACCCCATGCCAGTTATGCAAGCCACTTGATGCTGCCCGGACAACCCGCATTATTTACAAATGTGGAAACTGAGGCTCATATGAGACCCATGCCTGAGTTTTTCTGCATCTCAGATCCTGGCACTGCCCTTGGTCTACTATCTCCAGGCTGGCTAGGGAGGCCTGTTTTGGGGAGGCCAAACTGGGCAGGGGTTCAAGATGCCCAACATCCCAGCACCCACCCCCGGTCCTTGCACACCAGCCCCAGAGCCCCTCAACAGGGAACATGGGCTCTAACTGCAGGGATTGGGGGTGAAGCCTGTGGTGCTTGCTGTCCCCTCAACTCCACACTGTCACGCAGCCCACCACAGGCAAGGGGCAGAGTGGGCCAGGAGGCATAGGAAGAACCTCAGAACCTTTGCAGGAAGCAGCTGGGTGCGGACCTGGTAGGCAGTTGAGCCACGGGTGTGAGGGAGGGGCACAGTGCCAGGGCAGAGCGTCGGGCTCTTGGTTCCTTACACATTGGCAGGAAGGAGGGGGCCCCTGCGAGTGGTCTGCGCCCACGCCCCAGGCCAGAGGACACAGCTTCCTGATCCCCCATTCTGGTGTCAGAGAACTCCCCGACTCCAAGTATCCCAGGCCCTCAGCATCCCAAGAGACCATCCAGGTCATCGCCTCTAACCACATCCCAGCCCAGGAATCCTTCCAAGCCCTTATTCGGCCTCTGTCTAAACTCCCCCCAGTACAAGATGCTCTCCACCTTACAAGATAGCCCATCCTCCTGCTGACCCACCAGGGTCCTTAGGAAGCTCTTCCTTCACCTGAGCCAAGATTCCACCTCTGAGGCTCCTCTCCCTTAGACCAAACAAAAGTTCTTTCTGGCCCCCCTTGACTCCTGCTCCTATCTGGGTAGAAACAGGAGCCTGAGGGTCCCCAAACTCCAAGGCTTCAGCCACAGCCCATCAGAGGCCAGAAGTTGGTCTGCAAAACAATAACATCTTCTCTGAACCCATAAGCATCCCAACCCAGCCCCGCTCCACCTGGCCACCAGGTTCTCTGTGCTTATACTTCCTGGACACCACCACCTCCCTGGGAAATTCTTCACTGGGGCCTTGCGGGAAGTGAAGTGTGAAGAAGCATGGGATGAGGGATGGGGAAGCAGAGCCAGAAGGGCTCAAGGCCAGGCGCCTGGAAGCAGAGGGTCCCAGGTTGCCTCCTCCACCGCCAAGAACCCTCAGCTCCTGGTTACAGTGCTGGCTCCCAGCCCTGGTGCTCGGCCGGACTGGCCGAGACCCTCCCCAGCCTGGTCCAGCCCACTGCTCTCCAAATCCCTGCCCTCCATGGGCAGCAGAGTCCAAGCCAACCCCAAGTTGGGTCTCCAGTGCTGATCCCATTCGGGTCTCTCCCCCCAACCTCTCCATCTCAATCCACATCCTCCCTCACTCCCTTCCACAACCCTGGGCCAGAGGTTTCAGGCAAGGGGTGCCCCAGCTATAGCAAGTACTGAGGTCCAAGGAGAGCTGTATTCAGGCTTACAGGAGTGGCCACCAGCTGGCAGGGGCAGGTGCAACTTGAGGTCACATGTGAGCCACCATGGTCTCCACCCACCCCAGGCAGCTTCAGGAGGGGAAGAGAGGGTGCTCCCCCTACACCTTCCCCACTGCTGCCACATTGAAGAGGCAGCTGGGACTTCCAGAAGAGAAGCCCTTGTCTCCAAAGACCCTGGCACCCTAGTTTCCAGGTCCCCCTCCTATTCTCACCCCCACAACCGCCTGCCTGCCTGCCCTCCTCCTCCATCTCCTCCCCACCCAGCACCCATCCTATCCCCCAACCCCATCCCCTCCCCTGCAGGGAGCCCAGCCTGGGAGCACAGCAGGCTTCTCCGGGTCCCCCCTATCACCCCCACCCAGTTTCCTCTTCTAGAACAGTAGCCAGCCTAAAACATCTGGGCAGGCAGTCCTGGCCCAAGTCCTGGATTGGGGGTTGGGGGACTGACACTGAGGTCAGCTCTGTATGGATTCTCCAGCCTGGGAACGGGTGGCAGGCAGGGCATCAGAGTCAGAGGACAGGAGGGGTGGGGGGAGAGGGAGGAGCAGGGGGAAGGCAGCTGCCCCTGTCTGTTCATTAACCACCTGGATTAGCCATTTCTGCCCAGAGGGGTGAGGAAGGAGTAAGGGCTAGTGGTTGGAGAGGGCAGAGGGGGCACTTCTGCCAGTCTGTGCCCATGGGCAAGGGAGCAGGGCCCACACTGAGGAGTGGAGATGGGAAAAGTGCTTTGAACCCTAACCTTGCCAGGCCTGCCAGCCCCTCCCTGCAGCCAAGGTCAGACCTCAGGGAGCTAAGTGAGCCCCTAGAAGAAAGGTGCCCTCACAGCAGCTCAAGTGGGTGGCAGGGAAAGAGATGAAGAAGAAAAAATACTCATCCCCCTGCAATGGGCAGGCAAGTAGCAGAAGAGACTCCCAAGCTTCCCCCTCCCTTGGTCCCTGTGTCCCTCCCTACTCCTGTAGCTGGCCTCAGTCCCAAGCAGCCACTGACACCAGCAACTTCCCCAGCAAACGAAACTCCTTCTGACTGGTTGCTCTCTCAGAGCAGGGACAAGCCGCACCCCAGACATCCCTGCCAGAACCACAGAAACATCTGAAGACAGGGGACTGACAAGGTTGGCCTCTGAACAGCTTGCCTGACCCAGAGACATGGGAACAGGCAGGCTGACCTCACCTTCTCCTAATCTGATCTGTGGTCTTGACAGCATCAGTATCAACAGCCCAGCAGCCCTGGCCGGCTCCATTTCCCTCTACACACAAATATAACACGCACACTCACACACACGTACACCATCACACACGCACATTCATTCACTCACCTTTCCTGCAGAGGAGCCACTAAGTCAGGTGGGTGTCTGGGCCAAGGGACTCCCAGGACAGGGGCGGTGGCCAGTGGCGGAGGCAGCAGCTGTGGCTGGCAAGAAGCTGGTTTCCCCCAGAAGAAGGCAGCGAGTGAGCCTGTGTCCAGGCAGGGAGCGGGGTGCAAGGAGCAGAGCTGGTCCCAGGGCCACTGCTGGGAGCAACTGAGCAGAGGGCTCTGCTAGTCGGGTTCCCTCCCAGGCCAGCCCAGGGGGCGGGCCAACAGTGCACCGCCTCCTTCCCGGAGCCAGCCAGCAGTGGGCCCCCTCCGCCAGCCATGGCCTCCTTTAACCCCTGCAGTGCTCTGCTGGCTGCACTCTAGCTGGCTCTGGGAAGGCCGTGTCAGGGCACAGACACCTGGGGCAGGAGATCACCAGGGAATGTGGCTGCCCCTCCTTCAGCCACTGGCCCAGCAGCTTCCCTGGGGACAGGACGGGAAGGGCCAGAAGGCTTGGGGGACAGGGGTGGGGAAGCGGGCAGGGAGGGGTCAAGACTCTATAGAAAAGACGCAGGTGCAGAGAAATGGCCAAAGGGCTTCTGGGTGGAGAAGAATGTTTGCTGAGATGGTGATGATGATAATAATAATAATATAGCAACTCTCAGCTTTTCTACAGCACTCTGCTTTCCGCTGTTTCCAACTCATTTTGTGACTGGAGGCCAGGAATCTCACTTCTGAACCTGCTTTTTTCTTAGCTGTCAAATGTGAGATAGTAATCTCTGCTGTTTTCTCTGGGCTGAGTTAGGACATTTGTGACTGTACATTCAAAAGTCATTTAAGCTGAGCTCCAGTTAATGAAATACATGCTTCAACTCTCTTTGAAATGGATCAAAAAATAAGATGGATTGGCAGAAATGTGATAAAGCAAATATATCAAAGTGTTCATTGTAGGAGTTTACCATATAATCATTTCAACTTTTGTACATGCATGAAGTTTTCCATGATAAAAATAATGGGGGAAGTGATGTGAAAAGTTTAGAGCACCATATGAAAGATAAAAGTGAAGAAGCAGATAGGATTATTTAGAAAGGAAGGGGAAAAGTTATTTGCTACACACCTATCAGATGCTGGCCACTAAAGACTATTAACTCTCACTTAGTCTTCTAATCACCCGGTTATTATAGCTGAAGATCGTGACCTCGGAGCACAGAGGTGACTTGTGGAAGTCCAAGCAGGACTGTGCGGAGGACCTCACACCTGAACCTGGCTGGCTCCACAGCCAAGCTCCACACCACTCAGACATCCAGAGGTTGAAAGGCCCTTCCTTCTCTTCCGCATCTGGGTCAGTGGCCTGCACCTCCGAGCCTCAGTTTCCTCTGCGACAGAAAGGTCTTTAAGAACTTTTCCGGTCTTAACACACACTAATTTTATTAATTCAGCCAAACCCTTCCCCAGGCTTCAGTTTTCCCCAGAAGTACAATGACAGGGGAGTCCCTGAGAGGGGATATGATTTTGGAGCATGTGGGGCCAGAGCCACAGGGAGATGGCCAGTACTTTGGAGGGCTGCCTCGCCCCCAGTCAGAGACAATGAAACCCTTGGGGATAGGGGAGAGAAGGACAGCTTCTCAGGACCTTATATGGGGAGGGCAGAGATAGAAGCATCGCTCCACTCATCCTCTGCCTCCAGAGCAAGATTTCGTCCTCTCCTAGCTGGAAAGAGGGTCTGGGTTCTGAGTCCCAAATTCCAGCATCCAGAACCCACCAGCTTCAACAGCAGCCTCAATCTGTGAGAGTGTGGATGCTGTCCACAAATGGCAAGGATGGTGAAAGCAGATGGACTATGGGGACACTTGGCCTAGTCCTCCCTAGCCGTCGGCCCAGCCTCAAACCAAGTCTCCCACTCACTGGTCCCAACTCTACGGCAAAGGTGACCCCAACAACATTATCCTCCTTAACCCCTACCTGCCACCCCCACTGCAGACTAAGGGCTCCTCTGGGGCTTGGGTCAGCTCTGCTTAGATGAGGGAAGTTAGGGGATCCCGGGTCAGTTTCAGCTCTCTAGAGGTGGATGTGGGGATTGTGCTATAAAATTAGAACCCCTCCCACTAGCAGGTATCCGGAACAGCAGAATCCTCCATCTTCCCCTTCTCTTCCTTCCAACCCACATCCGTATTATCCCAACGGACATCAAAGCGTCCCAGCTCCCCACTGCCTGCTACTTCCAGTCCAAGCTCTGCAGTGGAACATCCCAGCCTTTCCAACCTTGTCTCCTTCCATCCTCCAACTTTGACGGTCAGGCCTTTCTCGTACACCATTCCCTCTCCTCCCTATCAGCATTCAGGGCTCAATTCAGAAGCCATCCTCCCTGGATCCTTCTCCAGACTCACCACTTGGTGGGCACTGTCCCCTCCTCTGAGCACCTGGGGCTTCCGCGGCTCACTAACGCCCTGACATGCAGTGGGTCAGGTGCACTTCTATGGCTCCCATTTTTGGAACGATAAGGGATTTGTTCATTGTCTCCCTTCCCCTTTCCTCATTTGGTCAGTGCCCAGCACAAGGCTGACACATAGTAGAGTCTCAATAAGTGTGGAATGAATAAATGAATGATGAAGAGATGGATGGATGGATAATCAGTTCATGATTGAATCAAAGGGCATTTTAAAATGCTTAATACAGCACTAGGCTGTACCAAAGATACTCATATGAAGACTTTTATTTTTGAAGCTATATAATCGCAGGCAGAAACACAGGCTTTGCTAGGACCCAGGACATCCCAGACACATCCCACAAAGGTCTGTGACAGATTGGGCTGGGAGACGGGGCGACCTGGAAGACCCCTCCTCCAGCCACTCTCAGGAGACTTTGGAGGTTACACTATCCATCCCCTACCCCATCATCACCCCTCTTTCCAGCCTGCCTGCTCCAGCACCTGGGTATAGAACTATAAACCCAGCAAGTCCCTTGAAACCTTAAGAAAGGAAGTCAACAAGCTAGAGGATTTCACAGAAAAAGAGCAGCTTTCCTCCTTAATTCTAAGAGCTGTCCCGCAGCCCATCATCTACCCTCAGCTCTCCCCAGTGTCATTTCCACCATCGCTCTCTCTCTCTCTCTCTCTCTCTCTCTCTCTCACACACACACACACACACACACACAGTAAAAACTGCTCTCTGAACAAGTCTGCTCAGCCCCCTGGCTCCCTCCTCCCAACTCTTCCTTCCAAGCCCCTGAGGACCAGGGTTCCCAGGGTCTCCACCTCCCATCCCCAGCCTCCTCCCCACCTCCTTAAGCCAACCCATGCTCCTCTCCTTGTCCCTACCTCCCTCCCTCCCACCCCAATGCAGGATTGCACATCTGGTTCCAGTTGCGGTTGGTCCCTTCAAGGGTAGGCCTGGGGGTTTCTCATAAAACTGAATAATACCAGCCTTGGAGCCCGATGGAACTTGGGGGAGGGAGGGCAGGAGGCTGAAGGGGTGGGGGAGCAAGAAAAGAAGACAGGGAGAAAAGAGGTGAGGAGATACAGAACCGAGAAAGGAGATGGCAGTGCCTGGCATCGAGCAGGCGCCCAGTGGATGCCTGTGAGCTGCAGACAGAGGCTGCAGAAACAGATGGCAGGAGAGCCAGGAGCAGAGAGAATGGGACAAAGAGGGTGTCAGAAACAGAGACCCAGAAGGAGGAAAGAGATGGAGCTGGGGGTGGCGGGACAGAGCCTGGAGCAACAGAGAGGCCATTGAGGAGAGCAGGGAGCAATGAATTGTGTGTGTCGGGGCCAGGTGCTGAGTTAGGCACTTCCACTGGAAGAGAAGGGACGCGACAGAAAGGGGACAAAGGACACAGAGAAGCAGAGAAGAAAGGCGAGGAGAAAGTCAAGAGAAAGATGGGGCAAGGTCCAAGCTTCGTGAATCCAGTTTTCCCTGGCCTCTCAGCCCCAGCCCCACCCAGGGCCCCTCAGTGGCCGGGACAGGAAGGGGAGTTCAACCCAGAGATGCCTTCATTTGTTCCTTCATTTCACTTTAATCAACATTTAAGCTCCTGCCCCGCGCCAAGCTTTTCCCATGTGCACTCCACACAGATGCGCGTGAAAATGTGGAAGTGCCTATGATTCTCACCTCAGTCTTAGAGATGGGCTCAGAGCAGTGAAGTTAAGCAAAAGCACAAAGCGGCTAATGAAAGAGATAGAATTTCAATGCAGCTCTTCCAACTCAAGCCCATGTCACCAGGTAACACAACTAGGAATTCCAGGTCCCAGCACTACCTCCGGAGGGCACCACATCACCCGACTCCCACACTCAAGGAGCCAGACTCTCAGGTTCTTACAGCACTAAGGTGAAGTTCCTCTGAGCTGCGCTAAAAGCTGACAAGATTCCCAGCAGGGAGGGGTCGGTTCCCCAACTCTTCCTGTGATGGGTGGGAAGTGTTAGTCTCTGGGGCAATTACTGGAGCCGCCTCCTCTAGCACCCTGGGCCCTCACTCTCTTCTTCCCCCTCCATCACAGAGAAGGAAGGGCCACATGCCCAGGTCCCAAGGGGAGAGGCCACTGGGGCACCGCTCTGCTTCCTTCCCAAGATGTCCTGGGGCAGAGGCTATTCTGGGCCTCTGAATCCTGCTAGGCCCAACACACCCCATAGGGAGCCAGGCCCCAGGGGCCACTCTAGGCATGCAATGTCTATGCATTTGAGCTGTACCTTCCCTCTTCTGACCATGCCCTCCCCGCTACAGCTAGAGATGAGTTCGGGCTGTCTCCCAGGGTGCTTCCATCTCAGGATCACCCCCTAGTGGGGCCTCCTCACTAGGGCTCACTCCAGAGATGACCCCAGAAGCCACATTCACGCTGCTGCCCTGAAGCCCCCCATCCTTGCCCTTCCTTCCTAATGTCAGGTCTTCTTCTATGTCTCATCCTTAAAACTCAGGCCAGAAGGAGGCAGGAGTAGGGGCACCCCCTGCTCACCACTGTGTCCTCTATGACATCTCATTGGCATGCATCTGCATTTGCATCCTCTCTCAAAGTGCAGAAATGTGCACAGCGCCAGGCCCTTTGCTGCACATCCCCACCTCGGGAAGGAGAAGTGCTGGGCTTTCCACATTCCAGCTTCCTACTCAGATTTGTACCATAGTGTCAGGGCAGAGGATGGAAAGGGAAGGAGAGTCGGGGGAAAATGGCCCACCAACAGCTTATCCCCAAGGCACACACTGGCAGCCCCTCCCTCCTCTCACCCTGCCTGTTTCTAGCCAGAAGAGCACTTGGGTTCAGCACCAAGAGCCTCAGACTAGGAGTCAAGGCCTCAGGTTCCAGCCCGACTCAGCCTCCAACGCCCTTGGTGACCAGAGGAAATTCTCAGTCCCTCTTGGATTCGATCTCCTCATCTGATGGCCTTAAGGTCTCTTGGAGATGCCCGGAAACATGTTTCTAGGCAGACGTTGGTCCTTGGCAGAAAGTACTGCACACAAACCCCTGTCTCCCCTGAGAAGCATAATTTTAAAGCAGGAAGGACCCTGGGGCTCTAGCTGCCTCCAGGGCAGGGTTTCCCTTGGACCTATCCCTGCAGAGACCACTGGCATCAGCCTGGATTCCTTCAGGGAGCCCTCCTTCCCATAGCATCACACCTACCATCCCAAACCCATTATTTTGAGGCTTCTAGACCAGATAACTGGGGAATCCCCAGATCTAGACTATCTGTATCTCAGGAAGGTGTTGGCAGGATCCCTGATGAAATTCCTGGAGACAAGAGAGAAAGCTGAGTAGATTCCTAGCCAGCAAGCAAAGGGGTGTTGATGAATAGATCAATGTCAACTTCCTGACTTGCCAAAGGGCTCCATCCTCTGCCCTGGCTTGTTCAACATACTTATCAGTAACTTAGGTTACAACTTAGAAGGGAGGCTTACCAAGCACACCAAGGAACAAAAAAAAAAGAAAAGAAAAGAAAAAAGCACAGGAAAAGCTAAGATGCTGAAGTGAACTGAAATGCAAAGCTGACTTTATAAATGAGCCAGAATTAGCAAGGGAACATTTTTCTTGGGGTAATGTCCAAAACAAGGGTTCCAAAGCCATAAAAAACCTGAATCGATAAGAGTTCATACAGCAAAAGGTCTAAAATTTATTGAAAACAGAAATTCAGTTTAGCTAACAGTAGGATATGCTTGCCCCCAAAAGGCACAGGCACTTTTGGTTGTATTAATGGAGGTTTAGCATCTAGACCAAAGGAGATAAGAATTCTACTCTACTCCACCAGACACCATCAGAAATGTCAGTTTCTTTTCTGTACCCTATAAGCCAAAGAGCATCCAGAGGAGGACAGCAGTAGACACTCAGTAAATATTTGTTGAATAAAAACCACAAGGAAAGGTTAAAGAAACCGAGCCCAATTTTTATTTCAGATAATAAAAAACACAGCAAGCACCATCAGCACCTTGAAAAAATTGTCTTGGGAAAGTGAACCACAGCAAATGCCACTGCCCACGTGCACCTCCACTGTCTCTCTGCCCCTTCATCTGTGAACTCCTTGAAGCCTAGGGCCATTTCCCATTCATCTCTGAATGGCCAAGAGGTAGAAACTACCAGGAGCAGCTGCTAGGAACAGGATAACATCCTGACAAGGCCAGGCCTGTGGGCCCTGGTCACTGGGGAGCGTGCTGGCCACACCCCGAGAGCTGACCTTTAGCCAAGCTGGCTCCTGGGCTGGGGGAGGTGAGGAGGTCTGGCTGGTGGCGGAACACTTGGCTCACATGTGCTGTCCCAGGTAGGCCCTGGTGCTGGCCAGCTGGTTCCCACTCCCTAGGCCTCCCCTCCTGCCACCATCTAGTAGCCCTATGGAGACCGATCCTAGCCAGGCATCCTCGCCCAAAGCCCAGAGCTGTCCACTGGCCCAGGTCCAAGTCTGGTTCCTCTCTCTCTTCTTCTCTTCCTTCTTCTGTTCCCCTCCCTCCTCTGCTGTCACCCGCACGGCCCTCTTCCTCCTCTGCACTCTTCTGCGCAGCACCTTCCTTCCCCTCCCCTGCTTCAGTTTACCCCTCGGCTCACTTTCCATCTCCCCGAGCCCATCCTCCAGGGCTCTGCTCATGGCCAATCTCCCTGCCCCGGGCTCCGAGGGAAAATCTCCCCGTTGCTGCACCCTCCTCCGCTCCCTAGAGTTTTTAGTGATGTAGCACTTTCAGGGTTGGAGAGAGCTGGAAACTTCCCTCCTGAGGACTTCGGATCCACCCCTATAGAAAATAATCATCACCTTGCTCCACTTTGAAATGGGGAGCTATCCCTCCAGGGGGAAGGGAATCACAGAAACCTGGCCCCATCCTACCAGGAGTGGAGAAGAGATCCCAGGCTTTGGAAGTGCACCGACCACATCTGAAGCTGTGTAACCTCGAGCAAGTTATTTCACTGCTCTGAGTACTGAGTGCAAGATCTGGCCTAGAGCAGCTCTCCATAAATGTTGGCTCCCCAGACATTCTCCTCCTTCAAAGAAGCCGTCACCACCCCCATCCCAGAATTACGATTCATCTCTCTGTCATGTATCTCCCTGCCTAATAATGCTCAGATTTAGTGAGTGTTTCCCAATTGACATACTGTTCCTAGAGCTTTGTGGGGATTAACTCATTCTAATCCTGCCAGCACCCCATTGGGTATTGACCTTTATGAATCCCATTTTACAGAGGAGGAAACTGAAGTTCAGAGACATCAGCTATGTTTGCTACTCCTCTCCTAACTACAGCAGCTGCAGCAAGCCGGCAGGGCCTCAGGGCCTGGCTGGACCACATTCCAGCATATCAGGGCTCTCCTTGACCTGACAGGGGCTCGCCCGCCCCTGCCTACACACCCCAGGCCCTCAGGGCTCACTCCCCATCCTCAAGGCGGCTCCCACCACTGGGGGAAACCTGCTTCCTGGAACCCTTGGTTTTGCTTCAGGGAACAAATCTCCCCAAAGCTTTATTCAACACACACACACACACAGCCACGCAATCACTGGAAGTCTCCCATAGTGGTAGCTTCACAGGCTAGACGTCCCCAGGTTTTTCAGTTTCTGTACTCTTCCACATGCCAGGTGCTCAGTGGTTCTTTCTCTGGTTCTGATCCTTTTCCAGTTGGCTCCATCCCATCTGTCCCTCACCCCTTCATTCCACAAGTACTTTCTAAGTGCCCGCAGTGGCCCAGGCCCTGTGAGGCCCTCCAGGCAGAACATGAACACAGCCAGATGGGCCCCTGCCCTCAAGGAGCACTTGATCTAGGAGAGGGAGCCGCTGAAGGAACAAACACAAACACACAACACAAATCGTGCTGAGTGACCTGAAGGGAAAGAACAGGCGGCCGGAGGGAGAGACATTTAGATCCCAACAGCTGATGGGCACTTAACATGTGCCAAGCCCTGGTACAGCCCCAGTGCCTGCATTCACTCATTCCCTCCTCTCCCCATACCTGGGAGTAGATGTTATTCTAACCCTACTTTGTACAGTTGAGAGAGCTCAGACGCAAGAGGTGAAGCCACTTGTCCAAAGTCAATGATAATGAGACAGCAAATAAGCAGGGGTGATAGGACTTGATTCCCAAGTTTGTACTCTTAACCACTATGTCATATTGCCTCTAAAAGGCCCAGAGAGGGTTCATTAAGGCCCACTTCCCAAACCGGTGACTCTCCCGCGCCACACACACACACACACACAAAAGCCAGCAGCAGCCTGCCCAGTGCAGAAGTCAGCAGGCCCAGCCTGGTGAGGACATGGACACCACACTGTGATCTTATCCATGTACCCAAATGCAGCACTGGCTTCACCAAGATGGCAGTCCCCAACCTCCAGACTTTCAGCTTGTTCTCCAACTCGGATGGCGTGGACACTTGACCTTTACGCTGGTAGGCTTCAAGGTGGCTGGAGGGACTGGCTAAAACAACATGAATGGGGCTGATGAAGACCCCTTCCCAGCAGGGCTTGCTTGAGAAATGGATCCTGGTCTCATGGATGCGAACAGGATTGGGGCAAGAAGGGCCCCCAAATCAGGGAAACAATCACTCCAAGCCCTCCCCAAGGCCACCCAATCAAGGCTCACAAAATGTTGAGGATTTAGAGTTGAGCAGCCCAGTCCTTTCCTTGTAATGACATGGAAATGAGGCCCAGGGAGGACAGGTATGGAGTCCCAAAATCACCATAGGGAGGAGCTCAATGACGTCAACCCTAGACAGGGCTCCAGCTCCCAGCCCAGCGCTCAGGCCTCTGCATCACACTGGTCCCCAGGAGAGGAGATGCTGGCCTGGCCATCTGGGGATGGAAGCAGGAGCCTCACGTCTGTTCCTAATGTCCATGAGGAGGGAAAGAGCAGCTCGGGCCCCTGGGGCAGTGAGGGATCTGCAGGGCCCAGATGAAGGATGCTTGGGCTCCAGGAGCAGCACAGTCCTGCCCTCCATTAGATGATCCTAGCAGAGGCTGGGGCGGAAGGGGTGGGAGAGTGCGGGGCAACAGCTACAGCCCCGCCCTCTGGGTGCTCCTCACCAGGGACCCCATGGGTGACTGTTTTCTTGGAACATTGTGTTCAGGCTGTGAGCCTTGGCTCAAGCAATCTACCCTGGCAAATCTCCAGCTGCCTGTTTAATAATGTACAGCCAATCGGCCATTAACTGCAAATTAAAAAAATAAAAAGAAAGAAAGAAAAGTTTGGTGGTTATTTCTGTTGTTGGGTTTTGGGATTTTTCTTCCAAGTACTTGGTGGTGGTTGTGAAAAACAAGTCTCTGGCCAGCGTTCAGGCCAATCATAGCCTGCCCTGGCTGGGGGACCCTGGCAGTTCCACTTGCCTTTGCCCACTCCCACCCACCTCACTGAGCCCAGGTGCCAAAGAGCCCGCTCCCACCTCCACAATCCTGGTGACGCCCTGGGTCAGCTACACTAGGGGAGCCACAGGGTGGCCTAGGAGGACCGAGGGAGGGGACGTGGGATGTGCTGGCAGGCAGAGGGAGCCCAGCTCTAAAGAGGCCAGTGCCTCCTAGGAATTCCACTCCCGTCTGGCCTGTGTCAGGAGCAGAAAGTAGAGCTGGCATGGCAAAAGCAGGTGTGAGGAGCTGAGTGAGACACCAGGTGGCCAGCTGTCCCCCTTGGGTACCTCTCCTGGGTTTCAGCTGTTTTCCATGTGGGATTCAAGACTTGCAGTCAGATCAGGGGAACCCAAAACCAGAAGACTCAGGAGAGCATTTAGGGCCAGAAGGGGAGACACTGATCCTGTAAGAAGATTCAAACAGAATGGTCCTGGGCCATCTGCAGAAGCTGGCTTGGGCTAATAAGCCCGCCAGGCTCTCCTTGTCTCTCCAGCCTGGCGAGGTGCTGCCTCCCCAAACTTCTAAGCAGAGCGAGGCAGTGCCGCATGTGGAAGGAGGCAGGAGCCAGGGGCTGGGCTCCTAGGGCTCTATTCTGGCTCCCTGGTGACCCTGCCCAGTCTCATGCCCTCTCTGGGTCTCCATCTTGTTGCTATGCTGCAAGCGAATGAGCTGCGGTCCCCCATCCTGTGTGGGAATGTCAGCCAGAAAGAGACTGCCAAGGCGAGATGCAGCGCAGCCAGCATGGACCCTAATCCTGATGATGATGGTGATGGCGATGATGCTGATGATGATGATAAGCTATCATCTATGGAGCTCTGAGGGTGCTCCGGGTACTCTATCTGGTTTATTCCTCCTGGTAACTAAGCAGGTACTGTGATTATCACCATGATAAACAGGAAACCGAGCTTTGAAGAGGGTGTCACTTGTCCAAATGTCACAAGGCTAGGGAGTGATCAAGGCAGGAGTTGGACTCAGGCCATCTGGCCTCAGGGCCCTTTACCATGCTGCCTTAGAGAGTCCAGTGCCAACTCCACTGCCAAGGAGGGTGGCGCAGACCCCACTGTCAAGAGCCCCAGCAGCCCTTCCTGCCCTGCCTGCACATCGTGCTGCTGACCTCTCCTTCCACCATCCAGCCTCCCAGCCACCCCTTGGGCCTTTGCTTCCTTTGTGTTCCCCAGGCCCCCTGTGGGCTTCCTGCACACATGGTGCCCACACACTCTCATGAGTAAAGGACCCAAAGATCCACATTGGCAAACACTTGCCCCCACACAGGCACATCGCCACACATACACATGCACAGAAGGGTCCTCAGACACACAAAAGATCCATGCACACACTTCCGTGAATGTACACACACACACACACAGGCACACTCATGAGCTCCACCCAACAGCGGCTGGGTGCAGGTACCCACGGGCTGTCTGGGCAGCCAGAGCCGGACAGGTGTCCGCCATAGTCCCCAGGGGGTTACTCCAAAGAGGAGAAACTGCTGGCTAATAACACTGCAGCACATTCCTGGGCCAAGATAAGTGGCTCCAGGCATCCTCAGCACGTTCCAGCCTCAGTGTCTCACCCCCGTGGGTTCCACGCCCGCAGTGCCAACTGGGAGGAACTGCAGAAGGTGGCACCACCAACACAGGTGCCCTGGCCAGGAACCAGCCACTCTCCCTTCTAGCCAGCTTCCCCCTCTCCAGGGGCCCCAGGACCATGTGGGCCTCAGTTTCCCCTCAGAGACATCCACGCAGGGAAGGAGGGGAAGGTCTGTATTCATCCTGAGAAGTGGGCCCAAACACGAGCCTTCCTCCCGCACAGTGCCCGTCCACCACCAGTCCCTCCAAGCTTATTCATCCTGAGAAGTGGGCCCAAACACAAGCCTTCCTCCCGCACAGTGCCCGTCCACCACCAGTCCCTCCAAGCTGGGCCAACACACACCCCACTGTACTGCCTCAGGCACCAAGTACTCAGTGCCTGGGCAGATCCTGGGCAGCAGGAGGTTACAGAGCCCCTCCTAAGCAGTGGGAGGCGGTCAACACCTTATCTCATCATGACTGTGGCTATTTGACAGGTGAGGGGACTGGAGCTCACTGAGATAGCACCCAGAATGTGAACCCAGGTCTTTCAAGTCCTAAGCCAGGGGTCTGTCCATGGCCTCAAACAATCCTCCCTCCTGGCCAGCTCTTGGAATTGAATATTTTCAGTGACACTGGGTAGATCAGGGACAATGTCCCTCTCAGGGAAAAAACTCATGTTCATTACAGGCTCAGAGACAGGGGACTCTCAGCACACACAAACAGGTAACGCTCCCACAAAATGTCAGGCATCTGGGGGTTGTTCTGGGGCCTCTGCAGCTGCCTTGAAGTGGGAGGGGTGTCCTTGGAACAGGAGATTGGAGGACATGAGCCCCCCCACCAAGTCCCAGAGTCACGGAAGGCTCTGGAGGAAATGGGAGCTGTGAAGTCAGAGAAAGGGGCTCCCCCACCCAGGGGTCAAGAGGATGGGGTCTTTGAATTTTGTTTTTTTTGTTTGTTTGGCTTGGTTAAAAAGAATTTTTTTTAATAGAAACAGTGTCTTGCTACATTGCCCAGGCTGGTCTTGAACTCCTGGGCTAAAGGGATCCTCCCACCTCAGCCTCCTAAAGTGCTGGGACTACAGGCATGAGCCACCGCACCCGGCCACTCTTTGAACTTTGGGCTATGGATCAGGGTGAAGGGCTGAGACCTGGGGAACAAGGGAGGCTCCTGGAGGGAACATGAGTGATACAGAGTCCTGAGGGGCGCAGCAGAAGGGGGAGTAACAAGGACGCAGAAAAGAGAAAGAACAAAGAAATAAAGACAGGGAGGGGGATCTGAAACACCCGAAGGAGCAAGGCTGCGGGGAGAGGATGGAGACACAGGCGCTGGAAAGTCCTGTGGGATCCTGGTGGTCCTAGAGAACAGCCCTCGCTTCAGTCTCTTTCTCCCCCTGTAACCTGACAAATGTTCTAGGGCTGCAGTTCTAAAGTCTGTGGACACCCACACACTCACACACACACAGCTCACACACATGCACCCCTAAATCTCAAGTGTCCCTCTGGGCAGCTCAGTCAATGAGGTCTAGAGCTGTCCCAGGCACTTCTCCAATGAGAAAACTGCGGCCCAGAGAAGGGCTGTGGCTTTCCCAGAGGTGCCTTGGATCCTGGGGAGATTGCTGGGAAGAGGACCTATGTGTCCCCATGGCCTCAGTTTCCTGGAAGACAATAAGACCAGCCAGTCAAACTGAGGCATGAGGCCTCCTAAGAAAAGGAAGGAGAGGAAGGAAGCAGCTCAGGGACTCTGGGACGTGACTTTCCCAGCCCTAAGGAGACGGGATCAGGGAGCGTCAGAGCAGTGACCCAAGCTTGACAGCAGCTCAGAGAGGACAGGACCTTGGCTAGCAATGAAAGCACAGGCTGGGGGCACGAGGAGTAGGACCACGGTATGGAGCGCAGCTGGAAGACGGGGTGTGTTCCCACGAGGCCACCCCCAGGGCGGCCCGCCCCCACCCCGGTAAGGCAGCTGTGCTTCCCAGAGCCCAGTGGCCCCATGGTGGCCAGCCCCTTCCGAGCCAGCCAGGCAGCCTTACATGGACATCTCAGGGACATGGTATTTATGAGATGAGGTATCCAGTGAAGCAGCCATGCAAGCTCCCCCTCCCTGCCCAGCTTCACTCCAAGGTGCCGCACTCCTCCCACTGTGTCTCTGCATACACACCCAGCCCCTTCCAGAGCCCCCTCTCCTTCCTGGGGACAGGACGGTGGGACTGGCAGGCTAAGGCTGTACATGAGAGGGAGCCGACACTGGACTCCTGATTTCACCAGGTAAAAACCATGAAATAAGGACCCATCAGAAACAGTCAGCATGTATCACCAATTGGCCGGTGAAGATGGTGGCAATGATATATGTCAATATATGATTACTATGGAAATAGACAGAGGCCTGAGAGAGCACAGCTTCTATGTTCTTCTGCCTGATTCAAAGAAACCAATCCAAATAAGACATTTTTGAGATAATTAGAGAAAATTGAACACAGATGGGGTAGTAGCTGATCATAAGAAATTATTATTAATGATGTTAACTGTGATAATGGTATTATGGTAATGTTAAAATAAAAAGTCCTTATCTATTAAAGATGCATACTGAAGTATTTAAAGTAAAGTGATATAATGTCTGGGGTTTGCTTGAAAAGTACTCCCGCAAAAAAAAAAAAAAAAAAAAAAGGTGGGGAGAAGAGGGAGAACAGATGAAACAAAAACAGCAAAAAATGGATGGTTGTTGAAGCCGGGGGTAGGTACAAAGGAGTTCATTGCATCATTCTTGGTACTTCTGTATAGGTTTTAAATCTCCCATAATAAAGAATTCACACACACACACACACACACACACAAAAGGAGGAGCTCATCTGATTCCAAGTTTCCTAAAGTGTGAGATTCAAGATGATCTTAGTTGGAAACATAGCACAATTTTATTTTAATATTTATGTATTTCAAGAAAAATTAAAAACATATCGTAGACCAAGACCATACCTTCTATCACTTAGAATACATAAAAGGTTTAAAAAAAAGCAAACTGGGTTTTTTTAAATGAAGTGAGCAGTCGTGTAGGATGGTGATAACTGACATGGTCAAATGGGAAAGGAGAAAATGCCAGATGCCGTTAGGAAACAGTGAGCTCACCCAAGGTGCCCCTTCATGGGAAGCTGACATGCAGTCCCACACGGCAGTCACGCACCCTCTTCCCAAACCGTCGTCTGCATCCTGAGCATGCAGGTTCATGGCTACACGGGAGACATCGGTCACAGAGGAAGAGCACGCTGGCGGTGGGTGGGTGGATGGCTGGGATGGAGAATGACGATGGTAAATGATGATGACAGTGGCTTTTCACCAAGGGTGGCTCTGGACTAGTTCTTTACTTCCATTTTCTCCAATCCCCACATAGCCCTCATGGGTAGACCTAACCATGTCCATCTTACAGACAGGTAAAGTGTGACTGAGAGAGGAGAAGCGACCTTCTCAACGCCCCAAGACCAGTGGGTGGCAGAGCCGGATGTTGAACTCACATTTCTTTGACACCCAAGCCTGCACTTGTTGAACCGCCCAGGCAGGCAGGTAAGCAACCAGTCCAGCGGGAGCCTGAGGCCCAGCAGATGGTGGGTGAGGTTAGGGTGGGTTAGGGTAGTGCCCTGAAGAAGGCTTCCTCCTTGCCCAGGTTTCTAACTCTACACCTCTAGGAAACTGAGGATGGGAGAATGAGGAACTCAAACCTTCTACAAGGTTCTCAGCACCTGGAGATCCGCAGCCAGTTTTCATGGCAGCCCAGGCCCCAGGCCACTGAGCAAGTCTTGCCTCCCATTCTTGCATCTTCTCTCAGGACCAGGGTCCTGTGTCCTGGGATGAGACAGGCTGAAGGGGAACCTAGTGCTGCACTGTGCGGGGAGGGGGCTGTTGGGACATCGGCAGCCCAGGAGTCCTGGTTTCACCCATTCCTTAGCTGTGTAATGTAAGGCATGCAGCTTCACCTCTCTGAGCCTCAGTTTCCCCCTCCTCCCCACCTTACTTTCTCTGTTCCTGCTAAAACTGGAATGGTAGTAATAGCAACTTCTTCATGGGTTGTTTGAAGAATTTATTGACACAACTCACATAAAGCACTTAGGATGGAAACTGGTGTCTTAGCATGGAACCTTAGCATGGAACCTGGTATCTTAGCATGGAACCTTAGCATGGAACCTGGTATCTTAGCATGGAACCTGGTGTCTTAGCATGGAACCTTAGCATGGAACCTGGTGCCTTAGCATGGAACCTGGTATCTTAGTATGGAAACTTAGCATGGAACCTAGTGCCTTAGCATGGAATCTTATCATGGAACCTGGTGTCTTAGCATGGAATCTTATCATGGAACCTGGTGCCTTAGCATGGAACCTTAGCATGGAACCCTAGCCTGGAACCCGGTGCCTTAGCATGGAATCTTAGCATAAAACCTGGTGCCTTAGCATGAAGACTGGTGTCTAATTGCTTAATAAATGATAACCACTATTATTATTATTATTATGGACTATCCCACCCAATGTCCACACTCAAGCCCTTTGGTATTCAAGGTTCTGATGAGACTGGCCCAAGGGAAGCAGCTGGGTGGGCATTAGCCGGAGGACACAGAGGCAGCTGGACGCCTCTGTGGGTGGAGGGAGAGAGGGGCAAGTGGGGGCCTCAGCTCTAGCCTCTCCAGGAATGCGGCTGGGGCTGGGAGGGTGGGAGTGAGGGGAGATGCCTCGCCGCTGAGGTCAGGCCCTATTCAGAGCTGGCAGAGTGTTTATCATCATCCTCACGTGTGAAGGGAGGAGGGTGGAGAAGGAAGCCGGCAGGAGGAGGAGGAGGAGGAGCAGCAGCTGCAGAGGGTCTAGAAGGGACTCTCAGTAGGGCCACCGCTGCACAGCCCCTCACCTACCCTTGTACTGGGGTCCTAGGAGACTCCACCAGTCCCTCCACTAACTCACCCAGTGAGTGGGGGGCAGAAGGAGTGTCCCCGACTCATTGACCCATCCAGGAACAGGACATCCACCCCACAACATGTACCATTTACAAAGCTCTTCACAGCAACCCTGCAAGCCAGGTGTTATTTTCATTATCCCTATCTTACATTTGAGGAAATTGAGGCTGGGGGTGGTCAAGTGTGCTGCCAAGAATGCTCACTGATACTAGCCCCATCTCCTGGTCTCCACACAGAACACAGAGGCAGCTGGATGCCTCTGACAGTGGAGGGCAAGGGGGACCAGTGGGGGACTCAGTCTCAGCCTCTTGGGAACATGGCCAGGTCTAGGAGGCTGGCTCCCAGGGGTGGATGCAGGGCAGGGGGCATGTGAGAACAGATGTGGTCTTAGAGGGCACAGATGGCCCATGCTGTTTTCCACAGGTCCATGCCAGGCAGGCTGGGACTCTAGCACTCGGCCTCCACGTACCAGCAGCCCAGCTTCTGATCCACACCTCCAGACACACACCCCACCAGTGCGGGAAGGCTCAGCCTTTCCCCGCCCAACACAACCATTTCTGTCCTTGAGATTCCAATTAAGGGAGTCCCAGCTGCTCCTTCAGTCCCCTGTCCCCCTTCCAGTCTCCCTACCACCAGAGGACAACCCCTCCTTAGGACAACCCCAATTCCCTCCAGCTGCAGTTCGATCTGTTTCCCCCTAGGCTGTCCTCCAGGAAGACCAAGAAAAGCACCTGGTTACCCTCAGTGACTGTCTGGTAGCCACTCCTCTACTGAATCACGAACCACTCTGAGCCTCAGTTTCTCCTCGTGGAAAAAAGGAAAACAACTGGCACCCAGGGAAGCAGTAGGATGCCAAGGCCCCATCAGTGAGGGAGGTCTTTGGGATGTATGTAGGGTTTTCCCCTTGCAGGAAGGCTCCTCTCTCCCTAGCTTCCATGTCTCCCTCCCAAATCCTGGAAAGCCACATACTCCCTCTCCTCCCATCCTCCCCCAGCAGCCTATAGAACTTCAGGGAGCTCTGTCCAGTTAGGGAGCCCTGCTCAGTGGCTTTCGATTCAAATCCCAGAGGGTTTCCCACCACCATCTCAGGGTGTCTCTCTCTCTCTCTCTCACACACACACACACACACACACACAGAGAGAGAGAGAGAGAGAGGCTGAAGCTGTAATTCCTGCCTGGGCTCTATGGTTGACCCACTTTGGTCTGTCTGTTACCCTCTTCCAAACTGCTCAGATCAGAGAGAGGAACCACTTTGGTCGGCACCACCTTAGCCTCTCCTTAAAGGGAAGAATATCCCAGGTGTGTCCCCAGGAGGAGTGAAAACTCCAGGTCCAAGTCCTGAAAGTACCTGAAGCCAAGCCCTTGGCTTTCTCACTCTGGCTTAAAGGCAGGCCTTTAAAATCCTCTGATCCCCTACATACCCAGGAACAATGCTTCTCCCATCTTACAAATGAAAGGAGGGATTTGCACAAACCCTCACAGAGAGTGGGAATCAAAGGTCACAGCTGAAAACGAAAGATGCCAGGACCTGAATGATACACTTTCATCCCAAATCAGCCCGGTGGGACCCCCCCATTCTTCATTCACCCAACCCATGTTGACATAGGAAATGATTTCCATACTCCCGAGAAAAGAACTTTTGCTGAGTGTGATGATGAGTTCTCTGTATCAACTTGACTAGGCTATAGTACCCAGTGATTTAACCAAACACTACTCCAGTCTACAGTCTACAGTCAGATTAATGTCTACAGTCAGGGACCTTAAGTAAAGGAGGCTAACCTTGAAAAGGTGGGTGGCCTTCTCCAATCAATTGAAGGCCATAAGAGCATAAACTGAGGTTTCCTGAAAAATAAGATATTCTGCCTCAAGAATCTGCAACATCAACTGCTACCTGAGTCTCTGGCCTACACACTTCACACTTGCCAGGCCCCACAATTGTGTAAGCCAATCCCTTACAATAAATTTCTTAATATGGGTTCTGTTTCTCTGGAGAACCCTGATGAATAAAATGAGTAGATAAGAGAAGTCAAGAACCAGGCTGGGTGAGGTGACTCACGCCTATAATCCCAGCGCTTTGGGATGCCGAGGCGGGTGGATCACCTGAGGTCGGGAGCTCAAGAGCAGCCTGACCAACATGGAGAAACCCCATCTCTACTAAAAATACAAAATTAGCTGGGCGTGGTGGCGCATGCCTGTAATCCCAGCTACTTGGGAGGCTGAGGCAGGAGAATTGCTTGAACCCAGGAGGCGGAGGTTGCAGTGAGCCGAGATCATGCCATTGCACTCCAGCCTGGGCAACAGGAGCGAAACTCCATCTCAAAAAGAAAACAAAAAGTTAAGAACCATGGGTCCTACCAACACAAGGAGCTCCCATTGGCCATGGCTAGATCAATTGGATTCAAGAAAAAAAAATGACCATATGAGTTTATGATCCATAAAGTGAATGTCAGGGTGTCCATACTGACAAATAAATAATGGAATAAATCAGTAAAATGGGGATAAGGCACCATTCTTTACAGTAGAATTCCAGTTAATAAATGTAGAAAGAATGATGGAAAGAGAAAATCAAACACACCCAAATTGAGGGACATTCTTCAAAATAACTAACCAGCACTCTCCAAAAGTGCCAAACTCATCAGCAACAAAGAAAGACAGAAGAACTGTCCCAGATAGGAGAAGACTCAGGAGACACGATGACCACATGCAATGTGGGATCCTGGATTGGATCCTAGATCAGAAAAAGGGCAGTGGTGGGAACACTGGCCAAATTCTACTACAATCCTCAGATTAACGTCAGATCAATGTGAATGTCCTGGTTTTGATAACCGTGCATGGTTATGTAAGATGTCAGCATTAGGGGGAGTTGGGTGAAGGATATAAGGAAACTCTGTACTATTTTTGCAAATTTTGTGTAAGTTTAATCATCTCAGAATACAAAGTAACAAAACAAAAACTTGGGTTCTAAGGAAGGCACAGATTAGGGTCAGATGAGGGTCAGAGGATAGTTCAAGAATTAAGTCCTTGGAAGGGGAGAGGAGTTCAACCTGAGAGGTCCCGAGATACCTCCAGGAATCAGACAAGGGATGCTCAGACTAAGAGGGCAGAGGAGGAAGAATGCAGACCACCCAGGGAACACGGAAAACAGAACTGGCCCAGGGATAATTGGCACAGGTGCTCCGGCACGGGGTCATCACCTGGAGAGAGCCAGACTGCATCTAATGACAATAACCATGCCACCGCCACCACACCACAGCCATCACAGGTCACTGGCTATCATGCACCGGGAGCGTAAAAGCACTCTCCATACCTAGCTCATCTAATCCTCACCACAAGACTGCAGGCAGGACTCATGACCCCAGCTTATGGACCAGGAAGCTGAGAACCTGCGCACTTGAGAAAATGGCCCAAGGCTACTCAGCTATAAGCAGGGGAGGCAGGAAACAAATCGGCTCTAATGTATATTTCCAAATAGCTAGATAAGAATAATTCCAGTGTTTCTAGCATGAAGAAAAGATAAATATTTAAGTTGATGGATATCCCAATTACACTGATTTGATCTTTACAAATTATATGACTGTATTAACTCATCACGTGAGCCATGAAAATATGTACATTTACCGAAAAAAAAAAAAAAAAGGCCAGGCTCAGTGACTCACACCTCTAATCCTAGCACTTTGGAAGGCCTAAGTGGGAAGATTGCCTGAGCTCAGGAGTTTGAGACCAGCCTGGGCAACATGGTGAAACCCCATCTCTACTAAAAATACAAAAAAAAAAAAAAAATTAGTCGGGTGTGGTAAAATTTCTTAAAAATCAGCTCTGACTCCCCAGGCCCCAAATCTTAAAACAAGAGACTTTGACTGTTTCCAGTCCAACCTTCCTCCCCACAACGTAAGACAGCTACTGAGAGCTCACCTCCTCACAAGACGGCTGGTCCAGTGGAGAACATTCAAATTGTCTTCCCTGGAGGTTCGGGAGGCCTCAGTAAAGCAAAACATGACAAGCCAGTTTACACTCACTTCCTCCACCCAACCCAACTGCAGCCTCTGTCCTCAGACTTTATTCACAGAGGGGTGCTGATCATAATTGCTAGCATTTATCTATTGCTCTAAGCACTTTGTAGGCATTAATGCATTTAATTCTTACAATCATCTTATGAAGCAAGATCTATGTTTATGACTATTACAGATCAAGAACTCAAGTCACAAAGAGGCTGTGCAACTTGTCCAGTGTCAGAGATAGTGAGTGTTGAAGAAGAAAAGTCAGACTTGGCACTCAGCTCAGATTCTCTCCCCAGGCCTCTCCCTAAGCCTGGGCTCAAGTCCCCGGTCCTGGTTCCACCACCTTACCGGCTGTGTGAGCGCACTGCTCAATCATCTGAGGCGTTTCCTCCTCTGTGCCCTAGCGATTATATTAATACCTATCTTGTAGTGTTGCTGTGAGGATTAGATTAAATAGATCCTGTGTGTGCTAGGATATAGGAGTTTTGGAAGCTGCGCGCTGATGTGGAATTCAAGCCAGTGTGAGTTCTGTATGCAGACGAGGGCTCCAGGGCTTTCCTGCTGCTCCTCCAACCACATGTGACCCACGAGTGACCTTCCTCCCCTGCTTCCTTGAACAGGACCTAGTCTGAACCCAGACACCCCTGGACACCCTCGCTTGGGTGCGCCGGGCCGCGCCAGAGGAAACAGGCCAGGGGGTTAATCTGTGACTCGCTCTGTGTTCTGCTGTGCCCCAAGACACATACACCCCTCTCCTCCTAACGGCCCCCCGCTAACATCCCACCCACCTGCCCGCTGCAAGGGGCATTGGCCAAGTCACTCATCAGCCAGGAGCCAGAACCCCCAGAGAGAGGGAGCAGGGGTGTCAAAGATCCTTGGCAGGGCGGAGCAGAGATAAACAACTGCAGGGGAGGGGAATACACAGGGCCAGCAGGTGGCTGCAGGCAGAGGAATCCATTGGAACAGGTTAAGGGAACGCGAACCACAGTCATTCAGTGGAGCTGCCCTGGCCTGCTGGCTGGTGGATTTCTGGGGCACTTAGCTGTTTGTTATTTCTGGGGCACTTAGCTCTTTATTATCCTAGGATCTCAGAAGAATAGAACAAGAGTTATCTATTGAGCAAAAGCCTATCACATGCCAGGATTTTACCTACATTCTCTCTAATCCTCCCACCAACCTTGCAAGGTCAGCATGATATCAGCAAGATATCAATGTCACCATTTTTATACAGCTGAGGAAACCTGATTTCAGAGTGGGAGTGACTTGCCTGATACAACAAGGTTCATGTAAATAGCAGAGTCAAGAGCCTCCTAAGCCGGAGGCCACAGGGACTCCAACTGCATGCACCAGGCCACCTCTCCTGCTGTCCAGGCTCAGGAAGTGGGTAGTTCTAGGTCAGTGGCTTGGGAGGCTCAGAGAACTACAACTGAGTCTGAGCCTCCAGGCAGAGCCCAGCAGCAGAGAATGCTAGGTTCTCATAAGGCATCCTGGGCCTCCCTCCACACCAGCAGGTTCTCTCAGCCAAGGTGGAGCCCCAGGAGGCAAGGAGCTGCTACTCACCACTGCCAGGCTCACCACACCCCGGGAGGCGGCCGTCCACCAGCAAAGGCCTTGCTCTCCCTGCTTAGCCAGCTCAACGGGCACCACAGACCCCCCGAGCTAGAAGCCAGAAGCAGCCAGGGTGGCTGGTGTGGACCAGGGGTCTCCTCCCACCTCACCGATAGAGCTCCTAACCTGAACTGGACCTTCTGCCCTCCCCTGGTACCACACCACAAACCCCGCCCTCCTAGATCCCTCACCTGCTCAGTGGGACTCCACTGGTCTTTGTTCCCTCTAGCGTGCTTCATCCAGCATCCTGTTCCACCAGGACCCCAGGACTTTCCTCTCCTCTCTCTCTCTCTCCATTCTCCATCTCCCATTTGCCCTTCTCTCTGCTCTGGGCTCCTACCCTCCCCCTCTCTCTAACTCCTCTGGTCTCTCAGATGCAGCAAACCCTTGTGTGATGTTTACACAGCCGCAGCGTCAGAAACGCTGAAAAATATGAGACCTTTGGGGAGCCACATTCCAGGAAAATGAGAAGCCAGTCACAGCTCAGTGTCTCTTCACCCCCAGCCTTGCCCCTCCCTGCTATGGGGAGCAGGCTGCGTGTGTGTGTGTGTGTGTGTGTGTGTGTGTGTGTGTGTGTGCGCGCGCGCGCGTGTGTAAGGAGACAGCAAGAGAGAGAGAGACTCAAAGATGTCAGGGGAAGTTAAAGCTTCTTGCAAAATTGTTATAAAGCAAGAGAAAGTAGCTTCTCCCCCAAAACCTACCTCATCCTTGAATCCATCCCCAGCGAAGCTGAAGCCAGAAGAACAGACACCAGGGGAAGCAGTAACTTCCCCAGGGCCTGCATCCAGTTAAGTTGAAGAGGCATTTCCCAGGGCAAACACGGGCTCCACAAGCGCTGCCAGGGACCCAGCATCAGATGTTGGAAAATAATGCAGATCCCTAAGTCTAACCCCAGATGCACTGAGTCAAACTTGACAGGGCAGGAGTATGCTGAACAGGCTCACCAAGCGATGCTGAGGCTCACTGAACAGCACAAGGGAACACTGACCCATTGCTCTCCCCTAAGCAATGATAAAGTCAGAAAATCATGAAGTCACAGCTGTGGGGAGTAGAGGCTGAGTGTGGAACACGAAAGGTCCCTTGCTGTACTGAAATCCATCAGACATTAGAGCCAGACTCTCAGACCCGAGCAGGAAGCCCACATCACTGCCTGCTGGTTGCATAACTGGTGTTAAGACTTTCCCTTCAATGGCTCATCTGACAGTGTGAACAATCACATCTGCTTTATATGTGGTATTTCAAGGATTAAATGAGAAGAGTGTCACGTAGTCACCATGCAGGGGATACTTAATAAACAGTGTCTATAGGCCGGGTGCGGTGGCTCACGCCTGTAATCCCAGCACTTTGGGAGGCTGAGGTGGGCGGATCACGAGGTCAGGAGATCGAGATCATCCTGGCTAACACGGTGAAACCCCATCTCTACTAAAAATACAAAAAAAATTAGCCAGGCTTGGTGGCAGGCACCTGTAGTCCCAGCTACTTGGGAGGCTGAGACAGGAGAATGGCATGAACCCAGGAGGCGGAGCTTGCAGTGAGCCGAGATCAAGCCACTGCACTCCAGCCTGGGTGACAGAGCGAGACTCGGTCTCAAAAATAAATAAATAAATAAATAAAAATAAAAAATAAACAGTGGCTATAAGCAAAAGTAAGGAAAAGGTAAATTCTTTGAAAAGATCAACAAAATTGGCAAAACTTCAGCTAGATTGATTAAGATTCAAAGAAAGAAGACTCAAATTACTCAAATCACAAGTGAAAGAGGGGACATTACTACCAACCTTTCAGAAATAAAAAGAATTATGAAGAAATACCATGAATAAATCAGATAGCTAAGATAAAATAGACAAATTCCTAGAAAGGCATAAACTACCAAAACTGACTCAAGAAGAAATTAGAAATCTGAATAGACCTATAATAAATAAAGAAATTGAACTGGCAATCAAAAAACTACACGCAAAGAAAAGCCCAGGTCCCGATGGCTTCACAGGTTTAAATGTTCTCCACAAACTTTTAAAGAAGAATCAATATCAATTCTTTACAAATTCTTCCAAAACATAGAAGACAAACAAACACCTCTCAAATCATTCTATGAGGCCAAAACCAAAGATATCAAAGGAAAAAGAAAACTACCGTCCAATATCTCTTTCGAATATAGATGTAAAAATCCTCAAGAAAATGCTAGCAAAGTGAATCCAGAAACATTTAAGAAAGAGAATTATACACCATGACCAAATGGGACTTATCCCAGGAATGAAAGGTGGTTTTAACAACTGAAAATCAATTGATGTATTATACTGTATCAATAGACTAAAAAAACAAAAACTACATGATCATCATTAAAAGAATTTGACAAAATCCAACACCATTTCATGATTTCAAAAACATTCAACAAACTAGGAATAGAAGGAAACTTCCTCAACCTGATGAAGGGCATCTGTGAAAAATCCACAGCTAATATCATGCTTAGTGGTGAAATATTGGATAGTTTCCTCCTAAGTTCGGGAACTAGACAACAATTTCTGCTCTTGCCACATCTAGTAACATTGTATTGAAGTTTCCAGTCAGGACAATTAGGCAAAAAATGAAATAAAAAGCATCCTGGTTGGAAAGGAAAAACTAAAACTATATTCACAGAGGACATCATCTTGTATGTAGAAAATCCTAAGGAACCCCTTAAATACTATTAGAATTAATAAATACTGATGATTGTAAGATAAATCATCACTACACAAAATCAATTATATTTTCATATACTGACAATGAAAGACCTAAAAATGAAATTAAGAACAACTCCATTTAAAACAGCATCAAAAAGAACAAAATACTGAAGAAAAACTTCACAAAAGAAGTAAAAAATATATACTCTTAAAATTACAAAATATTGTTGAAATAAATTAAAGAAGATATAAATAAATATAAACATATCTCATGCTCATGAATCAGAAAACTCAAAATTGTTTTTTGGTGTTTTTTGTTTCCTGTTTTGATCAAAGTCTCACTCTGTCACCCAGGCTGGAGTGCAGTGGAGCAATCTCAGCTCAATACAACCTCCGCCTCCCGGGTTCAAGAGATCTTCCTACGTCAGCCTCCCGAGTAGCTGGGTTTACAGCTGTGCACCACCATGCCTGGCTAATTTTTGTATTTTTAGTAGAGATGGGGTTTCACCATGTTGGTCAGGCTGGTCTCGAACTCCTTACCCACCTCAAGTGATCCACCCACCTCGGCCTCCCAAAGTGCTGGGATTACAGGCATGAGTCACCACTCCCAGCCTCAAAATTGTTAAGATGGCAATACTCCCCCAGTTGGCCCACAGAGTCAATGCAAACCCTATCAGAATTCCAACTGGCTTATTTGTAGAAATTGACAGGCTGATCCTAAAATTTATTTAAGGGACACAGAATAGCCAAGACAACCTTGAAAAAGAATAAAGTCAGAGAATTCACACTTCCCAATTTTGAAACTTAATACTAATGATGCCAAGATCATTCAGTGGGGAAAGAATGATCTTTTCACCAAATAGTGCTGGAACAAATGGATAACCACATGCAAAACAGCATTTACCTTACTTCACATCATATATAAAAATTAACTCAAAATGGATAAAAGACCTAAATATAAGAGCCAAAACTGTAAACTCTCAGAAGAAAACAGGGGTAAATCTTTGTGACCTTGGATTTGGCAATAAATTCTTAGATATGAAAGCAAAAGCACAAGCCACTAAAGAAAAAATAAACTAGACTTCAACTAAATTCAAAACTGGCTTTTAAGACAACCAGAGAATAGAAAAAAAAAATTCAGATCTATATTTGATAAGGAATTTGTATCCTGAACGTATAAAGAACTTTTACAACTCAATAATAAAAGACAAATAACCCAATTTTTTAAATGAACAATGTCAATAAACATTTCTCCAAAAAAGATACACAAATAATCAATAAACACATGAAAAGACACTCAACATCATTACTCATCAGGGAAATCAAATCAAAACCATGATGAGATACCACTTGACATCCACTAGAATGGCTACAATCAAAAAGTCAGATAATAACAAGTGTTGACAAGGATGTGGAAAAATTGGAAACTTCACATATTGCTAGCAAGAATGTAAAATGGCACAGCTATGTTATGGGTTGAATTATGTCCCTCACAAAAGATGTGCTGAAGTCCTAACCCCCAGCACCTTTTTGAAAGTAGGGTCGTTACAGATGTAATCAAGCTCTAAAATGGGGTCATGAGGATGGGCCTTAACCATCTATGACAGTTCCTGATAAAAAAAAAAAATTTGTACACAGAGACACATAGACACAGAAGGAAGATGATGTGAGGACACAGGTAGGCCACCACGTGAAGACAGAGGATGGGTGATGCACCTACAAGCCAAGGAACACCAAAGATCGCTGGAAACCTCCAGAAGCTGGAAAGAGGCAAGGAAGGGCCCCTGCAGGTTTCAGAGGGAGCACAGGCCTGCCAACACCTTGATTTTTGACTTCTAGCCTCCAGAACTGTGAGACAATACATTTCTGTTGTTTTAAGTCACCTAGTTTGTGATACTTTTTTAGGACAGCCCTAGAAAACCAATATAAGCTATTGTGTAAAACAGCTGAGCAGCTCCTCAAAACATTAAACATAGAGTTACCCTATGACTCCACAATTCCACTCCCAACTACACACACCCAAGAGAAATGAAAACAGATGTCCACACAAAAACTTGTACATGAATCCTCATGGCAACATTAGTCATAATAACCAAAAAGTGAAACAACCCAAATGTCCACCAACTGATGAATGGAAAAACAACATGGGCTACACTCATATAATGGAATATTACTCAACCATAAAAAGGGAGCTACAGCATAGATGTACCTTGAAAATATTATGCAAAGAAAAAGAAGCCAGTCTTGAAGACCACAGCTATGAAACCATCAGAATCGGCAAATATATAGAGACGGGAAGATTAGTGGCTACTGATTGCTGGGGTGAGGTCGGGGAGAGATAGAGGGATTAGGGGTTCAAGCTAAAGGGTACAGGGTTTCTTTCCGAGCTGCTGAAAATCTTCTAAAATTGACTGTGGTGACAGTCACACAACTCTGTGATGATACAAAAAAAATCATTGAATTGTACACTTTAAATGGGCGTATTGTGTGGTATGTGAATTAGTTATACCTCAATAAAGTTGTTAAAAAAAAAAACCAGGAAAGAAAGCCCTCAACCCCAGGAAGCGCTATTAAATACATGGGATTGTGCTAGCACTGGCCAAGAAGACAGAGCTTGGTCTCCAGAAGCCATAGACCAATGGTTCTCAAATGTGGCTGCAAAGGAAGTGCACATGGGAAATGTTATTAAAATAAATTTTATTAAGATATAATTTACATACAACAAAATGCATCCCTTTTAGGAATAGAGTTCAACGGGTTTTGACAGGTGCATGCATAATTACCACAATCCAGATAGAGAACAATTCCATCCCCCAAGGAAGTTCCTTCACACACCTTTGCAGCCAATCTCCCCACCACTCCCAACTCCAGGTAACTACTAATCTGCTCTGTCACTAGCGATTTGTCTTTTCCAAATTGCATTAAAAGGGAATCACCCAGTATGTGCCCTTTTTGTGTCTGGCTTCTTTCACTCAGCATGACGTTTTAGAGGTTCATCCACACTGTTGCGCATAGATCATTCCTTTTTATTGCAGTGTAGTATCCCACTGTACTATGACATTGCAATTTCTTTATCCATTTACCTGTCATTGAATATAAAGGTTCGTTCCAGTTTGGGGCTATTGGAAATAAAGCTGCTATGAATATTTGTGAACAAGTCGTCTTTTTACAGACATGTGTTTACTTCTCTCGGATAAATATCTTGGAGTGGAATTTCTGGGTCATACAGCAAGTGTATGTTGGATTTTATAAGAAATGGCCAAACTGTTTCTAGAGCAGCTGTACCATTTTACATTCCCACCACTGGTTACCACTTTTAAAAATCCCAATGCCCAGGTCAGGTCGTAGCCAAAACTAATTAAATCAGAACCTCCAGGGAGTAGAATACAGACATCGGTTTTCTTAAAGCACCAAGGTGATTCTAATGTGCAGACAAGACTTCAAACCACTGCTAGAGATCTCAGGGGCCATTCAGCAGGCAAACAAGCGAAAGACATATCATATTTGCCTATAGAATTTCCTCACTCTTCCTTGATAATAGAGAGAGAGAAAAGAAGGAAAAACAAAAGCAGTGTCTATCCAGTCTTCACACCACTGCCCTCAGAAAGCTTTGTTGATCTCTCAGATTCTCTCCACCTTACAGGAAGTAGGAGAAGGCCAGAAGAATACAAAATAATAAGTACATATTAGCAACTTTTTAACAACTGAGTTTTGAGCTTAGCATTTTAGTAGGGTTACCATTCCCAGCCCTCACAAGAGCTCTACAAGATAAGTACTACTAGAATCACCATGTTACAGATGAAGAAGCTGGGGCTCAGAGAGGTTCAGTAACTTGCCCAAGATCACACAGCCAGTTATTGATGCAGCAGGGATTTAAACTTAAGTCTGTCTCCAAAGTCCAAGAGCTTAAACACTCCACTAGGCTCAGAGCCATCGATGGTCCTGGGGCCATGAACCTCCTCCCACTCAGGTATTTCTGGTAGCAGGAGAATACAAGCCTCCAACCCAACTGTAAAAGAAGGCTGCAGGTGTGTTTACAAGACTAGCAGGAAAGGTAATCTGCAATGAGACTGAAAGGTGGGGGTTAATTATGGGATTTCCTTTCCTTTCAAGCTTAAAGGATGAGATTTAAGCCCTTTTGGTACAGGGGAGGAGACCAAGCTGTTGCTGCAGCCTCCTCCCTCCGCCTCAGTTGGTACTTGGGACTGGAAAGAGGTAACAGAGAGCTAAGGAAGGAAGCCAGTGGATAAGAAAGAGCCACCCAAGAGGCTGAAGCCTGGGCCATCTGCCTGCCCAGCAGCTGCCTGGTCCTTTCACTGAACTCTTGTCTGACCTGCAGCAGACAAAGAGTATTTGGCTGGAACAGGCTGCTGTTGTCAACTGAAACTGCTATTTCAAAACAAGGAGTGAGGATCAGCAGGGAGGAAAGCATTTTTCAAAATGTATCCAGGGGCTAGGGGAAACTGGGTGCTTGCCACACAGGAACTTTCTGTACTATCCTTTGCAACTTTTCTGTAAACCTAAGACTATTCTAAAATTAAAAGTTTTACTTAAAATAATAAATACATAAATAAAAGTTATTTGAAAGTTATGGAGTCATATAGCAGGGGACAGAAGAGAAAAGCAAAAAGGAAGAAAAGCTGCTGTATACACACAGCACATGTGCTAACATAAAAGTGGAAGGCAGGCAGGGTGTGGTGGCTCATGCCTGTAATCTCAGCACTTTGGGAAGTCAAGGCGGCCAGATCACTTGAGCCCAGGAGTTCAAGACCAGCCTGAGCAACATGGCGAGACCCTGTCTCTACAAAAAGTAAAAAGAAAATTAGCCAGGTGTGGTGGCGCACACTGCAGTCCCAGCTCGGACTCGGAAGGCTGAGGTGGGAGGATTGAGGATGGCTTGAGCCCATGAAACTGAGGCTGCAGTGAATCGTGACCACACCACTGCACTCTGCCCTGGGCAACAGAGTGAGATCCTGTCTCTGAAAAAAAAAAAAAAAAAAAAAAATTGGAAGACAAGTCCTGGGCCATTCATTTTAAATCCTCAACAGGAGAGAAACAACTGGGGACAGATAAGGACCCCAATGAGGGGTAAGGGTGGGAATTAAGGAGACTGGGAATTTGCTTCCTTCAGGAGATGTAGAATGGGGTTTCCATGAACTACAGTAAGATTCCTGGCTCTGACCCAGGCCCCTCTCTCCAGTGTCTGATGCTTTCACGCTTGTTCTCTCTCCTCACCTGCTCCCTGCCCATTTAACCCAGAGCAGACCAGAATCACATCGAAGGCCCCTATGCCAAGGTGCCATTAGCCAAGTTGGGCACCGTCATGGGGCCTGGATGTTGGATCTGTACAATGGGGCCACCGTGAGCCCTGCCCACCTCACAGAACTGCAAAGACGAGGGAAAACATGTTGTAGATTACAAAGTTCTGTGTAGACAGAGGTGACTAAGGGTTCATAGCAGGTCTGCTCCTAACAGTCCCAAACGGGAAAGAACCCAAATGGCAATCAACAGTGGAATGGATAAATACATTGTGGTTTCTTCACGTAATGGAATACAACATAGCAATTAAAAAGAATGAGCTCCTGCAATCCGCAAGAACACGATGAGCCTCCCAGACATAATGCTGAGTGAAATACGCCGGATACAAAAGCAAACATACTGTGTGATTCCATTTCGATGAACATTCAAGAACAGGCAAAACTAATCTCTGATGATACAGATAAAGATAGCAATTACCTTTGGGGTATATTGACTTGAAGGAACATAAGGGTTGCTTTTTGGGTGCTGGGAATGTTCTAGATCATGATCTGGTTCTCATGTATGTACAAATCTATCAGGATGTACGTTTGAGTTTTGTATAATTGAGAGTGTGAATTATACCCCAATTAGAAAAAGGAATATGATTAGAATTATTATTTGCAGCACCCTCTGTGTCAGAAGATAGGAAGGTTTTTGGGAGGGGTATTTAAAGTGATTTTGCTGCTACTTCTTTCCTGCTTTCCTCCATCCCCTCAGCCTCTCCCCAGAAAGGAAGACTTGTTTCTCAAAATTCCTTTATTCTATCCTTTTATCCCTTTATAGGCACTCCTACTATGGACTAGGTACTATTCGGGAAGCTGGGGTGGAACCTAGCTCTCAACCTTCCGATGGGCAATCAACACATAGATAACATTGACTATGAGCCGGCACCGAGGCTCTACCTCTACCAGCAGGAACATTTTCTCTCAAGCACGTCCAAGTGGCAGAGAGCTGGGCACAGAATATCTGGGATCCTTTCCAGGCTTTGACTATCGTTCCAAGAAAGGAGAAAGGTGCCTACTATATGCCAATGTGCATTTAATCCTCTGCAACCCAGCTTACATATCTAGAAGGCAGCAGGGGTAGAGTTCAAACCCAAGTATGTCTGATTCCCGTACCCTGCCCTTCCCAACACACCCACGGCCTCCTAGCTGCCAGGTCAGCATTGCCCTGTCTCTGGGCATCTGTAGTGTCACCCTCCAAGATGGCCCCCACTGATTCTTGCCTCATGGTATTCAAGCCCTTATGTAGATTCTTTCCACACTGAATAAGGCTGACCTATGTAACCAATAGGATATTGTAGAAATAACAGTGTGTCTTCCAAGGATAGTGTATAAAAGACATTGTGGGTTCTGCCTTGCTCTCTCTTGAATCATTCATTCACTCTTGGGAAACCAGCCACCATGTTGTAAGGACACTCAAGCAGCCCTATGGAGAGGTCCGTGTGGTGAGAAACTGAGGCTACCTGGCAACAGCCAACCCCAACTTGATAGCCACATGACAGAACCACCTTGGAAAATGATCCTCCAGCCCCAGTCAGGCCTTGAGAAGACTGCAGCCCCAGCCAACATCTCAGCTGCAACCCCATGAGAGACCCCTAGCCAGAACCAGTCAGCTAAGCCACCCCCAACATCCTGACCCCCCAAAACATTTATTATTATGAGATAATAAGTGTTTGAAGCTATTTTAAGCTACTAAATCTGGGGGCCATTTATTACACCATATCACTCTGTATACATAACACAGCCCCTGTCAGAACTATCGCTTCGTGCTGCAGGAACAGTGAGGGTGGCGTGTGAAGGCATTAGGAACCAGCCACTTACCAGAGGAGTGACTACAGCAGGCTGAATAGGAGAGGACCAACATCAGCAAGAAACCCCAAGTGCATGGGGGGACTGTGAAAAGGAGACCAAGCAAAGCTGAAACCCTGGAGCCATCTTTCCTAGAAATTTCTCGCATACCTCGTCTATCTCAGTAAGTGAAACCATGTGCACCCAATTACTCTGGCCAAAATCTGGGAGTCATCTTTAAGCCCACTCCTGCTCTCACACCCAAAATCCGATGGCTCAGCGAGGCTCCAGCTCTCCCTCAGAAGGCATCCCAGACCCAGCCCCTCCTCACTGCTTTTCTGGCTAGCACCATGGACTAAGCCACCAGGCTCTCTCGAGTGGGCAACATCAGCAGCCTCTTGGCCCATGTCCCTACTCCCACCCTGGTGCCTGCTCAAGGCCAGAGTGGCCTTCTCAGAGTGGAAATCCAATCGCGTCCCTCCAGCCCAAACTCCCCAGCACTCACTACTCTCCAGCCCTCTTTCAAGCGTAACAAGTTCCTCTCACCTCAGGGCCTTTGCACCTGCTCTTTCTCCTCCCCCACATCATCATCTGGGTCCCACCTCACATGACTCTTCCTCCAAGGAGTCTTTCTGGGCTACCTTAGCAGAATTCTCTAACCCATTGCTCCAGCTCATTCCCTTCAAAACTTGTTTGCCTATTTAGTGCCTGTCTCCCCTATTAGATTGCAAGACCCATGAGGGCCAAGACCTTCTCTATCTGTTCACTTAGAACAGCATTTGGCCCGTGGAAGGAGATTACTAATGAATCCTGCCTAGAAGCAGGGGATGGACAAGATGACCTCAAGGTTGACGAGGCTATAAAATCCACAGTATAGAGCTCTGCTGTGGCTCTGTGGCTCCCGCTGCCCTTCCCAGCAGGAGGAAAAGGCAGGGCGGCAGTAAGAGCTCTGGTTTCAGAGAAAGACCCACCAGCTGGGTGGAGCGCTCACCACCAGTGGGTCCCATTCCCTATAGAGGAAACTCCTATACAAAGCCCATCTGTCTGCCTGGTTGCTGCCCTGCCAGTCTACCCTCTCCCCCACTTAGTTGGCCTCCTTGGGCAGGGCAGAGCAGCACTGCGGCAGCCTGGTGCATTCTGAGCCCCCAGCACACGTGAGAGACTCCTCAGGTAGGCTATGCCCCCAAAAAGTCATCTTTGCCATTTGCCTGTTCCCATGCACAAGGCTACTGCATGACAAGGGGCCATCTGTCATATCTTTCTGGGCCTCTCTGGGCCACCCATCTCCCCCAATCAGACCCTTCACTGCCCGGAAGTTTATCCCCTTATCCTTCCTAAATATATCCTGCTGCTGTCAAGAGATGGAAAGCAAAAGGAAGAATGGCAGGCAAGGATGGAGAAATGCATGCCAGTAGGCAGTGAGAGACAAGGAGAAGGAAGCACAAAGGCCCAGGGACAGAGAGCAGGTGAAGAATTACACCGGGACACCTTGGGGAAGTCACTCAACGTGGGGCGCCTCAGTTTCCTCATCTGTAAAACAACAGAATCTTTTGGCCAATGTTTTATGCTCTAAAGGAATTAAAAGAACAAAGTCTGATAATGCATGTGAAATGCTGTCTAAGACCCAAAGCACTGTACAAATGTCCATTGCTATTAAAAGAAAAGGTTGCAGGAAGGGCAGTACGAAGGGGTAGACTGGGGAGGAGCAAGAAAACTGGAAAGTTCTGGAGTTTAAGGCAAAAAACTCTGCTCTGGATAAACAGAACAAGGAGGGAGGTGGAAGGAGAAGCAGAAACGTACTCTCCATCCAGGGGAGGAAAGGCTGAGAGAGGCCGCAGGAAAGGAGAAGACAAGGGAAGGGGCAGAAAACCCACTGCATGGAGGTACCTGCTGCAAGCCAGGCCCTCTGCATCTCTGCAAGGGGAGCATTCCAAGCTGGAGTCTACAGATGGAGACGCCCTCCAGCAAGGTGTGTGCTCGGCTTTAGTAAAGTTTCTTTGGAGGAAGATTCTTCCCAGACCTGCTTGATCCGTCAGCACCCCTTCCCCAAGGTAACACTTGTCCCTCTAAGCTCCCAGTAGCTGAGCATCAGTCATGACATTTTTGAGCACCCACCCTGTGCCAGGCACTGGGCTGGGCACTTCACATACATTACCTCATTGAATTCTCACAACAACTTTATGAGGTAGGCTTCTTATTCCCATATCCTTGAGAATGAAACAGAAACTCAGAGAGGTACATAACTTGCCCAAGGCCACCCAGCTAATAAGAAGCAAAACATGAGATGTACCAGATACAGGTCCTCAACTGCTCAATGAATGCTCCTTCTGGAAGCATCTTCTCCTTCTACTCCCTGAACTCCTTGAAAGGTCAAATATGAAGAGCAAACGTAGGGAGTGAAAGGGCAGGGAGGGTTACAAGCAACAATGGCAGAAGGTGCAGACATTGGCTGCAAGTGAAAGGCAAGGAACGCCATTTCCACCCCTAGGCAGAGCTGAGCCCATTGGACAGAACCATTTCCTTCCCAAACTCATAATCCATCTTGGTGCCAATCCCCCACCCCCTGTTACTCCAAGAAGCTGATATATGACTCCTGTGTCCAAACCTCAGTGGATACATCAGGGGCTGAGCCAGCCTGGCCAACCAGGGCCCAGCAATCCCTCCAGTCTTCTTGCCTCAGTTTCCCTTTCCCATCAAGACCAGCCAGAAAATACTCATGGGGAAATTGAGGACCAAAAGAAGACCTGGCCAATAAAGAGGAAGGGACAGTCTCTCAGGCGGTTCCAGACCAGCCAATCCTGACCTCCGACCTCATTCTCCATTTATCCCACCCACCCGCTTCTCCTGCCCTCGGGGTCCTGTGGCTGTGGACACTGAGGTTTTCTAGGTTGGCCAAATTGAGCCAACTGGGGTTGTGCGCGGCCCGGGGTAATTGAAATGGATCCCCTCCCCCTTTCCCTCTCCCCCTTGAGAACTAGCAGAAACACCTTCAAAGGCCGCTCTCTGGGAGCTCGGTCCCCATCAGCCACCCCCGGTAACCGCCCAGATTGCGCTCCGCGCCCCCCACCCAGATCCCCCGATTCCCCAGCCCGCCCCTGCCCCCGCCCCCGGGCCTTCGCCTTCACCTTGACCTGCGCCCGCTCCCAGGCCCAGGCGCTTTGCATAAACAAAGAGAGGAGGAGGGACGCCCCGGGCACCGCCCCCGCCCCGCCGGCGCCCCCGCTCCAATCTGGGACCCCGAGCCAGGCCTGTCCCAAGTCCTCCCGGGCCCGCCAGCCCGCGGCCCCTTACCTTGGCCTGGCATTTCCGATGACAGGAGAAGCTGCAGACTGCAAGAGGGCGAGACACAGAAAGAAAGTTTTAGCCGCGAGGTATGAAATGGAAACTCCGCGAAATCTCCTCCCACCCCAGCCCGCAATCCGCGCTCGGGAAGGAAGGAGGGAAGGAGGGACGGAGGGAAGGAGAGAGGGAGAGAGGGAGGGGACGGAGGGGAGCGGCTGCCGGGCCTGCGGGGCGGGAGTGCCCGGGACTGAGGACCCGCGGCCGGGGAGGCAGGGGGCTCCCAGAGCCAGAGCCCCTCCGGGTGCGGGAAGGTGGGGGGAGCAAAGGGGGGGGTCCCCCACTGGACCCCTGCCAGGGGCAGAGGTAGCCCGGACCCGGGCCCCACGCCAGCCCCACCAAGGAATAAGGGGGGCCTTCTCCCCTTACACACACACCAGGCAGGCAGACGACATCGCAAACCACAATCACACTTACTCTGCCCCAGAGACAGACACACAGACACAATTCAGAGTCCAGGAGCGGGCCCACGCATATACACATTACACCCACACCCACACACTCACCCAGAACCACTCCCACCCATCCACACAGCCATCCACGCACACACACACAGTCTCACACACACAGATTCATCCAGGAAGAGCCCTGACTCAGGGCACCAACACACACAATTTTGTGGGACACCATCAGTTGCAGCCTGACACAGATTTGTGGACACAGACACGTGAACAGATGCTCACATAAACTTCATGTGCATGACTTGAAACACACAGACACACACACACACACACACACACAGGACTTGCTCTTCCTCCCATTACCAGAAGCTGGAATCAAATTTCCTATAAGGTTCCCGAAGCCTGGAATGTCCCCAGCCCTGCCGCCCCACCCCCCAGGGCTCTGGGACTCCACCAAGGGATTTGGTGACCTCCCTGCAGATCTCATGGGTGGGCGAGGGGTCTCCCGAGTTGGGTTTTGCACTGCTTTGGGTCTTGTTGGCTGCCCAGGACCTGCTAAGGCTGGGGGGTTAGGAACTCTGGTTAGAGAACTGGGGAGGGGGAGATAGGGGAGTGCCCTGACTCCAAATCCTCAACAGCCACAGCCCAGGACCACAGCCATCCACCTCCTTCTCCTGGATCTATTGCACCCCACCCCCTTCCAGCTTTGAACCAACCTGATTCTCAGCAGACTGCAGAAAGGGAGGTTGAGGCACAGATGAATGCCCGGAGCAGCCCAGGGAGGCTCCGGGGTTCCCCACACTAAGGCTTCTTCTGATTTGTCTGAGGCAGAAGGGGCTGGGCATGGGGAAGGGGGAGAAGCTGGGAAGCACACTGGGTGGTGCCTGGAAAGGGACCTTGGCCACTGGCCCTAACATGGGATCTTCTTCTCTCAGAACCTAGTCCTGGCCCAGCCCAGGCCTGTGACTCACCGGTGCTGAGCAAGGTTTTCCTGACCCCACCAGCCACCCAGCCTAGCTCAGGGACATCTCCACCCTGGCCACAGCAGGACATACTCCCCACTCAGCCACACAAGCGTTACCCATCACTCTGGTCTTTCTGCTTCTCCCTCTCCCTCAGCACCACCACCAGCCCGGGTAGCAACTCCCTCACTTCGCAAAGGTGTTCCCTCTTGGACACCAGCAGCCTCCCTTGCCCCACCCCATCCAAATAGAGGAAACGTCCCCTTTGTTGGTCCAACAGTGTGGGCTCCTTCCAGGGGGACCTGCCTCTCTCTCTCTCCTACACACACACAGAGAGAGAGAGAGAGAGAGAGAGAGAGAGAGAGAGAGAGGAGCCTGGTACACAGGAGAGGCTTAATAAACGTTTGCTGAGTTGGACCTGTCTGAAGATATCCCCTGTGGTTTATGCGCACCCCAATTTAGTCATGTCCCCCCGACTCTCAGATCGTTCCTGAGCTGTAGACCGCCACCTCAACATCTCATGTTCAACCAAAAAGGCATCTCTAAGCATCCACCCCAGTCTAGACATGAGGGACACAATGGGGGCCGGGACTCCACCTCCCTCCAGCATGCTCCCTGCTCTGCCAGTTCCCAGAGTGCCTCAGGGCCTTGGCACTTGCTGTGTCAGCTGCCTGGTACACTCCCCCTCACCCCAGCACCCCATCGTTCCCTGGACCAAATCCCTCTTATCCTTTGGGAATCCACCCAAAGTCATCTCCTCAAAGAGGCCTCCCCTGACCACTCAAATTAGAGTAGCTTTCCAATTATTCCTTTTCAGCACACCGGTTATTTCCTGGTTATTTTCTGAAGTTGCCCTGGGTAACTTCTCTCTAATCTATCTCCCCACACTACACTCAGAGGGCAAGGAGCATGCCTGTCTCCTTTGCACTGTAGCCCCAGCAGCTAGGACAGTGTCTGCTTCAGGCCCATGAGACCATACAGCATCTTTGTGCAAACTAGAAGGAGGCCCATCCCCTGGGCAGACCAGCCCCAGGGACACACAGCTGGGCTCATGCACAGTGTCTTTGTGGAAATGGTGAGAAGGTGCCCTTTCTCCAGGCAGATCAGCCCTGTGCCAAAATGCATGGCTTGGTAGGCAAAGGGTGGGCTGACTCCTGTGCTCTCTCGGGTAGGCACCCTTGGCAGTGCATGGCCTGCCTGACTGTACAGGGCAGCCCTGCCTGTCACACAGTGGGCACACACTCAGCAAATGCCCTCAAGTGGGGGGGCAAATGGAGAAATCATCAGGTAATTGCAATACGCTATGCTGAGTGCTTCCTGTACACTGGAATGCAGAAAGCTTGTCCTTGGCAGCTCTACAGAGGGGAACGAGGGAAGACCACTCCCACCCCAGCTCCCAGCCCAGAAGACAAAAGCTTAGCAAACTGAAAGCAAGTGGCAGATGCCAAGCAGGACAGGCTTGGCCAAGCCCCCATGAATGGATATTGACACCTGCAGAAGCAACCGCCTCCAACCCCAAGGAGGCCCGCTTGCTGAGTTTCCTCCAGGGAAGCCCTCTTTGCGTGCCTATCCACCTGTCTCACATATCCTCCCAAGGGGCAGTATGTCCTCCTCTCTAACGTGCATCCGTCTTGCTGTAATCTCAAGTTTGGGCCTGTCAATCTGCTGGCCTCTCACTTTCAGATCGATGAAATATTCAGATGTGTTACAGAATGGGAAACTGTGGCAACCAGCCTTGCAGGTAGCTGCCAATATTTCTTGCCTCTGCTACTCATCATGCCCTTCTGGAGTCCCCTCCCACACTAAATAGGGCTGATTTATGTAATCAGTCAGATATTGTAGAAATGACAGTGTGTGACTTCTGAGGCTAAACCATAAAAGACACTTTGACTTCAGCCTTGGTCTCTTGGATCACTTGCTCTGGGGGAAGCCAGTGACCATGTCGTGAAAACACTCAAGCAGCCCTATGGAGAGGGCCATGTGGTGAGGGGCTGAGGCCTCCTGCCAATAGCCAGCCCCAGCTTGACAGCATTACCTGAGCCATGTGGGAACTGGATCCTCCAGCCCCAGTCAGGCTTTCAGATGAATACGGCCCCAGTGACATCTTCACTGCACCTTTATAAGACACTCTGAGCCAGAACCACCCAGCCAAGTCACTCATGAATTCCTGAGCCATGGAAACCATGTGGAATACTAATTTTGATTTTTTTTCTTTTCTTCTTTTCTTTTTTTTTTTTTTTTTAGACATGGTCTTGCTCTGCTCTGTCACCCAGGCTGGAGTGCAGTGGCACAATCTCAGTTCACTGCAATCTCCATCTACCAGGCTCAAGCGATCCTCCCACTTCAGCCTCCCAAGCAGCTGGGACTACAAGCATGTGCCACCATGCCCTGCTAATTCTTGCATTTTTTGTAGAGAGAGGGTTTTGCCATTTGCCCAGGCTGGTCTCGAACTCCTGAGCTCAAGCAATCCTCCTGCCTGGGTTTCCAAAAGTGCTAGGATTACAGGAGTGAACCATGGACCCAGCCTGTATTTATTTTAAACCACTAAGTTTACGGGTAATTTTTTATGCAGTACTAGATCACTGATACCAGAACACAAGACCCATCAGAATGCAAAAGCCAAAGGTAGCAGATGCTGGGAACCAAGGCCAGAGGCCATCTCCTGGGTCCTACCTTGCTGCTTGGTGCCTGCAAACTCTCGCTTTAACTCCTTCCTCACTTCCCTTACCCTACCAAGTAATTAGTCATTGTGTCCCAGAAAGTAACTCTTAAGAGGCTAAGGTATTCTGTAACAGCCCGACTAAGACACCCCCCACCACCAATGCCACCCACCCCTTCCTCCCTTCAACTGAGAAAGGGGAAAAACCCAGGTTCCAACCCTGGGAACATCAGACACTGCTGGGGAGACAGCCAGTCTGTGAGTGACAGGGACCAGTCTGTGAGTGACAAGGGACCAGTCTGTGAGTGACAGGGATGCTCACTCCATAGGTACCATTTCTCATCAGAAGGATGGGGACATGCAGGGAGAAACAAGAGCAGGAAAACCCCAGCCTTCTCTTCTCCTGAGTCCTCCCCCAGATACACATGTCAGGATGGGCCCTACCTGAGCAGATCATGGCCTCCCAGCTACTACAGAAGGCCCCGAAATTACAAACCCACGTATGCACCCTCCTGAGCCAGTGACCCTGTCCAACCGGAGCTCCATGGAGCCCCAGGAGCCCTATCTCTGCCCACGATGTCAGCACTGCCCCTGCACAGCAGGGCCCAGTGGTGGCCTGAGAGGGAGCAGAGAGCCCCTTAGTGGGAAGGGACCCTTAGATTACTCTGCTGGGGTGAAGAACTGCACCCCCAGCCCTTGGCCCCAGCTCCCACCCCAGCTGGGCTGCCGGTACTCTGTCCTGGGGTTGCTTCCTGCCTCTCGGGAACACAGGAAGCCAACATTGTTGGGATCTAAATGGCCTTTTCCTCCTGGACTTGGGTCGGAAAATGAGCACATAGCCTCAGTGTGCACCTGACCCCGGCGATAACCACTCGCATGCCCGGTCCGGCTTCAGCTCCTTCCATGGCCGGCACAGAGGCACAGGCCTGGCCACCTGCCTGCTCACCGGCCACTCACCCTGCCCTGCCAGTTCATCTCCAGGACCTGGGCTGGAGGTATGCAGTGGTTAATTTAATGAATCAACTTGTCTAGGCCACGGTACCTAGATATTCGGTGAAACACTATTCTGGATGTTTCTGAGAAAGTCGGTTGGTTTTATTTTTTAGATGAGATTCACATTTAAATCAGTAAACTATGAATAAAGCACATGACCCTCCATAATTTAGGTGGGCCTCATCCAATCAGTTGAAGGCCTTAATAAAGAAAACCAACCTCCCCAAGCAAGAAGGAATTCTGCCAGCACACGGCTCTGGACTCGAGCTACAACAGGCAGGGGTACCCCACCTGCCAACCTACCCTGCAGATTTTGAACCTGCCACAGCTCTACAATCACGTGAGACAATTCCTTAAATAAATCTCTTTTTTTCTACACACATCCTGTTGGTTCTGTTTCTGCAGAGAACCTTGACTGATACAAGGTGTCTCAGGGGATGGTCGGGGGACATGGTGTGGCTCTGAAGTAAGAACAGGAAGAAACCTTCCAGATCAAGCTTGTCCAACCTGCAGGCTGCAGGCCACATGTGGCTCAGGATGGCTTTGAATGCGGCCCAACACAAATTCGTAAATTTCTTAAAATATTATGAGTTTTTTTTTTTGCAAGGCAGGGGGGCACATAAGATGGTTTCTTATATGCACCCAACTCTTTCTTTCTTATTTTTAGTCTTTCTTTCTGAGACAGGGTCTCCATCTGTCACTCAAGCTGGAGTGCAGTCGTGTGCTCATAGCTCACTGCAGCCTCGACCTCCCCAGGCTCAAGTGATCCTCCCACCTCAGCCTCTGGAGTATCTGGGACTACAGGTGTGCACCACCACACCCAGCTATTTTATTTTTTTATTTTGTGTAAAGATGGGGTCCTGCTATGTTGCCCAGGCTGGTATCGAACTCCTGGGCTCAAGTGGTCCTCCCACCTCAGCCTCTTTTTTTTTTTTTTTTTCCCCCCAAGACAGAGTCTTGCTCTGTCACCCAGGCTGGAGTGCATTGGCATGTTCTCGGCTCACTGCAACCTCCACCTCCCGGGTTCAAGAAATTCTCCTGCCTCAGCCTCCCGAGTAGCTGGAATTACAGGTGCTCGCCACCATACCCGGCTAAGTTTTTTGTATCTCTAAGTAGAGAACGGGTTTCACCATGTTGGCAAGGCTGGTCTCAAACTCCTGACCTCATGATCTGCCTACCTCGGCCTCCCAAACTGCTGGGATTACAGGAGTGAGCCACCACACCTGGCACCATTATGAGATTTTTTTTTTTTTTTTTAGCTCATCAGCTATGGTTAGTGTTAGTGTACTTTATGTGTGACCCAAGACAATTCTTCTTTTCCCAAGGTGCCACAGGGAAGCCAAAAGATTGGACACCCTGTTCTAGATCATCCCATCCAGTAGTGTTCAAACTTTTATTTTTACAGCTAAATTCCTCAAGCAGATGGGCTCCTGTGTGGAATCACAATGATGCTGGTTAAGATTCACTGAATGCTTGCTATATATCAGGCTCTGTTTGGAGCCCAGCATATATATATATAATCTCATTTAATCCCACAGTACCTGATGAGGGAGGTACTGCTGTTTGTCCCATTTATTTTTTATTTATTTATTTTATTTTATTTTTTTTGAGATGGAGTTTCACTCTTGTTGCCCAGGCTGGAGTGCAATGGCGCAATCTCGGCTCACCACAACCTCCGCCTCCCAGGTTCAAGCAATTCTCCTGCCTCAGCCTCCCAAGTAGCTGGGATTACAGGCACGCACCACCATGCCCGGGTAATTTGGTATTCTTTTTTAGTAGAGATGGGGTTTCTCCATGTTGGTCAGGCTGGTCTCAAATTCCCAACCTCAGATGATCCGCCCACCTCAGCCTCCCGAAGTGCTGGGATTACAGACGGGAGCCACTGTGCCCGGCTTTTGTCCCATCTTAAAATTAAGGAAACTGAGGCTTAGAGGGGGAAGCAATCAGCCCAAGTTCTTACTAGTAAGGGTCAGAGTGGGGATTTGAATCAGAACATCTAAGTCAAGGACGGGATCACCACAGGATCCTGCCTCCTGATGGATTTAACTCCTAAAACCACAGCTCCTCTGACTGAGGTGGGCAGGGGTCCCAGAGCCCTGACCCCTTAAGATTCCCTTGGATTCATCTCTTTCTTACCCTCTTTGGCCCCTAAAGCTCCTCCAAAAACCTTACAGCTCCTTCAGAACACAGTTTAGAGCCTCTAATCTCATTAAATAATCCCACCTCCTCATTTAGGGAAAAGGGAAAGCCAGACCCAGAGAGGTTAAGCATCTCACCTGGGGTCACACAGCCAGGTTGTATTAATAGCAAGCTAGGGCTAGAAACCCAGGGTCTTCCCACCCTACCAGGCTACCTCTGGTGGCTCCAAGGAGGCCCTCAGACACAGGGCAGAAGCTAGGTTCCCCAGTGAAGTAACAGGGGGAAAGAGTTCCTAGAAACAAGGTTTCCCCAAATCCAGTGGGTGCCGGCTTCTGCACAGGCTTGTCCTGTTAAAGGACGGATCGTCTTTCCAGGTGCATCCTGCCCTAAGGAAACTGCAGGTGACTGTCCCCCATTCCAGGCTCACCAGAGGCATTGAGAAGTGAAGTTTTATCCAAGTCTGGGCCCCAGATCAGGCCCTGATGGCAGCCCTCGGGCTGCTGAGCTGCCATCCTGGTATCTTCCTGTGGGTTTCGGCCTGGTGGGAGGTAGAGCCCTTGAGCAAAGCTCTGAGTCCACATAGCCTCCCTCTGGGGCCTCCTGTGCACATGGACTCCCATAGAGCACTTCCCTAGAGACCTGTGGGAAGCCGACTATTTGGACTGAGGAACTCCTACACATCCCTCAAGACCCAACCTGCACATGCCTTCCCTGCTGAAGCCTGACAAGAACATCTCTACTGAGTCAGAAACGGCCCTCCACATACACACACACACACACACACACACACACACACGCACGCACGCACGTACCTGTGTCAGCTTTGGTACCGTGCTCCATGATTGTCTGACTGTGTCTGTCTTCCCAGGTAAGGGGCTGGCTCTCAGCACCAGGACCTGGCACAGCATCTGACCCAGAGGACAGCTCAGTTCATGATTGCCAGATGGCTGCACGCAGCGCGGAGGAGGTGAGCAGCAGCCTGCGTGGGGGAAGCTATCCTACCTCTGCAGACTCCAACCAGGGAGTTTTCCAGGCCCTCCCCACTGTCAGGGCCTCAGCAAGTATTCTTGGTCCAGCCCTGTTAATCATAGATGAGGAAACTGAGGCCTGAGTTATTAATTGATTTATCCAAGATCACAGAGGTTGTGAGAAGCAGGGCCAGAAGTAGAGCCTGGGCCACTAACAACGCCCCTGCACCTGTTCTCCTGCCATTGTCTCATCTGTCTCTGCATCTTTCACACAGAGCCTTCATCCCTAGCATGAGGACCCATCTTACAGGCACACAGAACCTCAATGCTCCTCACAGCAGCCCCCCAGAGACCCAGGACAGGGTTCATATGCAGGAGTTCACAGGAGTTCACAGGTCCGGAGGAACCCCTTTGCCTGTACATCTATGACGCCCGCATGTCCACCCTCTTAGTTTCCTATCTGCCTTATTCATCTTTGAGTCTTCCAAAACCAGGACCAGACCCCAGGTTCCTTTCCTCTCTTTCCCACCTCTTTTGGCCATATTACATCAAATGGGAAATGCAAGAGGGAGGAAAACGGAAGGGCGGCCCAAGCTATAGGTCCAGGCAACCAAGGGGAGACAGGCCAAACGCCCCAGTGTCTCCAGATCTAAAAGAGCTTCCTCACTGCCCCCTGCCTCCAGCAGAACTTTCTTCAATGTTGCAAGTCCCATGGAGACTGGGAATCCAGGGCCTTGACATTCCATGCGCCCCACCCCACCTATCACCCAGAGCCACTCATCAAGAGAGTTGCCATGTTGTAGCCAAGACTTGAAGGCTGGGAGCAGAGTAAACCCACTGAGTCAGGCTCAGTGAACAGACATGAGCTGGAGTTTGGTCCACACATGCCCCCTCAGCCAGGGAAAAACCCATACAACCATATCGGGTGGCCCTGGTTGGGTGGGTGAATGGATGGATGAGGGGAACTATCAACCTCATGCCATCATGAGCTCCTGACTCCAAAGCACAGACAGTGGCTTCACTCCTGCATCTCCCACCAGTGAACCCAGTAGCCCCAGCCTCCTCCCAGGCCTGGAGATCCCAGTCCCTTTGCTGAGGCTGCACACATGACCTATAGAGTCAGGAGTCTTCCTCCCTTCTCCCTATCTGGGCCTGGCCCCTGCACCTTCCATGTCCCAGTCCTGACACCTGCTGGTCCTGCTACAGTGTAGCCCTGGCTTTCTTCCCACCAAACTCCCCACCCTCCAGAGCCCAGCCAGAGCTGCCAAACCAGTCTGTCCACTCACCCTCCCCTCCGGTTCACACCAGCAGGGCCAGGCTGAGATCTAGGTGAAACCAGGGCCATGTCTTGCTCACCCTGGGAGCCTTCTGTTCACATGGGGTCAAATCCTCTCCTCAACCCAAGCCCTCAGGCCAGGTCAGCTGGGGAACCTAGAGCCATGGAATGTGAGGGCCACCGGAGACTGCAGCCAGAGAAATGCCCAAGGTCACACAGTGAATGTTGGCAGGACTTCCTTCTGCCCCCACCCCCAGACTGCCTCGTATCACCATATTGGGAGTCCCTGGAGTGACGGGAAGACACTAGGGAAGGAAGGAACCGTGGGGAAGGGCCAGGGGCTAATTTATGCATCTTCGCAGGGCAGGGTGTGGGGCTGTTATGCAAACAAAATGCAAAACTTCACCTCTAGCAATTCTTCTGTGACTTCTCCCCTGGCTCCAACCCTAAACTGCCCGCAAGCCCCAGCCAGACCTCTTGGGAGGAGGGTGACACCGCGTGGCTGATTTTGGTATTGCAAAAGTCCTGGTTAGCCACTTTCCCTCCCCCTGAGAGCCCACGTCCTGAAATCCCCACTCGGGCCCCACTCCTGGGTGCCTTGACAAGCGACGTGACCACTGCCAACCTCAGTTTCCTCCTCTGTAAAACGGGGATGACACAAGCACCTTTTGGGGGGTGTGACCATCAGATGAGGTCATGCCTTTGAGTGCTTGGTATGCAGTAAGCGCTTTAGAAATTGTTCAGTGGGCTCTGAGGCCCAGCCTCCCAGCCTGCTGGGACTTTGACATGGAGGGAGGGGCAAGAGAGAGAAGCCAGGGAGAGAAAGACTCATGAGCAAAGGCTCCGGGCAAAAAGGGCATGGCCTGCTTGGCATATTTGACATGCCCAACATAGTGAGGAGTCATGTGAGGTGCCAGTGGTTTGAACATGGAGTCAGGAGCAGAGGAACATGCGGCAGAGAGCTGGGCAAAGGCTGAGCCCACCAGGCCTGGCAGCCGGGGAAAGAGGTCTGTACTCTGTCTTGGGGATTGTGAGGGACCCCCAAAGGCTTTAAGCCAGGAGCTGACATAATTGGGCTTATGTTTTTAAGTCCCACTGGAAGCTGGTGTGGACGGTGGGTCACAGAGAATAGGTCAGGAGACAGGAGAAGGCAAAGGTGAGTCAGTCACCCACATGAGAAATGATGACAGTGGAATTGGGAGGGGATGATGCCAAGAAGCTTGGGGACTCCAGCTGTCCTTGGGAGGCCCTGCAATTGGTGGGACGTGGGGGTGAAGGAGAGGGAAGCATCAGATGGGGCAACGGGGTGAGTGAAGGTGTCAGCCACTGATATTGGGTGCAGGGAGCTCCTGCTGATTTCACTGTGTGATCTGGGACAAGACACCAACTTTTCAGGCAATAATGACAGCCAAGCCCCGGGCCATTCCAGGAGCTCATGAAAATAGCGATTGAAAAGCCTGGCAGACAACAGGTCCTCCGCTGAGTCTGACTCGGGGCCTCTTAAAGTTGCCTCTGAGCTGCCACAGGAGAGGGCTGGGGCGTCCTTTCTTTGCAGAACTCCCAGTGCCAAGCACATGCCACCCACACGACTCCCACACACCAACCACATCCCATCCACATGCCTCAAAACACATCAGCCATGTGACCTCAATGCACCTGCCACAAACCCTCCACACAGCTTCTACATACAGACCACATGCTATCCACACACCAACCACACACCCTCAGCACACATCATCCTCACGCCATCCACACACCAGCCACACACCCTCAGCACACATTATCCACACACCAGCCACACACCCTCAGCACACATCATCCACACACCAGTCACACACCCTCAGCACACATCATCCACACGCCATCCACACACCAGCCACGGACCCTCAACACACATCATCCACACGCCATCCACACACCAGCCACAGACCCTCAAAACACATCATCCACACACCATCCACACATCCTCAGCACACATCATCCACACACCATCCACACACCCTCAGCACGCATCATCCACACACCATCTATACACCAGCCACACTCCCTCAGCATACATCATCCACACACCAGCCACATACCATCCACACACCAGCAACACACCCTGACCACGACCTCCACATGCCACCACACACCAGCCACACACCCTCAACACACATCATCCACACACCATCCACACATAGGCCACACACCAGCCACACACCCTGACCACAACCTCCACATGCCACCACACACCAGCCACACACCCTTCAAACACATCATCCACACGCCATCCACATGCCAGCCACATACCCTCAACACACATCATCCACACACCAGCCACACATCGTCAACATGCATCATCCACACACCAGCCACATGCCATCCACACACCCTCAACAAAACCTCCACATGCCACCACATACTAATCATGCATCTTCCACATGCCACTCACATGCCACTCATATACCTTCTTCATGCCACCCGCATGACACCCATATACCTTCTTCATGCCATTCATCCTCATACAAGCTGCATGCCATTTCCATGCTACCCTCCACCTGCCATGCCCACCACACCCACCCACATGCTTGTCATCCAGTGAGCTCAGCATCCTCCACCAGATGAGAACAAGGCGTCAGGTTGGGACCCCAAGGATGTGTGCACAGCAGAGTCCCAGCCTGGCCCAGGCCCAGCCATCTCATTCCCCTGATGGGTGCTCCCATCCCCCACAGCCCAGACCGCTGCTCACCTTTGCAGGTGCAGCCTTCCTGGGTGATGACCTGGCGGCAGATCCCACAGGGCTTCACCTTCTTGAAGGTCTTCACCTTGAAGCGGTGTGTCTTGGGGGCCTCCAGATCCTCTGGCTGTGGGAGGAGAGGCACAGAGTCAGCCCTGGGTAGAAGGCTGGGGTCCTGGGGAAGGAGTAGAGGAGCCTGGGGGAGAGGTAGGCAGGGACAGGGAAAAGGATGGCAAGAGCCCCTCAGGGTCCAGAGGAGGGAGGAGGGCCCAGGGACAGAGAAAGGTGTGGGGTGACAGGATGTTCATCCCAGACTCAGGTGGGGCCCATGGCCTGAGTCCAGACGGCAGCTGGAGAGTCCAGCTCCAGGGACCTGCAGCCCCCGCATGGCTCCTACCTTGGCTTTTTTTCATTTATTATGAAGGCATGGCTCACACACAGCAGACTGCACTCATTTTAAATGTGTCACTCGATACGTTCCACACATACACCCCACAGAGCCACATCCCCGAAGACTCCCTCATGGCTCCTCCCAGTCAGTGTCCCCTCGCCCCAAGGTTAATACTATTGTGGCTTCCATCACCAAAGAGTCATGGTGCCAGATTTTTAAACCTCCTCAAGATGGAATTATCCAGTGCATAGTCTTGCGTTTGGCTTCCTTCACACACCATGAATCTGAGGTCCCTTTGGGTGGCTGCATCCAACACAGCTTCTCCTTTGTCTCTGCCGTGCGCCGTCCCATTGTGTAGATGCAGCAGGTTTATTTGTCCACTGTACTGCTGATGGGCCTTCGCTTCTCTAACCCATGGCCCCACAGTGCCATTTCCCCTCATTCTCTCCCCATTCCACCCTCTCCACCATCCCCTGCCCCAGCCCGGAAGGCTTCTTCCATCTTTATTTTTATTTTCAATTCTTTGCATTATGAAAACACAGAGATGTGACTATCCTTTTCTAAATGACACCACCTCATGCATGAGAGGCAGGCTGGTGGCCCAAGCCTTCCTCTGAGCCTGACTTACCATAAAGCCCTGGGTCAGTCACCACTCCACCACTACCACAGGCCTCAGTTTCTCTCTCTGGATGGCACCACACCCCTGGAGCTCTGATAGTCTGTCCTTTGAAATCACATATGGGAACATGCTCTAAGATGCAAAGCCCTGCACAGACACTGCCCACCTTTTGGGCCCCACTGCGGGGCAGGGGGGCCTATTCAGAGGACTCCCCACAGAAAGCATCCCCTGCCCCAGGCACTCACCCTGGGGTCTAACCTGATTCCCTTCCCAGCTGTAGCAGGAGGGGGCAAGACACAGACACCAGCAGCTCCCTCTCTCCCCTCTCCCAGGCACAGACCTCTCTGACACCCCTCCACACACGTGGGCGCACACACAGAGACATGATCCCAGCCTTGCAGTGTGCAGAGCAGGTGGGAGGAAAATCCACTCATTCCTGTTCCCCTCCTTGCACCTGCTCCAGAGCCCCCTGGGTCTGAAATAGAGGCTGGAGAGGAGGACTGTGAGTCCAGAGGAGGGAGAGTGATGGTATCCCACACACAAGCCAGCGTGTCTAGGACTCCTATCTGAAGACACTGCAGAGGTGAGTCCTGAGTGACAGAGACTAAGCCATAGAAAGACAGAGAGAAAAACAGACAAAATGAGACCGAGTCAGAGGCAGAAAGCCAGAGAGGCAAAGAGGCAAAGGCATAGAAAGAGAGGGGGACAGAGAGAAAGAGAAAAGGACAGGGGAGAGAGAGGGGTGCGGGAAGCAGACAGGACAGAGAGAGAGGAGCAACAGACAGACAGAGAAGAAAGAAAGACCAAGATAAAGGCAGACAGAGAGAATGAGAGAGATGAGACAGAGACACGCAGAAACTAACAAGGGGGTCAGAGAATGAAAGAGAGACAGAAGGACACAGGAGCTCCCAAAGGCCAAATCCAGGAAGATCAGAGCATCAAAATACATGATGATAGGAATGGCTTAAATGCGTCTTTGCTGACGATCAGAAATGCAGTCATCGCCACATAATGACAGTGGTCCCATAAACTTATGATACTGTATTTTTAGTGTCCCTTTTCTACATTTAGATATGTTTAGATATACAAATACTTACCACCTGTTACAGTTCCCAGCCTACAGCGTTCAGTACAGTGACATGCTGTGCGGGATTTTAGCCCGGGAGCTATAGGCTATACCATACAGTAGCATAGGTGTGCAGTAGGCTGTACCGTCTGGGTATATATAAGTACTCTCTATAGTGCTTGCACAATGACAAAATCCCCCAACAACACATTTCTCAGAAGGTATCCCCATTGTTAAGTGACTCATGACTGTAACTGAATAAACAAAATTTGATAAGGCACAAGATACTTACGTCATCTCCAAGCACCTCCCCACATTATACTTAGAAATTACAAAGAAGAAGAAAGTAACTTTTCCTGGCTTCCTCCACTTTAATCAAGTGATCAAAGTTAACATCACTGCAACGGTAATGGGATGATGAAGCCAAGCTGGGAGCAGGGGTGCACTGAGAACAGACGCCGCTTCTGCGGTATCCCTGCCAGAAAGCCTCAACCTGAACCTAATCATGAGGAAACATCAGGCCAACCCAAACTAAGGGACAACCTACACATTAAACGTCTTGGAATCTCCGAAAGTGACAAGGTCATGAAAATCAAGGAAAGGCTGAGGAGCTTTCCAGACTGAAGGCAGCAAAAAGACTTGGCAACCGAAAGTAACGGCGGCTTCTGAACCAGATTCTGTTGATGCCCACAAGGACATCACTGGGACCACTGGCGGGACTTCCCTGGGTCTAGACTGAATGGTATTAAAGTATCCATGTCAATTTCCTGATTTTGATAGCGGGGCTGGTCAGGTAAGAGAGTCCTTGTAGAAAAATCAGGAAAGTATTTAACGGTGGTGGGGCATCATGTCAGCAACTTACTCTCAGAGTTCTGGAGGGGACAAATGTTCTTTGCACTGTATTTTCAACCTTTCTGAAGTTGGTTAGAAATTCAAAGAGAGAAGCAGACAGAGACGTCAGGGATGGGGGAGCAGAGACAAAAGCCCAGGCTAGAAGTGGGGACTGCGGAGGGTGGGGAGCTGGAGCCCAGCAGTGCCCCCTGGTGGTCAGGGAGGCCTCTGAGGGGTAGATCCAGCCAGCCACCTCCTGGGTTCTGATATTCCAGAGAGCTAGGTTCTAGGAGCTTTGGCTGGGGCTGGGGTGAGGGTGGGGCAGCTCTGGGCCTCACTCTCTGACCCCCATCCCACAAGAAGGGGCAGGTAAGTCTCCTCTGTTCATCTATCTCACTTCCCCTGGTTTCCGTCTCGGGCCTGGACTTGGGGGACTTCCCTTAGATTTCTGCCACAAACATTCCAGGGTGGGGGCCCTGGTCAGTGTCAACTGCAGCAGTCCAGGCCTGGGGGTGGGGGAGGTGCAGAGAGAGGACCTGGGGTTCAGTTTAAGGGCTGTCTGGGGGAGGCAGAAAGGAAACCCTAAAGCCAGCTCTCCTGGTCCGACTCTGGCAACCCACAAGCCTGTCTCTCCCACCCCACAAAGTCAGGCAAAGCTTCCCATTGCCACTTACCCAGCAAACTTCCCTCCCCATGCCCCATATCCAGCCCTTTTCCCAAACCCTAGGGATATAGGCCTTCTTCCCAAAGCACAGTTGGGGCAGCAGAGTCTCCCAGAAGAGAGCCCTGGCAGCCCAGTGACCCCATGGGTGGCATGTGCAGCCTTCCAGAACAGCTTCTCCCAGGGGCCCCAGTTTTGCCTGCCCTGGCAGCCCAGCCCCAAGAAATCTGAGTTTACAAAATATTTCCCCCCTGGGGCCTGGAGGGCAGGGACAGGGCTTCAGGTCCATCTCTGCCCTTGCTTAGGCCTCTCTAAGCAGCCACAGGGGATGCCCCAGGACATTCCTGCCCCTCAGCCCTACTGAGTTCTGGCTCTGGCTGAGCGAGCACTGAGGGAGGAGTCTGGAGAACTGCCTTCTAGGCTATGTGGCATTGAAAATATCAGTGACCTTTCCTGAGCCTCACAGTCCCCACATGAAAATGAGGAGTTTGGACCAGACAGTCTGAGTGTAGAGAGAGGGGGAAATGACACAACATTCCCTTTGGAATGAAGGGACTGAAAGTGATGGGGGTGGGACTTGCAGATGATTCAGAGAGTGGAATGAATGAGGAGACATCACTCCTCCAAGGAGGAGGCTGTGAAACTCTGGTAGGAGCGAGGGACTAGCTCTGCCACCTCCAGGCAAGTGGCCCCCAGGCTCTGCTGGCATCCACTTAGTTCCGCTGTGAAACAGGGACACTGCGCTGGTCTTGTTGAAACAGCTGTCCCATAGGTTTGATGTTCCCAGGATGCTAGAGGAGAAAGTCTACGGTCGGTGAGCCTCCTATCCTCAAATATATGAAGGAACAGTTATTGTAAGTAGGCACCAGACATCATCTGAAGTTCAGAAGGCAAAACCAAAACCAGGGGGCAGGCACTGCAAGAAGGCATAATGAGACTCAGTGGGGAAAAAAAAAACTTAACAATCAGATGCAAAAATATGGGCTAAGAAGAAAAGCGGGGTGCCTGGTACCTACCCAGCCCTCCCCCCGGGTTGTTCTGCAGGTACAGGCAGAGGATGTAAACAAGCCCCAAAAAGTGCAAAGTGCTTTTCAAGGGTAGTGGCTTGTTAGGGCAATGATCGTCACTTTTCCTGACAAGTGGCAGACGGCCTCACGGAGCACACCCCGGGGCCCTTCCTTTGCTGGCTGCAAAGGAACCTACTTAGGGAAAACTCAGGGGCAAAAGGAGACACAGCCACAGCTGGGAGCTGCCTGGTCTCTCCACACCCACACCCCTCAACCCCCACCTCTCTCAAGAGCCAGGGCCCAGGAAAGGGGAAGGGCTCCAGCCTATAAGTCCTTCTTCTCCTCCCTCCAAGCCCAGAGCTCTAGCCCCCACCCTGCCACCAGCCCACCCAGCATCAGAGGGCTTTCGTGGCCCTCGGGGCTTCCTCTCCCTTCCCTCCTTCCATGCAGCCCAGCTTTCCTGCCCGGGCCGCTCAGCCAGAGGGGTGTGGCACATCTGGCTTGGACAGCCTTGGCGAGAGTCCTTGGCCCTGGGGTGGGAAAGTCTGTTTGTTGGTTCCTCCCTGCCCCGTGGGGGCAGAGCAGCAGTGAGGGTTGGGTGGTGATGAAAGGGGGTGATAGACCCCGGGGTCCCCAGCTCCTGAGCTCCTCCTACAAAACTCCCTCAGCGCTGCCTCCCACAAGCCTTCCTGTGGCCAAAAAGCCCTGGATGATGTGGGGAGAGGGCCAGAGTCTGCAAGCCAGAGAAGGGGATCTCCACACACAGGCCTAGGACAGACCTGGGAGGTCAACTCCTGTCGCACTCACTCAGCCTCCTGGCCATCCACTGCCCCATGCCCCCTCACCCTTAGGCTGGGAGGCCTGGTGGGCATCCAGCGTCGTTTATGTGGGGAAGGCTCAGATCCCCAGTGGGGCTGCCGGCTGGCTTCTGGGAGTCCCATGGGCACCTCAAATCCCAGCTTCCTCCAACCCCACTTCACCTTTACACACACAAATCCCCCACCCCCATGCCCTAGCCATGTTCTTGGCCTGACCATGTTGTTGGTCGCCCTGGGTGGAAAGCTCTGAGTCACTCTCAACTCCTCCCTGCACCTCCCCCACCCCCAACTAACCAGTTGCCAAATCCTGTGAATTTTGCCTCCTAAACATTCATCGTCCTATGCTTTCTAATCCTACTGCCTCTGCCCTATATCAGGCCTTGGCACTTCTCCCCAGGGCTCTTGCAGCAGCCTCCTGGGCCCCGACACCAGGCCGCTCCCACCCATCGCCCCTACACAGCCTCCCAGGATCACAACTACAGCTCTGTAAGGTCTGGCACCTCCACTCACCCCAAATGCTGCCATGTCTTCCCAGATGTCCAGAATAAACCCTGCCCTCCCTGGAGCCAGCAGGAGAAGAAGTATTGGTCCCTACCCAGCCCACCCTGCCAGTCCCAATCCCCAAGATCCACTTCCCGGCTCCCTGCCCTGTGTCCACCCAGGCTGCTCCACGCTCTCCAGCCACCCGCCACCCCACTGCACCTCTAAGACTCTGCCCAGAATGCCCTTCCTCCCCTCTTTGCTTGTCCAGCTTCTAGGCACATTCAAGGGCCTGATTCAAACCTCATCCCCTCAGCAGGGGTCTTCCCAGATACCCCTGGACCCCTGTCAGAATCCATATCCCTACCCGCTGTCTCCTCATTTTAGTTTGAAAAGTGCAAAAGCTTCGGAAAAGATGAACACGCATGTTCCCTTCTCCTATGATCACACTCAGAAATTCAGCATCAATACAATCCCACTGTCTAATACAGTCATTCTACTGCCCCAAGAATGTCCATGAGAGCCGGGGCATTGTTTTCGTTTTCATTTTGGATTCAGGACACAATCAGGATCCTGAACTGCCTTTAGTGGCTGGGTCTCTCATCCTTTAAACTAGACACGTTATCCACCTCTCATTTTTCTTTCTGACACTGATGTTTCTAAAGGTTACAGGACAGATGTTTTGCAGAATGCCCCTCGATTTGGATTTTGATCACTTCCTCATGCGTCAGTGCAGGCTAAAATTCTGGGGAGGAATATGATTACCTTAGTGTCCCCTGCTTTTCCCAGTCGCTCTTTCTTTGAGCCTACAGCAGTACTTGCTGCAGTCTAACGGCCCCTGCACTTGTTACCTGGGCAAAGTGCTTAACTTGCTCTGCCTCACTCTACTAATCTGTTCAATGGACCAATGACAGTCACCTCCCATAGGCTGTTGTGAGGATGAAATGAGATTATGCCGTAAAGTCGGTGGAATGGGGCCTGGCGCATGGTGAGCGCTCAGCAGCGGTGAGCGATTCGTGTTGTCTTTTCTGTGTGTGTCAGATTACCTGCCAGGTAGACGTGTCAGACACACATCTGCTCTGTGTCCTCTGAGTCTAGCACAAGTCTGAAGAATCACATGGGTGAAGCTACTGCCTGGCCTCTGTTTTCTGTAGTGAAATTATACCCCATTCCCATGAACCAGCCCTCAGAAGAAAGAGAACGTGGGGCTACACTTGTTACAAGCCAAGACACCAGGTGACCAGGTACTGTCATCTTCTGGCTGAGGAGATGCTCTTGGTCTCCAAGCACCAGGAATCACCAAGGAAGGAAGGAGGGCAGACAGTGACATTTCCCCAGCACTTCCCAGGCCACTGCCCAAGAGCCTTTAGCTCCTGACTCAGTTTCCTGAGTGAGATAGATGAGTTCTCTCCATCAGTGTCTCTCTCTCTCTCTCTCTCTCTCCTGAGCGAGATGAGTTCTCTCCATCAGCATCTCTCTCTCTCTCTCTCTCCTCCTTCCTAATGCAGGCTGCCCACATTTCTGAATATCAAGCCCATTTTCTGCACTGAAACGAAATCATGTCCTGTCGTGGAACTGCTCAGAGATGGGGCTAGTCTGAGGCCCCATCAGTGGGGCCAGGCACTCTAGTGAGGGATTGGACTGGATTTCCTCGTTTAATCCTCACAATGACGCCCTGCGCTGGAGTGAGGAACTTTCCCAGGGCCTTTCCTCCATGGCCCTGGGCCTTGCTCTGTCGCCTGGGCTGGAGTGCAGTGGTGTAATCATAGCTCGCTATAGCCTTGACCTCCAGGGCTCAAGTGATCCTTCCACCTCAGCCTCCAAGTAGCTGGGACTACCAGCGCATACCACCATGCCCAGATAACTTATTTATTTTTCGTACAGACATGGTCTTACTATGTTGCTCGGGCCAGTCTTGAACTTCTAGGCTCAGGAAATCCTCCCTCCTTGGCCTCCCAAAGTGCTGGGATCACAGGTGTGACCACTGTGCCTGGCCAGATTCATCTTTAGATCTAGTTTAAAATTCACCTCCCGAGGAGTCTTTCCTGACACCTTCTCCCTACAGTCCAGGTTAGGTCCCCCTTACATCCCCCAGAGGTTCCCTCTTGGTAACACCCATCCTGCTTGCAATCATGTGCCAGTATGTGCAAGCAGCTTGAAGAGAGCAGGCCCTCCATAATAATCCGTGAAAAGGATGGAAAGCTGCGTGGGGGGTGTGGTTAGAAAGCCAAATGATGGGATGCTTCTTCCATCACACGACCTCCCCAACACCATGCCCTGACCCTGGGCTGCCCGCCACAGTCCTCTTCGCTGACTTAGGGCTCATGCGTCATTCTCAGGGCTTGATTCCCACGGACCCCACATGTCCTGCCCCAAAGCATTCCCAGAATGGAGAAGCCTGGCAGAGGATGCAGCAGATGGGGTTGGAGTCTTGACTCTGACTTGCTGGGTAGCCTTGAAAATGTGCCATCCTACAAGAAGCACTAACATTTCTTGAGCTCTTACATGTGAGAGACACTTTTCTAAATGTATGTGTGGATTAGCTCATTCAAAACCGAACAACCCTATAGGTAGGTGGGGAAACCAAAGCACAGAGATGTGAAACTACTTGCCTATGGTCACACAGCTGTCAAGTGACAGGCCCGGGATCCAGCCCAGGCATTGCACTCTCGGCCAGCATGCTACACTTCCTTTCAACACTGCAGAATAAAAGGGCAGTGCTCTTCCCAATTTTGTGCCTCACACATTACTTTGCAAAACTTTGCAAAAGGAGAGTCTTATTTCAGACCCTGGTGATTCTCATGCAGCCCAGCCTACCTCCCAAACCCACAGTCAGGAGGCCCTTACAGGTCAACCAAACTAGAGAGAACGAGTTCAGGACCAAAGAGTCAGATTGATGTCTGCATGACCGGAATTGTGCACAAGGAATCCAGAGCTCATGAGGACCCTTCTGTCAAAAATGTGTGCTTAGCACTGGGCAGGACACCAACTCCAGGAAACAAAATACATCATCGTCTGCAGCTGGATGTGGCCTTAGAGAATAGAGCCCACATTTCAGTGAGGTCCAGAAAAGTCGAGTGACCAGCTTGAGACCACTTAGCTGGCTCAGGGCAGAGCCAAAGCTGCACTTGACCCCCAGCCCCTGCCTGGTGGCTCTTTCAGCCTCACCCTGAGCCCCTTCCCAGTTCCTGAGGACCAGTGAGTCCCTCTGGAAGGAAGGGCCTCCACCTCTAACTCCTCCAGCACAACATCAAAAAGCCTCAATTGCTAGGCATGCAATTATTTTCTAAATAAACCGTACTTGAATATGTAATAGCAAATGGGAGCACTTGATGAGAAAATCAAGTTATGCATAATAAATAGCTCTGCTCCTCAGCTAATAAAGTGATTTTTATTCCTAGGACTTGTTAAAACTATGCACTACAGATATATTACTTCTTAGATGACACAATTGCAGCTTTCCCCATACAGGAACATGTGAACCAATAGATGCAAGCACTCACTCTAGGGCACAAGAACTATCTCAGTCACTTCCTGGCCTCAGAGTAGCTGGTCAGAGTCCCTGGGCAGTCAGCCCAGGAGTAGAGCCCAAGGAGTAGAGCCCTGTCCCATGACACCATTCCCAGGGAGATCCTCCCCCAGCATCAGGTCTGGGATACAGAGGATCCCAAGAACCAGGCAGGAGACTGTGGAGTGGGAAAGGGGCCAGCATTTGCTGAGCACCTACTGCATGCCTACATACCTGATCTTTTGATATCTATTGTCTCTTTCCCCACCCTAGCCATACAAGGAGTATATTATTCTCTGCACTTTACAGATCAAGAAATTGAGGCTCATGAAGGGAACTGCTTTACCAAGCCTGCCCATACCAAACGATGGAAATAGGGTTTGAGCCTAGTCCTATCTGGTGCCAGGACTGCTTCCTCTGTCCAGTCCCTACTGCCCCAGTCTCTGGCCCATCCTGGCCATGGGCATCACAGCCAGCCTAGAAAGGATGGGGACTAGGAGAGGAGAGGAAAAGGAGACAGGGGAGGGACACAGGCTTTTCTAGTCTTAAAGACACTCAAGGCCAGGCGCAGTGGCTCACACCTATAATCCCAGCACTTTGGGAGGCTGAGACGGGAGGATCACTTGAGGTCAGGAGTTCGAGGCCAGCCTGGCCAACACGATGAAACCCCATCTCTACTAAAAATATAAAAAATTAGCTGGACATGTTGGCACGCACTTGTAGTCCCAGCTACTCGGGAGGCTGAGGCAGGAGAATTGCTTGGACCCAGGAGGTAGAGGTTATAGTGAGCCAAGATCATGCCATTGCACTCCAGCCTGGGTGACAGAGTGAGACTCCATCTCAATTAAAAAAAAAATGAATAAATAAAAATAAAGACACTCAAGGAAGCAGCACTCACAGCTGCCTTGGTCCCCAGACTCTTCCCCTTACTCTCAGGGAGGGTATAACACCCATAGGGCACTCTACCTGCCAGGCACTGCCCTGGGGAATTGGATACAAAATTTCATCCCTACCTCTCTGTACCCTGTTTCTCTGCAATCCTCATTTCACCAACGGGAAAGCAGAGGCTCACCAGGATGAGGCACTTTTCCCAGTATCAGTCAGCTGAAGGGATCTATAGAGCCCTCTCTCCAGTCACAGCAGCTCGTCACCCCTGGAGGTCTACCTGCCATCCTTCTTGTGTCACCCCTGGACGTCTACCTGCCATCCTTCTTGCTGCAGAGCTCCCTCCTGCCTACCTCTGTCCTCAGCACAGAGACGAACCTGGCCAAGGCTCCCATTTCCCAGATGTCAACACCAGCCCAGTAAACCACAAATGCATCCTGTGTGCAGGCCTCCCCAGTCACTCTCAATCTATTAATCCAATCCATCCCAGCACCCCAGCCCAACATGCCACCCAAACCGCCTCATTCCAGGCCCCCTCCCCCACCCTTTCTTTCTTTGCCCAGAGGACACCTGGCTGCCCGAGTTTGTGTTCCCACAACTGCCCCCAGCATGGGCTTGCCTGGGCCAAGAGGGCCCTCCCGAGGACTGGCCAGAACAAGGAAAGGGACAGGAAAGGCCACATCTGGATCACAGCCCTGAAGCCCCCTCCCCCAAACCAGCCATCACTCTCTCAGAGCCCAACAGTAACCTCAGCCAGGGACGACTTCCTCACCCTCCTGACCCCATGCATGCCTTTGCCTGGCCAAGACAGCCCCACAGGAGCCCCTCTGAGGAAGGGGTCCTCTCCTCCTCTGACCCCCAGCCCTTCTGCAGCAGGCAGCCCTCTCCCATCCCCCTTTACCCAGGAGCCTCAGCCCAGGTCTGGCCTTAAGACTTTTAACCTTCACCACGTGGCCCCCAGGCCTCTCTGCTGGCCCCCCTGGCATCCCCATCCTGAAACCCACCTCCCTGAACCTGGAGCCAAGAGAGAAAGGGGGAAGAGCGGGCCATGGCTCCCTCCTCCAGGATGGAGAGGTCTTGGTAGCAGGGGAGGGCTGTGGAGGAAGGGATGGCAGTGGGTGGAAGCTGAAACTGGGTGTAGAAGGAATAAAAGGGATGGACTCTGAGAATTCTCCCACAGCCCAGCTCTTCCAGACTTAATATTTTGGACTACTATTCTTTGCTCCCCAGCCCCACCACTGCCTCCTCCTCAAGATCTTGGGCTCAGCAACTGAGGGGGGGCGGTGAAGAATTTTCACCCCATTGTAGGATGCAAGTCGGGAGGAAAGGCTCTAAAGAGAAGCAAACTTCTCTGTGGCCTCCTTCCACTTACAGCTCTGGGACTCCATTGGGGGGTGGGGGGGTGGGGCAGGGGATGTACTGACCCGGGACCCTGGGCCTGGGCCCTGTTGGTGGGGAAAGTCTTCCGGCTGAGGGTTGCTCAAGTCAGTCTGTCCTTCTGTAGGTCAGAGACAGAAAGGCCCCTCCTTCAAGACTGACACCCCCCGACCCCGGGCTCTCAGCAAAAGGATAAGGTGGCAGGGGCCGGTGGGGGGCGGGGGGTTTGAGGAAGAGTAACGTCGCAGCTAAAGCAGCCAGACCTACCCAGAGCATGCAGGACAGACAGATCCACGTCATCTTTGCTGGGTCCCGTCACTGAGGCACGCCCAGGGCCTGTGAAGAGCCCCTGAAGCTAGAGTCCCCGCGGCGCTGGCAGAAGGGCTCTCTGAGTCCGCGGCTGCTCCGGCTCCGCCAGCATCTGCTGGGCCTCTCGCCCTGCTGCCTCCAGCTCACCCTCCCTCCTCCTCCTCCTCCCCCCACTCCACCCCTCGTCCCAGCCTCCTCTCTCCTCCCTCCTCCCAGGCTCCACCGGTGGCCTTGAGGGTCAGGAACCCTGCTTTGCAGGGGGTGTAAAGGGGACAGGGAAAAGGGAAAGCTACCAGAGGCAGGGCCCCCCCAGGCCGTGCCCCCCACCCCCGGACACACAACCCCTGTGTGCCACCAAGGCTCCTCAGTCTTCTGATCTGGTGCTGGTAGGCCTGGAGTCCTCCCTCCTCACTGCAGACCCCCGCCCCTGGCAAACCAGCCTGGGGGCCTTCACTCCTGGAACCCTCCAGACCACTGATGGATGAACAGACAGCCCCAGGCCCACACAATCAGCACACTCAGGGTGCCTTGGCCCCTCCCCTTCTCTGAGTACCCGTGCCTGCCTTCCTGGCCTCCTCGGAACACACATGCATTTGCACACACAGACTGGGACAGACTCTGGTGCCCACGCGCCAAGCTCAGAGCCCAGGACAGGCCTTAACACAGAAGAAATAGGGCCCGAGACTGGGGAAGAATGGCCCTGCCCCCAGGCTGTGGGTTTCATTCCAATTTTTTTCCTATTTCTTTTTTTTTCCCCCTTCTTTCTTTCTTTCCTGCAAACATCTGTCCCAGCCTTTCCTGCCCTTCTGAAAGGGAGCCCCGCTCCAGGCTCCCGCGAGAGTGTGTTTTTCTTGACTGTACCCGGGGCCAACATTTGGTTTGCATTTCCCCACTTCCTCCCCCTCCTCCCCTCTCCCCCTCCCTGGGCCCAGTTCTCCCCTCCCACCATTCCACAGGCCTATTTCTTCCCCTCAGTGTCCCCTGCCCACCAGCCCTCCCCTCCCCTCGCCCCCACCTCTGCCCAGGGACAATTGTTGGGGGTCTAGAGGGTGGAAAGGAGGCTGGGTCAAAACCCAAAAGTATTCCCACGGAGCACTAAGGGGGAATCCAGCAAAGTCTGCCCCAGGCCTTCATTGTCTGGAACCACCACGTTCCCCTCCAAAAAAAACCCTTCCTCTTTGAGCTCTGGCCTTGGCTGGACCAACTGAGGGTGGGTGGGGGCCAGTGAATCACCCGCTCTGTTCTTTGGAGCTGTCCAGGAGAAGGAGGGAGGGCTCAGCCCCACACCCTCCTGTGGACACACACACACACAAGGACACAGTCCAACTCACGTCAACACATAAGAGCCCTCCCAGAGTAGGCACTTGGAGACCTCGTTCCTAGACTGAGTCACTTAGCAAGAAAAGTTCTCTTGCCTGGCCTCCTATGCACACTGTGCTATACATGCCCTGGGGCCACATGCACGAAGGGTTACAGATCCCCTGCCTCCCCCCCCCACTCACCCAAGGCCATGCCATGCCGCTGTCTGTCAGCACCACATACCGTGCAACTACCAGCCTCCTCTTTCACAGGGATCTGCCCAGCCACTTGTGCCAACTCCCAGCCCAGGGACCACCCAAGACATCTACCTGGGAAACCCCAGAATGAAGGGGAAACACTGACTCTTCATCTGAAAAAAAGACTGCAGTATTCAGATACACAGGTTGTCCACAGCACAAGGGACTAACCATCTATTGTTTGGTGGTTCTGAGAAGTCAGGGGAGGACACTGAAGTGAAGTGTCAATTTCCAGCCCTTCCTAAAGCAGGTACCTGAGTGAAGAGTCTTTGTTCCGGTAGAGGAGTCAGGGTCCTCTCTCCATACTTCTCCAAGTCCTCCAGAGCTCTGGGGCTGGGAAAGATCCTGCCTCTAGTGTCCTTCCCTGCCAGGATCACAATGTCCCTCTGGACCCCCTACTCTAAGCCTCCTGGGGCTTCACTGACATTTTAGCCAACGCTGAAATGAACCAGTGTTCCACATGCAGTTGGCCCTGCAGTCACAGCTGGGGATGTCCATAGACAGAAACCTCTGCAAACCCTCCCGTCTCCCCTGGCTGGAGCACCAGGCAAGCAAAGGGGAGTGGTCTTCAGGAGGCCTCTCTGAGAGCCCCTGAGCCCCTCCTCAGCCACTATCACCAGCTCTGCCAGGCTGCCCTTGTCCCCTGACAAGTTCAAGCCTTCAGCCAGCTAAGCCCTGACATCCCAGTGCCCACTCACACCAAGCTCCCCGCTGCCTGCTCCCACAGCCCTTCACTGCTGGCGTCACTGAAGACGCCTCCAGGCAGCTTTCTCTGGAGTTCTGAGAAGTCACCTTGGGGCTTCCCAGAAATGCTGGAAAATCAAACCAAAAACCAAGTCACAGTGACACCAACTTGTCTGGCCTCCTACACAGCCCGAGGAGGCCCTGCTGCTTCCCCAGACTCCTCAGCTAGGACTGTGAATGGAAGTAGGGGACCCTAGTGCTGGGGGTTCCCTTGGAGAAACCCTCCCTCCAGAATACCCCCATCCCTCTTCTCCAAGCCTATGGGGTCTCTCCTGTATATTAATCGCTTATCATCAAGATGTCCTTCCTGCTAATTAACCACCATTTTCCCTGTTGAATGTTAAACTCTGCCGACTGAGGTGTCTCTAACTGTGTGTAATGACCCTGTTCCAGGCTTGTCAGCCTTTATTCCTCCTTCACAGCCTGGTGTCTCCACCCCAACCCACACACGGGCAAGGACGTGTCCTGTGTTTTGTATCCCCAGAGCCTGGCATACAGCAGGCACCAGACATGGTTGAAGAATGACTCAATCACTCAATCAATTAGTCAATGGATCCTAACATATTTTCCTACTGTAAGCATTCACTGCCTCCTTCCCAAACCTTCCTTCTTTTCCCTTCAAAAGGGCCTCAGGCAGCCCTGCCTGTACACTTTTGCCCACAATTTCAGTGCCACCCTATCTGCAGCCACCTCTGCCTGCTGCCAATGCCCCATTCCCAAGCTCTAGCCAGCTGCAGACTCTCCGCAGGCCTGGATGGTTTCATTCATCTTGGGATCCCCACCCTGTGCCCAGACCCCTGTCTCACACACAGCAGACATGGAGTACACACTGGAGGACTGGCTGGGGCTCTACACTGGCATCCCAGAAGCCTCAGAACCCAGCCCCAACCCTGTGCCATCCCCATTTCTGCCTTCCCGCTGCATGCGGAGACCTCCCTCCGCTCATCCCTCCAGCCCCCTGCTCAGCAGCCAGCTGAAGAAACAGAGTCAGGTCTGTGGGCTGTGGTGCTGGCCCTGGGGCTGGAGGAGGGTGGAGCCAAGGCAGAAGGAAGGGTGAGTGTGGTCAGGAATGAGCTAATGGCCTTAGAGCCTGAGCCTGGCAGGCCCCTCCCTGGGCCTCAGTTTCCTTTACCTGTAGAATAACAGGACTGATGGCCTCCAAGGTCCCTTCCAGCTCCACCTTCTGCGATGACACGAGTTTCCCAGGCCAAGGCCCCAGCCCCATCCAATTCACTCTTCCTTTCCTTTGACTCTTGTCCACCAAAATATTCTTACTGATGTCCACCCCTCTCCTACCAGGGCGTTAAGCCTTTCCTTTGTCACCACTGGTCACAGCATCTGAAGGTAACAGAGCATTTTAAAGCTGGAAAGGTCTTCAAGCTCAGCTGCCCAGGGGTCACGGTAACAGCCTTTGGGGGTCACCTAGAAGTTCAATGAGGGGAGCGGGCAAGGGGTCACAAGGGCCTGGTGAGGACAGGCCCCAGCTGAGGGGGATGCCCACTCCTTGGTTCCCCACTACAGCATGCAGCAACACAAGCCCACATCTCCACATGTTTTGATCTGCCATAGAACCCTCAACTCCATATTTTATATAAAATATTTTTACAAAATTGAAAAAATACAAATTTGAAAGTGTTGGCTTAAAAAAAAACCACTCTGAAGGTCCAAGCGAATGTGTTTGCCAGGAGGGTTAGTCTCAGGGCACCGCTAGCCTAATCCAGCCCCCTTGCTTAACAGACAGCCACACTGCGTCAAGAAAGGTGGCGTGACTCATCAGAGGTCACAGAGCCCATAAAAAGCAGAGATCCAGTCTCTCAGTTCCCAGACCCTGGATTTTTTCCCTAAACCCTGCAGCCTGCCACCTCTCACAATGGGGCCACTCACACTGCAGCCTTCCTCCCAGACCATCCTGAGGGGCCCACATCCAACAGGTAAGGGCAGACCTGGCAATGGGGTTCTTCACCAGTGTCCAGGTAAAGATCCCAACAGCACGAGACCCAGGAATCTACACCAAAGCACTCAGCTCCTGGACCTCCACCCTCTCAGCCCCTCAGATTCTGGTATTCTCCCCCTTCCCCAGGAAAGATTAATACCAATTAACTAGGCACTTGGCTTGCTGCATTGTCTTGAAGGCTCCTACTAACCCTCATTTTGTAAATGCAGAAACTGAGGCACATAGAGGTTCAGCAACCAGCTCAGGGTCACACAGCTAGTATGATGTGTGAAAATGGAGCTCAGGTCATCTGATTCCACATCTCCCATGGATGGAGAATGTTCTTACAGCAATACGGCCACCCCAGGACTAGGGGCTATGCTTCCATGTTGTGGTGACATGTTAACTGTTCTCTCCACTCGCCTAAGGGCTGACCCTGAGGCTCGGGGGGTGGGGGGGGGGGTTCAGCCAGGTCTTGCTTGGCAGGAGAGAGTGGGGAGCCAAGGATAGTGCTACTACATGGGTCAGGATGAGACCAACTGGCTCCCTAGTGGCTCCAGAAGAGTCAGCGAGGAGAGATCTGGGTGCAGTCAGGGTCTGTCCCCTGATGCCCCTAGGACCTCCCTTAGGTAAGCCATGTTGCCTCACCCTACCCCTCACCCTCATACACCTCAGCCTCTGAGTCCCGGGTGCCCAGACCTCTAGCAGAGGGTGCATGAGTGGGAGCTCAAGTCCCATCCATGCCCTACCCACCAAGCCCTGGCATGAGATGCATCAGCCCAGAGCATGGGGCACTACATTCTAATGCCCACCAAGGCACGACATGGTCTGGGGGAGGCCCTGCCCTCAGCCTCCACATCCAGCACTCCTCTAGTACCAGATTGAGGTCACTCTCTTGCACTGCAGAAATGTGGGTGCTCTCTGAGAGAGAAGACAGAGCTCCAACCAGGCCCTGTGTGAGCCTCAGTATCCCCAGCTGACACGAGAAGGAGCCTCACTCACACCCCTTCCCCTACCGCCCCTTCCCCATCACCCTGGGCGGAGACGTGTCTGGGCCCAATCCCAACAATGCTTAATAAGATCCTTCCCAGAGCTCTACTCCACAATCTTGATCTCTTCCCCAGCTCTAATTTCCTGCCTGACTCAGGCCCCGCAAAGGCTGGAGGGAGGCAGCTGCAGCTGCTCATCCACCCCCGACCCCCAGTCGCCAGCTCAAATCCTGGCCCAGAAGGAAAAGGAGAGTGGAGTGAAGTGGTTCCGTCATCCTCTACCTCCGCAAATGGGGAGGGGGTGTTGCTAAGCAGTCTGGGGTCCAACTGACCTGGTCCTGGCCGGCCATTTCCCACTTCAGGCTCCTTTTCTCAAATCTAGAAATCCAGACTCCATGGCATCTGAACCCAGAACCCAGTGGAATGTGGACAGGGCTCCAGCCCTGTGATCTGCAGCTGCAGGGCCTGCCTCTCAGCCAATCCCTGAGGACAATGCATTTTGCTGGAAGATTTCAAAGCATACCTTGGGTAACTGGAACAGAAGCCTGCTGGCACCTTTCCCCACTGCGGAACAGCAGAGAGGGAAACTGAAGCTCAGAGGTAGCACCTGGGAGAAGGAGCTAAAAGTCCAAGCTCCTAATGGAGCAGAAGAATCCTTCCCATCCATTTGGATGGCAAGCATGGATACTGGGAGAAATCTCTCCATCCCTACATACTCCAACTCTGGCCTGCCTAATGGTCTGCAAGATCCCTGCTGGAAGCAGACAATAACAATGATAATATCCCTGTTTTTTTTTTAATCAAACACCTGTTATGGAGTAGGCACAGTTAAACACTTTAAATGCATTACCTCATTTAATCCTCACAACACTCCAAACGATGTAGATATTTTCATTATCCCCATTTTACAGATGAGAAAACCAAGATACAGGCAGATCCTGTAACTAGCCTAAGGTCTACAGCTGGTAAAGCCAGAATTCAAACCCAAGTGGCTGGCTCCATAGCTGGGACTCTTAACCAGAATGGTGGACTTCCCCCTCCCGTGTGACAGGGGACCGTCCCTGCCCCAAGAGAGTGGGTCGGAAAGCCAGGACTTCCAGTCCCTGGGATCCTTCCCCTCATTAGAGGCTCCTGGGGTCCTGGGGGCTCTAGGTCATGATCTTGGGGTTCTCCTTGCCCTCCAGGGAGAATTTAAAGTTACACACAGTTTTTCCAATTCCCTACTTTGTAGCTATGCCCCCACCTCCACCTCCACCCTCACGTCTATACTCCCCCCACCCACACACATACACACGTTACACACACGCTGAAGGCAACATCAAGCATCCTCTCTGAGAATCCCAGGGAGACCGATGCTCAACCAGGACACGCCCACCCACAGCACTGCAGGTTCCCCAGACCCCTGCTCCCGCCCCCAGCCCAGCTGCTGCTCCCTCCCTGGCGCCCCAGCCCCCATCCTCTCCCTGTCCAGTTCCCTGGTCCCTCCATCCTGAATAAGTGGGAAATCCCTCCTGCCGTCCCCCAGCCACCCCATTCCCGTGTTCATTTCACTTCCTTACCTCGCTGCCTTAACTCGGTGGCTTCTGGGGATCGGGGGACAGGGGGCATTTCCAGGAACCCACCTTCCCTTCCCACGGAAATTTGAGAGGGATGCTTAAAACCCCAGGAACTTTACTCCGTATCCCCAAATCCGCCGCCCTCCCACAGACTCCGGGGCTATCCTTCAGACTTCTGATCCAAGCCCAAGACACCCAGGGGTGTGCGCTGGGGGAGGGGCAGCAACTCCCCTTCCCGGATCCCAGCAACCTGGGTGGCGACTCCCCCGGAGTCCCAAACTCTGCTGAGAACCAGGCTGACGATGGCCGAGACGGAGGGTCCCTGAGAGTGGAGGGTAGTAAGTCAGATCGAATGCCCAGGAGACTGCGGGAGGGAAGCGTCTGGGAGGGAGGGGGCGGGGGGGGGTCGGAAGGGGCCAGGTGTGGCCGAGAGCATTTACCTGGCTGCGGAGGCAGAAGCGCAGGGGCAGGAGGCACGAGAAGAGGTACTTGCCCCATCGGATCACGCAGGAGAAGCACCAACTCAGCCGAGTCATGCTGACCCCGAGAGTGGGCGCCTGGGGCGCGAGGGTCGGAAGAGGTGGACCCGCCGCTCCTGGCGCAGAGTTCCGGGGTTGGGGCGGGGTAGGAAGGCGGGCGCCCTGCCCTACCCTGTCCCGGGTCTCCCGGAGGCTCAGCCCCGGAGGAGCAGCCCGTGTCCTGCTGCCCCCTCTAGCGGGAGGAGCGGCGCGGGAGGCCCGCGGCGCGGCCCGGACTGGGCTCCATCTCCGGGGAACCCCCACGGGGCGCGGGCAGCAGGGGGCTTACACCCTCAGGGACTCTTCCTCCGCGGCTTTCTCCTCCCCTGGCTGCGTGACAGCCTCCGCCTCCTGCTTCCCGGGCGCGCTGCGGGGCGGATGCCGGCACCCCGGCAACTTCTGAGGTTCGGGGAGCCGCGCGGGGGAGGCGGGAGGGGAGCCGGCAGAGGCGGCGCCCGGCGCCGGGCGTCCGGCGTCCACCTGCGAGGAAGGAGCAGCAGCCGCGGGAGCCGGGGCGGCGGCGGCGGCAGCATTGTGCTCCTGGCTGCAGTGAGGGTGTGAGCCTGCGTGTGTGAGTGAATGCGGATTCCCTCCAGAGCCCACTCCAATTCCCATATTGCTCCCCAGGGCATAATGTAATTAACTTAAACGGAGGCCTCCGGCTTCCATGACCCAAGTAGACACATCCCTGTTCCAGGCGTGCACGTGGGGACTCTGTGCACAATCTGGACCAGCTGTCCAGTCCCACCTCCAACCTCTGACCCTGGCCACACACTCCGACTCCTCAGCCAGGATCTCTCTCTATCCCACTCAGTGTGAGGGCGCTCAGACGTTCAGCACATCCAAAGAGCCCCCACAGGTTGGAAGGGACCCTGCCTGGGAGAGAGGAGAGCTGGACCAGCACTCTAGGGCTGGAGCTGCAGCCGCCTGCTCTGGGTTCAGGGCCTCCACTTCACATCTTCTCCCTTCTGCGTGCCCTTGCCTACCTCTGCTGTGCTCAGCTGAACAGAGGATGGGGCCCTCTCAGGAATATTGTGTGAGGTCATCCTATTAGGACCCTAGAACTAGGGAGAGGGAAGGAAAAAGAGGGGAGGCGGAGGTCCTGGACTCTAGAGAGAGATGGGGAGAGACACAGAGACAGGTAGACAAAGGCAGAGAGAGGCAGGCAGAGAGTGCGGAGAGCTGGAGGGGCACCCATGAGCATTGCCCGGGGTTCTGTGGCTGCAGAGAAAGTGGGAGGGCAGGCAGCCAGCCAAGCCGGGAGAGAAGAGGGGCGGAGGAGCTGCCAGGGGGCCTCTTCCGCAGCAAGCGCCACTGGAGCCCAGCCAGACCCCTCCCCCATCCCCCTGGGGCTGGGCTGCCCTAGCACCATCTCAGGGCCATTTTTCCAGATGATGCTGCCTCCCTGTCCCCTTCCTCTCCTGCACCAGCCAGGGTCCCTTTCCCACTGTGTGGGCGGAGGCCCTGAAAGTTTCTCAGCTAGCTCACCCCTGCCCCCAAGCTCTCCTCCGCCTGCCCCCCGCGACAGATTCCTCAGGCCCTGCCCGTCCCCATTGCAGCTCCCCACCTCGAGACAAGGCAGTGGGGTCCAGCATTTGGAGGAGACTAGCAGGACCCCAGGGAGGGAGAAGGAAGAAGAGGTTCCTACTGGCGAGTGGATAGAGACGGGGGAAAGAGAGACATTAGGGGCCCTCATCCTCTAACAAGCCCTCCAGCAAGGGGGATCACTCAACAACCACCACACATGCTCTGGATAAAAGCTGGAGGGGGCATCAGGGAGGTAGGAGGAGAGGTAGTGTGATCCCCACACTAAAGTGAGCCCATCTCCAACAGGCCGGGCCTTTGTTCATGCCCACAATCTCAAGGGAAGCCCCAGCACTGCTGAGTCCTGTTCCAAGTCTGCAGAGGGGGCCTTCCTCCTCTTCTAGGGGCCTTCAATCTCTATAGCTTCCCTACTCCTTGTCAGAGGAAATAGATAAAGGGAAATAGATAAGACATGAGACAGAAGGAAATGGGGTTTAATGCATCGCAAGTAGAATGAAGTTTCATCCAAAGGAATCACTTGTGGAATTTCTAAAATAGGAGGAAGTTATTCAGACAATATTGGCTAAAGTGTGGCCCTGCCTAGATTAAGAGAGGAGGACAACATGACTTTTAAGAAAATTACCAAAACCTTCTCAGCACTTGGGCATGAGAGACACTCAACAAACAGAAGGAAAGAAGAGTGAGCTGGTAGAAAGGGAAGGAAGTAATGATGGCATCCAAGGCTTCCCCGCCTGAAGCCAATGATGAACTGAGCTCAGCAGGGCAGAGTCCATTTCCAGCCACTGCCCAGCATGAGGTGCCTCAAGCCAAGGACACTCCAAAGAGAGAGGAGAGAGTCCAAGGCTCACAGGGACCTGAAGCCAGGCCTGCCACTGCCTGGAGGGTATCCCAGCTTCCCACTTCCAACTTCTGGCCCCCCACCCCCCATACCCCATATAGCTTCATGCCAGGTGCCTCAATACCTGAAGGTCAATGCCATACTGCCACAAGTACTCTGTTCTGTTTTCGTCACCAAGGGAGGTCAGAATCCCAAGGATAACAGCTGCAGGGTCCCCAGACCCTCCTGAAGCCACTCCAGAACCTCCTGAAAGATTCTAGCCAGGACCCCCTTTGCTTCTTCTTTCACCAAAATTCACATATGGGAGTGGGAGAGTTGGGTGGGGGGTTCTAATCCCAAATGATCTTCTCTCAGTCTTGATCCCTTTTCTCCCTCAAAACACTCAAAGCATCAGAAACTGCATCAGGCCATGCACGGTGGCTCACACCTGTAACCCTGGCACTTTGGGAGGCTGAGGCAGGCAGATCACTTGAGGTCAGGAGTTCGAAACCAGCCTGGCCAACGTGGTGAAACCCCATCACTAGTAAAAATACAAAAAAAAAAAAATTAGCGGTGCGTGGTGGCAGGTACCTGTAATCCCAGCTACCTGGGAGACTGAGGCAGGAGAATCGCTTGAACCCAGGAGGCGGAGGTTGCAGTGAGCCGAGATTGCGCCACTGCACTCCAGCCTGGGTGACAGAGCGAGACTCTATCTCAAAAAAAAAAAAAAGAAAGAAATTGCATTCAGCACCTGGTAGGTGCTCAGTCCGTCTTCCCTCCAGGTCCCTGAGCAGAGATGCAAAGCTCCCCACAGTGGACCAGACACAGACACTCAGACACAGGGAACCATGTATTAGAGGCCAAAACATCCCCCCTAGGGAGGGATCAGGGAAGCCTGGGCAGGTTCTGGGCTGCCCTGGGGGCCTCATGCCAGATCACATGAAGAGATCTCTCTGCAGCCCCCATGTGGAGGTCCAACAGTGGCCCCCAGCTCCTCGCATCTCCCTCCCCAGTGCTACTTTTGAAGAGCTGGTCACCATCCTCCCAGGTTAACCTATCCTCTGGGGACTGCTTGTCCCCCTGCTCATGTGACATGGCCCTCTCCAGGCTCCCACAAACCCTGGACCTGCCTCCAAGCCTTAGCACCCCTGCTTATCCTCCCTCCCGCACCTCTCCTCAGCCACAGAGTCCAGACTGGCAAGGGGGGCTATACTGGGGGTCTGGCCAGGAGTTGGAGGAGGAGGAATGACTTCTCCACACCCCACCATATCCATGCAAGCAGAGATCTGGATTCTGAGTGCAGGCCAGGGAGGAGGCTCCAGAGTCTATGGCCAGGTGGGATGGAGTCCATGTTTGCAGACAGTGTCTTCTCTGGGCCCTTCTCCCCAAGTTTGCCCTGGATCTGGGTTAGGAGGGCCCCTTATTCCCCCAGAGAAGCAAGAAAAGAATGGGAAACTTCCCAGAGGCAGCCAGCACAGGTGTTGGGGAAACAAGAGAGCAGGTCATGGGAGGAGGGCCCACCTGGCTCAGGGCAGGCACAGAGCCCCCTCTGTCACAGGCCCTCAGGCCCACAGTTTCCCTGGCTGGTTTTGTCTGCAGGGGCACAAAGGCAGCTCCTGTTAGGGAGAATCACTTGGGCATCTGATCGGAGACTCCAGCTCTTGCTTTCACACCCACAGACAGATGCACAGAGACCACTCCCCGGGGACCCCCCAGCCTTTCTCCACCATTAGATGGGAACATCACTGCAGGCCCACCTCTCCCCCACCCGCTGGAGAGATAGAGTTTCACCACTCTCCCAGTCACAGAGAGTCCTCCCATGATTCCCAAGGGGCTGTCCCTCGGGTACCAACTTCCAAGCAGGTTCCCAGGCCCCTCAGCACCCACACCAGGGATGGATTTCACCAGCTGCACGCATGGGTGAACTGCCCAACCATATACAAGGCACGGAACTCACACCCAGCCTCTCTCCATACAACAGAATATGGGTTCTTGCGGAGCTGGACTCTGCAGGAGTCTATCTAATATGGACTCTGTGTCAATGACTCCTGGGCCTCCTCTGATCACCCCATTAAAGTCCTTCGATTGCTTTGAGCCTCAAATCTATGTGACATCAATACGTTCATTTCTTCCTAGCACTTAGAACTGTTTCTTGTTGATACATTTGCTGGCTTCTTCCCTGTCTCACCCCTTTTCCTACCAGAATGCCAGTCCCAGAGGCCCTTGTCAGTGTTCATGCCTACATCCCTAGTACCTAGCATGGTACCTGCAGGTGGCCCATAATCATGAGTTATTCAGTAAGTTAAAGGATTGCAGGAGGGAAGGAAGGACGGAAGGAAGGAAGGAAGGAAGGAAGGAAGGAAGGAAGGAAGGAAGGAAGGAAGGCAGGCAGGCAGGCAGGCAGGCAGGCAAGGCCAAGCCATTTCTGTTTCCAAATCCACTGGCTCCCTCCCACAGCTGGATTATGGGCCAGTAGGAATTGCCATTTTCAGGGTTTTGCTGTCACTGTAGTCAGGACCATGAAGTCTTTAGGCACCTCCACTCCACACACCCCCTGGTGAGAGCTCCCATCTCCCTGTTCTGAAACAGCTCCCCAATATAGTACTGATTCCGGTTAAACTTGAACCCCTGCCCCTGCCCCTGCCCCTGATTTACATGAGGACACTGAGGCCCAGAGGGGTAAAGTGACTGCCAGGGGTCACACAGCTAGAAAGTGGCGGTGCCAGAACTGGAAGGAGGCCCTCATTCCTGAGTCACGGCTTTTCCATAGCACAGCCTTATAGCCAGAAAAGCAGAGAGAAGGGAGAGGAGGGAGGGGGAGGGGGAAAGAGAGGGGAAGAAATGTTTCTCCTTTCATAGATATCCCAAGGAGGTGAGTCCCTAAGTTCTCTTTGTCCCCTTCACCACTACTAGCCCAGGTCTCTGATCTCTGACAGGCAGGAAGTTCCTGTTGATACCTAACCTCCATCCCCCCTTTCAAATTCCAGACCATTTCCTCTTAGTCTGTCTTGCCTGAGGAAGGAGAACAGCTTGATCACTCTCTTCTGCACAATGAATGCCTTCAGACCCTCGCAGCTCATTATTCAAGCCCCCGTCCCCATCCCACCCCCACCCCCCTTTATTCTCAGGGCTGAGAATCCCAGGTCCTCTGGGCCCCTTTCCAAATGACTTCCATCACCACCCAGCAGCTGACATGATAAACGGGGGGTGGGGGCAGGGTGGGATAGGCCTGGAGTGATGGTGGGTATCGATCCATGGGGATCCCACAGGCCAGAGCATCTGGGGATGGGGAGTGGGACAGGGGCCTGGGGTCGTCTTGATTAGCCCTCTGCCCTGGTGTGTTCCTTGCAGGGCCCAGCATGGAGACTGCAGACCTAGGAGCTGGGCGCTGGGTCTGAGCCCAGGCTCCCACAATGAGATTAAAGCAGGGACTGTCTAATTGATTCTGATGGAACTAGGAGAGAGAGTGAGATGAATGGAAAGTGCAGGAGAAGGAGGAAGGAGGGCCAGGGAAAGGGGGAGGGCAGGGGAGGGCCCAGTCTGGGAAGCCCGGTGGCATCAGCACTAGCTAATACAATTACCATCCACCCCCACCCCCAGCCGCTCCCACTGCAGCCCCCTCCCCTTCCTGGGAAACCAGCCCACTGGCCAGTCTGCTCCTGAACTGGACAGAGAGGGTGGTTGGGTTGAGAGGCACAAGGGGAGGGGAGCTGAGTTAAAGCTCCCAGTCCTGGGATCCAAGATGATGCAGAGAGGCTGCGACAGTGACAGTGACTGGCAGGGAGCTAGAGACACCAGGAGGGAGAGATAGGAACACAGGGGAGATACAGATGGATTATCAGGTCCCCGCCCACTTCAGGTCCATCTATCCAGCAGCTCCCCTCCATCTGGCTCGCTGCCACCCCACCCACCTCTCTCCCCTTGGATCATCTCACTGGGCTCCTCCCCAGGGCCCACTCCCAGACAATGGTTACTGCAGTGTGAGAAGGAGTCTGGGAAATAGAACCCCAGGACTCTCCAGTGCCCCACTCAGCCCGGGGCCCTCAGTCCATGCCCTGCAGATAGCCAGAGAACTGTGATAAGGGCTGATGGCCAGGGGGACCCAGGTCACACAGACAGATCCCAGGTGGACCCAAGACTCAGATGAGGACAGGAGGAAGGGAATGGACCCCCCCAGAAAGACAATCCAAAATAGGAGAGGCACTGGGGCTGAGACCTGGCGTCAAAGACTGGAGATGTGAGCAAGCGCCAAGCCAGTGTGAGTGGTGAGAAGAAAACAAGCAAAGCAGCAGGGCAGGAGGAACATGAAAGGAAAGGGAGACAGGGAGGAAGGTGGGAGGCTCCTGAGCATCCATAAAGAGCAGCGAGTGGCAGTGAAGGGCCAGCATCCTGGAGAGGGGAGAAGAGTAAAGGAATCAAAGAACGAGGAGAGAACGCAGCTGGCCAGCCAGGGAAACTGAGGCACAAAACAAGGTAGACACAGCCTCACATTGAGGCTCCAGAAGCAAGCATGCCTGGGAGCTCCCAGTGACTCCTGCCTCCCCAGGCTCAGACCACGGAAGGGACAAACCCAGTGGGGAGTATGGACTGAGACCCTCAAGACCCCAGCTGCAGCCCCTGTGATCAGGAGCCACCCTGGCCAAGGATCTCATGGAACTTGATTCCTTCCTCTCTTTCCCACCCCAAGGATCCCAGACCCCTCTGTGATCCACTTGAACTTGGCTTCTGGCACATTCTATGCTCACTCTGGCTGGTGGCTTTAGGGCAGAGCAGAGCAGGCCCAGCCCCAGGCAGACCACAGATGAGGAGGTATTTGATGGAACATCCCTTGGGCAGCCTAGCCCCATCCCTGCCAGGGCCCTGCCAGCCCTGTGGATGGATAAGCCTGGGGCACTGCCCCTCTGGGAGCCTCAGTGTCCTCATCTGCAACTTGGCTGCTTCTGTGTTTGGTTTTCTTTCCTCCCAGAGCAGTTGAGAGCATGCAGAAGAAAACATGTGAGTTGCTTCATCTCCACTGTCCCCACCCTCACCTCCCAAAGAGAAGGATCCAGGTGCAAAGCCAGCAAAGAGACCAAGGTCAACTCCTGGCCCTGGCACGTGTGGGCCATGTGACCTTGGGGAGTTATTTTTCTATGCTGAGCCTGCTTCTTCTTCTGTAAAATGGAGACTAGGTTCCTAACCTCATGGAGTAATCGTGAGGATTAAATTAAATGTGAACATGTCTAGCAGGAGACCTGATTCATCGAGGTACCCTCGGGAGCTACTGAACAATATCTCAACCACAACCCCTCCTGGCTCTGCCAGCTGCACACTGCCCACCCCACACCCACTAGACAGACGCTCCCCGCCAGAGCCCTCAGCCAGAGCACACTGTCTGGAACACACAGTTCACACCACTGTCCAGGGAATGAACGCCTGAGGGAGAGGAGCCAGGAGTCCCAGAAGGTTGAGGCCAAAACAGCTTTGTTAGGAGATCCAGTTAGCAGGCTAGAGGAGAGGTAGAATGGAGGCATATGAAGAGGCTGGAACCCAAGAAAAGAGAGGAATTGGAGGGTACAATGCCTCTCAGTCCAAGAAGAGAAAGGAGGAAGCACAGCAACAATTTCCTGAGCCCCCGCAGCCCAACTCAAGACAAACACCAGGAAACAGGCTAGGACTAAAGCAAAAAATACTCAAGTCAGACATCAGGCAGAACTTCCAATGAGGCACCACACGGCCAGAGAGGCCTCTCTTTTCACCCTATTATTCCCATACTGTTCCCCATGCTCTTCTTCTAAACTCCAAATGAGGTCTGAGTCTTCACTGTCCCATGACACAGCATAAAATCTCAGTATCAAAAGCCCTGGCTCAACTTAGCAAGAAAACAGGCTGGCCCTGCTGGCCCTGTCCCCAAATCTCCAATCTCACTTAGCCTGGAACTCACCGTATGAATTCTCTTCCAGAAACCAAAACCTATTTCCAGGGCCATCTTAGACCCCATGGGGAACGAGGCCGCTTCTCACGCAGACATCTGCTCCCATGCCTCAGAGCCCTTTCCCCAATCAGGCCTCACCTGGGCCACTCAGATTGTCCCCTTCCTTAAGTTTTCTGTCTCTGAGGGGCAGACTGAGGTGCACAGGCTGAGGATGTGAGGCGGGAGCTGGGAAGCAACTGGGGAACAGGAAGGAGTCTGGGACTTGGATAGAAAGGGGACAGACACATTTTCTTTGTGAAGCCAAAGGAAGAAAGCAAACATTGGCCTGGAAATCGATGAATTAGGCTGGGCGCGGTGGCTCATGCCTGTAATCCCAGCACTTTGGGAGGCCAAGGCAGGCAGATCACCAGGTCAGGAATTTGAGACCAGCCTTGCCCGCATGGTGAAACTCCATCTCTACTAAAAATACAAAAATTAGACAGGTGTGGTGGCATGTGCCTGTAGTCCCAACTACTCGGGAAGCTGAGGTAGGAGAATTGCTTGACCCTGGGAAGTGGAGGTTGCAGTGAGCCGAGATCACACCACTGCACTACAGCCTGGGCAACAGAGCAAGATTCCATCGCCCAAAAAAAAGAAAAAACAAAAAAAAAATAAAGGAATTATATACAATGTACACAGACACACATAAAGCACATGTCTCCCGAGGGACAAGGAGGGTCCCCTGGAAGATAAGGGTGAAGGCTGGGACCCTATAGACGGGGAGTGAGGGACTGGGAGAGAGAAGAATGGAAAAGGGAAGAGCTGGATCTCCCAGAAAGAGAAAAGTTCATGCTAAAGGAACTTTCTGACCATTCGTGGACACCAAATGACGGTGCTGACATGCAAACTGGATGCAAAAGGACATGCAAATGAGGTAGCTTGCCAGATAATTCTTAGTCTATGTCACCTTGACTATAATGAGGTGACACTTTGGGGGCTGCCCTGCAGGTAGGAACTACCCCTAATCCTCCTCCATGACCACCCCATCTCCCTGGAAAAAACCCCTCTTTCCCTCCAGGCTTGGGCACCAAGGAGGAGGACTCACGGGGCCTCTTTCCACCCTTGGGTCTCTTTCTAGGCCCTTAGGCCTCCTCATGCCTTTGCCCTGCCCACCCTAAACTTCCTCCTTCTGCAAGGGGCTTGCCCTTTCGCCTCAGAGCAGGGAGGCCCTGGGGAGAGATTTCTGTTGATGAAAGGAAGAAGGGAGTCCATAAAGGGGAAATCAGTTACAATCCTGAGGTCAGGTCAGGATCTAACTCCAGTGCCTCCCCAGTGTGTCCTGTTCTCTGACTTCACACCCTGGCTGATTGAGAAGTGCCTCCTGATACCTGCCCTCCCACCCTCCTGCTGGCTTCAAACCTCACTATCCTGTCAATGGCCCCAAGATCACACCTAAGACCAGGAAGAAGAGAGTCCAGAGTAGCTATCCCCCTGCCCGCTCCCCCACTCCCCGGCTGCAGCCTCCCCACTGCCCTACTCTTTTTTGCAGGTAAGAGAGCCAAGCCCAGAAATGTGAAGTGGATCCTCCGGGTGCAGTGGGTCGATTGAACACACATGTTGACTCTCGCTCTGTCTTAAGCCCCCACTAAAACAACAATAAGGGGTTCCTTTTTTCTATTATTGAAGCATAAATCCCAGAGGGAAAAAAAGGAGCGGAAAGAGCAATGAGAGCGAGCAGATGTTCAGCATTGTGCAGGACCCAGCCATGGCGGCTGTGGGGGTGCTAAAATATTTCTGTGCCAGTGGGTGAACAGCCACAGCACCCCACAGGCCCAATACGCCAGCCCCTCCCCTGGATCTGCAGGCCTCTCTTCAATTCAGCAAGGAAAGGGCCAACTCCTGGCTCAGCAGGGGACCTAAGGACCCCTCCAGCCTTGCAGTCCCGTCCCTAGGATCACTGGTTAAATAACTTGATTATCACCTCTGACAACAGTGTCAAAATTCTGGGAGCCGGGGAGTGACAGGCAAATAGGAATCATAAGCCTGAGAACGCTGACCCCTGAGCTGCCTGGGGAACCACCGAGAAGCAGCCAGGTTCGCTGACAGCAGAGAGCCCCCAAAGGCTGAGGATTGGTGGCTCAGATGCTTTTGGGGATAGGGTAAACATGATCCTAAAACAGGAAGGTTGGTAGAATATGGAAGAAGAACTTCTGTGTCCAGCTGTCATCCCTGACCCTGGGGGTTCTGAGTTAAAGGCCTGGGGGCTAGCAAAAAGTGAGTGTTTGCTACCTGACCGTGACCTGCCCCAGGCAGAAAAGTGGAGGCCCAAGAGCAGGAACCCAAAGATACAGACAGGAGTTCCCCCAGTGAAGCACTCAGCCAGATACCCCAGAGCAACCAATCCCCCCTTGACTATCCCTTTACTAAGGGAGCTTGCAGGGTAAGGGAGGAGAGCAAAGGCAATTCGGACGAAGCAAGTGCAATGCAGGAAGAAGCTGCAAGATAAGCAACCATTTACGTCCTCAGCGAGATGAGAGAAGACAATGCATCCACGAAACAAGAACAGGAGGCTATTAGATAGAAAGAACATTCTGAGAACAAAAAAGGCCTTGGAACTGTTAAAGCCCAAGTCCCTGGCAGAGCACTGAATAAGCCTGTGCCAGGCAGCCGCTGACCCCAGCCCCTTGCCCCCGACTCCTCACCACACTGGCAGGAGGCCAGGCCCTCCTCTGAGAGCTCTGCACAGCCCTTGGGGCTCAGGACCTCCTGATGGAGAATGAGTCCAAAATCTAGAGACCAGAGGGGAAACGGAGGCCCAGGCTTGGGAAGGGCAGGCCACAGGCCTGGAAGGAAGAAACAGAGGGGCTGGGGCAGGGAATGAAAAGGGATGGGGACTGCTGAACTGAAGAGTCTGCAGAAAGTCCCTCTGAACTCTGTCACCCATGGACCCAGCAGAGATTGCCTAATAGCACCCCCAAGAGGCAGAAAGCCCCCACCTTCCAGGTAGGAAAGTTGATGCCCATAGCCTAGAGCGAGTAGAGCAGGCTCATCACTCAATCTACAACGCAACTGCTGCCTGGCATCTGGAGGGTCTGTGCATCCAGTCTCGTGGTCTGCACTGGGGTTCGAGTTCTGCCCTTATCACATACCAGCTAGGACTCCAGGGTGGATCCCGGCACCCCACGTTCCTCTCTCTGCCCACGTGTTGCCCACCAGTGCCAGAAGTTTCCTCCCAGGAGTCGCTGGGGCCAGGCCCTCCATCCAGGCTTCCAATTGCAGCAGGGTAGGGGGAAGGCCTCAGGGCCCCAGCAGACATGTCCCCCAAGGAGACCAGGAGGGACCTGGAAGGCTAGACCCTGTCTCTGCCCCAGACTGCCCTGAAAGCACACCAAGCGTGGTCTATTTTTAGCCAGGACCCAGCAGGCAGCCAGCCACCCAGTGCTATTCTAGACTGTGGATCAGCAGGCTGGCCAGGGTGAAGGGGCACCGTGGCTGAGGCTGAGGAGTACCTCCAGAAGACCTCAGAGCGGGGGAAGGGCAGAGGGGGTTGAGGTGGGAGAAATCTGGGGAAGGCTGAAATACCGGGAGGGCAGAGGGTGAAGGGGCTTCCCTGGCACTGGCATCGGGGGGCGAGGAGGAACAGACCTGGCCTCTTCTCAACACCCAGGAAGGCAGGTGGCCTGGTGAGAAAGAGGAATAGGCACAGGGAGAGTGAGCTGGAGGAGGAGAGGGGGCAGGAGAGGGAGAGGAGAGAAAGAGACAGAGGAGTAGGCAGGGAGGCAGAGTGACAGGGAGACTCAGAGAGAGGTGGAGGTAACGATGGTGACAGCCCCTACTCCTGGGCAGGAGAGTCAATGTCCTGGCCCCTACCCCACCATGCCCAGGCCTGACGGCCTCCTCTCAAAAGCCGCAGCCTCCTTTCTCCCACTAAGGCCACTCAGCCTTGGTCTGGGAGGCCCAAGACCACGCTGCATCCCTGAATCCTTTCAAGACCCCTCTCTGCCCTACAAGTTACATATAAAAGATGTCAAGCTGGGACGTGGACACGCACACACGCACGTACACACATACACACACACAGGCACACACGGCCTCCTGGGAAGAGGGGACAATGAAGAGGGGACAGGGGTGTCCCTTTGTCCCCCTGCCTGGCCTTGGGAGCACAAATCCACACAAAGAGCTTCACAAAGGGCCTCTGGCTCACAGAGGGGGAGATAAATGGGGGGAGGGGCAGAGGGGAGCCCCCAGAGCGAGAAATACCCAGTCAGTGGCTCTGGGAAGCAACATGGAGGCCATTCTCACAGCCCAGAGGCAGCTAAAGGGCTTAGGGGGAAGGGGCAGCAGGCAAGGGTGGGGGGTTAGGGGTGGCAGAGATGGGGGATGGGACTCCATCTGTCAGGGGTGGGGAGAAAGCTGGGCCAGAAGTCACCTCCTGGTGAGGGGGCAGTCAGAAGAGCCAACCTGAAGGATGCTACTGAGGGAGAGGGAGCTGGGCTTCCTCGCCCACCCTGAGCCAGGGGGCAACAGGCCCAACCCCACCCCAACCTCAAAGAAGGTGACTGCCACAGACACTCCCCTCACGTGGCCTCACGTCTGGCTGGAAGAAGGGCCAGGTGCCTTCAGGCTCAAAGGCCAATCTGGGGAGGAGGTCCCAGGACAGGGGCAGTAAATTAGTCAAGTAAGTCAATGACCTCTTGCTACCAAGGGACCATTGAGAACAAGAGGAAGCCCTCCCCACTAAAGGGTCTAGGCTGAGGGGCCTGTGCTTCTCAGCAGAAAAGGCGAGGAGACACTGGAGAGACCAAGTGCAGAGGGCTGGGAACCCCGAGACCAGGCTGTCATCCAACTCTGCACCAATAATGGAGAGACTGTGGGTAAGCCACCTTCCTGGGCCTCAACTTCCCCCTCTGTGAAACAGGGTAATTATGCCGGCTCAGGTCCCCCTTCAGGGCTGCTGTGAGCATCATGTAAGACTCTTTAATTTAAAGGCATTCATTATCATGATTGCTAACTGCCTTCTGGCCTGCCTGCCAAGTCAGAGACCCCCAAGCCCAGGGCTCTCCTCCATTCCCGGCCCACCTGTCTCCTGGCCAAGTCAGCAAGTGAAGAGGTCAACTAGATGACCTCAAAGGCCCCTTCCAGAAAGAGAAAGAAACTGATGTTTCTTGAGCACCTACTTCATGCTGGGAACTTTACATACCTTACCCACCTTAATGATCTCACTAACCCTGTGAGGTAGGTGTTATCATTCCCATTTTCCAGATGAGGAAACGGAGGCTCACAGTATCAGTCGGTGGCAGAGCCCAGACTTGCTGCCAGACCAGCCTGCCCTGGTCAGGTCCATGCTTTTCCCCCACCAGCCCTCCTTGTTTTGTTGCCGTGAGGCTCTGAGCTCATCTGTCCCCACCCTTACTCCCAATGCCAGAATCCCAGAGAGAAGCTTCTGAAACAGCCCCCTCCCCCTACACCCTTCCCCAGCTGACCTCAGAAGTCAGCAGACTTCAGAGAGTGACAAAAGAGGGCAAGGAGATGCCCATGAGGACAGAGTGCAGGCAGGTACCAACCACACTGCCTGCCCACTGTGTCCCAGAGCTTGGCATATGCTCTATACTCCGAAGCTGACACTTTGCCACAGCAGCTGAGGTGGGCTCTAGTCTGCCCATTCTACAGGTGATGAAGCTGAAGATCGGAGTCACTAAGCAGTTTGCCCAGGGCACCCCACTAAGAGGTGGTAAGAAAGGACTCCGAGTCCCCATTCCCTCTGCTACTGTTTCCCCTCTGAGTTGAAGCCTTGGGGACATAGTGTGGAGTCACTTCAGGATCAAAGGGGTCTTGGGAAGGATGCAAGAGAACCACAAAGAAACCACCCACCCCCCCATCCCCCCACGGAATACTACCTCCAACACACTCATGTCCCTGCTTGCTTTGCTGCAATCCCAGTAAGAGGCAAGGGAATAAATTAGCCCTGCTTAGGATATTGAGTGGCTGGGGTTGAAGAGGCTGTCTGGGTGCCTCACACATCTCAATGCAGTCTGCCGGCTGCTGCAGAGGTGGGGAGCTGATGGGGGCAGTGGAGGCAGGGGACAGTCTGGACTGCTCTGACCTCCCACAGATGGCCTCAGCTCAGTGCCCAGAAATAGTCTCTCCTGCTCCAGCTTCATTCCCCTAATGGTACTGCAGCTTGGCAATGGCTCTGAGCACCCCTGCCCCACACATCAGCCAGCCCAGGCCAGCCCCAGAGGACACCCAAGGTTATTGTCAGGGGGAGGGTGAAGCTGCCCATCCTCCCGTAGCATGAGCTTTGGTGTAGAAGGCTGTGTCCAGGGGAAGAGGTGAAGGGTACAATGCCTATTCCTGAATGCCCCTATCCAGAACCCTCTGTACCCATGCCTCAGTTTCCCCTTAGCACAGAGGCATCCTAAGCAGAAAGGAGAAACGGGGAGGGGAACAGAGAGGGTGTCAGAGGCCAGATGGGATCAGCCCCCTAGTCCAAGCAGCACCATGTCAACTAAAACAACTGAGGAAAGGGATATTAACTCAACAGCCAAGAGCCAGCCTAATGGCAGGAGGGCAGGCAGCCAGGCTGAGCAGGCCTAGGCCTGGAGGGAGCATGATAGCCTGGGGCCCAGCTTGCTGCCTCCTTCTAGGTGCTTGGGTCACCCCTACCCACCCCTCCCATGCTACCTCTGACTCCCTGGACCAAAGGCCCTGGACCTCTTCATGCCTCAAAGCCCTGCAGCAGCTACAAGAATGCACCTCGCAGACCTTCTGCTGCAGGAAGCAGAAATGACGAGGGCCCCAGCTGCATACTTTATTTATTTTATTTTATTTTTTGAGACAGAGTCTTGCTCTGTCACCCAGGGTGGAGTGCAGTGGCATGATCTCATCTCACTGCAACCTCTGCCTCCCAGTTTCAAGACAGTCTCCTGCCTCAGCCTCCCGAGTTGTTGGTATGACAGGCGTGCACCACCATGCCCAGCTAACTTTTTGTGTTTTTAGTAGAGACTGGGTTTTACCATCCTGGCCAGGCTGGTCTCGAACTCCTGCCCTCAGGTGATCTGCCCACCTCGGCCTCCCAAAGTGCTGGTATTACAGGTATGAGCCTGTAATCTCCTGGCCTGGCTACATACTTTAAAATCCATTGCTGTGTTTGCTGAGGCCAGACCCCCCCACAGGCTTGTCCCTGCCATTGGCAGAGTGCAGTGGTGATACTAAGGCAGATCCCTGCCTGGGAGACAGGGGATTTCTTTCTTTTTTTTTTTAATTTCTGTTATTTAGAGATCCCCCAGATTGGAATGCAATGGTGCAATCATAGCTCACTGCAGCCTCAAACTCCTGGGCTCAAGTGAGCCTCCTGTCTCAGCCTGCCGGGTGGCTGGGAATACAGGTGTGATCACCCCACTGGCACTAGGGACGGTCTTTCTAGATCAACTCCACCTCCATGGTTCCCTGTTGGCTTTGCCGAACTCCTCTCGGAGTGCAATGAGGCTAGGACGCATCCTCCAGGCCTCTTTTCCTCTCTCCTTCCCTTGGGGTCAGGTTACATTGCGGTGTGAGGCTCTCCCAGCCTCCCCTAGCCCTTTCATTTCAAAATCAGGCATTTCCCCTAGTAAAATCCTCCATTCAGTCCCATCTTGTTTCTCAGAGGAGTTAAACTAAATCCCTTAGATAATGACACCACCAGGAATAACATCTTGATTAAGAGCTGTCAATATGTCCCACACTATACTAAATGCTTTTAGGACAGTGGAGGAAACCAAGGCACAGAGAGGTTACATAAGATCTTCATCAACACACAGCCTTTAAGTAGCCAAGCCCAAGTGGAACTCAGTGTAAGCTCGAAGGCCGCTTGTACACCTACTCCCTTACACTATAACACAGATGCCAGCCATCCCTACCGCCTGCCTTTTGGGGGAAGAAAGAGGGTAGAAAAGTGACTTGAGGCTCCCGAGGAGTGGACGAGACAGACTCACAAGAAGACACAGATGGAACACGAGAGTGACAGAAGGAGAGAAAGGAGGCAGACAGGAGACCAGAGGAGACCAGGAGCCTGCTCTGGGCCCGAGAATCCTGACCCTGCAAGTGAAAGCTCCTCTACCTCCCCAGGGCAGGCCAGGTTGGAATATTGGGCCCAAGGAAGCAGTAGAGAAAGGAAAAGGTGGCTGTAGGGCACTTTCCCACCCAACCACTTCTGGCCATCCTTGACCAAACACTCCGTATCCCTACCTCCCTCCAGCCCTTTTCCCACCCACCGCGTATGTCAGGAGGCTGCGCCACAGGTGCCCTTTGCAGCACCCAGATCAGGAGACTCCAGTCCCACTCTTCCCTCCTCTCCTTCCCCTCCAAACCCTCAAGGGCAGGGCAGACATGCCTGGCCTGGGTCTAAGGTCCCAAGAAAGCCAGGCCTGTCCCTTGCCCATCCCCCATGGGAATGACGTCTGGGTTGGCAGCAGGTGAAACTGAGCCAAGAGGACATGGCGGAGGGCCAGCCACACGAGGTGAGCTCTTGGCTCAGATACTGGCCTGGTGGGCTCAAGTTCTTGGGGCTACTGGCTGGGGTGTTGAGGGCTTGGTGGAGGGGAAGTCAGGGAGGAGGAAGGGCAGCCGGCTTCTGGGGGCCCACGAAGGGAGGAGAGACTTTACGGCAAACACAATACCTGTACCGCACCCCACCCCACAAACACACACACACACACGCTCATTCTTGTTTGGCCCAGCCATGTGAGGACACCCACCAGCTGCTCCAGTCACCCTACACCCCCCTGTCGTCTTCCACCCTGAGCCAGGGATAGTTTAAATCATCGGTCCCTCTCTGGGGGGCCTTTCAGGGACTCCACGGCCTACACGATAAGTGTAAAGCCCAAACTCTTCAGCTTGGCATTCAAGGCCCTTTGCATGTAGACTCACCTCGTTCCCAGCTTCTGATCCTGCCTCTCCCCCGACCCTACTCTGCACCCACACTTAACCACTCCACTCCCTGAAGGGGCCACATGCTTCTAGCACCTCTGCACCTGACTGAAATGGCCTTGCCCCTCCCTCTGGGAAGGTGAACTCCTGCTGAAACTTTTAAGAACTTGTTCAAAGTGTCGCCTCCTCTGGGAGGGCTTTCCAGACTGTCCCAAGCAGAACAGGTCAGTCCCTGCTCTAGAAACAGGTGACAGCCCTCGGCACATTGTCTCAGGGTGATGTGTTGGACCCTCTGCCTCCCGCACTGACTTCCCAGAAGAGGTTGGGGTAGAGATGTCATGTGTATGCATGGGGCTTGGCAGAGGTGAGGGGACGGTGGGAGTGGAGGGTGGATAGGGAAAGAGAAGGTGGCAGATGAGTGGAGGAAGAGATGAGCAGAAAGGCAGAGGGGCTGAAAGGTGAGCAGACAGGTGAGGATTCAGAGGCTTCCCCAGTGCATAGCCAGCATCCACCCAGAGGCTCCAGGCCAGAGGCCCTGCAGACTGCAGGCTGGGCCAGAGGACTCTAAGGAATCAGGATACTCTCCAGGCCACACTGGACCCCTCTCAATTTCAGCCATGGCAGGAAGAGGTGGGTAAAGTAGGATTTGGTGGCAACGCTCAGAAGTTCCTGGGAAAGGATGCTGGTAGGAAGGCCCAGACAAGCTGGCCTGGAGGACACCGCTTTCCAGCATCCTGGTGACTGCCACCTCTGCCAGCCCCAGCTGGTCACCAGGCTCTAAAGTCTTTTCTCATGCTCTTCAAACCTCAAAAAGTCCTTCTGTCAGTTGACTTCACCTGACCCTGCACACATTCTTATCTGACTTCCAGCCATGCATGAGCTGGCCCCCACTGGCCTTACTCCACCCCCCATTCCCACACCTGCACCCTCCTGCTGGGTGCCCAGAGAAGCTCAGGCCCAGATGGGCCCAGGGGAGACCTCTATTTCCCAGACAGAACAGCTCCACCCCGTACAGCAGGCCACCCGGGCCTATCACCACCATCCTCTTGCACTTGCCCTATCTGCATTCTCTCTCCTGTCTGTGGGGTCTCTACCTGTCCACCTCTCACCATTCATCCAGCCATCCCTTGGGCAACCTTTATTGAGTATCCAGATGTCACAGGTTCTTTGCTAAGTGCCTGGGATACCAGGTTCACTAAAGCTTGGCACTGGCCTGAAAACCCTGGCTCATGGGCTTACTGGGGAGGCACACTTTAAACAGACAGCAGCAGAAGCACCCAGCACTCTCATATCTCAGGCCAGAAAAGGACCCTAGAGCTTGGGGTCTTCCATCCCCTATCCTTGGGGTAGATTTGCAGCTTCCTGCTCTGGGCTTTACAGCTACTCAGGCTGGGAGGCAGAAGGGCTGGCCAAAAGCACCAGGCTGGGGTCTTGGGGGTGGAGGTGAATTTAAAAATCAGAGCTGGGACAGTCAGCAAGGGGACCTGGCCCCTAAGCATAGCCTGGGTCCCCTTTCCTCCCCACTACTTGGCCTCTCTGAAGATGGCAGCCTATACTTCCCACTCACAGGCTGCGGCCCCTCTGGGGTCTGCCTTAGCTTGCCTGCCCTTGGCACCAGGCTCTGTCCCAGTGCCAGGAGCCCTGGGCAAGTTCATACATCAAACGAGGAGGCAGTGGCTGGCTTCTTTCCCTTCCGGAAATAGCAAACAAATAGAGGGTGCAGCCCTATCTTCAGCCTCACGCCCTCCTGCCCCTGCTAGGGACTCAGGCCTGCCCCCAGAGAGTGAGTAAGACTTAGAGAGGTGATCGGTGGACCCCCACCCACCCCACTCCAATGCAGGACTCCAGAGCTTCTTTCTCCTTTCCCTCCTGAGGCACAAGGCCGGGGGGCAAGTGAATTGAGAAGAATCATTACAAAGGGACATAAGAGGATGCTAGAGAATCTTCTCCCATCCCCAAGGCATCCCTCACCCCCATCAAGGTGCTGAAGTTCTCCCTTCATTGAATGATTCCTTTGATTCCGAGACACGTGGGTCTTCCAGAGACATCATCAAAATGGAGGGACACATATACCAAACAGAAATCTGGCTTCATGATCTTCAAAACACATGCATGAAAGTGTTCTTAGCAGTGCTACTCACAGTAGCCCAAAACTAGAAATGACTCGAACGCCTGTCAATAGCAGAATGGATAAATGGACAGCGTGTCTTCACACAGTGGGACGCTGTCCAGCAATGAGAAGGAACGCTCAAGACCACACCCAGGAATATAGATAAAGTTCACAACCATGATATTGAGCACAAAAGAATACATATGATGTGCTCCACTGATTACAAGTGCCATTCATTTATTAGACATTCTAGAACAAGTAACTCCCTGTGGTTAGAAGTCGGGATTGCGCACTGCCCTCCAAGGGGGATTAGTGACTGGAAGGGGCAGGAGGCACATTCTGAGAGCTGTCACTGTTCTGTTTCTAGACTCTGCATGCCAAGTATGTGAGTACGTGCGTGTGTTCAGTCAGTGGGAAGTTTGTACACTTTTCTGTGTTTAGGAAATATTTCAACACACTAATACAGACAAATGCCTTCACAGCCACCCTCTCTGTGAGATGAGAGGGGTTATTTTCAACTTCCTCCTGCTCCTCGTCCACATCCAAGCCATCTCCATGTCCAGTCCTTTCTCCCAAGTTAGTCATGGCCCCACTCAGCCCTCTCCCTGGCTGACCGTCTCTAACTCTGACCACCGGGCACCTCCCTGCCTGCCCTGCCTCCCAGGCACCTTGCTTTGACTCTCTCCCTCCCAATCCATATACACACAGCATGTGTGCTAGGGCTCCCGGGGAGCCAGGAGCAGCCAGGAAAGCCTTTGTCCACTTCTATAACAGGTCCCGGCTCTTCTCCATGCTGGGACCTTCAAGTCGGCTGCTCCAACCACCTGGAATGCTTCTTCCTCCCAGCTGCTCTTGCTTCAGCTCCTCATTCAGATGTCACTTCCTTCACCTTCCCGGTGCAATCCCTCTGGAATCCTCACCCATCACATCCTGAACTTAGCCTCCATAGCACTGTCTCCAGTCAGCTCAATGACTTGTTTGCAGTCTGTTCCATCTCTCCCACTGGATTGACAACCCCCTGAGGGCAAGGACCCGAGCTGTCTGCTTTCTGCCCTATCCCCAGCCCCAAGCTCCATGCCTGGCCTATAGCAGATGCTCAAAAATGCTTGAATCAGTGTTGAATAAATGAATGGCCAAGCGCATCTGGCTTACAGGCAGCCTCTGGGGAAAGCAAAAGTTGCATCTGGGGATGAAACCCTCACTTGTCTGGACCCAGGACTCCTGGGATGTGGTCCCAGCACTGAAACTCACTTCTAGTGTGACCTTGGGCAAGTCACACTGAGGACGCCCCCTCTGGTCTTCAGTGTGCTGTTTTGAAATACACGGGGTGGATAAATCAGGGCTATAGTGGGGCTTGAAGAAATATATGACATTGTGTATGTTTGCACAGTGGCTGTGTGTCTGTGTGTGTCAGTGTGTGTGTGAGACTGTGTGTAAGCGTGTGTGTATGCATGTATGCGTGAGCATGGGTATGAGTGTGTGAGCATAAGTATGAGTGTGTATGTGTGTGAGCATGTGTGTGAACTGTGTGTATGAGTGTATGTATGAGTGTGAGTGTGGGAGTGTATGTGTGTATGTGTGTGTATGTGAGTGAGCATGTGAGCATATGTGTGAGTGTATGTGTGTGTTTGTGAGTGTGTGAGCGTGTCTGTGTGTATGAGTGTGTGTGAGCATGTCTGTGTGTGTGTGTGTATGTGTTGTGTGAGCATGTCTATGAGTGTCTTGTGTGAGTGTGAATGTGTCTGTATGTGTGTGAGTGTGTCTGTGTGTATGAGTGTGAGTGTGTGAGCATGTCTGTGTGTGAGTGTATGAGTGTGTTGTGTGTGAGCGTGTATGAGTGTGTGAGTGTGTCTTTGTGTATGAGTGTGGGTGTGTGAGCATGTCTGTGTGTGAGTGTATGAGTGTGTGTTGTGTGTGAGCATGTCTGTGTGTGTATGAATGTCTTGTGTGAGTGTGTGAGTGCACCTGTGTGTATAAGTGTGTGTGTGCATGTGTGTATGAGCATGTCTGTGTGTGTGAGTGTATGAGTGTGTGTTGTGTGTGAGCAAGTCTGTGTGTATGAGTGTGTCTTGTGTGAGTGTGTGTGTGCCTGTGTGTATGAGTGTATGTGTGTGTCTGTGTGTGTGTGCACCTTCTCCCTAGCAAGAGCACCCATAGGTTACATCAGATTCTCAAAGGGATCTGTGTCCTCAAAAGGCTCAGAAGCACTAAGATCCTTTTCAGCTCTGGGGTCTCTGATTCTACATAACAAGAAAGAGAGGAAGAGGAGGTCATCCAACCCATGGGGGAGGGAGTCAGACCAGATCCTAGAACTTCCAAAAGGGTTGCAGGCCCCACAACAGGAATGCAGGGGAGGCTGCAGGACCAGGCCCCAGGAGAACGTCTAACCTCAGTAGTTCTCCGGGCTGAAAGAAGCAGAGCCCAGAAGAGCTGACTGCAGAAACGGAAGAGGCAACAGCAGCCAGGAGTCTCCTCCCCACTGCTCCCGCCCCATCCACAAGCACCCACTTGTCCTGGGATACAGCAGAGAGCAAGGAGGCACGACTGGCACCCGGAGATGCCCGCCAGGCCCCTTGGCACCCAGAAGGCTTGGCTGGAGGACTCAGGAGGGTGCCAAGCCCCAACCTCTTGCTCCTGAGGCTGACATGTGGGACCATAGGAGGGCTCAGGGTGTAGGGCAGTTGTGGGACCTAGAGAGGCCACCTGGGAGGGGCAGGGCCCACAGCTGCAGGCACTGACAACCCAGAGCTGGACTTGGAGGCTTAAGAGCCAAGGCATGCACCCTCTCAAAGCCAAGGGGAGGAGCAGGAGCCAAATGCTGGCCAGGGGAGAAAGAGGAGTGGGCAATGGGGCCTGGGGGACAAGGCAGTCCAGGAGAAGGAGGAGGACAGCCTGCTTGTGGAGGAGGAGGCAGCATGACAGGGGAAGGGGGCGATGTGGCCTGGGTAGGAGAGGGCTGTGCTGAGGGGACAGGAGAATAGCGAGGCTGGGTGTGGACACAGGCAGCAGGAGCTCAGGCTGTGGTCAAAGAGAGATGCTGGGCCTACGGCAGGGCCTGGGGCAGGAATGGGGGGTGTGTCTGCAGCAGGACTGGCAGTGGGTGCGCCCTGGCAGGCAGCCCAGATGTCTGGGTAGCCACTGACTCTTGGCTTTTGAGGGGATCAGCACCCAGGAGATGTTTATCTGCCCCAAGAACGAGGGTATCACCCCTCCTCTAGTGAGGCCCCAGGTGATGGGTGCAGGCTGCTCTTCCCTAAACCCCTGAAGGGGGGAGCCCCGAGCAGCAGCAACCCTCACTGGAGCCAGAGTCAGGGCACAGCAGCTGGGATGGAGCTTGATCCCCACAGACAGAGGAGGGAGGGAGTCACAGGCGAGCTCCAGGCTCTCTCCAGAGGCCGCTTAGAAACCAGCTCATCTGATGCAGACACTCGTCCCCATCCCTCTCCCTGCCACTGTCACACACCGGCACACACACCCTCCCCTCTTTCTCCCCTTGATCATCCACCTCCAGAGCCCCGGCTCCTCCCTCCATCACAGCCCCACTCCCTGTCCCTGTCCCTGCCCACCTTTACCTGGCCCAACAGGCACCTGCCCCATGTCAAAGCTGGCTGTGTGGGAGGTGGGGAGGCAGGGACACAGGGTGAAGAAAGAAGACCCACCAACAGCGAGTCCTGAGGTCACAGGGACCTAGAGAGGAGTTACCCATCCCTGGTGACCCCAAACACCTCCTCCTACTCTCCCAGGAAGAAACCAGCACCACACCTATCCCAGGCCTGATGGTTCCCTGGCAGACTCCTCCAGAGCAGACACCTGCCTCCCAGCTCAGACCTGTCCCCACTGCCAGGTCAGCTCCCCACTTGCTAGTCTCTGAGACTTACCCAGCACAGAGAAGGCAGGGGTGAGAGGCCAGCCTGTCCCCACCATCCTGGGGAAGTCCTTGCTCCAGTGGGGCCCCCACCCTCCTAACTCCAGAGTCCTCCTAAATGAAGGGACACTGCCAGAGCTGCCCCTTGGTCCAGCTCGAGGAAGATTAACTCTTTCCCTACCTTGCCCCAGCACTCCAGGCCTGCCCCTCCTGGGTGACTCCTAAACCAACCTCACCCAACCTATTTGCCCTTCTAGGGGTCAGGTCCTATATCACCCTCCTCCCAAGGGCACAAGAGACCCAGGGGAGCCCTCTACCCAACTGGAGGCCCCTTCACCCGGTCGTGGTCCTTCCTCCCCCTTGGTCCACCTGCCTTGCCGCACTTCCCAAGCAGACTAGCACCGTCCTGGGCTGGCTACTTAACCTGTGTCAGGTGCCCTGGGCTCTGCCAACCGCCAGCTCCCGACTCGGGGCGTCGTCCCTCACCCATTCCCGCAGCCCCTACCTGAAGCGGTAGCTGCCTTCTCTCTGCACAGGCCAAACCCCCGGACTCCCAGCACTCAGCCCGCGCCGAGACCCAGGGACTCCCCGGGGGCTGGGGACCGCAGAGTGGTCCGGGCCGCAGCTCTTCGCAGCACACCAGGCTCACAGTGCAGCCCATCCGGCCTGGCGCCCCGGCGGGCAGGGGCGGAGACGCGGGAGCCCCAGAAGCCGGCCCGCCCCCAGCCCTTGCGACAGCTCAGCCCAGAGCGCCTGCGACATTGGCAGGCGAGCAGCAACGACCCCAGCCTGGCCCCGACAGAGTCCCTGCCTTTATGTCCAGCAGCGACAGGAGCCCCCACTGTGGGGCCTGATAAGGGTCTGCAATACAGGTCCCGAACACAGCCAGTGAGGAAGCCCACCTCAGGGAGGGGAGAAGGGAGGGCGGCAGTGGTGGAGTCCTTGGGACAGGGACTTCAGACAGTCTGACTTGGGGGGCAAGGTGAGAAACACACCAAGAACGTGACAGAGGGACAGGGAGAAGATAAAGGCAGACAATGAGGAAGAGGCAGAGATGAGGGACAGAGATGGGGGAAGCAGCCTCCGCATGGGGGATATAGGTGCAGGACGGAGCCGAGGATAGAAACCCTCGGGCATCCGTTGTGCTGGTTTTTAGATGCGGTTCCTGGGGTTTGTGAAAACAGCCGTCCTCCCAGGCCCCTGCTCCACTTCCCTAATACTAGCCCCTGGAGCAGCCGAGCCTGGAGAAACGAGGACCCGGCATGGAAAGACCCCAGGCTCAAGGAGGCAGAGCACAGCCAGGGTGGGGGACCCCAGCCCACCGGGGAAACCCGCCCGGCCCATTGCTGCGCACAGGATCTCACTGGTGGTCTCACATCCATCCTTTTGGGAATGGGATCAGGCCTGGGGGGTCGGCACTGATGACCAGCACTCAGGGGGACCGCCTCAGCTGACTGAGGTGGAGACAGGAAGGAGGAGCGTGGTGGGGCCCTCGACCTCCCCTCCCCACTCTGGAGCGCTGCCTCACAGCCCAACCAAGCGACACGGAAGAGACAACCACAGGAATAGCAGCTGCGGAGCTCCATGGCCTCCCTGTGCCCCCTGGTGGCGAGAAGGAAGAAAAGCAAGAGCAGGTGCTGAAAACGAAAAGGAAACTAGCAGCAGTCCCAGCTACCACAATGGATCAGCCCCCATTTGGCCAACAGGTGACTCTACCCCAGGTGGGCCTGAGAGGACCCATCCCCCATCTCACCATTCTGCCCCAGCGCCCTGGATCCTGCCTCTACCACTTCTTCCCTGCGCAGTCACTAGGGACGGACTCTGGCAGCAGAGCCGCGCTGTCGTGCCCCAGCCAGCCAGGCTCTCCTGGGTGAGTAGCAGGGAGACCCCTGGAACTTACGGGGATAGAAGGAGTGTGATGCCAGGAGCCAGGGGAGGAAAATGCCTGGCAGAGACGAGGGAGAGGAGGAGACACATGGAGCCGTTCATGGATTTCACACAGGATCTGGGCTGGAAGGGGCTGCCGAGACCATCAGTCCAATCTTTGGTCTACAGGTGGGGAAACTGAGGCTCAAGGAAGGTGAGTGATTTGCCCGAGATCACACAGTGAGTGTGTAGCCAGGCCAGGATGGAGACCCAGGTCTCTGGGCTCCTGACCCCGTCCTCCCTGAATCCCATGCCCCAGCCACCTCCCTCATTTACCTCCGTTTCCCTCTCCCCTTCCCTCCACTGTGTCCCACTGCTGTACCACTGCCACGCCACCCCAAACTCCAGCAGCCACAGCCCGGGAGGCAGGACACCTGGGTTTTCCGCTCCATGCCTGGTCTTGACTCTAGGATCTCAGAATAAGGCCACCTGCTCTCAGGGCCACAGTGTCCCCGTCTGGGCCCCAGGATCCATTGGGAGGAGAAGAGGATGAGATCCCCCAGGAGAGAGGCAGTATTAAAACCAGGCACCCTGCTCCCCCCACACACGCAGCATCTGCTCAGCTCCAGCCTTGGGGCCGCGCTTTACTTCTGCAACCTCTCCTCAAAGAACACACATTTCCATTCAGCTGGGGCCCAGGAAAAGATGAGTGGGTGTCTCGAGGAGGATGAGTACCCGGGTGAGGCTGGGGGCCCTCCATGGGGAACATGGGGACACTCCCAGCCTAGTGTCCACATGGCATGAACCCTCACGGGGCTGCTCACACCAAGTCAGGGCCCAGAACACAGGCCCTGTGGGCACACACACCTGAGTTCAAATCCTGGGAACCTCTGTGATGCTGGATAAAAGACTTACCCTCTCTGTGCCCCAGGTTCCCCTCTAGCCTCCCAGGGTTATGTGGGGATTGAATGGGACAAAGATATTAAACAATTAGCACAGTGTCGTCGCCCAGGGACTGCTCAATCGGTGGAGGCCACACCATCATCTTCACACCCTGGCCTACAAAATAGAGCTGGGATTTTCCCTTGCTGTGTGGCCAGATATAAGTCTTTCCCTCTCTGGACTTTACACAAAGGAGGCTCTGCATCCTCCTTTGTGTAAGGAGAGAGTTGGGCAGTGAGACTCAGGGTTCTTCCTGGGCTCACAGTCCAAGTCACAAGGAATCACATTATCTAGCATCCTACGACTGGGTTAAATTAAAACAGGGGGTGAGAACGAGTGAGTCTAGAAGTCTAACTCTATAAAAGGGACCACAGTTCCAATTTGAACCAACAGTTGAGTTAAGGATGCTGCTAAAGTCAGCCACTGGGTGGCCTAACGGATCTCTTAGATGACGTAAAACTTTGGGTTTGATGTGACAGAACCAACACTCCCTCAAGTTACCCACAGAAGCTACTGGCTGTGAAATCCTAATTACAGCATAATGCTGCCAAGTGAAAGGGGTAGACATAAGCAAGGAGAAATTAAGAGAGGTAAGAGATTCACCACGATGAGGAGTCTTCTTCAGTGTTTTGGGGAAAGCTGTCCACAGCGTGAAGTCATCAACTTCTCACTCTGGTTTGCAGTTTAAATATCTCTGGTTATGGCATCAGGTATTTTGGTGAAACTCTGTGTGGCACGCACATCAGGCATGAAGGTTTTCCCTTGAAATGTACACTAAGTTGCCCAGCTCCAGCTTATAAGGCTTCAGGAACAGAGCAGTTCTTGTTCTTTGTAATTCCATGGGAGAAAATTGGATTGGAGGAATCTAGAAGGAATCAAGATCCAGTCCAGTCTACAGGTAGATAATAAACTGAGGCTGGGTGCAGTGGCTCAAGCCTGTAATCCCAGCACTTTGGGAGGCTGAGGCGGGCGGATCACTTGAGGTCAGGAGTTCGAGACCAGCCTGACCAACATAGTGAAACCCCATCTCTACTAAAAATACAAAAAATTAGCCGGGCGTGGTGGCAGGCGCCTGTAACCTCAGCTACTTGGGAGGCTGAGGCAGAAGAATCCCTTGAACCCAGGAGGCGGAGGTTGCAGTGAGTGGAGATAGCACCACTGCACTCCAGCCTGGGCAATAGTGCAAAACTCAGTCTCAAAAAAAAAAAAGATAATAAACTGAAAAACAATGAGCAGGGCTACAATCTAATAACAGGCACACTATAATTTTTCTTCCGAAACATAATTTTTCTCTCTACATTCACTCTCATTTCTACCAAAGATAATCAAAGTAAGACTAATTTGTTTGCAAAATAAGTTTAGCCTCATCAAACACAGCCTGACTAATTAAATAAATGCAGCAAACATAGCAATTGACCACAGAGGTTTTCTTTTAAAGCTTGCTTTGTTGGAACTTTTGATAGGAAATCTCAAATTGGATTTTTTAAAACCTCTTGAGGCTAGAAAGCCAAACCAAGGCAGACTTCAGACTTCACCAGCAATACCTATAGATTCCTTCTCTGGACATTTTCAAATATGACATCCCAGTCAATGCCCTAGTAATATACCCAATACTGTCAATATATCCTGTTATAAAGAGAACCGATTCCTATAGAACAGAAGCAAATCACTATATTACCATACCAACAAGAATACTCACAAATAGTTTCTGAATTCTGGAAGGATCCTATGTGGAGAAAAAGTAAGTGTTTCCACTTTTGTTCACAAAAGTACATTTGGCCAAATTTCTGTAATCTATAGATAGTTTAAAAGAAAAAAACAGTTTCCTAAACTATGGCAAACAAAATATTTAAAGAACCAGCAAAGTTTCAAATAAAAATTCATAAAAAACATTATCCTCCTCAGTTCATTTAACCTCATGTAATTACTTTGTTCTTCTTGATCTTGGTTAAGTTTCATGATAGCGTCAGTCTCTTCCTTAGAGTTATGGAAATTCTTACCCAGTCCAATGGTATGATCTTAAAGTTATCAAAAACCTTTCCATGAAAGTTATCAGAGTCCTTTCCATGAATCTCCTTGAACACATAACACCTTAGAATTACAGCTGCTTGAATAAAAAAAAAAGTTTTCAGAAAAACACCAGAAAAAAAAGCAATTATTTGTGGACAATATGTCTTGAAATGGCCATAGTTAAACATCTTATTTGTGTTTATTATGATGATGCAACTAAGAAGGAAATTTGGGCATCAGAGACATAGACAGAGCTGAGTTTGCTTTTGCAAAGTGCTCCATCAGTAAAAATGCACAGTTTTGGGTGATTCATGGTGAATCTGTTTTCATTTTAATCATTACATATTCATTTTAAATTAAATTAACAAAAGTGAATTGATTTAAAGAATATTACACTTCAGCAGACATGGCCAAAATGTGAAAGGTGGTTTAGAGATGATGGAAGTTTGGAAGACCCCAAATTAGATGATCATGTTATCAGTGAAGAGTGCCCTCAGCGGCTAGTAACAAAAATCTGACTCCCAGTGGCTTAAAAACATAGCGGGTGAGGGGTTTTTGGTGGTATTATTTTACACATAACATTTGCTAATGTTGGTTGGGGGCTCAGTAACTTCCAAGGCTGACTACCCTCTTTCCGATTCATTTGCCCTTTTCCTCATGGCCCCATGATGGTTGCTGCAGCTCTAGCAGTCACAAGCAAAAGGAAAGAAAAGGGAGAGAGGGTGCCAAGCAGTGTCTTTCTTTCTCTTTGGTAGGAAAAGCGAGGGCTTTCCCAGAGCTTGCAGCAGTCTTCTCCTTGACCTTCATTAGCAAAAATCATATCCTTGGCCACCACTAGGTGTAAAGAAGTCTGGGAGAGTGGGCAATCGGTTGCATAACTGGTTTAGACCATCCTCATCCAATGGAGGTTCTATCGGTGAGTAAGGAAGGGGCATCACAGCAAGATAAACCAACATCGGTAAAAGCAAACTGAGAGTGGCTACTGTCTCTTTAAACTTCCTGTCACTATTTATACATGAAAAGAGAACCCAGCAGGAGAGTATGATCTACCTTTAAAAATAGGCTTGCCAGTGGCAGAATTGTAGGCATCTGTGGCATGATAAATTTGACATTTGTGGTAGGGCAAGATTTACACTACCATTAGAGGATGGTTGGGAAGGAACAATGGCAGGCAGACCAGGTGGGCTGTGTGTTCGGGCATACCTGTGGTATGAGTGTGTGACCAAAAGCAATAGACAATGAATTGTGGTGGTGACACATGGTCCATGAATCACAGTAGAAATGTCTCCCATTATTTATTTCCACAACCGTTGATTGAGCACTTACTATAGTCCCTGAAAGAGAACACAAAGATGAATGGAAGAGGATTCTTGCTCACAGGCTGGGGGAGGGTGGACTTGTAAACACATCACTGCAGTATAGTAGGGTTCATGTTATAATGGAGAATTGATGAAGGTGCCAGAAGACTCAAGCCAGGGAACAGACATTAGCTGCTGGGGGAAGCTAAGGCAGGTTCCCAGAGAAGCCGTTCTCCATTACTGAGATGGGGGGAGCAGTGACCTTGACCCCAGCTCTTCCATTCATGGACTGCCCCAGCTCTATGGTCTCTCTGCTAACCATCCAGACTCTGGGAGTGGCCTATGCCCCCAGCCTCAGAGCCATTTAAATCAACTGGTCATTGGCACTGGTTGTGCAAAAGAGTAGCTAGCAGCAAAGGAGCGTTCATTTTCCCATCAAATCCCCACCAGACTACCTCAAAGCAGCCTGAAAAGTAAGTAAAGATTGTGTGCCTGTTGTCCAAACGCAGCTCAAGTGCAGTCTTCCACCTCCTTCCCACTGGATTGCCCCCAATTTGCTCCTAGAGAGGACTCCTTCTGAAGTCTCTGCTGTAAAGTCAAATCCTTCCCCCTTTATTCTTATCAGACAGTTGCAAGCTTTCACAGGTGATCTACCAGGGAATTTAGGAATAAACAAATGGAAATAAATTCAAGAAAAGGAAAAGAATAAAAGTGATCATCCATAGAGTGGAAAATTCAGATAATGGATCCTCAACCCCAGCTTCACACCTGGGACCCCCGCTTGGTCATATGGACCCTGGCAGTCTCTAATCACAAGTCTGTGATCCCTTGACTTAACTGTTCTTCTCCAGATGTAGACATGGTTGGGACTCAGAAGGGAGGTGTCGTCTGACTTGGTTTCCCTATTTCACCTTACTCATCAAGTGCCCTCTAACTGTTAAGTCACTCTGATCTCTGAGCTGTGGCTCCTACGGTTGGACACACCTGGCTGGGGCCTCAGGAAGGAAGCCACCTTTGCTTGCTAGGATTTTCTTTGGGGTAGGACAGCTTGGCTTGACTTTATTTTAGAAAACGTGTTCATTTCTGTGGGACCTGAGGATTTCTGATAAACTGGTTGCCCTCCTCCTGCCTTATGACCATGTACTAAACTCTGACTTCATACCTGGAGGCAGGTGAAGAGGAGGCCACAGCCTCTTCCTCCCCTCTTTTTATACCTTGCCCTTTTGTGGGAAGAGGCTGACAGTTTTCCAATTTGATGTTTATTGCTTTGCCCTAAGATTTTGTCTTTGGTGAAAATGCAAATACTGGTAGGGACGGAACATACTAAAATGTGTGTATCTGAGTGGACTTATCATAGATCCTCAGGTCTGGCAGCAAATAAAAGGTGGACGACTCTGTCCCTCGATTTGCAGATGAGAAGACTGAAATCTATAGGGGTACGAGACCCCACTCAAGGTCACGAGACTTATTAATGGTAGAATCAGGATAGAATGAGAACTAGATGCTGGATGTCCTTACTAGATGCTGGATGTCCTTACAACCAATCTGAATAGCTTTCCAAAGTCTTTCAGATGGTTCTCTAGAGATGGTTCTCTAGAGAACCATCTGAAAGGACGTTTACACTTCCTTTCTTTGTACAAGTTTTGTTTTCCCTGGAATTGATGATAGGATGTTCCATGTACTTATCATGACATCAGTCCCAATGTCTCCCTCAATACATTCACATTCATTGGATAATCTATTAATTTTTCTTTCTCAAAGACCTCTTTCTTGGAGCTCCTCATTGTCTTCTTCCAACCTGGACAGTGACTCTCCATGCCTACTCTTCCCCAAATTGCTTTGGCTATATTTCTAGATAAATTTTAGACACTGCTTATCAATTTCTGTATAATGTCTAACTAGGATTTGGATTTGGATTGTATAGAATCTGTAGATCAAGTTGGAGAAAATTGACATCTTAACAGTATTGCGTCTCCCAGTCCATGAGCATAGTATCTTTCTCCATATATTTAGGTCTGAGACATAATAAAATTTTAAAGAGTTTATTTGAGCAAACAACAGCTCATGAACTGGGCAGTTCCAAACCAGAAGCAGTTCAGGAGCTCCACTGAGGGAATGCAAGAGAGAGGCTTTTATAGGTTGGACACAGAAGTACAGCCAAAAAAAAAAAAAATGATTGGTTACAATTATACAGCTGCTTTATTTGGTCTATCCTGTTGGGAAGTCCCTATTATATAAGTTTGTTGGCTACTTCTGAATGATTGAGGTAAGTTTTGTTTTTCTTTAATATAGGCATTTACAAGAAATAGCTTAAGTTTCACTTATGTTTTCAAATCAAGCAAGCTTGAGGTAATTTGTAAGTCCTGCCTGGTTTTGTCTTCTCAGGGATTCCTGAGGCCTGATCTCAATTTTAATTTACTTTAACAATTTTCCCTTTTTGGTCATCCTTTCAGCAAGCTAAGAGTATGAGCAAGCAGTATAGCGTTATTCTCAGTTACTGCTACTGATGTAGTCACTGGAACAAAGAGTCCTGTAGATGCCATCATCATTAACAGCTACCCTGGGATGTAAAATCACATAGTCAGCACTATCCAAAATTGCATAGTCTTTGTAGGCTTGAGTAGTTGGGCTGTTGACTTATCCAAATTGTCTAATCCTTGATGGCAATCATTTGATGAGTGAGTGGCTGGTGGGAACCACCACATGAGAGACTACAACACACTTGGGATATAAAGGCAACGACAATCAGGAGAATAATATCCAAGGGCTGAAAAATTCCCTGGAGCAAAGTTTCCAGAATTTCATCAACTAAATAAATCAATAAAGGAGGTAGTGCCTGATTAAAAAGAAAACTTGTATTAGTTTCTTAAGATCTTTAATTTTGGGGCAACTATTTCTGATTTGTTAACATAGAAACACCATTTCTTACCAATATGAGCCTAAGTTTTTCTTGTTAAGTTACAAGCTTGAAGAGAACTCAGGGTATGTATCTATGAAAACAAAAGAAAAACAGAAGTTAATATTTCGAGCAAAGTATGGTCTTAGTTTTTTAGTCCAGAGGCTAGTTAGTTGAGATTTCTAGATTTGAGTTTAAAGCATCTTCAGAAGATGAAATGAGGATGGCAGCTGCAGTCTGATGGATTTACCTCATTTGTAGCTTGAATGTCTCTGGTTATGTTGTTGGGTGTTCTGGTAAACTCTCCAAGTGATCCCCATAGCAGCAAGCATGAAAGTTGTTCATACATGATCTGTTGTAGTGATTTTTCTGAAGTTAAATCATCCAGCTTCAGCTTGAAGGGCTCGGGAAAGGGGCAGTTTTAATTTTTAGTGAAACCAGGAAAAATCAAGACTCAATCCAGTTTATAGGGAGATAAAACTTCAAAAAAAAATGAACAGGACCAGAATTTGATAATGAGTGTGTTACAGTTTTCTACTGAAATACAATCTTTATTATAGTCACTCCTATTTTTACCAAAAATAATCACAATTATTTTGTTTCTACAAAATAAATCTAGTTTTGTGATTGGAGTGTTGCTTTTCTGGCTGGAAACCTCTGTGGCCAGTGGTGCCTTTGCCCAAGTTTTGGTCTTGCACCCAGGGAGAATGAGGTAGGCAGACAAGTGGAGGGTGAGCAAGATGAAGAGAAGGTTTATTGCATGTTAGAACAGCTCGGAGGAGACCTGCAGTAGGGTAGCTCCTCTCTGTAGGCAGGTTGTCTCATTGAGTCTTCAGCTCTCAGCAGAGAGGAGGCCCTGGAATGGGTGGCTCCTCTCTGTAGGCAAGTCATCCCAGTGAGTGTTCAGCTCTCAGGAGAGAGGGTAGGTCTTCTCTGCAGCTGGTCATTTGGTCATCTTCCACTCTCAGCAGTCAGGAGGCCCTGAAGAGGATAGCTCCTCTCTGCAGCTGGTCATCCAGTAGTCTGCAGCTCTCAACAGAAAGGAGGCCCTGGAGAAGGTAGCTCCTTTCTGCAGCTGTTCATCCCAACATCTGTTCTGCTCTCAGCAGAGAGGGTAGCTCTTCTCTGTAGCTGGTCATCCCAACATCTGTTCAGCTCTCAGCAGAGAGAGTAGGTCCTCTCTGCAGCTGGTCAACCCAACTTCTGCAGTTCTCAGCACAGATGAGGCCCCAGAGAGGGTAGCTCCTTTCTGCAACTGGTCATCCCCACATCTGCTCTTCTCTGGCTGAGTCTGGGGTATGCATTGTCTTCAGATGGGGGAAGTGCATGCTGATTGGTCCATCAGCAGCCACAGGTGGGCACAAGAAAAAGCACCACAAGCTCCACCTCTGGTCCACAGGACTGGCAGCCCAGCCCCCAGACTTTGAAGGTGGGGCTTCGCCAGGGACCCACCACCTTCCTCCCAGGAGCCTGTCTGCCTCCTGCCACCAATCATGGCATCCAGGCTGCTCAGACGAAGGGGCACCTGCAGGCCAGTGCTGATCTGCCCTCAGCCCCATCTCGGCTTCCCTCCCATGCTTGTCAGTGCCCAAAGTCCAGAAGGGGGCTGAGGAGGCAGGGGGCTGGTGTCCCAGTACTGCTCTGAGTGTGCACCCACCCAGCAGGGCTATGACAGTGCCCAGGTTCACATGCAACCTTACTCCATGATCGGAGTGGGCACCGGGAGTGGGGAGAGACCAGGCAGCAGGAGCAGGCCCTTCTGAGCCTGCAAGGGTCAGGGAGGCCTTCTGGGGCCTCCAAAGCACAGAGATGCCAGGATCTACAGCTAGGCTTGGGCAGCTGCTGTGGCACCCAGGGGTGGGGCTCCTGCCTGCTCCATGGAGCAGAAGGCCCAGGCTGCACCTCCTCACTGCAGCCAGTGTTTTGGCAGTGGCCAGATGAGCCACTGCTGCCATCAGTTTCATGAAACTTGACCTGAATATGTATGTAAATGCAAGAATAATAAATCTATATATGCTATAAAATATGATACTATCCAAGGTGCTTTATTGTCTTTGTATCAGTCAATCTTAGTTAGCTGTAATGAGAAATCTCAGATCACATTTTTTTTATGTTAACTTTTATTTTAAGTTCAGGGTACATGTGCAGGTTTGTTATATAGGTAAACTTGTGTCATGGGGGTTTGTTGTACAGATTATTTTGTCACCCAGATATTAAGCCTAGTACCCATTAGTTATTTTTCCTGATCCTTTTTCTTTCTCCTCCCACCCTCCATCCTCTGATAAACCCCCCAGTGTGTGTTGTTCCTCTCTGTGTGTCCATGTGTTCTCATCTTTTAGCTCCCACTTATAAGTGAGAACACCAATATTTAGGTTTCTGTTCCTGCATTAGTTTGCTAAGGATAATAGCCTCCAGATATCCATTTTCCTGCAGAGGACATGATCTCATTCTTTTTTATGGCTGCATAGTATTCCATGGTGTATATGTACCACATTTTCTTCATCCAGTCTACCATTGATGGGAATTTAGGTTGATTCTATGTCTTTGCTATTGTGAATAGTGCTGCAATGAACATATGTGTAGCTGTGTCTTTATAATGGAAGGATTTCTATTCCTTTGTGTGTATACCCAGTAATGGAATTGCTGGGTAGAATTGTATTTGTGTTTTTCGGTCTTTGAGGAATTACCACACTGTCTGTCTTCCACATTGGTTGAACTAATTTACACTCCCACTAACAGTGTATAAGTGTTCCTTTTTCTCCCCAACCTGGCCAGCATCTGTTGTTTTTTGACTTTTTAATAGTAGCCATTCTGACTGGTGCCAAGTGGTATCTTATTTTTTGTGGTTTTGGTTTGCATTTCTCTAATGATCATTGATGTTGAGCTTTTTTCATATGATATTTGACTGCATGAGAAATCTCAGATTAGACTTTTTAAAACTTCTCTAGACAAGAAGTCAAGCAAAGAACTTGCCCATTTATGTCCTATTACAAGCAGAGTATATTTTTATTGAACCAGTGCAAATACCCATATTGCATATAAGAATATTTAAGAAGAGTTTCCAAATCCTGGAACCATCAGGTAGGAAGAAAAAGATAAATGTTCCCTTTCTATTTACAAAGTACATTTTATCAAATTAATGTAAGTTATTGACAGCTCATAAAAAAGAAAAAAAATTTCCCTAAATCTAGAAAACAATACATTAAAAAAACCAACGTTTTAACAAAAAGTAATAAAATGAATAATCATTCTCATCAGTTAATTTAGCCTCATCTAATTAACTCTTTTGTTTTGTTTGATATTTTGTTAATAGTTTCATGAAACTATCAGTTTTCTCTTAGAGTTTTGGAACTTCTTACCCAGTCCAATAGCATAATCTTAGTTATCAGACACCTGTACTTACCAGTCTTTTTTCTCCTTCTTTTTTAAAAATTGGCAAATATGTACATAATAATGATACATATTTATGGGGTACATAGTGATTTTTTTTTTTTTTGAGGCGGAGTCTCGCTCTGTTGCCCAGGCTGGAGTGCAGTGGCGCAATCTCGGCTCACTGCAAGCTCCGCCTCCGGGGTTCGCGCCATTCTCCTGCCTCAGCCTCCCGAGTAGCTGGGACTACAGGCTCCCGCCATGGCGCCCGGCTAATTTTTTTTGTATTTTTAGTAGAGACAGGGTTTCATCGTGTTAGCCAGATGTTCTAGATCTCCTGACCTCGTGATCCGCCCGCCTCGGCCTCCCAAAGTGCTGGGATTACAGGCGTGAGCCACCGAGCCCAGCCCATAGTGATGTTTTGATGTATATAATGTATAGTGATCAGATCAGGGTAATTAGCACATCCATCATCTCAAGTATTTGTCATTTGCTTGTGTTGGGAATATTCAATATCCTCTCTTCTAGCTATTTGTAAATATATACTATTGTTAACTATAGTCATTGGACAGTGCTAGAGACACTAGAATTTATTCCTCCTGTCTAATTGTGTATCCTGTAATTGTATAGGGAGAGTGTAGTCTCTCACTACTCCCCCTGCCACCTGCCCTTCCCAGCCTCTAGTAACCTCTCTTCTACTTTTCACTTCTATGAGTTCAACTTTTTTTAGCTTCCACATACGCGTGAGACAGTGCAGTGCTTAACTTTCGGTTCCTGTCTTATTTCACTTAATGTAACGTTCTCCAGTTCCATCCATGTTGCTGAAGCAATCATTTTCTATGAATATCTTGCAATGCTGTGTCATAGCTGCTTTCAAAATCTTTCAGGAAGAAAATTTGGTTAGTCTTAAAAATACAGCATTATAAGACAATCATTAGTTTTATAACTGATAACATTATACCAGGAAATATGAGACGTCTAGGAATTTTATACAATTTCTAGAACACTCATCAATGACAAATATAACTTAGAGAAAGTTCAGCATCACTTATTATTTGGCAGTGCCTCTCATGCAATTTAACACATCAAATAAGTCTAATTAGTTTAACTTCCCTCTTGTTACAAGGAGATAAAATTAATTCTTTTGACATATTTCAGGGACCCTTCTGGAAACTCTCAATGTTAATTTGAGGTCCAAAAGACTTGATTTAGAATGTGATTTTGGGGAGCTGTCAAAAATGTCAAAAGGTTTAAAACACTTGATTAAATAGGTACACAGGTCACTGTGAAACAATACCAAAGTGACAATGATTTCAAAGGCAAACACAAAAAGTTTCATTGTGGTTAAAAAAAAAAAAAAAAAAAGTTTAGCTCTTTTAGTATTGAAAAGATTACACTTTTCTTCAATAATAAAAGGCTTTTAAAAAGACAACATGAAGTACAAAAAGTTACCTTGATTAAACACAAAATCTGTGTTTCTAGGCCAATTATTTAACAGATAAGGAAAAAAAACCTTTCACATTCACAGGGAGACCAATACTCCAAGAAAATGTGTCCTTTTAACAGAGAGAAAACCTAATTCTAACTTTGCACCAGTACATCACCGAGTTTTTTTAACTTACAAGTAAAATCTATCTAATGTTTGTACTATGACCACAAATAAAGTTCTTCTTTCATAGACCTTCTGCAACTTTCTGTATCTATTCATTTTTTTTTGTCTTAGTCTTTTTCTCCTTTTTTATTCCGGATCAATAAGTCATCTTGCTTTAAGACAAAATTACTCTCTTTTTCTCTTAAGGAAAACACGTACATTTTATACTTTTCCTTATTAAAAATACATCTCACTTTTAAAATACATTTTTCACATACATATTTGTGTACAGTTGTTTTCATTCATCCTTTGTTTTTAGTAGTTTTAATTACATGTATTAATTAAAATTCTTTACCCTTAGTAGCCTTAATATCTAGCGAAAATTAGGATGTACGTGGTTTCATTGGCCTAAATCCTATTTCCCCATAGCACAGGATATGCTTACCAGTGCACCCAATTATCTCTAGTTCCTCTTTAATAACGAGCCTAAAGTACATAAGCTTAAACTTACGTTTATTTAGTGATTAATAATTTTAGTAGTTTATCTCATACGGAAATGATCTAGATACTTAATTTATATGTATATTTTCATATTTAATTTTAATCTATAAGTCTATCCTATTGGAAAGTTCCCAGTTATAAATTTTAAGTCTTCTGGCTACTTCTGATGGGTTGAACTTATAAGTTCTGTTTTTCTATAGTATGAGCATTTATATTTATTTCTGCTTTCAGGTCTTCAAGGGATTGCCACACTGTCTTCCACACTGGTTGAACTAATTTACACTCCCAGTAACAGCGTATAAGCGTTCCTTTTTCTCTGCAACCTTGCCAGCATCTTTTATTTTTTGTCTTTTTTGGTCTAAAGTGGTATTTCACTGTGGTTTTGATTTGAATTTCTCTAATGATCAGTGATATTGAGCTTTTTTTACACGATTGCTGACCACATGTATGTCTCCTTTTGAAAAGTGTTCATGTCCTTTGCCCACTTTTTAGTGGGGTTGCTTTTTCTTGTAAATTTGTTTAAGTTTTTTATAGATGCTGGATATTAGACCTTCGTCAGATGCATAGTTTGCAAAAATCTTCTCCCATCCTGCAGGTTGTCTGTTCACCCTGTTGATAGTTTCATTTGCTGTGCAGAAACTCTTTAGTTTAATTAGATCCCATTTGTCAATTTTTGCTTTTGTTGCCGTTGCTTTTTGTGTTTTCATCATGAAATCTTTGCTCATTCCTATACCCAGAATGGTATTTCCTAGGTTGTTTTCCAGGGTTTTTATAGTGTTTCTTATGTTTCTGAAGATATTATGGTTTTTGTAAAGATTTATTTGATTCCCTTTATTGTCTCTCTTTATTTTTGGTCTAATAAACTCAGTTACCACTTATCCATCTACTTCTGATTTCTATTTTTTTAATCGGTTATCTTTTCTTCACTTTCTCTTAATCCTTGTACCTTGTAGGATTATGCCTTTTAAAAAAAATCCCTTTAGTGTCATTTTTAGTGGATTTTTGAGAGGAAACAGAGGTAAACATGTTCATTAAATTCTCCATTCTTAATATAAAACGCCTCTGGATTTTTAAAACATGCTTATTTTAAAAATCACATTCAGATTGCTCTGTTATCTCTAGTCCTCAGTTGTTAAATCTCCCATGGGTTAAGTTGGCTGATTGTTGATTCTGGTGGTTGTTAGTTCTTTGTAATATTTAATCATGAATTTATCTTTCGAAGAGCATATTTTCATGTAATCTTGCATTTGCCCTTGATTACAAAGAAATCTACATGGGGGAAGTTTCATGGCTGTACTGGCTGGGGCACTACTGGGTCATATGGTTCACAGCATTTTTTGTTGTTGCTAAATTTCTTGGCCCTGAGTTTCCACACCATTCCAAATGGCAGGTTTGGGACCTCATCATCTGATACTCAGGCTTGGGATTCTAGAATGTTCCTCAAATGACCTTCTTTTTCCCATGGCCTGGGGCAGGCAGCTCACTTGTGGATCATGTCCAGAGTTGGCAGGTGTTTTTGCCTGGGAAAGTCTCTATGTCTCCTTCATCTTTGAAGGATAATTTTGCTGAATATGATATTTGAGGTTGAAAGTTTTTCCTTCAGCACTTTGAATATATCATCTCACTCTCCTGGCCAGTAGAGTTTCCACTAAGAAGTCTGCTGCCAGATGTATTGGAGCCCCTTCATATTTAATTGACTTCTTTTTTTCTTGCTGTTTTAGGTCTTTTTTTTTTTTTAGATGGAGTTTCACTCTTGTTGCCCAGGCTGGAGTGCAATGGCATGAACTCAGCTCACCGCAGCCTCTGCCTCCCAGGTTCAGGCAATTCTCCTGCCTCAGCCTCCCAAGTAGCTGGGATTACAGGCATGCGCCACCACAGCTGGCTAATTTTTTGTATTTTTAGTAGTGACGGGGTTTCTCCCTGTTGGTCAGGCTGGTCTTGAACTCCTGACCTCAGGTGATCCACCCGCCTCAGCCTCCCAAAGTGCTGAGATTACAGGCGTGAGCCACCGTGCCCAGCTAGGTCCTTTCTTTATCTTTGACCTTCTTTATCTTTGAGTTTGATGAATAGATGCCTTGAGATAATCTTATTTGAATTGAATCTGCTTGTGATAGTGACAGGAGACAGACAAATTCCTAGTCAGACAGGGATGGGTCCCTGGTGAAACCTGACCTTCAAATCAAGGACAGTTTAAAGCCTGAAAACCCAGCTGCTAGTTCTAGATAGAGTCCATGACTGGAGTGAGAACTTCTATCCTCATCTCACCCACTCTCTCTTGATTGGCTACTTCTGGATGATGTCTTTTAACCAATCAAAGGTGTTTTTTCCAAAGCCACCCATGGACCAGTCAGCAAGTATTCCTCCATTTTTAGCCCATAAAAATCCCAGACTCAGCCTCACAGATGGCTACCCCACTTTCAGTGTCCGCTCCTGCAGCTGAGAGCTTTTCTTCTGTCACTCAATAAAATTCTTCTCCGCCTTACTCACTCTCCAGTGTCCACATATCTTATTCCTCTTGATCACAGGACAAGAACCCGGAACTCACCAAGCTACAGTAGGCAGGAGTGAAGGAGCTGTGATGCTCCTGGCTGGCTTGATGAGCTACAGATTACAGGGGTGAAAGAGCTGTAACCCTCCCTTCCACTTGCCGAACTGCAGGAGCAAAAGAGCTGTGACACTCCTGGCTAGCTCACCAAACTGTGGGAGGTGGGAATAAGAGCTATAACCCTCCCTCCAGCTCACAGAACTGCAAGAGTGAAAGAAGCCACTGAGTGCCACTCCCTCCTACTCGCCAAACTACAAAATCCACAGCATTTCATGTTCTATGACCTTCTTATAGCTGGATATTCACATCTTTCTCTGTATTACCACACATTTTTTTTGGCCTGGGTTTGGTAGCCAGACAGTGTTATATTTGTCTCTGCTAGATGTTTTAAGATCATAAAAGTATGAGTTTGACCTAAGAACAAATGTACAGATGAGAGTACATGCAATGACCATTGTTTTCTGTATATCAAACACAATTTAACCTTTAGTGATTTTCTTTGACAGGAAAAAGACTTAAAATAATGACCTGCTCTAATATCTCAGTTTTCAAGAGTAATCTAGGTAAAATTATTGTAAATAAAAAACAAGGTATATATAAATGGAATAAACATTTATACATAAAGTTTTCATGTAATTTAAAATCTTGAAGTTATGTTAAAGTAAGTGATAGATATTTTTAAAATATCTAGGTAAGTTCTTTTCATTTTTTAAATTAATTTTTGTGGAGATGAAGTCTTATGATATTGCCCAGTCTGGTCTCAGACTGCTAGGCCCAAGCAATCTTCCCACCTCAGCCTCCCAAAGTGCAGGATCACAGTCCTGAGCCATTTCTAAATAAGATAAAATGCTGAAACATTAATTGTTAAACATAGCTTTAAGCTTATTTATTTTTGACTTCTTAAATATTATAAAAACACAAAAGATATTTGGGTCTATTAAGAAAACGTCCTATACCACATTAGAAATTGTTCTGTAAAAATATGTTTTTAAGTACTATAAAACATATATTCAGGGGATGTTTATATATAACAGTTCAGAAAAGTACTTATTCCTGGGTTTTTACTAAAAATTAAGGTTTCTAAAATTAAAGTTCTAATCAATATATTTAATTCTGTATACAAAATATACAAAAGCTAATTTTTGCAAGAGAAAAAATATTAAGTGGTTTCCATAATAATGGGAAAAAGAGAACGTTCTTGTCCTAAGATAAAATGACTGGCTGTTCCAATATTTTAAAAAAAAAAAAAAAAAAAACACAGAAAAGTGTAGGGCAGTAATGAGACTTTAAGAAAATAATGGAAGACCTAAGCAAGTTGGGGAGGGTTTATGAAGGATGGTTTTGTAAAGGGAGTTTTGTGTGTGATTAGGTTGCCTGGATTTAAAAACATGTTTCTAAGTTTTCTAAAAATTAAACACTGACATCAGGGGTACCATGGCACAGGGCTGGAGACTGGTCTTCTATGTTTGAAACAGAAAGGTTTTCTTAAAATATTGATCTGCTTTTAGTAAACAACAACAACAACAAAAACTACAGGAGGTTTGGGGTTTAATTCTGAATTCTGTTGAATTTTCAATCATCTTCTAAACTACACCTTTTTTCTATTTTAAATTTTCTACATAATTTCAACTTAGAAGTGCTGTCTTCCTCATTTAAATTGATAATTTCCTTTCTCAAGGTAGAGTTTTCCTCTTAAAGCTTTTCAGATTCATGTCTCAGGGGTTTGGCATTTTCACATCTCACTACATGTGACTTACAGGTCATACGTCACTGCCTCCTGCTCTTCTTCCTTGAAAAGATACATCTTTTTGCTTTACTAAAGTGGTGACTGTCCCCTTCAACATTTGTCAGTTCCTGTAGCTTTTTCTTTTTTTATTTCAGACTCTACTCTTGTGGCCTGACCCAGAATGTTTGTCTTAAAGGCCTAGGAGGACAACGTGTCCTCCAGTGTAAGTCGACTCTGTACTCAGCTCTTCCTGATGTGTCTAAATTGTTCTATGTAACCAGACAATTTCACGTGCTATTACTTTTTCTAAAAACCATGCATTCCGTTGCCCAAGGTATTGGTTTTCTTGTTTACCTTTTTCTCCTATAATATGGTGTACACTCCTAACCTTGGACATACTCTTACCGTGTCTAATTACCTTTGTATGAGGTTTGCCTTCCAGGTTATCCAAATAGGCTTCCCATAAAGACAAGCAGTTATACTGCAGGAGGCTTTTCTTTATCTTTTAAGTAATTTGCCTAAGAAACAGAGATTTCAAGTTTTAGGATAGTTTCTTGCCAGACACAGTATTGAGCACCTGTAGTTCCAGCTACTCAGGAGGCTAAGACAGGAGAGTTGCTTGAGTCTGGGAGTTCAAGACCAGCCTGGGCATCATAGCAAGACCTCTATCTCACTTTTTTTTTTTTTAAAAAAAAAAGATAACGTCTTGTGTTTTGTGCTGTTAATATTAATAAACTAATATTGGGTTTTTTGAAAGTCATCCCTAAGGCAGGTCTAAGGTTTTTTTTTTCTCTCAGCTATGTAACATTTTATATTTACTCTTAAAGTATTTTTATTATCCTTCTGATTCAATAAATGACTGTTATTTCAAAATGACATTTGATTCCACTTATTATTATTATAGTTATTATTATTTCATAAACATAAGGCTCACCCTGTCACCCAGGCTCAAGTGCAATCGCATGATCACAGCTCAGTGCAGCCTTAAACTCCTGGGCTCAAGGAATCCTCCTACCTCAGCCTCCTAGGTAGCTGGGATAACAGGTGCAAGACACAGTGCCTGGCTCGTGATTCTATTTTAATTAAATGTTTTAAGCCTTTTAACATCTTTGACAAACTTCCCTAAAATAGAATTCTAACTTAAGTCTTTTTAACCTAACATCGACTTTGGGATTTTCCAGTTGGGCCCCTGGAAAGTCTCAAAGGATGAGGCTTATTTAATATGAGGCTTATTTAATATGTTTAATTGTATGAAAAGCACTGTCAAATAACGAAATGATATTAAACCTTTTTTTTTTTTTTTTTGAAACAGGGTCTCACTTTGTCACTCAGGCTGGAGTTCTGTGCCATGAACATGGCTCACTGAAGCCTCAACCTCCCAGGCTAAAGCAATCCTCCTACCTCAGCTTCCCAGGTAGCTCAGACTACAGGCATGCGCCACCACACCTGGCTAATTTTTTTTTTATTTTGAAACGGAGTCTTGCTCTGTCGCCCAGGCTGGAGTGCAGTGGCGAGATCTCGGCTCACTGCAAGCTCCGCCTCCCGGATTCATCCCATTCTCCTGCCTCAGCCTCCCGGGTAACTGGGACTACAGGCGTCTGCCACCGCGCCCGGCTAATTTTTTTGTATTTTTTGTAGAGATGGGGTTTCACCGTGGTCTTGATCTCCTGACTTCGTGATCCGCCCGCCTCGGCCTCCCAAAGTGCTGGGATTACAGGCGTGAGCCACCGCGCCCAGCCGCACCCGGCTAATTTTTGTAATTTTTTTGTGCAGACTGGGTTTTGCCACATTGTCCAGGCTGGTCTCCAACTCCTGAGCTCAAGAAATCCACCTGCCTTGGCCTCCCAAAGTGCTGGAATGACAAGCCTGAGACACCGCACCTGGCCTAAACATCTTTTAAGTTATATTCATGTGGATGTTACTGACAGAAATCTTCATCGTCTAAAGATTATATGAAATTTATAAAAGTCTGATGGTCCTGGTGTGATGCTGTCAGTCATGATTCTCATTTTTGTCTTAAAATGCTGTTTGCAATACAAATGACAGAATTCCTTTTCAAAAGTTGAACTTTCATCAGATTTCAAGCATGGCTATTCTAAGTTTTTATCATCTACTGTGTTGATTCTTCTCTAAAGGCATCTGCAATCAGATTCATAAGACTCTTACAAGTACTCTTAAATACAGGCTTTTAATTACTTTAAGATCATGGACTAGGGTCGGGCATGATGGCTCATGTCTGTAGTTCCAACACTTTGGGAGGTCGAGGCGGGAAGATCACTTGAGGTCAGGTGCTCGAGACCAGCCTGGCCAACATAGCAAAACCCCAACTCTACTGAAAATACAAAAATTAGCCAGTTGTGGTGGCGTGCACCTTTAATCCCAGCTACTCAGGAGGCTGAAGCACAAGAATTGTTTGAACCCAGGAAGTGGAGGTTGCAGTGAGCCAAGATCACACAACTGCCCTCCAGCCTGGGCGACAGAGTGAGACTCTGTCTCAAAAAAAAAAAAAAAAAAGATCAGTGGACTAAATAAATAACATTTCTAAAACTCTAACGAGAAGAACTGATAGGTTTATAAAACTGCTAATCAAAATCAAGCAGAATAAAAATTGATTACATGAAATTGAATAACTGATACAAATTATGATTTTTATATCATTTGAAATATTGTTAGTTCTTTACTTAAATGTCTTGTTTTCCAGATTTAAGAAAAGTTTCTCTCTTAAGCTATCTGTAGTTTAACAACAATTTGGTGAGGCAAATTTTCATGAACAAAGGTGAAAACATTTGCTTATTCTTCCTACTTGATCCTTCTAAAATTTGGAAATTATCTGTGAGTACTTTTTATTTTATGACAATATAGTTATTCACATAAGTTCAATAAAATTCTGTTTCTTTATAGGAAGATGCAATTTAAAATGTTAATTATATTATCAGGGTTAGATGAAGTTATCATATTTTAACCTATTTCCGGGTACTGCAGTTAAAATCAGAAGCCTGCCTTAATTTGGCTTCCTAGTCTCAAAATTAAAAAAATAATAAGAAGAAGATACAAGGCGAAGCACATTGGCTCATGCCTGTAATCCCATCACTTTGGGAGGCTGAGGCAGGCAGATCACCTGAACTCAGGAGTTCGAGATCAGCCTGAGAAACATGATGAAACCCCATCTCTACTAAAAATACAAGAATTAGCCAGGCGTCATGGCAGGCACCTGTAGTCCCAGCTACACGGGAGGCTGAGACAGGAGAATTGCTTGAGCCCAGGAAGTGGAGGTTGCAGTGAGCCAAGATCGTGCCACTGCACTCCAGCCTGGGCAACAGGGTGAGACCCTGTCTCAAAAAAAAAAAAAAAATACAATCTAAGATGCAATCACTGTTTTTACTACACTTACATAAATAATCAGGCCAAACCTGATAAAACTAAATTTGGTGTTACTCTGATTATCTTCAGTAAAAATTGGGATGTCTAGAATACACTCGTTATTGCTTTTGTATTGTAGTCCAGTGCATTGTTTTTGATTTTTTATTATCTGTCTGTAGAATGGACTGTATCTTAAATTCTTCTGGTTTCCTCTGATCCAATTTTCCCCCATGGAATTACTAAGCAGGAAATTACTCTTTCCTAAAGCCCTAAACTAAAACTAAACAACTTAATATACATTTCAAGGAGCAAGACTCATGCCTGATGTATGGGTCCACCCAGAATGTTCACCAACCATCCCCGCCACAGTGCCATCATCAGAGATATTTGAACTACAAAACTGGCAACTTCATGCTTAGGCAGCTTTTCCCAAGACCGTCAAAATACAACTCCATATGGTAATACGACTCCTACCCCTCTCATTGACTACCTTTCCACTTCACAGGATAATGCTATCATTAAAATTTCACAAATTAGATACTGCTATAGGTAACTTGACAGAATCTGACCTAAAAAAATCCTTCAGTCCACCTGGAGAGCATCTTCGGCAATATCCCAGCACGAATTTTTGTTCAAATTGTCCCTTTTCTAGAGGTGACACTCTCTGCTTTAATTCAGCTCACTCACGGAATGCTACACAATGGCTGCAACAGGTCTCAATTTGATTTGCCTAGTTGGTTGCCTTGAGGCTTGGGCTTTTGGTTCAAAACCATTGTACAAATTGGATTTATTATATTGTTGCTGGTTGTTGTTTTTTTTTTTTTTTTGTATTCTGCTCTGTAAGCTCTGCTTTTATTGCCTGTCTAATCTTTGCAAAGCCAGTTCTCCCAACAGGATAATGTTAGCCCCACACTTCAAGATGATTGCTGATGCCTGCCAGAATAATCAGATAGAACTTGATGCTAAACTCCAGGCAACTCTGCCCTGAGAGAGCTTTTTTCCCCCACTTCTGGTCTCTCTTGCCCAAATGTGGCCCGGGTCCCTGACACTGACTCTTGTACTTTCCCCTCAATGTAAGACCACAGGGATGGGCTCATCCTGGCATGAAGGACAATAAAGCCTAACTTCAAGATGGTTACCCAGTGATGCTTTCAGACAATGATCTTGATCAACAGGTGGAAATATGAAAATTGATTACATAAATTACAGTTATCTTGTCACATACAACTAAATTAGAGTTGAGTGTCCAGAGGAGAAAGAAGCATTCAGTGCACAAAGGGCCTGACCAGGGATTACATCACAGTTCAGCTGCCAAAATGACCTGCTGTAACCTTAAGACCAGTTTTACCAAGTAGCTGCTGTGATTTCAAGACTAGTTTTATCCAGGCCAGGTGCGGTGGATCACACCTGTAATCCCAGCATTTTGGGAGGCCGAGGCAGGTGGATCACTTGAGGTCGGGAGTTTGAGACAAACCTGGTCAACATGGTGAAACCCCGTCTCTACTAAAAATTAGCCAGGCATGGTGGCTTGCGCCTGTAGTCCCCAGCTACTTGGGAGGCTGAGGCAGGCGAATCTCTTGAACCCGGGAGGCCGAGGTTGCAGTGAGCCAAGATTGTGCCACTGCACTCCAGCCTGGGCAACAGAGTGAGACTCTATCTCAAAAAAAAAAAAAAAAGAGAGAGAGAAGACTAGTTTTACCCAGCGCTGTCCTATCTATCAGAGCTTGTCAACTCCCAAAAACCTTTGCTTAATGCCAGTGAGTTTTCTTTCAAAACAATACTTAACATTTCTCTTTCTAATAAAACCTGCAACTTTCTCTTTGTTGCAAAGACCACCCCAGTCTGTGTACACACCCTGAATTGTAATTCTGTCTTGCCACATAAAAGGTTTTGTTTAGAAATTCATCTCTAGATTTTATGTGACTTTGATACTTCCTAGACATTTATCTGAACCTTTATAAATCTACATATATTATAATTTTTTATACAAATGGGTAAGCCATTTATTACACATGCTGTTCTACCTTCCTCCTTCATTCCACATTATTTCTTGAAGAACTTTCTGTGTCCGCTCATATACCTACCTCATTAATTTTTTAAGGTTCTTCTTTAAAAACAGTTTTATTCAGGTGTAATTTACCAACTATAAGACCTGCCTGTTTTAAGGATACAATCCATTGTTTTTAGTAAACTAACAGAGCTGTAAAACCATCGCCACAGGTTACTTCTATCACCCCAAAAAGAACCGTTGTGACTATTTATAATCAATCTGTGTTCCCAACCCCAGGCCCAGGCAACCAGTCATCTGTTTTCAGTCTCTGCAGATTTGCCTTTTCAGGAAACATTTTAGGCAAATGGAATCATATAATATGTGGTTCTGTTCTGGCTTCTTCCACTTAGCAGAATGTTTTTAGCTTTGACTTTAAACTACTGCATTCACAGTATTCCATGGTGTGGCTGCAACTTCAGAGTGTAACTAATGAATTCCCTATTGATAAACATTTGGGTTGCTTCTAATCTCTGATTTTTGTAAATAAGGCTGCAATGAATGTTCTGTACACATTTGTCCAACTAAGCAGCTATTTCTGTAGGATAGGTTTGTAGTAGTATAATTCCTGAATCAGAGATTGTGTGCATTAAAAGAGAGATCATCAAATTGCTTTCTCTAAAGCTTGTACCTATTTATCTACTACCAGCAATGCATGAAAGTATCTTCTTCTAATCTGGTGAATTCTCACTCCAAAATTACAAGATGCAAAAGCCTGCACTCCACTCTGTGCACTGGGTCCTCAAAATGACCCGAGTTGTCCTTGTGTTCTTCTGATCACTTTCTCCTTAGCTTTTCCTTTATTTTAACGTTTTAAAACATTTTCATTGTGAATAGCATACATACTACAAGTTAAGAAAAACTTACGTTTATAGCCTAAGGAATAATAATACACTAAATCCCAAGCATCTATCATGTGGGTAAGGAAAGAAGGCATTATCAGTGCCTTCAAAAGCCCCAATGTGTTTCTCCCTTCCCCGACCCTTTAATAAACATCACCTGAACCTTTGTGGGAACCGTTCTTTTTCCTTAGAGTTTGCACATAAGTTTGTGTGGAGGGATTTGTACTGAGTCAGCATGATAAGATAGAATTGTGTTTCCCCAAATTCTCTTCCTTTCACATTTCCAGGTCAGTGGGGGGCCAGAAGGGACCTCATGTGTGAGATCTGGAAGCGGGAATTGGAGCAGCAGTTTCATTCTGCTTCAGCTCAGGAAGGTCAGTGCAAGGTGCCAGACACCACCATATGATGGGTGTGTGCTTGTGGGGGAGAGAGAGAGAGGGAGGGACACTCAAAGTGGGTGCTGCTGGCTGACCTGGAAGAGCTCTCTGCCTTTCTGCTACCTGATCAGGGGGATTTGGTGAACTTACTCAACCCTTTGCACCTTCTAAGTCCCACCCCTGACACTCCTGACTACTGCTTCACCCAAGGATATGAGATGCCCTAGAGCATCCCAGAACACATTTCTTTCCATGATGCGTGGTCTGCAGCAGGAAGCTTGGGTTGGGGATGAGGGGATGCAAGGCTGGGCTCCATCTCTATTCTATCCTTCTCTTTACGACACAACAAATAACAAAGAGATTTACTTCTTGTAAAGACTCTCACCCAAGACCTCTGCTCACTCTTGCCCCACTTCTCTGTAGCAGTTTGGAAGCTTTTGGTTGGAAGAAACAAAATAAACACACAAAAGTGGTTTAAGCAATGAAAGACATTTAATTATCTCATTTAGCAAGAAATTTCAGCCTTGGTTCTTTGGCAAAAGTACCTTTGGGGGCCAAGGTGTTTTCTTTTTAATTGAGGTAAAATATACATAAAATTTTACCATTTTAGACATTTAAGTGTACAGTTTAGTGGCATTAAGTACTCAGACATTATTGTACAACTATCACTACTGTTTATCTTTACAACTTTTTCAACATCCCAAACATAAACTCTGTGCCCATTAAACCATCACTCCCCATACTCCCCTCCCCTCAGTCCCTGGTAATCACTGTTCTGCTTTCTGTCTCTGTGAATTTGTTCACTCTCAGTACCTCATGTAAGTGGAATCATAAACTATTTATCTGTTTATGTCTGGCTTATTTCACTTAGCATGAAGTTTTCAAGGTTCGTCCGTGTTGTAACAAGTATGAGTACTTCATTCCTCTTTCAGGCTGAAGGATACTTCGTTATGTACATATCACATTTTGCTTAGCCATGCATTCATTGATGAACATTGTACACATCACATCTTGTTTAGCCATTCATTCATTCATTCATTGATGAACATTTGGGTTGTTTCTGCCTTTTGGGTCTTATGAATAAGCAGCTATGAATATTGGTGTACAAATATGTGTTCAAGTCCCTGCTTTCACTTCTTGTGGGTCAATTACTACAAGTGGAATTGCAGGATCATGTGGTAATTCTATGTCTGATGTTTTGAGGAAAGATGCCATACTGTCTTCCGCAGTGGCCACAACATTTTACATTCCCGCTCACGATGCCCGAGAATTCCACTTTCTCTGCACCTTTGTGGACACCTTCTATTTTATGATTTTCTTTCTTCTGACATTAACCATCCTAATGAGTATGCAGAGCTGTCTCACTGGAGTGTAGATTTTCACTTCTTAGAACATAGAGTGCCATGAGCTCAAGGGCAGGAGGGACAGAGCTCCAGCAAGTGATGTAGTAATTATGGCAAGGGGTGAGGTACCAGGGCAGGCTTTCTAAATCATGCAAGGGAAACTAGTAAGAACGTGGCCTCCTCTGCTTCCTGCGACCACAGTGGGGGCTGCACTGACACTGAGACCAAGAAGAGCTAGTGGACATGAGGCTTGGAATGTGACTGTGAAGAGAAGGGAGGAACCCCACGGGACTGCACTTAGGCAAGAGGTCTTAGAGAGTAGTGGAAGTGTGCCCTGAAGAAGAGCCAACAAAGGAAGGCCTGCTGTCTTTGGGCAGGGAGTCCTTGCTGATCAAGCCGTGTATGGCTATAATCTTGAGAAGTCCATGGCAAAACTTCTGGCCAATGAAGGCGTAGATGAGGGGATTGAGGTAGCTGTGAAGGATGCCCAGAATCTCAGTGGCATCCAGGGCCTGGTTGATGTCGTTGCGGCGCTCACAGGTCTCATTGGTCATCTGGGTTCCCATGAGGGTGTCTGCCAGCAGGACCAGGTTGTAGGGCAGCCAGCAGAGCAGGAAAATGAGGACAACAGCAAAGATGACCCACATGGTCCAGTGCTTCTGCCCCATATGGGCCTTAAACAGCGTATGCAGGGTGAATCTGTAGCAGAACAGCATGATCGCAGCGGCACGATGAAGCCAAAGGACTGGGGCAGGATCCGTAACAGCATCCACCAGTTTGCTGTATTGTTGCCCATGTCCTCATAGCAGACTGGGCTAACATTGGATGGGTAGAAGGTCCTTCGGAAAAGCAAGATGCGTAGGGACAGTAACAGGAACAGGTTCCACAAACCCAGACATATGAACTTGACCAAGTGGCGCTGCTGGGTCAGTGTGCGTGTGGCATGGACAATGGCCAGGTAACAGTCCATGCTGCGGCAGGCCAGTAGTAGAATACCACCGTAGAAGTTGACTTCCTTCAGGAGCTAGACCACCTGGCACAGATTGTGCCAAAAATCCAGCCATTCATCTTGGAGGCAGCCAAGATGGGCAATGTCAGGGAAAAGAACAGGTCGGCCAAGGCCAGGGTCAGCAGGTAGACATCGGTGACAGTGGCTGACTCAGCTGAATAAGATGACCAGCATCGGCAGGGAGTTTCACATCACGTTCAGTAGAAACATCAGGGCATAGATGATGATCAAAACATAATTGATTTCTAGGGATTCTGGCCAACATGGGGCAGAATCTAGTAGAAAAGGGGTAGGGTCATAGCTGAAACTGTAATTACTAAAATCTCCACTGAAGATGTCTTCCCACATGTAATTTTCCCAGCCAAAATTTTCCATTTTTGAGGTAAACTTAAATCCTGGCCTATAGAAGAGAGAAGAGGATTATTGCACAATAAACCTTACCCAGATTCTTGCCTATCCATCCAAGAAACTGGGATAGGATTCTTTGTGTTGGCTTGTATATTACATGGAAGTAATTTTCACCTCTAATTTGTATATGGCAGGTAGTCTAAAGTTTTGAGGCAATGTTAGTGATAAATGCCACAATTTATCAAAAGACTTCCATACTGATTCCCTTCCATGCTGGACACATATTCTTGCATTTCCCATGACATCACAGTCTCCCAAAACTTTGTAGAATGTTCCCTGTGGATAATAACTACAGGACACTCAATCCTACTTGGATCCCTCAGTGGTGAGCACCTTCAGCTGTCAAGGCTGGGTTTAATGTTCAGAAACATGAGATGCCACTCAGTTCTTAATCAGGGGACTAAGCAGCCACTCCAATGGGGTTGTACCCTCAAAACAGATCAAGGTTTGACTATAAAAGTGAGGGATGAATCTCTTTGTGCACCCTTCTGAAAGTTATTTTGAAAGAAATGTTCTGGAAAACAGTTTGAACAGTAGCATGGAGTTTTGGAAGGCTCGAGATAGAAGAATCTTCAGTTAATTAGTAAGGCCCAGCATTTCTCTTTTGGGTAGAAGGAGGCCTGCTCTGGGAATGTGTGTGTACTTTGGAAAAGTATATTAAAAATGATAAGTGGGCCAGGCTCAGTGGCTCACGCCTGTAATCCCAGCACTTCGGGAGGCCGAGGTGGGCGGATCACAAGGTCAGGAGATCAAAACCATCCTGGCTAACATGGTGAAACCCCGTCTCTACTAAAAATATTTTAAAAAAAAAATTAGCCGGGCATGGTGGCGGGCACCTGTAGTCCCAGCTACTCAGGAGGTTGAGACAGGAGAATGGCGTGAACCCAGGAGGCGGAGCTTGTAGTGAGCCGAGATTGCACCACTGCACTCCAGCTTGGGAGACAGAGCGAGACTCCGTCTCAAAAAAAAAAAAAAAAATGATAAGTGGCCGGGCATGGTGGCTCATGCCTGTAATCCCAGCACTCTGGGAGACAGAGGCAGGCGGATTGCCTGAGCAGGAGTTCGTGACCAGCCTGGGCAACACGGTGAAACCCCATCTCTACTAAACTACAAAAAATTAGCTGGGCCCAGTGGCATGCACCTGTAGTCCTAGCTACCTGGGAGGCTGAGGCAGGAGAATTGCTTGAACCCGGGAGGCAGGGGTTGCAGTGAGCCGAGATGGCACTGCTGTGCTCCAGCCTGGGCGACAGAGCAAGACTCTGTCTCAAAAAAATAAAATAACATAACATAAAATAAAAATAAATAAATAATAATAAGCAAGTGGGCTCCCTGATTCTCCCCATGGGTAGAAACGTAACAGGTTATTTGGGGAGCTCTGAGCAGCCATGTGCTGCCATGCAGGATGAGCAGACACAGCCAGCCTGCACCCCAATAAGAGGGAACGGCGGCAGGAAGCAGAGAAAACAGGGGCTGCACTACCCTTGCTTGGTGGCTCTCCAGCCTTGCTGGGGACCCTCCCTGTCCTGCATGTGTGTGCCTCCATCCAGCCCTGACTCCCCTGTTCTTCTCATTCAGTCCATCTCTGCTGGCTCTGCCCTTGCTACAGGGACAGGAGAGATCCCGCTCTGGGGAAGCCTGGGTGTAGAGGGTGGGCTGAAGCCATTCAAAAATGTTATCCCAGTTTCTCAAAGAAGAAGTCAACTAAAGCAATCCAGCTCCCTAATTAGCTTTTTTCCGAACCACAAAATAGATCACCCTCTGGCCATTGCCTTAGAGTCTAAGGGATGACCATCCTACCATCAACCAGGTCCAAGTCCATAACCTACCCCCAAAATGGAACCCAGTGACAGAGAAAAACCAGAAAGTTAAAGGTCCCAGAACCCACTTCACACTCACCAGGCTGGGCACAGTCAGAAAAAGATGCCCAAGAACAATGTGGGTGAGGAAGTGGAAAAGTCAGAACTCTCCCACATCGCAGGTGGGAATGTAAGATGGGGCAGCTGCTTTGAAAAACAGTTTAGCAGTTGCTCAAAAAAGTTAAACACAGAGTTACCACATGAACCAGCAACCCCCATCCTAGGGATATACCCAAGAGAATTGAAAGCTATGCCCACACAAAAACTAATGTTCATAGTGGCATGCTCCAGCCCTCAGGAATTAACCAGCAGGCAAGGGGCAGAGTGGGCCAAGAGGAATAGGAAGAACCTCAGAACCTCTGCAGGAAGCAGCTAGGAGCGAACATGGTAGGTGTTGAGTCATGGGTGTGAGCGAGGGGCACAGTGTGAGGGCAGAGCATCAGGCTCTCGGTTCCCCAAAACTAGCAGGGAGGCGGGGCCCCTGCAAGTGCTGTATTAGACAAAATAATCTCACCACCTTACACGTCAGCCCATAAGGCAAGGTTCCTAAGAAGCTCTTCCTTCACCTGAGCTGAGCTTCCACCTCTGAGTCTCCTCTTCTTTCAACCAAACAAAAGTCCTTTCTGACCCCTCTTGATACCTGCTCCTATCTGGGTAAAAACAGGAGCCCGAGGGTCCCCAAACTCTAAGGCTTCAGCCACAGCCCATCAGAGGCCAGAAGTTGGTCACAAAACAATAGTATTTTCCATGAACCCATAAGCACCCCACCCCAGCCCCGCTCCACCTGGCCACCAGATTCGCTGTACTTACACTTTCTGGACACTGCCATCTCCCTGGGAAATTCTGCACTGGAGTTTTGCGGAAAGTGAAGCGTGAAGAAGTATGGGATGAGGGATGGGGAAGCAGAGCCAGAAGGGCTCAAGGCCAGGCGCCTGGAAGCAGAGGGCCCCAGGGTGCCTCCTCCACCACCAAGAACCTTCAGCTCCTGGTTACAGTGCTGGCTCCCAGCTCTGGTGGTCAGCCAGACTGGCCAAGACCCTCCCCAGCCTGGACCAGCCCACTCCTCTCCAACTCCCTGCCCTCCATGGGCAGCAGAGTCCAAGCCAACCCCAAGTTGGGTCTCCAGTGCTGATCCCATTCGGGGCTCTCCCACCCACCTCTCCATCTCAATCCACATCCTCCCTCGCTCCATCCCACAACCCTGGGCCAGAGGTTTCAGGCAGGGGTTGCCCCAGCTGTAGCAAGTACTGAGGTCCGGGGAGAGCTGGAGTTGGGGATACAGGAGTGGCCACCAGCTGGCAGGGGAAGGTGCAACTTGAGGCCAAGTCTGAGCCACCATGATCTTTACCCACCCCAGGCAGCTTTAGGAGGGGAAGAGAGGGTGCTCCCCCTACACCTTCCCCACTGGTGCCATGCTGAAGGGGCAATTGGGGCTTCCAGAAGAGAAGTCCCTGTGCCCAAAGACCCTGGCACCCTAGTTTCCAGGTCCCCCTCCTATTCCCATCCCACAACCGCCTGCCTGCCTGCCCTCCCCCTCCAGTTCCTCCCCACCCAGCACCCATCCTATCCCCTAACCCCATCCCCTCCCCTGCAGGGAGCCCAGCCTTGAAGCACAGCAGGCTTCTCCGGGTCCCCCTTCATCACCCCGATCCCGTTTCCTTGTCTAGAACAGAGGCCAGCCTAAAACATCTGGGCAGGCAGTCCTAGCGCAAGTTCTGGATTGGGGGTTGGGGGACAGACACTGAGGTCAGCTCCATATGGATTCTCCAGCCTGGGAACGGGTGGAGAATCATCTCATCTTTGTGAGATGAGAGGGGCCATTTTCAACGTCCTCCCACTCCTTCCCACCCACACCCAAGCCATCTCCACATCGAGTCCTTTATCCAAAATTAGTCGTGGCCCCACTCAGCCCTCTCCCTGGCCCACTGCAGGCAGGGCATCAGAGTCAGAGTAGGAGAGGAGGGGTGGGGGGAGAGGGAGGGGCAGAGGGGAGGCAGCTTCAGTCTGCTCATTAACCACCTTGATTGGCCATTTCTGCCCAGAGGGGCGAGGAAGGAGGAAGGGCTTGTGCTGGGGAAGGTGCAGGGCGTGCTCCTGCCAGGCTTTGCCCAAGGGCAAGGGAGCAGGGCCCATGCTTTAGAGTGGAGATGGAGACAGTGCTTTGAACCCTAACCTTGCCGGGCCTGCCAGCCCCACTCACTCACTCACCTTTCCTGTAGAGGAGCCACTGAATGAGGTGGGTGTCTGGGACAAGGGATTCCCAGGACAGGAGTGGTGGCTGGTGGTGGGAGTAGCAGCTGTGGCTGGCAAGAAGCTGGTTTCCCAGAAGAAGGCAGCGAGTGAGCCTGTGTCCAAGCAGGGAGCGGGATGCAAGGAGCAGAGCTGGCCCCAGGGCCACTGCTGGGAGCAACTGAGCAGAGGGCTCTACTAGTGGGGTTCCCTCCCAGACCAGCCCAGGAGGCGGGTCAGCAGTGCACCGCCTCCTTCCAGGAGTCAGACAGCAGTGGGCCCCCTCTGCCAGCCATGGCCTCCTTTAACCCCTGCAATGCCCTGCTGGCTGCACTCTAGCCGGCTCTGGCCAGGCCGTGTCAGGGCACAGACACTTGGGGCAGGAGATCACCAGGGAGTGTGGCTGCCCCTCCTTCAGCCACTGGCCTAGCAGCCTCCCTGGGGACAGGAGGGGTGGGGCCAGAAGACTTGGGGGACAAGGGGGGTGGGGAAGGGAACAGGGAGGCATCAGGGCCTTGAGAGGGCCAGGACCCCATAGAAGAGACACAGGTGCAGAGAAATGTCCAAAGTGCTGCTAGGTGGGGAAGGATGGTTGCTGAGATGATGATGATGATGATAACAATATAGCAACTGTCATCTTTTCTTTTCTTTTTTTTTTTTTTTTTTTTTTTGAGAAGGAATTTTGCTCTTGTCGCCCAGGCTGGAGCGCAGTGGCACAATCTCAGCTCACTGCAACCTCCACCTCCCAGGTTCAAGGGATTCTCCTGCCTCAGCCTCCCCAGAAGCTGGGATTACAGGCGCCTGCAACCACACTCAGCTAATTTTTGTATTTTTAGTAGGGACGGGGTTTTGCCATGTTGGTCTCGAATTCCTGACCTCAGGTGATCCTCCTGCCTCAGCCTCCCAAAGTGCTGGGATTACAGGCGTGAGCCACCACGCCCAGCCAACTGTCAACGTTTCTACAGCACTCTGCTTTATGCTATTTCCAATTCATTTTGTGATTGCAGGCCAGGAATCTCACTTCTTTTTTATTTTAACTTTTTATTTTAAAATAATTATGTGTTAACAGAAGAGATTCAATGACGGTACAGACAGTACAGGTCTCATATACCCTCCACCAGCTTTTCCTAAAGATAACGTCTTACATTACGTGCCACATGTGTCCAAACTAACTAATTTGCATTGCTGCAATGCTATTCAGAGGACTGTGAGCCTTATGAAAATGTCACCATATTCTGAAATGTCTGTTTTCTGTTCCAGAACCCAATCCAGGATCTCACATTACATTGGATTGTCGCGTCTTCATAATGTCTTTCAAAATGTGACAGATTTTCCGTTTCCTTGTTCTTTCACAAACACCACACTGTCTTGATTACTGTTGCTTTAATGGTAATTTCTAGACTCTGAGAGCTGAGGATACCGATACACCTGTGTGTTTAGTCAGTGGGAATTTTGTACACTTTTCTGTATTTACGAAATATTTCAACACGCTAATACAGACAAATGTCTGAAGCTGCCTTGTCAGTCACCGTCTCTGTGAGATGAGAGAGGTCATTTTCAACTTCCTCCCGCTCTTTATCACCCATGTACAAGCCATCTCCGCATCCGGTCCTTTCTCCCAAGTTAGTCGTGGCCCCACTTAGCCCCCTCCCTGGCTCATAATGTCTCTAACCCCAGCCACTGGCACCACCCCGCAGATGGCTGCCCCACCTCCCGGGCCCCTTGCTCTGCCTTCTGCCCTCCCAATCCATATACACACAGCACACATGGGAGGGCTCCAGGAGAGCCAGGAGAGGAATAGGGGCATGGAAGTAGCAGGACTGGCAGTAGGAGTGCCCTGGCAGGCAGCCCAGATGTCCGGGTAGCCACTGAGCCTTGGCTCCTGAGGGGATCAGCACCCAGTAGATGTTTATCCACCCCAAGAACGAGGGTATCACACCTCCTCTAGTGAGGGCCCAGGTGATGGGTGCAGGCTGCTCTTCCCTAAGCCCCTGAAGAGGGGAGCCCCAAGCAGCAGCAACCCCCACTGGAGCCAGAGTCAGGGCACACCAGCTGGGATGGAGCTTGTTCCCCACAGTTAGAGGAGGGAGGGAGTCACAGGCAAGCTCCAGGCTCTCCCAAGAGGCCGCTTAGAAACCAGCTCATCTGATGCAGATAGACACTCATCCCCATCCCTGTCCCTGCCACTGTTGCACACCAGCACACACACCTTCCCCTCCTTCTCGCCTTGATCATCCACCTCCACTGCCCCTGGCACCTCGCTCCATCCCAGCCCCACTGACTGTCCCTGCTCCTGCCCACCCTAGCCTGGCCCAACAGGCACCCCCTCATCCGTGTCAAAGCTGGCTGTGTGGGAGGTGGGGAGGCAGGGACATGGGGTGAAGCAAGGAGACCCACCAACAGGGAGTCCTGAGGTCACAGGGACCTAGAGAGGAGTTACCCATCCCTGGTGATGCCAAACACCTCCTCTTACTCTCCCAGGGAGAAACCAGCGCCACACCTGTACCAGGCAGAGTGGTTCCCTGGCAGACACCTGCCTCCCAGCTCAGACCTGGAGGAGGGCAGGGGGCTGGAGGACAGCAGGGGACTGGAGGAGGGCAGGGGACTGGAGGAGGGCAGGGGACTGGAGGATGGCAGGGGGTTAGAGGAGGGCAGGGGACTGGAGGAGGGCAGGGGGCTGGAGGATGGCAGGGGGTTAGAGGAGGGCAGGGGACTGGAGGGAGGCAGGGGGCTGGAGAAGGGCAGGGTGCTGGAGGAGCGCAGGGGCAGGGATCCTGGACAGGGCCTCAGACAGACTGAATTGGGAGGGCAAGAAAGAGACCAAGGGTGCAAAGTGAGACACAGGGAACAGAGAAAGGGAAGGAATGAGGGAAAGACAGGGATGGGAGACAGGGACATGACACGGGAGACAGAGATGGGGGTTTCAGCCTCTGCATGGGGGATATAGGGACGGAGGAGAGGGCAGACGGGCTGGGGCATCCCTTGTGCTGGTTTTTAGATGCGGTTCCTGGGGTTTGTGAAAACAGCCGTCCTCCCAGGCCCCTGCTCCTCTGCCCCCATACTAGCCCCTGCAGCAGCCCAGCCTGGAGAAACGAGGACCCAGCATGGAAAGACCCCAGCCTCAAGGAGGCAGAGCACAGCCAGGAAGGGAAGCCCCAGCCCACCTGGGAAACCCACCTGGCCCATTGCTGGGCACAGGATCTCACTGGTGGTCTCACATCCATCCTTTTGGGAATGAGATCAGGACTAGGGATTCGGCACTGGTGACCAGCACTCAGGTGGACCGCTCAGCTGACTGAGGTGGAGAAGGAAGGAGGAGCGTGGTGGGACCCTCGCCCTGCCCTCCCCACTCTGGAGCGCTGCCTCTCAGCCCAACCAAGTGACAGAGACGAGACAACCACAGGAATAGCAGCTGCGGAGCTCCATGGCCTCCCTCTGCCCCCTGGTGGTGAGAAGGAGAAAAGCAAGAGCAGGTGCTGAAAACGAAAAGGAAACTAGCAGCAGTCCCAGCTACCACAATGGATCAGCCCCCATTTGGCCAACAGGTGACTCTACCCCAGGTGGGCCTGAGAGGACCCATCCCCCATCTCACCATTCTGCCCCAGCGCCCTGGATCCTGCCTCTACCACTTCTTCCCTGCAGCGTCTGCGGTTCCCCCACCGCTGTGAGCCAGGTTCCCCCTCCAGGCTGCTGGGCTGGGACTGAGTTACTTCTTCCCAGGCTGTAAATCCTGGGACTGCTGTGCAAGGCAGAGTCACTAGGGACGGACTCTGGCAGCAGAGCTGCGCTCTCGTGCCCCAGCCAGCCAGGCTCTCCTGGGTGAGTAGCAGGGAGACCCCTGGAACTTACGGGGATAGAAGGAGTGTGATGCCAGGAGCCAGGGGAGGAAAATGCCTGGCAGAGACGAGGGAGAGGAGGAGACACATGGAGCCGTTCATGGATTTCACACAGGATCTGGGCTGGAAGGGGCTGCCGAGACCATCAGTCCAATCTTTGGTCTACAGGTTGGGAAACTGAGGCTCAAGGAAGGTGAGTGATTTGCCGGAGATCACACAGTGAGTTCATAGCCAGGCCAGGATGGAGACCCAGGTCTCTGGACTCCTGACCCCGTCCTCCCTGAATCCCATGCTCCACCCACCTCCCTCATTTACCTCCGTTTCCCTCTCCCCTTCCCTCCACTGTGTCCCACTGCTGTACCACTGCCACCCCACCCCAAACTCCAACAGCCACAGCCCGGGAGGCAGGACACCTGGGTTTTCCGCTCCATGCCTGGTCTTGACTCTAGGATCTCAGAATAAGGCCACCAGCTGTCAGGGCCACAGTGTCCCTCTCTGGGCCCCAGGACCCATGGGGAGGAGAAGAGGATGAGATCCCCCTGGAGAGAAAGGCAGTATTACAACCAGGCGCCCTGCTCCCCACACACACGCAGCATGTGCTCAGCCCCAGCCCTGGGGCCGTGCTTTACTTCTGCACCCTCTCCTCAAAGAACACATATTTTCCATTCAGCTGGGGCACAGGAAAGGATGAGTAGGTGTCTCGAGGAGACTGAGTACCCAGGCAAGGCTAGGGGCACTCCATGGGGAAGGAGTGGACACCCCCAGCCTAGTGTCCACATATCATGAGCCCTCACGGGGTCACTCACACCAAGTCAGGACCCAGAACACAGGCCCTGTGGGCACAGACACCTGAGTTCAAGTCCTGGGTACCTCTGTGATGCTGGATAAAAGACTTACCCTCTCCAATCCCCTGTTTCTCCTGGTCTAAAATGGAGTTAATAACCTCCAGGATTATGTGAGGATTGAATGGGACAAGGACATCAAGTGTTAGCACAGTGTCGTCACCCAGGGACTGCTCAATCGGTGGAGGCCACACCATCATCTTCACACACTGGCCTACAAGATAGAGCTGGGATTCTCCCCCTACTAGGTAACTTGCTATGTCACCCAAGATTAGTCACTTTCCCTCTGTAGGCTCTGCGTCCTGCTTTGTGTAAGGAGAGAGCTGGGCAGTGAGGCCGAAAGTCCTTCCTGAGCTCACAGTCCAAGTTGCAAGGAATCACATCATTTCCAAGTACCCATGGCAGAAGAGGGAGCCATCCTCAAGGTCACCAAAGACCTAAGAGGTGAGTGTGTCCTGAGAGATGCTCTGGGACTGAGTCATGGGAGAAGTCAGGGTCTGGGAGCCCCTCCCTCAGCGACCTGACATCTGCCATCCTCCCAGCAGCTGCCGTCTCTGCCATCCTCCAGGGCTATGGGGATGGGCAGGGGCCAGTGACGGACACCAGTGCCGAGCTGCACAGACTCTGTGGCTGCCTGGAGCTGCTGCTGCAGGTGGGACCTTCTCCTCCCCTTCCCCATCCCTCTCCCCAGACCCAGATAACTGGTGGGACATTCCTGGAAAATCAGGGAGGAGCCACAGCCCCCTTCCTTACCATGCACTGTGTCATCTCCCTCTCCCTCCTGACACCTAACCTCACTCTTGGAGTTTGTCACTGCAGCCTAAGAAGTGAAGTGGGGCAAAGCGGGGCTGGAAGGGACCCAGGCCTGGTGGTGGGACCCAGACCTGGGGGCAACCCCCACTGCTTAAACTTTCAGAGGCATTGATGTCCTAGGACTGGCCCTTCCTGCTGCTACTCAGAGCCCCAACTATGACCAGCACCGCTTTTATTGAATACTTGCTATGTGTCAGACTTCAGCCTCTATATGCCTGGCTTTATGCAATCCTCACTCTCGCCCTCTGAGACGCTTGATGTCCACCCCCCAACACCCCGACACACATCTTCCTGCTTCTCTGACTTCATCTTTTGCCACCCTGCCACTCATCTACTGCACTTCAGCTCCCCTGGCCTCTTGGATCTTCCTGGAGCACACCAGTCATGCTCCTGCCTCGGGGCCTTTGCTCGGGCTCTCCCCTCTACTTAGAATGCTCTTCCACTGGAATGCACAGCATACTTTCTCAGCTCCTTCAAGCAGGAAGGCTTTTCTGGGCACCCTAGATTTTCAACACACGTGCCACACACACCACACACCACAGCTACCACAATGGATCAGCCCCCATTTGGCCAACAGGTGACTCTACCCCAGGTCGGCCCGAGGGGACCCATCCCCCATCTCAGCATTTTCCATTCTCTTTCCTGCTTTATTTTTTTCTCCGTAGCAGTCATCACTATCTAACATACTCGATGCTTTACTTATCTCATCTGTTTGTTGTCTTAACTCCTTTATCAGGGCCACAGTGTCCCTCTCCGGGCCCCGGGACCCATCGGGAGGAGAAGAGGATGAGATCCCCCTGGAGAGAAAGGCAGTATTACAACCAGGCACCCTGCTCCCCACACACAGGCAGCATCTGCTCAGCCCCATCCCTGGGGCTGTGCTTTACTTCTGCACCCTCTCCTCAAAGAACACACATTTTCCATTCAGCTGGGGCACAGGAAAGGATGAGTAGGTGTCTTGAGGAGAATGAGTACCCAGGCAAGGCTAGGGGCACTCCATGGGGAAGGAGTGGACACCACCAGCCTAGTGTGGATCAAGATGTAAGTATCAAGATGTAAGTTCCATGAAGTCAGTTTGTTCATAGTTGTATCCCCAGACACACAGAGGAGGGCCTGGAATATAGCAAGAGCTCAATAAGGGCCTCTGAATGAATGAATAAGAACACTGAGGCTCAGGGAGGTCAAGCCCCTTGCTCGTGGTCACACAGCCAGTAAGGACAGGGCTGGGTCTGGATGCCGGGTGTGTCTGCAGGAGCCCTCTCCTCCAGTACATGTCCCCTCAGCAAGCTAGAATGCAGGGCGTGTTCTGGGAGGAAGCATTTCTACACTTTCTTTGCCTCATTTTGGTTCTAGTTTGACCAGAAAGAGCAGAAGAGCTTCCTGGGGCCTCGGAAGGATTACTGGGACTTTCTCTGCACTGCCCTACGACGGCAGCGGGGAAACATGGAGCCAATCCACTTTGTCCGTTCCCAGGACAAGGTATCCAGGGCCAGGCAGCAAGAAGGCTGACGGGGTGGGGGTAGACATAGGCCTCCTCCTTTTCCCCCACCCTGCTCTACCGACCATAGACCCCTCACCTGCTCTGCATGTCTCCTAAGCCCTGCCCACAGCACCCCTCCAGACACCCTTTTCCTCCCATGGCCTCAGGTCCCCCTGCACCCTTCCCATTGCCAAGCACTTCCAGTCCCCTCTCTCTGTGTTACCTGGGCGCCCTTTGTCCTAATACTGCTCCCCATTCTGCCCCTGTGCACTCTGCAGTTGAAGACCCCTCTGGGGAAAGGCCGTGCCTTCATCCGCTTCTGCCTGGCCCGTGGGCAGCTGGCTGAGGCCCTGCAGCTTTGCCTCCTGAACTCAGAGCTCACCAGGTGGGGCTGTTGGGACATCCTCCTGCCGATGCCATCTGAGCCACTTTCCCTCCTTTGTAAAAGAGCCCTCCTTTAACCCCCACAGATGGCTTTCTATCAAGGACAGTTACAATGAGAGTCATGAAGGAAAAATCAAGGGAGAAAGGGCAGAGGGAGGTTAGAACCCAGGAGTCCTGGGAGCATCAGGGTTCTTGGGCCTCCTGCTCCTGAAGGGCCACAACTCTGCCTGGGGAACAGCCTCATGACGGTGTGTAGTGGAGGCTGCTTTGTTGAGGTTGAGCTGGGGTGGGGGTGGTTGGGGCAGGGGGAAACAGCACCAGGGTCAAAGGCCAAGGGTTCTGATCACTGTTAACACAGGGAATGGTATGGACCCCGGAGCCCTCTGCTCTGCCCAGAACGCCAAGAAGACATCCTGGACTCTCTCTATGCTCTCAATGGGGTGGCCTTCGAGTTGGACCTCCAGCAGCCAGACCTGGATGGAGCCTGGCCCATGTTCTCAGAGTGAGTGGGTGCAGCCAGGAGAGAAGTCTCTTTTGACACCTGGTCCCATGGCCACCAAGGGTCCCAGGCAAGCCCCAAGCCCTCAGCCTCCAGCCCCATCTGTCTCTGCCTCCTTTTGCTCCATGCCTTTGGATTCTTCTAGCCCTCGATGCTCCCAGTGCAAATTCATGGCATAATGCTGCCTAGAATATGCACTCACTAACGACTTCCTGGGTGGTTGAGGTGGAGGGCTGGAGGATGAATGGATAGCTGGATGCTAGGAGGGAAAGTACGGATGAATGGAGGATGGGATGCATGAGGGTGGGTGGGCAGGAAGGAGGAAGTGTCATGGGATGAATGCGCTAGTGGAAAGATGGGATACCCTCCATCTGAGGACCAAGCCCAACACTGAAGAGAGGCCCAGGGTCCCCCTGCCTCTTTCACTTTCAGGTCACGCTGCTCCAGTTCCACCCAAACCCAGGGAAGGAGACCCAGAAAAAACAAAGATGCCCCAAAGAAGGTGCCTCTGCCCTGCCTTCACTCTGAGTTGCCTCTTCCCCATCTCCTTGGCATCCTCAAGTTGAGTAGAAACTGAGCTTCCCCCTCCGAGTGTACAGAGAGCCCTGACCCTACAGGACAGACAGAGCAAGAGGCCAGTGTGTGGAGCAGGGGACTGGGGAGCTGCAGAGGAGGAGAGGGCTCCTATTCCTGGGGTGGCGGGGACACTGGGAGAGAAAGGGAACTCTAGCACCCTCTGCCGGAGCCACTGGGCCCAGACAAGGAGAAAGTGCTATGAGGGGCGGGCCACTGAAAGCTTCAGGAAACAGATGAGAGGGACACCCTCTGCTGAGTCCCCTGCACTGGACAATTGACACATGACTCAGTTCAGTTCAAGAAGTGACTAAAGACCCAGGTTGCCCGGTTGAATTCCAGCCCCACCCCTTACAAACTGTGGTTCTTGAACAAGTTACTTGTCCTGCCCCATAGGGATATTGTGAGGATGAACGGACACAACTCACATCCAGCACTGCACAGGGCTCCTGGCTACACGCTCCCCGCATGACAGTGTGTGGTCACCGTCGTTGTTATCATCATCCCCCAAGCACATTTTGCACCCCCACCAGCTTCCAGGCACTGGGTACAGATACTATTAGTTCTCTGGTCCGAAAAGTTCAGGGTCTCTTCATGGAGATATACCATAAAAAAAAGCATTGCAATATACAATTTCAGTGTAAGTGACACAGAAATGAACAGAGGAACATGGGAGCACAGAGGCTTCTTGAGAGGTTGCTCTTAGCTGAGTGTCGGTCTAGTCGAGATTTCATCACAACCCTAAAACCGGGTATTATCATTCCCATTTTGCAGATGAAAAAACTGAAACATGACATGTAGTTCGGGAGGAAAAATTAAAGGAAAGGAGTGAGAGGAACTTAGGGGGAACCAGATCAATACCCAAGACCCAGGTGCAGGAGGGAGAAGGATGTGGGCTGCGGGAAGGGACAGAAGGACATCAGGATGTCCCTCACCAGACCAAAGCATGGCGCTCAGATCACCTGGGTGTTGCTAAAAGTCAGATTTGGGGTTTGATAAATCAAAGCTTCCAGTGAGAGGACCTGGTACCTATCTATTTAGCAAGCTGATTAGATTAGCACTGTGGCCTAATCTAATGGCACCAGGTCAGTGAATTGGTGCTGAGAGGGATGACTGGTTTTGGGTCCTCTCCACAGATCCCAGCCGCATATGGAGGGCCTGAAAATGTCCAGATTGAGGACTCACACACCAGTCAAGCCATCTGTCTGCAAGATGCACCCAGTGGACAGCAGCTGGCAGGGCTTCCCAGGTCCCAGCAACAAAGGCATCTTCCTTTCTTTTTGGAAAAGAAGGGGGAAAGTTCCAGGAAACATAGGTACCCCCAGAGCATGTGGGAGCCAGAAGGGAAGGAGCTTCAGCTAGACCAGGAGGAAAGAGCCCCATGGATTGAGATCTTCCTGGGGAACTCAACACCCAGCACCCAGGGACAGGGGAAGGGGGCTATGGGCACTCAGAAGGAGGTGATAGGGATGGAGGCTGAGGTCACAGGGGTTCTGCTGGTTGCAGAGGGTCAGAGAACAACAGAGGGGACTCACAAAAAGGAAGCAGAGTGGAGTCACGTCCAGAGGCTGCTGATGCCCAGCCCCAGAGGGGCTGTAGAGGGAGCAGTATCAGGGAGCAGGCAGGGGTCGGGGGGCTCTAGCATCCTGGGGGAGCCCTGGGTCCTTCAGGGACACGCAACAAAGGAAGACTCTACCGTGGAGAATCCACAAGTGCAAACAGAAGTGACCCTTGTGGCCAGAAGGGAGGAGCAAGCCGAGGTGTCCCTGCAGGACGAGATCAAGGTGAGAACAGTTGAGCTCCATACCTGGTTATTTGCCCCTGTCTGACCTGGCCCACAGATGAGGGTCTGCAATGGTAGCCTGGGACCATTCCCTCCCACGGGTCAATTTTTATTGGCCCACTCAGGATTATTATTTGGGGATGCCTTTGAAAGCCATACATTCTTCAGGTCCCCACAGTCCCCGCCTCTCCCTATTGCCCCACGCTAGACCCACTTTATTCGGCAATACTTCTTGCCCAGCCCCAGTAGGCTTTGGAGTTTGAGATCCCTTCCCAGCAGTTCTTCCAGGCAGTCACTTCCTCTCTCCAGTTCCATATCCTCATGATGGTAAGTCTCTTCCCGAAATCTAAGTTCTACTGTTGCAGAGCCCACCTAGTTGCTCCTGTGGTGGATGCTTCTCCTGGAGGTCACTCAAGATTGTCACCAAGCCTCCCTTCGGCCTCCACCCAGGAACTTGCAAGTTTCTGAGTTTACAACTTCCACCCTTCAGTGAAGGAAGAAACCGTGGCCCAGGCACACCCAGAAGCAGGGCCTAGGACAGAGCCAGGCATCACAGCTCCCAGCACTGTCCCCAGCCCTGCCAGGGCATGGCCTGGGGTCTCTCGGGAATGTTGTTCAGGTCAGCCCCAGCACTGGGGTCTCTGCCCTTCTCCTTCAGCCTCCTTCTCCCCTCCTTCCACCCCACAGAGCCTCAGACTTGGGCTCCGGAAGGCTGAGGAGCAGGCCCAGCGCCAGGAGCAGCTGCTGAGGGAGCAGGAGGGGGAGCTGCAGGCACTTCGGGAGCAGCTCAGCAGGTAACCTTGGCAACCCACAGCACAGGGCACCTGGAAGTGCTCCCTAGGTCCTGCTGTCAATCACGGTCAAGCCAGTGAGGTCTTGTGAGAACCTCCCATGCACCAGGCCCTGGACTGGGCACACCTTTGGGATCTGAGGCCTGCAGGGCATTGCTCCTGATCCCAGGGCTCCACCCTCCCTCCTCTGTGCATCCCTTTCTCGTAGGTCTCCCAGAGCAGGAGCAGCCCCAGGAAAGGCCCCGCCTCCTGGCCTGCTTCCTTCCCACCCTCACCCCTGCCTCCCTCTGCTGCCTCCCCTGGGCAGCTCCTCTCTCTTTTTCACCCTCTCTGCCTCCCTACTCCACTGGACTTCTTTCCCCCATCTCTTTCTGTCTCCCTTTTTTACTCAGTTTCTTTGTGTCTCATTTGCTTCTTCCTGTTATGCCACCTCTCACCCTCTCATAATCACAGCTATCATTTACTAAGCATTTACTACGTCCCAGGCACTGCTGTCGGTGCTTCTGCGTAACACCCTTATGAGATGAGTTCTATAGAACCCCCATTTTATAGAGGAGGAAGCTGAGGCTCAAAGATGCTGCACAATTCACCCACCATTGGCTAGTTAGCGGGGGAGCTGAGATTCAAGGCCTGCAGCTGACTCCAGAACCAGTGGGCTCAGACGCCCCATTCAGGCAGCATGTCGAGTGCCTGCACTTCAGTCTCTCCGTTTCTCCTGCTCAGTGTCTCTCACCATCCAGTGTCTTCATCTTCCGTCATCACATTGACCTCAGGGGCCCACAGCACGCTGTCTGTCTCTACCATCCCCCCTCAGTCCTCAGTCTCTCAGGTCTCAGTTTCTCTCTCTCTCTCTCTCTTTCTTTTTGTAGAGACGAGGTCTCACTACATGGTGCAGACTGGTCTCAAATTCCTAGGCTCAAGCTTCAGCCTTCCAAAGTGCTAGGGTTGCAGGCATGAGCCACCACACCCAGCCCATAATTTATTTTTTAAAGTCTCTTCTCACTGCAGAGATCTTCCGTGGCCTGACTCAGCCTCTCTGTGTCTCTCTCCTGTGGTCTCCGGGTACGTCAGTCTGCCCACCTGCCCCTGTCTCTCTCTCCCACATGGCTAACACCTGCCCCAGGTCCAACAGACACCAGTCGGACCCCAGCAGAGCCTGAGTAGCTGTGATTCAGCCTGAATCACTAGGAAGCCTTCTGGCTGTCTGCTTCGCAGGTGAGAGAGGCCCAGGAGCCCAGAAACCAACCCAAAAGGACCCCCAGGCTCCTCCCACTCCACACTCAGCTGAGCACACAGTGTGGTCGCAAAGGTTTCCACGATTCAGGGCAAAATGAACATGGGGGTTCTGGCCACACAAGAGTCTTCAAGGGTTCAAGACAGTCTGGGAGGAGCAGCTGGGAGGTTATAGAGAGATGGCCTGGCCCTGGCTGCTCCTTTTACTGGGGACCCTGTCTCACAGACCACAGTGCTCCGGCCACCTGTCACTCATCATTCAGTCATTCCACAAACACCCTGTGCACCCACTCTGAGCCAGGCCTGTCCTAGGTATGGGAAATCCTCTCACAGACAAAACAGGCCAAACGCCTGCCCTCATGGAGCTTGCATTCTAGTGGAGGAGGCAATAAAAGTGATTAGCAAGTAAAGTACCTAGGATATCAGATTGGAATAAGTTCTAAGAAGAAGACATAAAGCAGACAAGAGGAATGGGACATGTTGGTGTGGTATTTTACATTTTAATAAGGTAATATGGCCAGGGAAGACCTCCCTGTAAATGTGACATTGACCTAAAGACCTGAAGGAAGTGAAGATCAAGCCCTTTGACTATTCGGTAGAATGTTCCAGGCTGCGAGAACAGCAAAAACAAAGGCCCTGATGGAGGACGGGCAGGGCAGGTTCTAGGAACATCCAAGGAGGCCTTCCGGGCCCCAGTAGAGTGAGGGAGGGAGAGGATGTGGGAAAAGGTCAGGTGAGCCAAGGAGGCAGGTTAGGGAGAGCCTGCGAGGTCATCGGAAGTGCCTCGACTTTGACTCAGAGGAAGATGGGAGCCACTGAGAGCTCAGAGTAGGAGAGAGACTTGACTTTTTTTAATGTCAAAAAGATGTTTACATGCTTTTTCAAATGCTTAACAATTAAATGGTTTTTAGTATATTTAAGAGTTATACATCCACCACCTCAATCAATTTCAGAACATTTCCATCTCCCCAAAGAGAAACCCTGTACCCATTAGCAGCCACTCCTCATTCCTTTCCCAGCTCTAGGTAACACCAGTCCACTTTCTCTATAGATCAGCCTGTTAGAGGCTGGCATGTTTTTTGTTGTTGTTGGTTTTTTTGTTTTGTTTTGTTTTTGTTTTTGAGACAGAGTTTCGCTCTTGCTGCCCAGGCTGGAGTGCAGTGGCGACATCTCGGCTCACCGCAACCTCCGCCTCCTGGGTTCAAGTGATTCTCCTGCCTCAGCCTCCCGAGTAGCTGGGATTACAGACACCTGCCACCACGCCCAGCTAATTTTTTGTATTTTTAGTAGAGATGGGGTTTCATCATGTTGGCCAGGCTGGTCTCAAACTCCTGACCTCAGGTGATCCACCCACCTTAGCCTCCCAAAGTGTAGAGATTACAGGCATGAGCCACGGTGCCCGGCTTGATGTGCGTTTTAAAGGCCCCTTGGAGCTGGCCTGTTAGCAGGCAAGCTGAACACAGGGAGTCCAGCGAGGACCCTGCCATGCAGGGGAGAGTTGGGGTGCTCAGACTGGGCTGGCAGCATGGAGCAAGGAGAAGCTGCCGGGCTTTGGATGAAGTGTGAAGTAGAACTTCCTGAGGAATTGGATATGCTGTATGAAAGAAAGACAGAAGTTGAGAATGACTCTAAGCTTTTTGACCTGATCAGCTGGAAAGCTAGAGTCACCATTAACTGAAGTGTGTGGGCTGTGGCAGGGCAGATTTGTAGGGAAAGTTCAGAGCTTGGTTTTGAACACGTTACGTTTGAGATACCTGTTAGACATGTCAGACGGGAGCCGCTGGGCAAGCAGTTAAGTGTGGAACTCAGGAGGGAAGTGTGCGCTGGGAGATCGATCCTGGAGTCCTCAGAGTAAGGATGGTGAGTAACAGCTGACCCTGAGGCTCAGAAGAGGATGTGCTACCCTGATGCCTGGGAGCCAGGGAGCTAAGGACAAAGCTCACTCCCGGGAAAGGAGCCCGTGGGCATCAAGCTGGTGATGAGTTCCTCAACACAGAGAATAGAAGTGCCGAGGGACCCATTCATTCCATGGACATTTAGTATGCTTCTACAATGGCCATGAGCAGGTGTGGTGAACAAACTTGGCCCAGCCTGCTCTAGAAGACCTGGGACAGATAAACAGATAGCAATCCAATGGCCATTGGATGGATGCTAGGGAAAAAAACAAAGGCAGGGAAGGGCGCGGAGAAAGACAGGATAGTCATTCAGACTGGGGTCCAGAAAGTCCTCTCTGAGGTGACATTTGAGCAGAAGCCCCAACCACATGAAAGACTGGACCATGCAAATATCTAGTGAGAAGTGCTGTGGCCAGGGGAATGTCCGGAAGACATGCGTTTGTTGACAGGCAGGCCAGATGCATACGGGGTGTGGCTGAGCAGAGGAGAGAGCGGCAGAGCCGGAGCCAGGGGCCTCAAAGGCAGAGTGAGGCACCGGAATTCTCTGTGCTACCAGAGGCTGGGGCAGGGTTTAGAGCAGGGGCGTTTCTCCGTCTGACTTCTGTGTTTAAAGGCTCACTCAGGCTGTGGTGTGGAGGACAGTGGAAGTGTGGTAGAAGTCCCGTGCAGAGCACAGGCTGGGGGCAGAGGTGAGCCACAGCTGACCTGAAGGCGGCAGGCTTCAGGCAGGCCCATGGGGCTGTGAAAACGGACTTTGGGCTAAGACATGGGGCTTCCAACATCCACCTCACAGCTTTCTAGCTGTGGGCCCCTGGGGACAGTGGTCTGCCCTCTCTGGGCCTCAGGTCCCTGATTTGCAAAAGGAGACGGTGGGATAGCTAAGGTTCCTCCTCCCAGCTCAGATGCTCATGGGGCCATCTTTCCAAGCAGGTGGGTGTCCTCTGCGCTGGGAATAAGACCTCAAGCCAAAGAAATTAGGACAAGCATCAGCCAAAGAGGTCCTCAGGATGGGGAACTAGGCAGATGTCACATGACCCCCAGCCCCTGCACAGCAGCACTGAGCTCCTTGGAGTCCTGCCAGGCTCCATCAGCATCCTTCCCTCCCTCCCTCCCACCTGCTGCCCACTTGGCACCAGTGCCAGGAATCACTGGTGATCAGGGCCTTACCTGGGTGAAGGTGTAGGGAGGCAAAAAGAGTTTTGATCTGGGCTGGCCTGTGTCCAGATTTCTGCCCCCTCCACTCATCAAGCTATGTGACCCTGGGCAAGTGTCACCCCCTCTCTGAGGTTCTATTTTTCTCTCTTGTAAAATGAGGATTATATTATCTGTCTCCTAACATTGTGAAAACTAAATGAATGGGGCTATAAAACACCAAGCTCAGGCCTGGCATATAGTAAGTGCTCAGTAAACTAATTCCTTCCATGCTTCCATGTCCCCTCGTGTGCTAGGAGTATCCATCACCCCCTGATTAAAATACTTCAGGGGCTCCCCATTTCACTGAGATTAACATCTACTTTTCCTGGGCCACTGACAGACAGCTCAGGTCCTGCCCACCTCCCCACTCTTCTCCTACCTTCCCTGCCCCCCACTGCCCTTTGTGGCAGCCCAGATTCACTCATCTTCTTTCAGTTCCTCAAACAAGCTCAGCTCCTTCCAACTTGCAGACCTTTACATGTGCCCATGCCTGGCTCTATATTGCTGACTTTTCATCTTCTGGGTCAGCTTCCATTTCACCTTGTCTGAGAAGCCTCTCCAAGAACCCTCCCTGGTCTCTGTCTTAGCCTCTCGTTTGTCTCTGTCATAGCACTTAGTTTAGTTATTTTATGAGTCTATCATTTATTTTACCCCTGCCCCAAACACTGTAAGATCCATAGGCTCTGCTTTATTCCTGGCACCTAAACATCCCTTGGCACACAGTAGGTGCTAAGTAAGTGTTCTCTCCCACCCCAGAGACACATGTACACACCACGGTGATCACATTAAGGGCCCAGGATCACAGGGCAAGTAAACTGGCTCAGGAAAATTAAAGTCAGCAGCTAAGAAATGAGGTGCCAAAAGACTAGAATGTTCATTAAAATTAAAAACATGGCCCTGCTTCGTGCCTGAGCACCAGAACGCTCTTGGGGTTGCAGTGACTGAACTCTTTGGAATGTCAGTGGCTGAGCTGCTGACAGTTTGATGTCATGGCCCACCCAACTTTCTTCCCTGCAACATGCTAAAAGGGGGTGTTTTAAAATTACATGTTCAATTCATTGTCAAGCCTCTTGCAAGCCTCTTCCGCTCAAACACACTCAAGCCCCAGGACACACACTGGCACAGACACGTACATGCATCCTGAGCGCTGGGACTCTCACGCATGCCACCTGCCATTGCAACGCCCTCCCAGCTGAGCCAGGGGCCTCCCAACTGAGCCAGAGGCTGGGCCCTGGGGCCAGGTCTTTTTTATTTCCAGTCCAGTGGTCTTCTTGGAACCTTTCAGAAAACCACTACACACAAAAAGAAAAACCAAGAGTGGAGCTGAGACGCCACCAAGCCCAAAACTAAAACAAATTTAGGAAAGCCATATTTTTACTATTACTTTTTTAATTGAAAAGACAAGGTAACATAACTTTTTAAAATATTTTAAAGCAAAACACCACCTAAATCCTTCACTGCTCCCCTTCCACACACAATTATTTCCAGCTGGGCACCGACCATCCAGCCTGGGTTCCCAGGCGTCTGCCTTCCCTCCAGAGAGCTGCCATGATGGTGAACACACCTTTCAAGAAAGTTACATCTTAAATGGAAATGTTTAAAAACAAAGCCGGGAGGAGGAAATGTTGGCTCATCCCCTCCCTCTAAAGGAAAACTCAAGGCAGGGCCCTGTTTTCATTTCTCTGAATGGTTGGTGAGGAGTCAGTTCGTAGGTGTCAGGCCACACACACTGTGCAGTTCAGTGTGTGGTGTGTATATTGTATGTGTGTGTGTAAACGCACATACATTGTGTGCATGTTGTGTTGTGTGTCTGCATTATGGATGTCTGTTGTGTGTGTTGTGCAAGTGTGTGTTTATATGTTGTGTTGTTTGTGTTCTGTTTATGTGTGTGGTGTGTGCATTATATATGTGTTGTGTGTATTGTGTTGTGTGTGCGTTAAGTCTGTTGAGATGTGTCGTGTGTTGTGGTGTGTGTACGTATTGCATTATATGTATAAATTATATGCATGTAGCATTGTAAGTGTGTCTTCTGTGTTGTGCGTATGTGTTCTGTTATACTATGTGTGTATTAGGGTGTGTGTTGTGTTGTAGGCATGTGTGTGCTGTGTGTGTGTGTGTTTGTGTGTGTGTGGACTTCAGCTGCCGGGGGCATCACCAGCGTCTCCCATGGGCTCCCTCTCTGGAAGAGGCTCAGCCTAGCTCAGGCACAAAGGCTGAGCTTTGCCCCCTGAGAACCTAGTCTTCCTTCTGTACCCAGGTGTCAGGAAGAGAGAGCCGAGCTGCAGGCACAGCTGGAGCAGAAGCAACAGGAGGCTGAGAGGAGGGATGCCATGTACCAGGAGGAGCTTGGAGGGCAGCGGGACTTGGTCCAGGCCATGAAGAGGCGGGTGTTGGAACTGATCCAGTAAGGACGGGGACAGTGGGAAAGGGGAAACAGATGGGGGAACGGTAAGGGATGTGGAGCCCGGAGCGTGAAAATTCTACTCCACTCACAACTCCCAAGCAGGGTTCTAGACCTTTTATATAAGCTAACCCTTCTGTTTCTTTTAGCCACTCCCTGCTGTTATCCCCATTTTACAGAAAAGGAAACTGAGGGTCAGAAATAAGGCAGACTTGGCCAGGCGCAGTGGTTCACACCTGTAATCTCAGTACTTTAGAAGGCCAAGGTGGGCGGATAATGAGGTCAGGAGTTCAAGACTAGCCTGGCCAATGTAGTGAAACCCCATCTATACTAAAAATACAAAAATTAGCCAGACATGGTGACGTGTGCCTGTAGTCCCAGCTACTCAGGGGGCTGAGGCAACAGAATCACTTGAACCTGGGAGGCAGAGGTTGCAGTGAGCCAAGATCACACCACTGCACTCCAGCCTGGGCGACAGAGTGAGAATCCATTAAAAAAAAAAAAGGCAGACTTAGTCATCTAGGACACATAGCATATAAATTGTATAGAGTCCCCTGAAAATAATGCACACCCCCACCCAGACCCACCCCCACATACACACACCTACTAAGGTTAGGGAGGAGAAAGGAACCATGGGTTGAGAAGGAATTGGGAGAAGGAGGAAAAAGACACCAGGGAGAACCCAGAGGTGATCACGTGTCCTACACCTGCCTGCCCACGGGACTTCCTCAGACCCTGGGCCTGTGGACCTGCCCTAGGTCAGCTGTCCTAGGTTCCAGACATTGGGCTCACCAGGGTCAGCTCCAAACCACTAAGCTCACTGAGAGATGGGGAAGATGCGGAAAGCATAGTTCCTGCCCTTTAGTTGAGTAGAAAGAGAGTTCACATACATATGTTATCCTCTCATACAGTTCAGGAAACAGGAGACCAGTGGACTCAGGTTCCATTAAAATTTGAAGGTTGCTAAGGGTTTTTTGTTTGCTTGTTTTTTTTTTTTTAACGGAGTCTCGCTCTGTCCCCCAGGCTGGAGTGCAGTGGCGCCATCTCAGCTCACTGCAACCTCTGCGTCCCGGATTCAAGCGGTTCTCCTGCCTCAGCCTTCCAAGTAGCTGGGACTACAGGTGTATGCCACCATGCCAGGCTAATTTTTGTATTTTTAGTAGAGATGGGATTTCACCATGTTGGTCAGGCTGGTCTTGAACTCCTGACCACAAGCAATCCACCCAGCTCGGCCTCCCAAAGTGCTAGTATTTCAGGTGAGGGGTCATTTAGAACTAAATCCTCTTACACAATATCCAAATGGTATTAAGGGTGAGAAAAAGGAGACATCAACTTGGAAATGACAAACAAATAATTTAAGGAATAGTTCCTCCAAAGAATTTACTGTCAATTGGGAGGAAGAGAGATATAAAAAGTGAAGTATTGACCTCATGAAAGAATTTAAGGTAGCCAACAATAAAAGACATATATATATGATTGTTAAAGAAAACTAGAAAATTAAATGGAACATGGCCGGGTGCAGTGGCTCACAGGCCTGTAATCCCAGCACTTTAGGAAGGTGAGGTGGATGAATCACCTGAGGTCAGGAGTTCAAGACCAGCCTGAACAACATGGTGAAGCTCTGCATCTACTAAAAATACAAAAATTAGCTGGGCGTGTTAGCGGGCACCTGTAATCTCAGCTATTCAAGAGGCTGAGGCAGGAGAATCACTTGAACCCAGGAGGCGGAGGTTGCAGTGAGCCAAGATCGTGCCACTGCACTCCAGCCTGAGTGACAAGAGTGAAACTCCATCTCAAAAAAGAAAGAAAGAAAGAAAATTACGTGGAACATATAATAGAAAACAAAACGTATATATCCCCAAAGTGTTAGGATTAGGGTTAGCATTAGAACTCAGCACTGAGCATATTGGTAGCAGGATCAAAAAGGGAAAGACAGAGTAACTAAATCTCACTTCCCATCCAAAGAAAATATACTAGTTCATCAGCACTAGTTTCCCAGTGCAAAGGTGATTAATCACAGGTTCTCAGGCAGGAGACATTAAACTATGTAATACAATGTCCCTGGCAGAAGCTTATGGAAAATACGACCCTAAGCAAAAAACAAAAAGAAAAAGGAAAAAAAAATAGCCACCAAGGTTGACTTCTGCGTCGGGATGGTGGACTGCCCACATCTTATCTATTCTCCATCCTGAAATTTCTCTAAAATGACTATAAAAGACTAAAACTTAAAACGGAGAGAAAAGTGGAGGAGCTAACCACAGAGGAGAGATTTCAGCTAATTTCCAGAAGTTGGAAAATGGTTGGAGAAGTGGATACTGTGTGAAGCCCAAGTTTTTTGTAGGATCCAGAGATCCCAGAGCCACACATGGCAGAAGTGAGATGAGGAATAAAGTCATTAGAAAGAGCAATCCATACCTGCTGCCTTCTGCCTGCCTCCCCACATGCAGAATATCCAGCACTCAGGGGCCTATCTCCCAAGCAAATGATCAAAAGATCCTTCACTAAAGGAATTCAAGTGCCCCAAATAAAAGACCAGTTTGTCCTGGCATTTGGGTGTCTGGTTGTAGCAGGTAGCTCCCTGCCCAGTCCCCACTAAAGGGAAGCCACTAGTCAACCATTCCTGTCCACTATTCGGAGTTCTAAACAGATTTTATTGCCTCTTTCTTACACATAAAATGACAACCAAGGATCCCCAGATATTTGAGGAGAGTCTAGAATATAAAGGGAAGAGATGAAGATAAACAAAGGAAAAAGATCCATCTTCCATGAAACAGGATGCTATAAAAAGCAGCTGTCAAAAGATGAAAAACATTCTTGGAAATTAAAAATTAAATTAAAATTATGATCACTGAATTTTTTTCAATTCACTAAAATGATTAGAAGAGAAAGATGAGGCAGTCTCTTAGAAGGTAGAATAAAAAGCACAGAGAGATGGGAGTCAGGAGAGAAATAATTAGACATACAGATAATCAGTCTCTGAGTTCCAATGTCCTTTCTAACTGTGAGGAGAGAAACAAATGAAACATAGCAAAAATTAAGATGTGAGAGAATTCCCCAGCTCTGATGGACACAGATCTTCAGATTTGAAGATTTCACTGAGCAAAGGAATGAAAAACAAAACAAACAAAGCCCACAGTTAGATACATCATTATGAAATTTCACTAAGACAGATAAGGAGAATGTCCTAAGATTGTCCAGAAAAAAAGACAGATCACCTATAAAAGAAGTAGAATCCAACCATGTAAACAGTCTATGGTGCAATTCTTTTCAAGTTCTGAGAAAAACTGACTTTTGCCCTAGAATCTTGTTTCCAGACAAACCATGAATTAAGTGGGGGAGGTGGTGGAGTAAAGACATTTTCACATAGACAGATTTCAGAAAATTTGCCTCCCACATAGCCTTTCATAGGAAGTTAGTTGAGGATGTGCTCCAGAAAAACAAGGAAGTAAGCCAAGAAAGGAGAAGATGTGGAATTCAGGGGAAAAAAAATAGCTCTAGCCTAGGAGAGAAGAAAAGGGAATTCCCAAGATGACAAGTGGGCAGCAATCCCAGGGAGCAGTCAGTCTAGACTGTAGCAGAAGGACCAAGGACCCAGGAGGAAGGTTTCTGGAGAGAAAGGGAATCAAGAGAGCACCTGAAATGATGAAAAATTGGGAGGAAAATAATATGTTAAAGGCAAGTAATGCAAGGAAAAAAGAAAGGCAATTAAAAACTCCCAGAAAACCAAAAGCCTTCCAAGAAGGAAAATGTTGTAGAAGACATCTTAGCTCTTTGGGAAGAAATATATATATGTATTATCTAATAATGTAAATATTATTCATTAATTTTTTTCAGTGTTAGAATCAACTTAAAAGCAAAGCACAGAAAGCAATTATGTAATTATAGAAACAGAACATAAATGCTACCACCTTAACAATATTATGTATAGAATAGAATCCAATAGAATGTTCTATAAAGGTTGTATATTTATGCTGTCCAGTATGGTAGCTGATAGTCACATGTAGAGATGGAGCACTTGAAATATTGACCTGGTGCAACTAAGGAACTAAAGTTTTTATTTTATTTATTAATATTTTAATTAAATTAAATGTAAATAGCCACATGTGGGGTAGTGGCTACCATTTTGGATGCTGTGAGAAAAGACGGCAAGTTAGAAGGTGGAGGAAAGAGGTGAGATGAAAGGAAGAGATGCTGCATCATCATATTACAGAACAGGAGTCATAAGGATACTACCTATAGTTAGTAGATGAAGAAATGAATACATGAGTATATTCTGTAAAAATTACAATGGTAGGCTAGGCATGGTGGCTCATGCCTGTCATCCCAGCACTTTGGAAGTCCAAGTCAGGTGGATCTCCTGAGTTCAGGAGTTTGAGACTAGCCTGGCCAACATGCTGAAACCCCATCTCTACTAAAAATACAAAAATTAGCCAGGCATGGTGGCACATGCCTGTAATCCCAGCTACTTGGGAGGCCAAGGCAGGAGAATCACTTGAACCCAGGAGGCAGAGGTTGCAGTTAGCCAAGATCATGCCACAGCACTCCAGCCTGGGTGACAGAGGAAGACTCTGTCTCAAAAAGAAAAAAAAAATTACAATGGTAGCCAATAGAGGAACCAAAAATAGGAATATAACTATGTTAGGAGGGTGAGTTAGTGAGGATGGTAATAAATAAGCTAAATCCTCTGATATCAAAAGGAGGAGCTCTATAGAGAATGTTCTCTATTGGTAAACAAAGAAGGAAATATAGGAGCATATTACTTAAATTTGGAAGTAATTTCAAGGAGAGAAAGCAAAAAGACGTCAGAAATGGTTTGCCACTGAGAACAAGAAAGAGAGGGGAGGCCTTTTGATATGAGCACTTTTGTACGATTTTATTTTTAAATCATATGCATGTATTATTTTGATAAAAATTTAAAACAACCCGTCTTCCTAAATATCCTTACAAGAGGGAGTGAAGGTGGGGAATGGTGGTTCATGCCTGTAATCCCTGCACTTTGGGAGGTTGAGGCAGGGTTCAAGACCAGTCTGGGCAACATGTCGAAACCCCATCCCTACAAAAGATTAGCCAGGCACGTGCCTATAGTCCCAGCTACTCAGGAGGCTAAAGTGTGAGGATCACCTGAGCCCAGGAAGTAAAGGCTGCAGTGAGCTGTGATCATGCTACTGCACTACAGCCTGGGCAACAGAGTGAGATGCTGTCAAAAAAAAAAAAAAAGAAAAGAAAAAAGAAAAAAGCAGTGAAATTAGTTTTGCAAGGGCATACATGTAAATAAATACAAGACAGTTTGTACTAAGTGCCAGATAAGAGACAGTAGGCAAGATGTGCTGTAAGTGTCTGGAGCAAGAAACCCCAGGGGCCTCTGTGATCAGGGAACACTCCTTTGTGCTTAAATAATGGGTCCTTAAATCATGGGTCAAGGTTATTTTGGGCAAAGAGGAGGCCAGGTGTCAGTTGCATTCTGATCTCTTGCATGTGTCTCTCACTGTCTCTTCATTTCTCTCCGTCTTTCTCTGGCCCCTATGTCTCTTTCTCTATCTCTCCATCTGTCTCCATATCTGTGTCTTCTCCTCTGTCTCCATTTTCTCTGTCTCTGTGTCTCTTTCTCTGTGTGTGTCTCTCTCCCTCTATATATCTCTCAACTTCTCTATGTCACTCTCTGTCTCTCTCCAATCCTCTCTCTCTCTCTCTCCCTCTTTCCCCTTCTCTCCACCCCTCTCTCTCTCTCTGAGTAACCATCTTTCTCTGTCCATCTTTGTATCCCTCCCCATTGCTGTGTCTCTATCTGCGTCTCTGCTCTTGTTTCTGTCCCTGTCTCTGAATCTCTTTTTATTTCCGTATGTGTCCATGTGATTCCCTCCATCACCCTCTCTGTCTCTCTCTTCCTCTCTGTGTGATTCCGTCTGTTCCTCTCTGTCTCTCTGTCTGGGTCTTTTCCCATTTCTATCTTTTGATCTCTGTCTCTGTCTGTGTCTCTCCACCTTCATCCCCCCATCAGAGAGAAGGACCGCCTGTGGCAGAGGCTCCAGCATCTCTCTTCCATGGCTCCCGAGTGCTGTGTGGCCTGTAGCAAGATCTTTGGCCGATTTTCTCGGCGGTATCCATGCAGGTAAAGGGAAGGGCACAGAATCCTCCCTCTGGGACAGCCCAGTTTCCACCAGCTGACAGCCCCCACCCACCCCAGGGAAGGGAGGGACACAGGAACTGGGTGTTTATAAAAGGCCACTTACAGCTGACTACTCATTCTACCACATCTGGCTTCCAACACTAAGCAGAGCCATAAAGGAGAAGAGCAGAAGGATCAGATAAGGAATGGGGTCCGGGGAGTGGGATTGGGTCCCCCTCCAAGAGCCGATTGAGAAATGGGCCTCTCATCTGGAAGGGAGCATCTGTACAGCGTAAGCTGCTCCCCCTCCTTCCTCTGTGAGCACAGTGCTAGGACCAGCCTTGGGAGAGAGGAAAGTGAGCCACCAGGAGAAGCTGCCATGTGGAGGTGGAGGCTCTGGAGGGGTCGGGCATCAGGACACCCTTCAGGAGAGGGGAGACCTCCTGAGACAAACCAAGGGCATTCCACTGGGAGATGAGAAACAGATGTCTCAGGTGGACCTGAAGATGCTGGAACTCCATGACCTCAGCGCCCACTTGGGGAAGTGCCAGCTGCAGAGGCCGCCCCAGGCTTTCCTGCCTCTGCCTTCCAGGCTCTGTGGAGGCCTGCTCTGCCATGCTTGCTCCATGGATTACAAGAAGAGAGACCGCTGCTGCCCACCCTGCGCCCAGGGAAGAGAAGCCCAGGTCACCTGACCAAGACCAAGACCAGCCCATGACTGGCCTCCCACCTGCCTGCCCATCCCACTCAATCCACTCCCTGCCCGTAGCTCTTCCCAGCCCTCTTGTTTGTCCAGTCCTCATTCTAGACACTGAAGATCTAAGGCACCAGCACTTCTGTGGGCAGAGTAGGGTGTGGGGAGTGGTTCCAGCCCTGCAACTACCACAACGAGCCAGGTGACTTTGGCGAAGCTCTCAGTGCTCAGGGCTTCTTCTCTAATGTTAAGAGTTGGGCCCCATCCTCTCTAAAGTCCCTCTGGGCTCAGCAAATCCATGACTGTGGATAAGACCCCAGCAGCCCTGACATTTCTCCTCCACACTCCCCACTCACCCAGCAGCGGTGCCCACCTTTCCTGATTCACGAGAAGTGAAGCCTGCACTATCTTGGACTCTCCAGCAGCTTCCTGTCTGGAGTCAGCTTCAGGGATCTGTGTTTGTGTTGCTGTGTTTCTTTTTATGTTTATTGAAGTACTACTGACATATGATAAACATCACAGAGTGTACAATTTGATGAGTTTTGATTTTAACAAACACCAATGAAACCGTCTTCATAAACATATCTATCCACCCCAAAGTTTCCTTGTGCCCCTTTGTGGTCTCCCTCCCTTCCCTTCCCTCCATACCTAGGCAAACACTGATCTGCTTTCAGTCACCACAGGCTAATGTGCATTTTCTAGAATTTTATGTAAGTGAAATCATACAGTATGCCCTCTTTATTGCCTGCCTTCTTCTGCTGAACTTAATGATGTTGAGATTCGTGTCTGTTGCTACATATATCAAGAACATATTTTATTGTCGAGTGGTATTCCACCGCATGGATATGCCACAGTTTGTCTCTACATTCACCTGTGGATGGACATCTGAGTTGTTTCCAACCTGGGGCTATTACAAATAAGATTCACATGAGTATCTGCTGACATACACTTGTTTCTCTTAGGTTTCTCTTGTGTAGACATATACTTGTTTCTCTTAGGTAAATTCCTAGGAATGACATGGGTGAGTCATTATGTTTAACTTTTTTTTTTGAGACGGAGTCTCGCTCTGTCACCCAGGCTGGAGTGCAGTGGTGTGATTTCATCTCACTGCAAGCTCCGCCTCCTGGGTTCTCGCCATTCTCCTGCCTCAGCCTCCCAAGTAGCTGGGACTACAGGCGGCCGCCACCACGCCCGGCTAATTTTTTGTATTTTTAGTAGAGACGGGGTTTCCCCATGTTAGCCAGCATGGTCTCGATCTCCTGACCTCGTAATCAGCCCGCCTCAGCCTCCCAAAGTGCTGGGATTATAGGCATGAGCCACCGCGCCTGGCCATGTTTAACTTTTAAGGAACTGCCAAACTATTGCCCAAAGAGGTTGTACACTTGCCCTTCCCACCAGCAGCATGTGAGAGTTTCTGTTGCCCCCACCCCACTCCCACCAGGACTCCTGCATTTGGAGGGCAGGAAAGAGGCACAGACACAGAACTTGGACCTCTCTGTCCTTTCCTACCAACCGCTATAGTTCTTTATTGATCTCAAGTTGAGAGTACCTGGAGGGAAAGGCTGAGTCTAGGTCACTCTCTGTGCAGTGTTCATTTGGCCAGACTTTGATAAGGACCATTGATGTGGACTATGTAGTACTGTGGCATAAGATCACATCCCTGTATTGTCCAAGAAGGCTTATGAAAGGGGTAGGTCATTCACTAGGCGCCTGATTGTGGTGCTTCTGAGAATAACTGTTTTGGAAGAAGTGCAGACCACACTCTATGATAAGGTGATTAGCTGCCCTACACAGGTTCTAAGACACATTTTGTGGCCCCCAACAGGCAGTCACACTGTCCTTATCTGCTCTGTCTTGCAGGCACTGCCAGAGCCTCCACAGCAGTTGGGCAATACTGTGGCTCTGACCAGAGCTCTGGACGGCTTCTTGGGGTTAGGCCGCCCAGATTGCATCCCATTACCTTCACATGGAACAAGAGTTTTGCAACAGTAGTTTCTGCCCTAGAGAGTTGGTGAGAACTTCTGCTTAGGAAACACAATAACAGGGTGAGGGGAGAAAGTGGGGGGCTCCTGGAGCAATCAGAGCAATAGAATTGCCACTACCCTAAAGGGCAGCAGTCCCTTTCTGGAAATGAGGCTTACTCACATGTCTTTACTAGGGCAGGATTCTTACTATAGCAGAAGAAGTCATATTCTAGCAGGAACTCCAGCACAAAATTCAGACCTTCCTGATGAATTGATTGGATGTTCGCGGGGTGGTGATGGGGGACTGGCTGAAGCCCATTTCACAGAGCAAGGAGGCTGCTCCTGGAAGAGAACTCATCAGATGGGAATCAGGGGCCAGGATTGGGGGAGCTGGACCTTCTCCCACTGTTTGGGGAAAAGAAGAGCAATGCTGAAGACCAACATCTAGCTCAACACTGCCCCTGAAGAGTCTGCACCAAGTCCAATGGAGAGCAAAAGAGTTCCAAAAAGAAATTAGAAAAGTCTGTTAGACTTTGGGGACTCTCAAGCAGAGAGACCCACAAAGATCACCATAGACCTCCCAGAGCCTGGCACTGCACGTGCACCCGTCCTTCTTCAGTGGTGACTCTAGGGTGCATGTCCAGCAACTGCAAAGCCCAGAGAAGCATGTGGGAGACACCCCTAATAGACTTCCCCAGTCCCTGAGGAGCACATTACAGGGCTGAAGCCCAGCATGAATGCATGGCCACCACAATCCAGGTTGTTGCTATTGACGTGACTTCATCTGTATTCATAGGCTGGGGATGCCCTGGGTAATTGGTGCAACATAATTATTTCTTTAAATTAGATGTCACTGAGATGCTCCAATGTACATCAGTTTCCCCTACCTGTCAATTCATTTAGTGCTCAACAAAAATGTATTAAGCATCTATGATATGCCAAACAATGATTGATTTGGAGATACGAAGATAAAAATATGAAAGCACTGCTTTCAAGAACCTTACCATGGGGGAAGGAGCAGCCAAATGGATGAGGAATTATAAACCCTTGGCTACATTTGCAAGGTAAAGGGAGAGTTGTCCAAACCAAAAGAGTGGGAAAGAGCATCCCAGGGAAAAGGGAAACACATGCCAAGACCCCAGAGGAAACTAGAACAGCCCCTTGGGGGTTGAGGGGACTGTAGGTGGTTCCCTGTGGCTGGAGTTAAGGGTTCCGTACTGGGGGTGGGGGGAGACTGAAGTGACAGGGTTGGAGAAGTAACAGGAGTTAGATGGAGGGTACCAGGTGACCGGCTCGGGAGTCTGACTTTACCTGAGTGTAACCAGGGTCCTTGATGAATTTTAAGAGGAAAAGAAAGTGATCAAATTCATATATTAGGAAGCTCGTTCTGGCAGTAGATTGGAGGGTGGGTTAAAGGGGGAACTATTTGAGGTAGAGAACATTTAGGAGAGGAGGGGGACGGGGAGAGGAGGAAGAGGAGGATGAGGAGCAACTAACAGAGCGAAGCATCATTCCAAGTGTTTATCAGTATAGACTCATTTAATCCACATAACAACCCCATGTAGGAGCTGCTCTCATTATATCCACTTCACAGATAATGAAACTGAGACCCAGTGAGATTAAATCACTTGACCAAAGTCCAGGACTAGGTAGATGGATTCTAACTCACACAGCCCAGTCTGGAACCCACAACTTTGCATGACCATTGCCTTAGGTGAAGTGAGAGAGAATAAAGTATTGCCTAACACTCTCAGTGAAGATGGTGAGGAGGAGATAGTCAGGAGTGTTCTTAAGGAGAGGAAGAGTAAGGAGCAGGTACATTTCTGGTTTGGCAGATGATTGAACAAGGAACCACTCAGGAGAAAGACGTGTCAGGAAATACAATGAGATTAGTTTTCTACATGCTGAATTTGCAAAATCTGTAGGCCCTCAGGGAGATTTAAGGAGATAATTGCATGTCAGAGTTTGGAGCTTAGGGGAGACACTTGTTGGGAGCAGTAGCTATGGGAGACTCTGGCACATGTCGGATGGCAGCTGAAGCCATGAAAACCAGTGGACTCACCAAGAGGGGGCAGTAGAGTGAAAAGAGAAGAAAACCAAAGTAGAATCCTCAGGAACCTCAATATTTGAGGAATAAGTTAAGAAATAGAGCAATAAACAAGACAAGAGAGGTCAAGGGGAATAGAGGAGAATGGGTTAGTGGGATTCAGTGATATAGAGATCAAGTAAGACCTGAACGGTAACTTTCCACCATAAATAAAGATGAAAAGCATACAGCAGGCAGGAAGAAAATATCTTAACATAATTGACAAATATTCAAAACATAATTATATAAAGAGCTCCTACAAATCAGTAACAAAATCAATCAATAACAAAATAACAATCCAAGGCTGGGCATGGTGGTTCACGCCTGTCCCAGCACTTTGGGAGGCCGAGGTGGGTGGCCAGGGATTCGAGACCAGCCTGGCCGACATGGCGTGAAACCCTGTCTCTACTAAAATTACAAAAATGACCCAGGAGTGGTGGTGAACACTTGTAGTCCCATCTACTCGGGAGGCTGAGGCATGAGAATGGCTTGAATTTGGAAGGCAGAGGTTGCAGTGAGCCAAGATTGCACTCCAGGCTGAGCAACAGAGTGAGACTCTGTCTCCAAAAAAAAAAAAATTTTATTTCTTGCCATGCGCAGTGGCTCATGCCTGTAATCCCAACACTTTGAGAGGCAGAGGCAAGAGAATCACTTGAGGCCAAAAAAAAATAACAAAATAACAATCCAAAGCAAAAGGGAAACAGATAAGAATAACTAATTCAGCTGGGCCCAGTGGCTCACACCTGTAATCCCAGATATACAGGAGGCTAAGATGGCAGGATCACTTGAGGTGAGATATATACATATATATGATATAGTAGATATATCTTTTTTATTAAGAAAAGAAGGAAGGAAAACATGTTTGTATTTGCATAGAGAGAATTCCAGGAAAATGTACACACCAAGTTGTAGACAGTAGTTATCTGAGGAAAAGATATGGGTGAACAGAGGAACGGAAGAGAGACTTTCCAGCTGTGCTTTATATGCTTTTGTGCTTTTTTATTGCTTGTATTCTTTACAATATGCATGCTTTGTTTTGTCATATTAAAAGTTTTGTGTGTTTGTGTGTTTCTTTTTTGTTTCAATAGTTTTGGGGTACAGGTGGTTTTCTGTTACATGGATAAGTTCTTTAGAGGTGATTTCTGAGAGATTTTTATGCACCTGTCACCCAAGCAGTGTACACTGTACCCAATATGTAATCTTTTATCCCTCACCTCCCTCCCAACCTTCTTCCCTGCATCACCAAAATCTGCTATATCACTCTTAGGCCTTTGCATCCTCATAGCTTAGCCCCCACTTATAAATGAGAACATATGATATTTGGTTTTCCATTCCTGAGTTACTTTACTTAGAATAACGGCTTCCAGCTCTATCCAAGTTGCTGCAAAAGACATTATTTTGTTCATTTTTATGGCTGAGTAGTATTGTATGGTGTATGTAGGGAAAAGAAAGAGAGATCAGACTGTTACTGTGTCTATGTAGAAAAGGAAGACATAAGAAACTCCATTTTGACCTGTACCCTGAACAACTGTTTTGTCCTGAGATGCTGTTAATCTGTAACTTTGCCCCAACCTTGAGCTTATAAAAACATGTGTTGTATGGAATCAAGGTTTAAGGGATCTAAGGCTGTGTAGGATGTGCCTTGTTAACAAAATGTTTACAGGCAGTATGCTTGGTAAAAGTCATCGCCATTCTCCGGTTTCGATAAACCAGGGGCACAATGCACTGCAGAAAGCCGCAGGAACCTCTGCCCTGGAAAGCCGGGTATCATCCAAGATTTCTCCCCATGTGATAGTCTGAAATATGGCCTTATGGGATGGGAAAAACCACACTGTCCCCCGGCCCGACACCCGCGAAAGGTCTGTGCTGAGGAGGATTAGTAAAAGAGGAAGGCCTCTTGCAGTTGAGATAAGAAGAAGGCCTCTGTCTCCTGCCTGCCCCTGGAAACGGAATGTCTCAGTATAAAACCCGATTGTACATTTGTTCAATTCTGAGATAAGAGAAAAACTGCCCTGTGGCAGGAGGCGAGACATGTTGGCAGCAATGCTGCTCTGTTATTCTGAGATGTTTGGGTGGAGAGAAGCATAAATCTGGCCTATGTGCACATCTAGGCATAGTATCTTCCCTTAACCTTATTTGTGACACAGATTCATTTGCTCACATGTTTTCTTGCTGACCTTCTCCCCACTATCACCCTGCTCTCCTACCGCATTCCTCTTGCTGAGATCGTGAAAATAGTAATTAATAAATACTGAGGGAACTCAGAGACCAGTGCTGGTGTGGGTCCTCCGTATGCTGAGCGCCGGTCCCCTGGGCCCACTGTTCTTTCTCTATAATTTGTGTCTGTGTCTTATTTCTTTTCTCAGTCTCTCATCCCACCTGAAGAGATATACCCACAGGTGTGGAGGGGCAGGCCACCCCTTCAGGTGTATATAAACCACATTTTCTGTATCCACTCATTGGTTGATGGGCATTTAGGTCGGTTCCATATCTTTGCAATTGTGAATTGTGCTGCTATAAACATGTGTGTGCAAGTGTGCTTTTCACATAATGACTTCTTTTCCCTTGGATAGATACCCAGTAGTGGGATTGCTGGATCAAATGGTAGTTTCACTTTTAGTTCTTTAAGAAATCCCCACACTGTTTTCCATAGTGGTTGTACTTTGCATTCTCACCAGCAGTGTAAAAGTGGTCTCTTTTCACCACATCCATGCCAACATCTATTGTTTTTTTGACTTTTGAATTATGGCCATTCTTGCAGGAGTAAGGTGGCATCTCATTCCAGTTTTCATTTGCATTTCCCTGATGATTAGTGATGTTGAGCATTTTTTCATGTTTGTTGGCTGTTTGTATATCTTATTTTGAGAAATGTGTAATCATGTCCTTTGCCCACTTTTTGACAGGATTATTTGGTTTCTTCTTGCTGATTTGTTTGAGTTCCTTGTAGATTCTAGATACTAGATTCTAGTCCTTTGTCAGATGCTTATTTTGCTGATTTGAGTTCCTTGATTCTGGATACTAGTCCTTTGTCTGAATACACAGTTTGCTAATATTTTCTCCCACTCTGGGCTGTCTGTTTACTCTGCTGGTTATTTCTTTTGCTATGCAGGAGCCTTTTAGTTTAATTAGGTCCCATTTATTTATTTTTGTTTTCATTGCATTTGCTTTTGGGATCTTAGTCATAAATTCTTTGCCTAAGCCAATATCCAGAAGAGTTTTTCCAAAGTTATCTTCTAGAATGTTTATGGTTTCAGGTCCTAGATTTAAAGTCTTTGATCCATCTTGAGTTGATTTTTGTATATGGTGGGAGATGGGGATCCGGTTCCATTCTTCTACATGTGGTTTCCCAGCACCTTTTATTGAAATGTCCTTTACTCAATTTATGTTTTTGTTTGTTTTATCAAAGGTCAGATAGCTGCATTTGGCTTTATTGCTGGGTTCTCTATTCTGTTCCCTTAGTCTACATGCCTATTTGTATACTAGTACCATGCTGTTTGGTAATTGTAGCCTTGTAGTATAATTTGTAGTCAGGTGATGTCTTCAGATTTATTCTTTTTGCTTAGTTTTGCTTTGGCTTTGTGGCCTCTTTTTTGGTTCCATACAAATTTCAGGATTTTTTTTCTATTTCTATGATGACTGATGATGGTATTTTGATGGGAATGGCATTGAATCTGTAGATTGCTTTGGGCAGTATGGTCATTTTCACAATATTAATTTTTCCATCCATGAGCATGGGGAGTGTTTCCAATTGTTTGTGTAATCTATGATTTTTCAGCAGTGTTTTGTAGTTTTCTTTGTAGAGATGTTACACCTCCCTGGTTAAGCGTATTCCTAGGTATTTTATTTTATTTTTTGCAGCTGTCATAAAAGAGATTGAGTTCTTGATTTGATTCTCAGCATGGTCGTTGTTGGTAGATAGCAGTGCTACTGATTTGTGTACATTGATTTCATAACCTGAGACTTTACTGAATTCATTTATCAGATCTAGGAGCTTTCTGGATGAGTCTTTAGGGTTTTTTAGGTATACGATCATATCAGCAGTGAACAGTGACAGTTTGACTTCCTCTTTTCCAATTTGGATGCCATTTATTTCTTTCTCTTGTCTGATTGCTGTGGCTGGGACTTCCAGTACTATGTTGAATAGGAGTGGTGAACGTGGGCATCCTTGTCTTATTCCAGTTCTCAGGGGGAATGTTTTCAACTTCTCCCCATTCAGTATGATGTTGGCTGTGGGTTTGTCATATAATGGCTTTATTACTTTGAGCTAAGTCCCTTCTATGCCTATTTTGTTGAGGGTGCTGGATTTTATTAAATGCTTTGTGTCTATTGAGATGATCATATGGTTTTCCTTTTTAATTCTATCTATGTGATGTATCACATTTATTGACTTGTGTATGTTAAATCATCCCTGCATCCCTGGGATGAAACCCATTTGATCATGATGTATTATATTTTTGATGTGCTGTTGGATTTGGTTAGCTAGTATTTTATTGAGGATTTTTGTATCTATAGTCATCAGGGGTATTGGTCTATAGTTTTCATTTTTTGTTATGTCCTTTCCTGGTTTTGGTATTAGGGTGACACTGGCTTCATACAGTGATTGGGGTGTGGGGGGGAATTCCTTCTTTCTTTATCTTTTGGAATAGTTTCAGTAAGACTGGTACCAATTCTTCTTTGAATGCCTGGTAGAAATCAGCTGTGAATCCATCTGTTCCTGGACTTTTTTGGGTTGGCAATTTTTTATTACTGATTCAATCTCACTGCTTATTATTGGTCTGCTCAGAGTTTCTATTTTTCCCTGATTTAACCTAGGAGGATTGTATGTTTCCAGGAATTTATCCATTTCCTCTAGATTTTCTAGTTTGTGCACATAAAGGTGTTCATAGTAGCCTTGATTGATTTTTTGTATTTCTGTGTGATCGGTTGTAATATCTCCAGTTTCATTTCTAATTGATCTTATTGGATCTTCTCTCTTCTTTTCTTGGTTAATCTTGCTAATGGTCTAGCAATTTGGTTTATCTTTTCAAAGAACCAGCTTTTTGTTTCATTTATCTTTTATATTGTTTTTGTTTTTTCAATTTCATTTAGTTCTTCTCTGATCTTCATTATTTCTTTTCTTCTGCTGGACGTGGGTTTAGTTTGTTCTTGTTTCTCCAGTTCCTTGAGGTGTGACGTTAGGTCGTCAATTTGTGCTCTTGCAAACTTTTTGATATAAGCATTTAACGCTATGAAATTTCCTCTTAGGGCTGCTTTTGCTGTATCCCAGAGGTTTTGATAAGTTGTGTCAATATTATCATTCATACTAAAGAATTTTTTAATTTCCATCTTGATTTCATTGCTAACCCAAAAATCTTTCAAGAGCAGATTATTTAATTCCCATGTATTTGTATAGTTTGAGAGTTCCTTTTGGAGCTAATTTCCAGTTTTATTCCACTGTGCTGTGGTCTGAGAAGATACTTGCTATTTTGATTTTCTTAAATTTATTGAGACTTGTTTTGTGGCCTATCATATGTTTTGTCTTGGAGAATGTTCCACGTGCTGTTGAGAAGAATGTACATTCTGCAGTTGTTGGAAAGAATGTTCTGTCAATATCTGTTAAATCCACTTGGGTATAGTTTAAGCCCATTGTTTCTTTGTTGGTTTTCTGTCTTGATGATCTGTCTAGTGCTGAGAGTGGAGTATCAGAGTCCCCCACTATTATTGTGTTGCTGTCTATCTCATTTCTTAGGTCAGGTACTAAATGTTTTATAAATCTGGGAGCTCCAGTGTTAGGTGGATGTAAATTTAGAATTGTAATATCTTCTTGTTGGACTAATTCTTTTATCATTATATAATGTCCTTCTTTGTCTTTTTTTACTGTTGTTGATCAAAAGTCTGTTTTGCCAGAAATAAGAATAGCTACACCTGCTTGGTTTTGGTTTCCATTTGCGTGGAATATCTTTTTTTCCTTTACCTTGAATTTATGAGTCCTTATGCAGCAGGTCAGATTTTCATTAGCAGCCAAGGTCAGTTTCCACTAACCCTTTACTATAATTTTGATGAATACATAAGTTAAATATTAAAGAACTGGAGAAACCAGTGTCTGGGTGTATTAGTCCATTCTTACACTCCTATAAAGAACTACCTGAGACTGGGTAATTTATGAATAAAAGAGGTTTCATTGACTCACAGTTCTGCAGGCTATACAGGAAGCATGGCTGGGAGGCCTCAGGAAACTTACAATCACGGCAGAAGGTGAAGGGCAAGCAAGCGTGTCCTACCATGGCAAAGCAGGAGAGAGAGAGTGAAGGCGGAAGGGCTACACACTTTCAAACAACCAGATCTCATGAGAACTCACTCACTATCATGAGAGCAGCAAGGGGGTTATCCACCCCCAAGATCCAATCACCTCCCACCAGCTCCCTCCTCCAACACTGGGAATTACAATTCGACATGACATTTGGGTAGGGACATGGAGCCAAACCATGTCATCGAGTATGAGGACTAGAATGCAAAAACAAACCCATTAAGACCTTGTCTGGGTTTTCTCAGACCCTAAAGTCTGATCAAATAATAAAAGCATTCTAACACATATACCTCATACCAGGGCCCACTTAAGATTAAGAAACTTTCCAAGGCTCTAGAGAAAGTTTTCCAGACCCCAAACTCTAGTTAAAGATTAGATATAGATTGAATGAAACACTCTGGCTTGTAGCTGCACTCCCACATGTAGTCATAGAGTGTAAAATATATATAAGCACTGGGGAAAAATTTGTAACTTTGAGTTGGTCTGGTGAGTTGCTCCAACCTTCTCCCTGTAACCATTTACAGAAATAAACTCCCTTCTTTCCCAGTCTGTCTGCATCTTGTTATTGGACCCTAAGTGCAAGCAGCCGGACCTCATTCATCTGGGAACACTTATGTGTTATTTGTGTCTCTTGAAGACAGCAGATATTTGATGGGTGGTTTTTAAATCAATCCTGCCACTCTGTATCTTTTAAGTGGAGCATTTAGGCCACTTACATTCAATGTTAAAACTGGGATGTTCTGTCTGGAATTGGTTCCTTCCGGTGGGTTCTTGGTCTTGCTGACTTCAAGAATGAAGCCACGGACACTCGCAGTGAGTGTTACAGTTCTTAAAGATGGTGTGTCCGGAGTTTGTTCCTTCAGATGTTCAGATGTGTCCAGAGTTTCTCCCTTCCGGTGGGTTCGTGATCTTGCTGACTTCAGGAGTGAAGCCGCAGACCTTCGCAGTGAGTGTTACAGCTCTTAAAGGTGGCGCGTCCGGAGTTTTTTGTTCCTCCTGGTGGGTTCGTGGTCTCACCGACTTCAGGAGTGAAGCCACAGACCTTCGCAGTGAGTGTTACAGCTCTTTTTTTTTTTTAATTTTACATTTTGTTTTATTTTATCAAAGTTATGCTTGGTTCCAGATCTGTGAGACAATATTTTTAATATGGAAAACAGAACATCAACAAAACAAACAAGAAAATGACTTGCAGCCTTGAAGTACACTCAGGGCAAGGTAGTGTGGGTGACCATCTGATTAAAGAAGCTAAGTCAGAGCCAGAAATCACTTTATGTTTTAAGTATAATAATCAACAAGTCAGAATCACAGCCGATAATTAAACTTCTTAGGCAGTTGCTTCATCATAACATTCATTTCTGCATACATACTTTCAGGTTGGAAGTAGAAATTCTCAAATGTCTGAATAACCAATATACAAAAACAATTCTGAAGACGTTAATTAAAGAAGCACCTTCAAACAGTGTTCTCTGATTCAAAAAGTTTTAAAAGGGGCTTGGATTTGGAGGAATGCAGGAGGCAGCCAGATGGATGGGGAGAAAGGAGGATGGTCAAAGAGGCAGAGCCCTTTGCTATGAGAATCAACTTCAACCAGAAAAGATCCACTTTTACTAATTTTACAAAGTAGGATTTCACATGAGTTATCTTTAAAAATATCTTCAAAGAAAGTGTTTACTTACTTTAAAAAGAGAGTCCAAAAATCACTGTCCTAAAGAATGGATATGTTTTGTTACAAAAGTAGAGGCAATAAGAAATTTGTAGTATAGTGATGTTAAGGAAGAAAACTAACTTCTGAGCTATTGTCTACATTTCTGTTCATTTAATTCCATTCTCTCTGAGCCATCCCGGTGCCTCCTTGTTATGAGAATACCCCCTTATCTTATACCATCCAACAAACAGAATCCTGTAATTCCTTTGGTAGATTTGGGATTCTGGTTTACATAACTATTGACTATGGCAGAAACACCTAGGATACTATCTCAGTGTGTTTACATGGTTCTTTTTGATTCTACATTTAGATGGTGCCTTTTTGCTTATTATGCTTGTTACTTATAGGGAATGTGGTTTTACAAGCTAAGATCTTCTTGGCTGTGGTATTATTCCATGTAGAAATTAGCTCAGCTCCTTCTAGTCACTAAGAGACCAAAGGCTGTAGTAACTCTGTCTCCCTATCACCTCTCTGGATTTCTATGTGGTCCATGACTCCTGTAAGACTAATTTCTTTTTTTTTTAATTATACTTTAAGTTCTAGGGTACATGTGCACAATGTGCAGGTTTGTTGCATATGTATACATGTACCATGTTGGTGTGCTGCACCCATTAACTCATCATTTACATTAGGTGTATCTCCTAATGCTATCCCTCTTCCCTCCCCCCACCCCATGACAGGCCCCAGTGTGTGATGTTCCCCACCCTGTGTCCAAGTGTTCTCATTGTTCAATTCCCACCTATAAGTGAGAACCTTGAAATAGTTTGCTCAGAATGATGGTTTCCAGCTTCATCCATGTCCCTACAAAGGACGTGATCTCATCCTTTTTATGGCTGCATAATATTCCATGGCGTATATGTGCCACATTTTCTTCATCCAGTCTATCATTGACAGACATTTGGTTTGGTTCCAAGTCTTTACTATTGTGAATAGTGCTGCAATAAACATATGTGTGCATGTGTCTTTATAGCAGCATGATTTATAATCCTTTGAGTATATACCCAGTAATGGGATGGCTGGGTCAAATGGTATTTCTAGTTCTAGATCCTTGAGGAATTGCCACACTGTTTTCCACAATCGTTGAACAAATTTACAGTACGACCAACAGTGTAAAAGTGTTCCTATTTCTCCACATCCTCTCCAGCACCTGTTGTTTCCTGACTTTTTAATGATCGCCATTCTAACTGGTGTGAAATAGTATCTCGCTGTGGTTTAGATTTTCATTTCTCTGATGGCCAGTGATAATGAGCATTTTTTCATGGGTCTGTTGGCTGCATAAATGTCTTCTTTTGAGAAGTGTCTGTTCATATCCTTTGCCCACTTTTGATGGGGTTATTTGATTTTTCTTCTACATTTGTTTAAGTTCTTTGTAGATTCTGGATATTAGCCCTTTGTCAGATGGGTAGAAAGCAAAAATTTTCTCCCACTCTGTAGGTTGCCTGTTCACTCTGATGGTAGTTTCTTTTGCTGTGCAGAAGCTCTTTGGTTTAATTAGATCCCATTTGTCAATTTTGGCTTTTGTTGCCATTGCTTTTGGTGTTTTAGACATGAAGTCCTTGCCCATGCCTATGTCCTGAACGGTATTACCTAGGTTTTCTTCTAGGGTTTTTATGATTTTAGGTGTAATATTTAAGTCTTTAATCCATCTTGAATTAATTTTTGTATAAGATGTAAGGAAGGGATCCAGTTCCAGCTTTCTACATATGGCTAGCCAGTTTTCCCAGCACCATTTATTAAATAGGGAATCCTTTCCCCATTTCTTGTTTTTGTCAGGTTTGTCAAAGATCAGATAGTTGTAGATGTGTGGTATTATTTCCGGGGGCTCTATTCTGTTCCATTGGTCTATATCTCTGTTTTGGTACCAGTACCATGCTGATTTGGTTACTATAGCCTTGTAGTATAGCTTGAAGTCAGGTAGCGTGATGCCTCCAGCTTTGTTCTTTTGGCTTAGGATTATCTTGGCAATGCGGGCTCTTTTTTGGTTCCATATGAACTTTAAAGTAGTTTTTTCCAGTTCTGTGAAGAAAGTCATTGGTAGCTTGATGGGGATGGCATTGAATCTATAAATTACCTTGGGCAGCATGGCCATTTTCACAATATTGATTCTTCCTATCCATAAACATGGAATGTTCTTCCATTTGTTTGTGTCCTCTTTTATCTCATTGAGCAGTGGGTTATAGTTCTCCTTAAAGAGGTCCTTCACATCCCTTGTAAGTTGGATTCCTAGGTATTTTATTCTCTTTGTAGCAATTGTGAAGGAGTTCACTCATGATTTGGCTCTCTGTTTGTCTGTTAATGGTATATAGGAATGCTTGTGATTTTTGCACATTGATTTTGTATCCTGAGACTTTGCTGAAGTTGCTTATCAGCTTAAGGAGATTTTGGGCTGAGATGATGGGGTTTTCTAAATATACAATCATGTCATCTGCAAACAGGGACAATTTGACTTCCTCTTTCTCTTGCCTGATTGACCTGGCCAGAACTTCCAACACTATGTTGAATAGGAGTGGTGAGAGAGGGCATCCCTGTCTTGTGCCAGTTTTCAAAGGGAATGCTTCCAGTTTTTGCCTATTCAGTATGATATTGGCTGTGGGTTTGTCCTAACTAGCTCTTATTATTTTGAGATACATCCCATCAATACCTAGTTTATTGAGAGTTTTTAGCATGAAGGCTATTGAATTTTGTTGAAGGCCTTTTCTGCATCTATTGAGATAATCATGTGGTTTTTATCTTTGGTTCTGTTTATATGATGGATTACATTTATTGGTTTGCATATGTTGAACCAGCCTTGCATCTCAGGGATGAAGCCAACTTGATTGTGGTGGATAAGCTTTTTGATGTGCTGCTGGATTCGGTTTGCCTGTATTTTGTTGAGGATTTTTGCATCAATATTCATCATGGATATTGATCTAAAATTCTCTTTTTTTGTTGTGTCTCTGCCAGGCTTTGGTATCAGGATGATACTGGCCTCATAAAATGAATTAGGGGGGATTCCCTCTTTTTCTATTGATTGGAATAGTTTCAGAAGGAATGGTACCAGCTCCTCTTTGTACCTCTGGTAGAATTTGGCAGTGAATCTGTCTGGTCCTGAACTTTTTTTGGTTGGTAGGCTATTAATTATTGCCTCAATTTCAGAACCTGTTATTGATCTATTCAGAGATTCAACTTCTTCCTGGTTTAGTCTTGGGAGGATGTATGTGTTGAGGAATTTATCCATTTCTTCTAGATTTTCTAGTTTGTTTGTGTAGAGGTGTTTGCAGTATTCTCTGATGGTAGTTTGTATTTCTGTGGGATCAGTGGTGATATTCCCTTTATCATTTTTTATTGCATCTATTTGATTCTTCTCTCTTTTCTTCTTTATTAGTCTTGCTAGCAGTCTATCAATTTTGTTGATCTTTTCAAAAAACCAGCTCCTGGATTCATTGATTTTTTTGAAGGGTTTTTTTGTGTCTCTGTCTCCTTCAATTCTGCTCTGATCTTAGTTATTTCTTGCCTTCTGCTAGCTTTCGAATGTGTTTGCTCTTGCTTCTCTAGTTCTTTTAGTTGTAATGTTAGGGTGTCAATTTTAGTTCTTTCCTGCTTTCTCTTGTGGGCATTTAGTGCTATAAATTTCCCTCTGCACACGGCTTTAAATGTGTCACAGAGATTCTGGTATGTTGTGTCTTTTTCTCATTGGTTTCAAAAAACATCTTTATTTCTACCTTCATTTCATTATGTACCCAGTAGTCATTCAGGAGCAAGTTGCTCAGTTTCCATGTAGTTGAGCAGTTTTGAGTGCGTTTCTTAATCCTGAGTTCTAGTTTGATTGCACTGTGGTCTGAGAGACACTTTGTTATAATTTCTGTTCTTTTACATTTGCTGAGGAGTGCTTTACTTCCAAATATGTGGTCAATTTTGGAATAAGTGCGATGTGGTGCTAAGAAGAATATATATTCTGTTGATTTGGGGTGGAGAGTTCTGTAGATGTCTATTAGGTCTGCTTGGTGCAGAGCTGAGTTCAATTCCTGGATATACTTGTTAACTTTCTGTCTCATTGATCTGTCTAATGTTGACATTGGGGTGTTAAAGTCTCCCATTATTATTGTGTGGGAGTCTAAGTCTCTTTGTAGGTCTCTAAGGACTTGCTTTATGAATCTGGGTGCTCTTGTACTGGGTGCATATATATCTAGGATAGTTAGCTCTTCTTGTTGAATTGATCCCTTTACCAATATGTTATGGCCTTCTTTGTCTCTTTCAATCTTTGTTGGTATAAAGTCTGTTTATCAGAGACTAGGATTGCAACCCCTGCTTTTTTCTTGTTTTCCATTTGCTTGGTAGATCTTCCTCCATCCCTTTATTTTGAGCCTATGTGTGTCTCTGCACGTGAGATGGGTCTCCTGAATACAGCACACTGATGGGTCTTAATTCTTTATCCAATTTTCCAGTCTGTGTCTTTTAATTGGAGGATTTAGCCCATTTACATTTAAGGTTAATATTGTTATGTGTGAATTTGATCCTGTCATTATGATGTTAGCTGGTTATTTTGCTCATTAGTTGATGCAGTTTCTTCCTAGCCTCGATGGTCTTTACAATTTGGCATGCTTTTGCAGTGGCTGGTACCGGTTGTTCCTTTCCATGTTTAGTGCTTCCTTCAGGAGCTCTTGTAAGGCAGGCCTGGTGGTGACAAAATCTCTCAGCATTTGTTTGTCTGTAAAGGATTTTATTTCTGCTTCACTTATGAAGCTTAGTTTGGCTGGATATGAAATTCTGGATTGAAAATTCTTTTCTTTAAGAATGTTGAATATTAGCCCCCACTCCCTTCTGGCTTGTAGAGTTTCTGCTGAGAGATCCACTGTTAGTCTGAAGGGCTTCCCTTTGTGGGTAACCTGACCTTTCTCTCTGGCTGCCCTTAACATTTTTTCCTTCATTTCAACTTTGGCGAATCTGACAATTATGTGTCTTGGAGTTGCTCTTCTTGAGGAGTATCTTTGTGGCGTTCTCTGTATTTCCTGAATTTGAATGTTGGCCTGCCTTTCTAGTTGGGGAAGTTCTCCTGGGTAATATCATGAAGAGTGTTTTCCAACTTGGTTTGATTCTCCTCGTCACTTTAAGGTACACCAATCAGATGTAGATTTGGTCTTTTCACATAGTCCCATATTTTTTGGAGGCTTTGTTCATTTCTTTTTACTCTTTTTTCTCTAAACTTCTCTTCTCACTTCATTTCATTCATTTGATCTTCAATCACTGATACCCTTTCTTCCACTTGATCAAATTGGCTACTGAAGTTTGTGCATGCATCACGTAGTTCTTGTGCCATGGTTTTCAGCTCCATCAGGTCATTTAAGGACTTCTCTACACTGTTTATTCTAGTTAGTCATTCGTCTCATCTTTTTTCAAGGTTTTTAGCTTCTTTGTGATGGGTTCCAACATCTTCCTTTAGCTCAGAGAAATTTGTTATTACCGATTGTCTGAAGCCTTCTTCTCTCAACTCGTCAAAGTCATTCTCCATCCAACTTTGTTCCATTCCTGGCAAGGAGCTGCATTCCTCTGGAGGAGAAGAGGCACTCTCATTTTTATAATTTTCAGTTTTTCTGCTCTGGTTTCTCCCCATCTTTGTGGTTTTTATCTACCTTTGGTCTTTGATGATGGTGATGTACAGATGGGGTTTTGGTGTGGATGTCCTTTCCGTTTGTTAGTTTTCCTTCTAACAGTCAGGACCCTCAGCTTCAGGTCTGTTGGAGTTTGCTGGAGGTCCACTCCAGACCCTGTTTGCCTGGGTATCACCAGTGGAGGGTGCAAAACAGCAAATATTGCAGAACGGCAAATGTTGCTGTCTGCTGATCCTTCTTCTGGAAGCTTCATCTCAGAGGGGCACCCGGCTGTATGAGGTGTCAATCGGCCCCTACTGGGAGGTGTCTCCCAGTTAGGCTACTCGGGGGTCAGGGACCCACTTGAGGAAGCAGTCTGTACATTCTCAGATCTCAAACTCCATGCTGGGAGAAGCACTACTCTCTTCAAAGCTGTCACACAGGGACGTTTAAGTCTGCAGAAGTTTCTGCTGTCTTTTGTTCAGCTGTGCCCTGCCCCCAGAGGTGGAGTCTACAGAGGCAGGCAGGCCTCCTTGAGCTGCAGTGGGCTCCACCCAGTTTGAGCTTCCCAGCTGCTTTGTTTACCTACTCAAGCCTCAGCAATGGCAGACATCCCTACCCCAGCCTCGCTGCTGCCTTGCAGTTCGATCTCAGACTGCTGTGCTAGCAGTGAGTGAGGCTCCATGGGTTTGGGGCCCTCCAAGCCAGGCACGGGATACAATCTCCTGGTGTGCCGTTTGCTAAGGCCACTGGAAAACCTCAGTATTAGGGTGGAAGTGTCCCAATTTTCCAGGTACCATCTGTCATGGCTTCCCTTTGCTAGGAAAGGGAATTCCCTGACCCCTTGCGCTTCCCGGGTGAGGTGATGTCCTGCCCTGTTCCATGGGCTGCACCCACTGTCTGACAAGCCCCAGTGAGATGAAGCTGGTACCTCAGTTGGACATGCAGAAATCACCCATCTTCTGTGTCGCTCACGCTGGGAGCTGCAGACTGGAGCTATTCCTATTCAGCCATCTTGGAACCTCCCCCCGAGTGTTACAGCTCTTAAAGGTGGCATGTCTGGAGTTGTTTGTTCCTCCCAGTGGGTTCATGGTCTTGCTGACTTCAGGAGTGAAGCCGCAGACCTTTGCAGTGAATGTTACAGCTCATAAAGCTAGTGGGGACCCAAAAAGTGAGCAGCAGCAAGATTTACTGTGAAGAGCAAAAGAACAAAGCTTCCACAGGGTGGAAAGGGACCAGAGTGGGTTATCGCTGCTGGCTCAAGTGGCCAGCTTTTATTTCCTTGTTTGGCCTCGCCCATGTCCTGCTGATTGGTCCATTTTACAGAGCGCTGATTGGTCCATTTTACAGAGTGCTGATTGGTCCGTTTTACAGAGTGCTGATTGGTGCATTTTTACAGATTGCTGATTGGTGCGTTTACAAACCTTTAGCTAGACAAGGAGCGATTATAGGTGCATTTTTACAGAGTGCTGATTGGTGCGTTTACAGACCTTTAGCTAGACACAGAGTGCTGTTTGGTGTGTTTGTAATCCTTTAGCTAGACAGAAAAGTTCTCCAAGTCCCCACCCAACCCAAAAGCCCAGCTAGCTTCACCTCTCAATCCCCCCTCTAAACAGGACACTGCAACTGCTGTGGGAATTGGGCAATGACCACTCTAGCTACTTCCTGCTGGATAGGGGAGAAGAAGGGGCCCTGCAGTTGTAGTGTCCTCCAGAGGGGAACTCTTTAGGCCAGTGAAAGAGCCAGCAGGTTGGTCCAGAGGTCCTCGGTAGAAGTTGTTAGTTGAGCTCATTTGGGGTTCCACTTATAAGACCATCTGTAGCTTGATGGCTTCGATTCTAGAGGAAACAAATTTGACAAGGAGGTTAAAAATACAGGGCCCAAAGACGAGTAATAGCAAGATGGTTGCCACCAGACCTAGAAAGGGGAGAAGCCATGTTGCCCAACTTTAGAGGTTGGTATAAGAGTTTGAAAGGCATCCTCTGATTTCAGAAGCCTTTTCCTGTAAATCCTGAGCAGCATCTCATACTATCCTTGACTGGTTAGTGTAAAAACAACACTCTTCCCCTAAGAAGGTGCAGAGTCCTCCTTTCTCAGCAGTGAGGAGGTCTAGGCCTCGGTGGTTTTGGAGAGTCACTGTTGCCAAAGAGTCTATTTGGGATTGTAGAGTAAGGATAGATTTTGTTATTTCTTGTAAACTGTCTGAGAAATTCTTTGAGAGTGTGTGGTAGTAGGATAATGAAGTAGATAAACTGGCTATTCCAGTTCCTGTAGCAGTAACCATTCCTAACCCTATAAGTAGGGTTAAGTTGTATTGGTTGTATGGCTTTGCACTGATGGACTTGAGCTTTGAGGGGTACTGATAGGGTCTGATTTCATGGGGCAATGTTAATGTTGGGACTTAGAAAGACTAAGGTGCAGATGCCTGTCCAGTTAGTGGGGAGGCAGATATAGGTCAACATTCCACATAAGAAGAATATACCTTGGCTGGGTAGACAGAACTGGTTGTGTATGTTAAAAAGGTGTGTGAGTTTGTTGTTTTCATTTTTTCATATTTCTAGAGTACTTGCCAGGGTTGCTCCAGTGAGTGGCTGGAAAGGGGTGTTGGGAGCAAACTGAGTGGCTCCCTGTGTTCTATTTTATTTTCATTCCGGAAGGAGCTACAGTATACAGTCCTATCACAAAGAGTATGGTTAGTATGCTGCTTAATAATATGATGAAATAGTAAAAGGATTCCATTAAAGGGGCAAGGAGAGGTGTTAAAGATTATGTAGGTTTTCATTTATCTTTTTTAAGGAGGAAGGGGTTTTTCTTCAGGATCAGTGGTAGGAGCCTTTTTTGTCTCAGATGTTTCCTTCCAAAATAGAAGATGCAAGTCCTCCAATTGTTTGCAGGTGTATCAAGGCTGGTCTGGCCGATCTTGGGACTCCTGAGCTGACGGTTCTGCAGGTTCCTCAGAGGATATCCAAAATTTAACTCAGGTGTGGTGAATCCAAGATTCTACTCCTGCCACCTTAACCATAGTGGGGGTACAGAGGATTACTGAGTATGGTCCTTCCCACAAAGAGTCCATAGACGGGGAGGTAGAGGGGAGATATTTGGCCAACACTAGATCTCCTGGTTGAAACAACTCTGATCCCTTTTTTCTGTGACATCCTTCAGGTAGGTTTTTAAGGTTTTGTTAATATGTTGCCAAAGAAGTTATATATTTGACCAGGTTGGCCGTTTCCTGATCAAGTAGGAGGTTATTTGTGAGAAAAGGTCGTCCATACAGCATTTCATATGGACTGAGCCCCATTTTGTGAGGAGAATTTCAGATTTTCAACAAGGCCATGGGCAAAAGAGTAGGCCATGGGAGATGAGTTTCTTGTGTTAGTTTCCTCGAGTGCCTCTTGAGTGTTTCATTTGCCTTCTCGACTTTCCCTGAGGATTGTGGCCTCCAGGCACAGTGAAGGTGATATTGTATCCCTAGCACCCTGGAAATTCCCTGGGTTATCGTGGCTTTAAAAGCTGGACCATTGTCACTCTGTAAGCTTTGGGGAAGCCCAAATCTAGGAATTATTTCATGAATTAAGACTTTAATCACTTCCTGAGCCTTCTCTGTCTTGCAGGTGGAAAGCTTCTGTCCAATTTGTAAAGATATCAACACAGACCAACAAGTATTGAAATCCCTTTGACTTAGGCATATGGGTGAAGTCTAACTGCCAGTCCTCTCCAGGATAGTGACCTATCCTTTGTTCCCCCAAAGGGGCCTTACGATGGACCAAGGGATTATTCCTTTAGCACACCTCACAGGCTTTGACTACCTGTCAGGTGGTCCAGAGGAGATTTGGTCCTATAAATAGGGATTTGGCCATTTAATGAGTGTTTTCAATACCCATATGAAAAGTTTGGTGGAGGGTTTTAAGTACTTTCAACTGGCTGGCTTCGGGTATAAGTACCTTTCCTACTTCTGTCATTAACCACCCCAAGGGGAGAAAACTATGCCCCCATGAATGTCCCCATTCTGTTTCAGTCAGGGAATAGTGGGGCTTAATCTCTTGGAGGGGGTTGTTCCATATCAAGAGTCCTTCCATAGGTATTTCTAATGGGCGGTTCCACCTGGCAGCAATTTTGACCTCAGCATCTGCCCAGCGGTTTCCTTCTGCCTTTTCTCCTTCACCTTTCTGATGGCTTTGGCAGTGTAAGACTGCCACCTCCTTGAGTTTTTGCACAGCATGCAATAACTCCATAATTTCCATGTGGTATTTAATGGGGGTTCCCCCAGAGGTTAGGAACTCCCTTTCTTTCCATATTGCAACATGGGCTACTAGATAAGCATACTTGCTATCTGTATATACATTTATTCTTTTTCCCTTTCCCTATTCTAATGCTCAGGTAAGTGCCACTAGTTCTGCTAACTGGGCGCTGGTCCCTGGGGGAAGAGGCTTACTTTCAGGTATAGTTACATCACTAACTATGGCATAACCTGCCCTTCATATCCCATTCTCCACAAATGAACTTCCATTGGTATATACATTAAGGTCAGGATTAGCTAAGGGGACTTCCAAGAGATCATCTTGGGTGGCATAATTCTGGACTATAATTTGTTGGCTGTTGGGAACAGGCCCCCCAAAATCTGGCCATTAACTGGCCCCAAAACTGGCCATAAACAAAATCTCTGCAGCACTGTGACATGTTCATGATGGCCATGATGCCCACACTGGAAGGTTGTGGGTTTACTGGAATGAGGGCAAGGAACACCTGGCCCACCCAGGGCAGAAAACCACTTAAAGGCATTCTTAAACCACAAACAATAGCATGAGTGATCTGTGCCTTAAGGATATGCTCCTGCTGCAGATAACTAGCCAAACCCATCCCTTTATTTTGGCCCATTCCTTTGTTTCCCATAAGGAATACTTTTAGTTAATCTATAATCTATAGAAACAATGCTTATCACTGGCTTGCTGTCAACAAATACGTGGGTAAATCTCTGTTCGAGGATCTCAGCTCTGAAGGCTGTGAGACCCCTGATTTCCCACTCCACACCTCTATATTTCTGTGTGTGTCTTCAATTCCTCCAGCACCACCAGGTTAGGGTCTCCCTGACCAAGCTGGTCTTGGCAAGTGGCGTCCATCATGGGGGCTTGAATCCAGGTCGAAGGTCGCCGGAGCGACGGTTGGAGAACATGGAACTAAGCTGGAGGACAACTGAGTACTGTTAAAGCAATCCCCATGGTGAGTAAGAAGAGGAGCTCAGAAGCATCAGGGTAACAATGGGACAAGTGTGGGCTCTGGTTTGTTCCACCTTGGAACATTTTCACACTGATGATGAGGAGGAAGGCGAGTATAACGAAGTAACAGAAGAGGTTACAGAGCAGGTTTGTTTGCCGGCTAAAACTAAAGCAGCAAAGGAGGTAGAGGTTCATCCCTACCCTTCTGCACCCCCTCATTATTATTTTAAAGTAAAACAGTGGCCTGACCTTCCAGATCTTTCTTTTCCAGAGGACACTGGGTGAAAAGTAGTTGCCCCAGTGACTGTTCGAGCAGTGCCTCAAGCGACCACTCTCAGTTCTATTCAGGCAGGAATTCGGCAAGCTAGACAAGAGGGTGATATAGAGGCTTGGCAGTTCCCTGTTAGAATACACCCCCCAGATCAACAAGGAAATATTATAGCTACATTTGAGCCTTTTCCTTTTAAATTTGGGAAAGCACATTTAGTTGATTATATCAAGGCCTGTGATGCTATCGGAGGTAATCTGCATAAAGCTACTTTGTTGGCACAGGCAGTGGCAGGACTGAGAGTGGATAAAAGAAATACTCTGTTTCCTGGAGCTTGTTTTAACTGTGGGAAGCATGGTCATACTAAAAAAGAATGTAGAAAAAATCAGTGAGTCAGGCCACCAGAAAGGGGAGAAAAGAAAACTGCTGAGCCTGAAATATGTCCAAAATGTGTAAAAGGAAAACATTGGGCTAATCAGTGTCACTCTAAGTTTGATAAAGATGGGAACCTGATTTTGGGAAAGGCCATGAAGGGCCCATCCCAGGCCCCATTCCAAATCAGGGCATTTCCAGCTCAGGCCATTCCCTCACCCCTGTACAATGTTTGTCCCCTGACACAGCTGGTAGTGCCACAGTAGATTTATGCTGCACAAAAGCTGTGAGCCTTCTGCCTGGTGAACCCCTGCAAAAGGTCCCAGTCTGTGGACCCTTGCCAGTGGGGACGATAGGATTACTTCTAGGCAGGTCTAGTTTGAATTTAAAAGGGGTACAAATACATACAGGAGTCATTGATTCAGACTACAATGGGGAAACTCAAATTGTTATATCTGCTTCTGTTCCCTGGAAAGCAGAGCCAGGACAGTGCATAGCACAGCTCCTGATTGTGCCATATGTGGGAATGGGGAAAAGTGAAATTAAATGAACAGGAGGATTTGGAAGCACAAATAAACAAGGCAAAGCAGCTTATTGGGTAAATCAAATTACTGATAAACATCCTACCTGTGAAATAACTATTCAGGAAAAGAAACTTAGAGGTTTGGTAGATACAGGAGTGGACCTTTCAATCATTTCTCTACAGTACTGGCCATCCACATGACCAATTCAACCTGCTCAATTTAACATAGTTGGAGTTGGTAAAGCCCCTGAAGTATATCAAAGCAGCTATATTTTGCATTGTGAAGGGCCCCATGGACAACCTAGGACTATTCAACCAATTATAACTTCTGTACCTATAAATTTATGGGAGAGAGATTTATTACAACAATGGGGAGCACAAATTCTAATTCCAGAACAACTATATAGCTGTCAAGTCAACATATGATGTATAAAGTGGTGTACATCCATGGTATAAGACTAGGAAAAAATTTGCAATGTTTAAAGGAACTGCTTCAAGTGGAAAGACAAAGTTCCTGCCAAGGTTTAGGATATTTTGATGGTGGCCATTGTTAAGCCTCCAGAACCTATGCCTTTAAAATG